>NC_000007.14:137506779-138131779 GCF_000001405.40 Homo sapiens
AAAATAGTCTTAGTTAAAAAGAAACAGAAAAATCAAGAGAAAAAGAAAAGAAAAAGAAACTGTTCTGAGTTTTCTACAGACAGATACTTTGTCTATAGGAAATATAATATGGGAGGATGTAAAGACAAGTGGGATCTTTCTTTTTACCTCATTAGTTCCAAATGTGCCAAGGTTATCATGGAACTACAATTCTTACTTGATGGCTGATAAGAATTAGATAGAATCAGTTTGCAATATGGTATTTCAATCCAGTTTTTCCCTGCTGTGGGTCACAGGTCCATTTTACAACCACCTGGTCATCATTAATTTCCCACTGCTCACCTGGAACCAATGGGGAGCAACGAATGGGCATATTAGCATTCAAAAGGAAACATAACATCCCAAGAACTTTATACCTTGCCATGCCATGTCTGGGACCTGTCAGCAGTTTCACAACTCCTAGTCCTTACGATTAAAAGTAATTATAGAGTTTGGATTCCCTAGCTTGAGCTAAACCAGGTCCTGTCTATAGTCCATTAAAAATGTCATCCACAAGATAAAAGTAAATTATGTAGTTTTCATTGGATTCTATTCAAGGATAAGATTTCTGAGTGCTTTCCAGAAACTAACAGGTTCTCTAGAAATTTGGGTTTCCAAGTACAGATCCAATTCTGCTTTTATCATGATAGTATACTACCTAAGTGGGCAACATAAGGAACATGCAACTCACTTAAAAAAAATCCTCTTAAATGCTTATGGCATTGATAATCTTGAAGAGCAACTCATGGTTTCTATCTTCATTAATTTGGTAAATATATATTGCATATACAAAGAATTATGCCACAATATTTTTCACGTCTATAAGTCATTCACTTAATCATTTTAGCAAACGGGTTTTAAGGACTTTCTGGTGCTGGGGACAACTCTAGTGTCAGCAGTTGGTCACAGAAGGCTGAGTAAGACATGGTACCTGCCCTCAAGGAGTTTACAGAATTGGAGGAGGAGGGGAGTACATGAAAACATCCTACTGATGATATCTTTGTGGCAGGAATTGGATAGACATGTACTCCACGTGTTTAGAATCCAGAAGGGCTACACATTCCCCAAGACCAGACACTCTTCCACGAGGAGCTGTGAAGAAAATAAGGTGGTTTGACAAAAGGAACAAGAGTTTTTGAGACAAAAGGAAATTATCTCAGACCACCCTTAGGCTCTAAGGAACCACAGCATGAAAAGAAGAAAAGGAAATGTTCAGGAATTAGGAAGGTAGGTAGGTACAGAGTAGAGTAGGGTGAGGCTAAGACCAGAGGTTTGATTTTTATACTAAGAAGTTGAGACTTTATTCTCAAAAGGATGGGTAGATACTAATAGGTTTCCAACAGAAGGTGAAGGTTCCAGATGTATACTGACCAAAACAGCCTTCATGTTTCCCTTAGCATGATGGAACTTTAGACAGGTTTCTTTTTTTTTTTTTTTTTTTTTTTTTTGAGACGGAGTCTCACTCTGTTGCCCAGGCTGGAGTGCAGTGGCACAATCTTGGCTCACTGCAAGCTCTGCCTTCCCGGTTACTCCTTTCTCCTGCCTCAGCCTCCTGCGTAGCTGGGACTACAGGCACCCACCACCATGTCCAGCTAATTTTTTGTATTTTTAGTAGAGACAGGGTTTCACCGTGTTAGCCAGGATGGTCTTGATCTCCTGACCTCGTGATCTGTCCACCTCGGCCTCCCAAAGTGCTGGGATTACAGGCTTGAGCCACCATGCCCGGCCGACAGGTTTCTTCTTGATTATATGGCTCTGAACACTTGTTTCTTAGAGCATTTACTTTAGCAAACTTTCCATTGTAAATCCTTTCTCTGCCCCTTTGAGATGTATGTAAATCTGCTCCCAGACTCATGCCAAATTTTACAACCCAGGAATGTCTTTCTCCAGGAGCTAGAAGTCATTTTTTGAAATGTAAACATCATGAAAGACAGAGCCCCTCTCTCTCAGGCTCTGTGGGTGGGTAAGAGCCTAAATAATTATTGGTAATAAGAGACAATTAGCAAACACAGATGCCTAGTTACAGAAAAATCAAGAGAAAGGGAAAAGAAAAAGAAACTGTTCTGAGTTTGCTATGGACAGATACTTTGCTGATGAGATCATCCTGACATAGAACAATTATCAGTACCTATTTTGTTACTCATAGCATTCACATTACTCAGGAAGTCAAAAGGATGGTGGAAATAAGGAACTCAAGGAGGAGAGGCAGGGGAGTAGAGAAAAGAAACAAATTCCTAAGGGAGGATGTAAACACAAGTGGAATCTTTCCTTTTATTCTGTTAGTTTCAAATGTGCCAAGGTTATCAAAAAACTACAATTCTTACTTGATGGATGACAATAATCAGATACAATGGGTTGGCAATTGACCAACCTCCCCACAACATCCTCCAGTACTTTTCCACTCGCTCATCTCAGTGCCTAAAAATCTCCCACCTTTTTCTTGGACAAAATGTTAGAAAAATCATTGGGAGTAATACGGAAGACAAATTGATGAAAAATTAGGTGAGTGACTGGAGGATGAGTGAGGAAGCGAATACAGTCAATGAGCTGAGCAATGGTGAGGTCTGGAATAGAGGAGTGGCAGAAAGACAAGAAGGGAAGGGCATATGAGAGAGATACGAAGTCCAAGGAAGCAACTCCTCTGTGGCCAGTTGGATGGGAAGAGGGAAAAGGAGCAAGAGTGACAGTGAAGTCGTTTTGCATAGCTGTGGGGGTTACAACCTTCTGATACACTTACCTAACACCATGGACTTGTGGCCTGCTGAGCTGGAGAGAGCAAAAAAGAGCAAAGAAGGCGGCAGCAGAGAGACTGTGAAAATAATGTAAAATTAGTGAAAACTGTGATGATGGAGGACAAAGACCACTTGTCAATGCCTCAAAGGCAGTTTGATAACACCTAAAATACAAGAAAATGGTTTCTGAGTTAGAATGTGTTATAGACAGAATTGGGGAAAGAAAATTCTGAAGGCTGGAGAAGAAAGAACAGAAGAAAGAGAATGAAAGGGAACACTACACTCTCCAGGTGCCCATCGAAGCCCAGCCCACAACCCCTCAGGAGTTAGTAACAGATCCTTTTCTTTTTCTCTTTCCAAATCTTTGGCATTCATGACATGATAAATGGAAAAGCAGAAATGAGAAAGAAAATCCCAGGGAGAAAAAAAAAGGAGATGTTAAAGCCTGGTCTTCTGAACAAAGACAAAAGTTGTCAGGTGGAGCATGAGATCCAATCATGGATGCTGTTCGTAATGGCCTTTTTCCTACTTCTGATGACTGCGGTTCACGCATTGACCGTGGTTATCCAGGAGCAAGTATGGGCAGAAGGCCCACATACTTCTCTTCTAATACATAGTAGGAACCAAAGGTCCAGACCAAATAGTGCTATGACATGTCATCCTTGTCCAACTGAATATGTAAGTTTAATGACAATGATGTAAATGCCTACTTTTGATGAAGATAATTCCATTTCAAAGAAGGTTCCTAATGTTGCATGCAATAAAGTACTAGTACAACAAGATGATGTATATAATCTTTTGGCAATTATTCCTGGTGTTAAATGTGATATAAGCTTTTAACTGTGAGGTCCTAGCATGCCCTTGACAATGGAAATGAATATTCGTAAAATTCTTAGACACAGAAAGAACCACTACTGATATTTACTACCAGTGCTCAAGTACTTGGGAGGGAGATAACAAAGGCTTGACTGTGACACTGGAATCTTGGCTACATGGCCAGGCTAGCCAGATACATCTGAAAATCAAGATGAAATATTACATGTCTGAAAGGAAAGATTCACAACCATACCTAAAACTTCAATACTTGAAATGATGATTAGATACACTGGTCCAAATCTCTTTCACAATTTCTACATCATGCTGTCTGTTACACTGCAGGGTGATGGTCAAGGTCACCAACAACTAGATGCTGGGGACACATTCAGTCATGCAGCCTGGAATTTCTGAGTTGATTAGATACATGTGAAGAATTCATGACAGAAAAATTTTCTAAAATCAGCTGAAGGGGCCCCAAGCCTCTTTTGGGAAATAAAATGAATAAACAAATTATACATGGACAGCTTCTATGAGGAGATGTGAAATAGGGCAGTCTCAAACAAAGACATCCCTAGCAGCTGACAGCCTGGGGACATCTCTAATTCTGCTTACAGATGACTCCAGGAGACTGGCAGTGGACCAGTGATTCAGGAAACCCACTCGGTACTGAGAAAGACTGTTTTCCACCAGTGTGAACTAGGGAAAGCCTGAAGTTTTTATCCACGTAACTAGTGCATAAAATTGTGGTTCTGAGTCAATCTGCAAAGATGTTATTTTCAGATTAGCTTACACTTCCGCCCTTGATTCTGTTTAGTTCAATCAATGAATTGCTCTTATTAGCAAAGGCTACATTTTAACAGTGAAGGAAGAAATGAATATATAAAAAATACACATCCCATTGAGAATCAAACTCTGAAGTTTTCTCTGCTGACTATAGCGTCAGACTAGAAGTGACAGCCAGAAATTGAGGTGGCTTTATATTCAGGTTTCCACTTTTAATTACTCAAATTCCAAATGGAGAATATTTGGCTTGGCAATAATTCATCAGAAAGAACTTTTAAGGAAAGGTCAGCATTCACCTTTTAGGTTTCCATTTTACTTTGCTAATTCAGACACTTCTGAATAATCAACTTGTACTCCAATTCCCTGAATTTGGCATAGCAGGGAAATCAGGTTAAAAGATATAACAAGAGAAACACTTCAGAGCTAGCACTCACTGAAGCTGAATTTCCAGCACTTAGAACAGTCTTTGATACATAGTAGGTGTTCAATAGATCGTTGTTAAATGAAGAGTTGAATGAATGAACTCAAGGATTTTGGTATGTGGGTGGCTCTTTCTTGGCCTTAGTTCAAAAATCAGGTTATTAATACATAGCAAGACTCTGCTTTCGGAACTGAAGCAATGCATTCATGTTAGGATTGAGGCACTCATTTTCCCAGAGGCTAAAAGTTTGCTGATAGCGCACAGCTGAGTCCTTCTCCAGAAAGGCTGCTACCTCACTCAAGGTTTATCCCCTTCCAGGGCAGAGCCTGATCTGTGTCCAATAACCCTTGCCTCAATTTAGAAAACTCAAAATGGCTGTCCCAGGTCCAAAGGTCCCTGTGGGAGTCCTCAGTTGTGACTACAGCAAAGTTCAACATCTCCCTCTTCCTGGTCCCACTTTTCTTGCCCTGCACAGCTGTGGTTCCGTCTTGGGAAATCCTCAATAAAACCCTTGTACACAAAACTCAGTCTCACAGTCTGTTTCCCCAGAAACTCAAATGATGACAAGACCTATGACCGCAAATTCTTTTAAATTTGTCTTTATAAAGAAGTAGGCTGTATACTAGAAAGTGCCCTGGATTAAGAGAGAAAATATATAATTTCTTATTAAAATCCCACCACA
The DNA here is from genome assembly GCF_000001405.40 of Homo sapiens. Lineage (NCBI taxonomy): Eukaryota > Metazoa > Chordata > Mammalia > Primates > Hominidae > Homo > Homo sapiens. The sequence continues at coordinate 137,512,232 of NC_000007.14, forward strand.
GCAATGTAACCCTGTGCAAGGCAATCTTAAGTGTCCTTGTAATGATGCATGTGGCCAGTGTATACAACAGCCCTCTGTAAACCATGAAGCCCTATGCAATGATTGGATGTTATTATTTATTATTAAACAGGATAGTTGTGACTCTGCAATGGCCAACACTGCACTACTCAAACCTTAGCAAGATGAATGAAAGTAATAATTTTATACAAAGATCTTAGAAGAAAGTCTTCAAAGGGAAGTCTAACTACCATCTGAGCTTACATTCCAGAGTTGTCAACCTGGTAAGACAGCAACCAAATGGACTAGGCTGGTCTATAAATAGTAAGAGTTGGCCATAATTTTGAGTATGTGTTACATAAAATAAACCAATGAAAAGAGAAAATATTATTTTGGGCAGAGACTTAAGGATCTACCTGCAATTGATTGCTCTCATTGCCAAAGGCTAAGTTTTAACAGTGAAGGAAGGATCAAATATCATCATCATTTTAGGCCCAGTTCTTTGTCTGAAATCTAACATTATTAACTTCTAATATAGCACAGCACCAGAGCATATTTTATTTTCTTATAAAGAAAGAAAGCCTTTAGGTCATAAACAGAATTAGATGGCAAAAAAGTTTATATTAATAATAAGATCATATTTTGGCCCAATATTCCCCGGGTATCAGAGTCCTTTGAAATTAGAAAGACATAGAGTAGGCTCATCTATAAACCAAGACAGCCAGAAACCGGCAAGTCAGGCTCTATGTGCTTACAAAAAAACAATGAATTCAATCATCCATTTCCAAAGTAAAGGTCAGCAATTCTGCCGAACCCTGTCACTGTCTCTCTCCTCAAGCTATTTCAAACCTTCCTCTTTTTTTCCAGAACACTGATACTATCCATTTCCAACTTTCAACTAGTAAGCTTGCTTCTTCTTTTCCTGAGAAAATAAAAGCAATCAGAATAGAACTTCTGTTTCTCCCTAGCACCAAGTACACCAAGCTATCTGTATCTGTACTCCCTCCTCTGCCTTCTCTGGCTGTACTCGGGAGAACCTGCCCCACATTCCTGCCCACAACCTTCTATTGCTCACCAGGTTCCATCTTACCACCTACTCGAAGGCACTGCTCCTGCATTTGGCCCTCTTCTGAATCAAGTTCTCTCTCTAGTGAATTGGTCCCACCAGCATACACACTTGCTGTATTATCTTACAAATTAAAAAAAAGAATCCTCCTTTGATTCTACTATATTCTTTTATAGTCATCATCCCATTTCTTTCCTTAGTTTTATAGTTAAATACCTTAAAAGAGCAATCTGTGGTGAATTATAGTCATATGTCATTTAATGAAAGGGATGTGTTTTAAGAAACATGTCGTTAGGTGATTTCTTCATTGTGTGAACATCATAGAGTGTACTTAACACAAACCTAGGTGGAATCACCTACTACACACCTAGGCTATACGGTATAGCCTGTAGCTCCTAGGCTACAAACCTGTACAGCATGTTACTGTACTGAATACTGCAGGCAATTGTAACACAATGGCATTTGGGTATCTAAAATACCTAAACATAGAAAAGGTGCAGTAAAACTATGGTATTAAAATCTTGCTCTCGGCCTTAGCGCCATTTTTTTGGAAACCTCTGCGCCATGAGAGCCAAGTGGAGGAAGAAGCGAATGCGCAGGCTGAAGCGCAAAAGAAGAAAGATGAGGCAGAGGTCCAAGTAAACCGCTAGCTTGTTGCACCGTGGAGGCCACAGGAGCAGAAACATGGAATGCCAGACGCTGGGGATGCTGGTACAAGTTGTGGGACTGCATGCTACTGTCTAGAGCTTGTCTCAATGGATCTAGAACTTCATCGCCCTCTGATCGCCGATCACCTCTGAGACCCACCTTGCTCATGAACAAAATGCCCATGTTGGTCCTCTGCCCTGGACCTGTGACATTCTGGACTATTTCTGTGTTTATTTGTGGCCGAGTGTAACAACCATATAATAAATCACCTCTTCCGCGGTTTTAGCTGAAGAATTAAAAAAAATAAAATAAAATAAAATCTTATGGGACCACTGTTGTATATGCAGTCCATCATTGATCAAGATGTCATTATGCAGCTCACATCTGACATTCACTTGACCCTATTTGCACACGAATCCTCTCTATGCACTTTCACATTTTTCACTCCACAATCTCGTGAGGCTACCACTAACTACCCTCTACTCCAATCCAACTACCAATTCTTAGTGTGCATCTTACTCAACTTCTCTGAAACGCTGACAGCTAGACAGCTTTTATGAGTTATTTTTCTCTCTGATTCCAATGAACAAGCTCTCCTGCTGTTTTTGTAGCTAACCATAGGCTCCTCCTTGGTATTGCTCCTTCTTGGTCTCCTTTGCTGAATCCTCTGCATCTTCCCTACCTCTATTTACCAAGTTGCCAAGGTCAAAACATCAGAGGCAACTGAATTTTACACTCTTATGCAATACAGCGAATCCATCATCTCATCCTACCAGCATTACCTCCAAAATGTAGCCAGAATCCAACTGATTCTCTCCAACTCTACTACTTTAACTCTCTCATTCCTATTGCCTGTCACCTGGAGTATCACATTAGCCTGGTACCTGCTGCCCTATTTCCATCATTGCAACCTGAAAATGTTCTACCTAGTAGCCAAATTTATCTAGAATAAATTCAGGCATGATACACTCCTCAAGTAGTTCCAACACCTTCTCATTACACTTTGAATAAAATCCAAAGCCTTCTCCATGGCCTATAAGCCCCCTCCATGTGCTGACCCTTTAAAAGAACTTCCTGACTATCTCCATTCAACTAAGCAGGTTCCAGTCACATGGACATCCCTGACATTCATTAAATATACTAAGGATGCTTGGCCTTGGAACTTGCCATTTCCTCTGCCCAGGGATACTCTTCTAGAAATCCACATATACATGCACTCTTTTTGTTCTGGTCTCTCTTTAAATGTCACTTCTTCAGAAAGTCTCTTGCTGACCACCTTATCAAAAACAGGATCCTCTGTCACTGTTCTGCTTTACTTTCCTTTATAGCACTTGCTGCCATATTGTATTATTTATTCAATTGTCTGTCTCTCCACTGGAACATAAGTTCCAGGGCAAGCACTTTTCTGTATCTTGAAATAGTACTAGAAATACTTGAAATAGTACTAGAAATAAGGTAAGCAGTCAATTAATATTTGTTGAATTTATGAATGGCTGATTTGAGGTTGGAGGAAGATCCAAAAACAGAAACTTGTCCAACAAACCTGAGTGTGATAAACTAAGTCAAAGTCAGTTTAAATGTAAGAAGACATTTGAAATGGAATTGTGAAAGACTGACATGTAAATTTTTACTTATGTTATTAAAGACATTTATATGAAAAATAGGAAGTACTACTTGGAGGAAGCAGAAAACACAGTGATTAAATAAGTATTCAAAATGTCAGCCCCTTAGACTGTCTGAGTTTTCTGTGCCTCAATTGCTTTATATGTGAAATGGGAATAACAGTACTATCTATCACACTGAGATGTCGGGTGAGTTAAATTACACAATATATGTAAAAAAGGCATTTCCTAGCTCACAGCAATAGTACGATGTGTGTTAACCATTATTATTATTATATTTTTAATAAAATGATAAATATAAGAGACAGACAAGAGATGGGAAAAGACAGTAAAAGAAACTAAGCACGAAACTCTGGGTAAATGTCAAATCGTGAAAATAGGAATAAACATAAACACACTTGCAAAAAGGAAGGACAATGCCCTTCAGAGGACAAATTGACATCATTTAACTCCTCAGACAGATTTCAACTTGGAAAGCCTACCTCCACCAAATGGAGGCCTAATCTCTACTGAACAGCCCTGTTGTCAACTTGTTAAATGAGGGGGAAAGATTCAATTTTAGATGAAGCTATTGATAGGGAAAAAAAATCAGTGTTTTTAGCAAACTCTTGAAGCACAATGTACTTACATGGTTTCTAATGCTTATACTCATTATGAATGATGTTGGAGCTTTAAAAACTCTACTAAGGAAATATGCTGATGAAAAATTTTTTAATCCTGTGTAATTTCTATAAAACTAAACATTTATTATATTATAATCTGTTCTTAAGAAATGTCTAGTTTAACTACTGCATTTAACAGATAAGGAAACAGAAGCCTGAAGAAGACAAATGCATCGCCCAAGGTCACACACTTAATTAGTGGTTAGACTGGATTTTCTCATTCTTGCTTATATATTTTATCTTTCTTTCATTATTTAAATGACGTTTGCTAGAAAAATAGGTACAGAATGTTTCCATAGCCCCATCACAGTTATTATCACATTTTTTAAAAAAAGAAAAAAAGCTCCAGAAAATCAGGAACGAATTCTGTTGTTTTTTTTTCTTCCAACCCCTGCTCACGGTAAGGACTCAATAAAGGTACACTGAATAAATTATGTTATAATGTTGGATTTTCTAGTTTCATCTTTCAATGACTAACATCTAGTGTGGTATCTGACATATAACTGATGCAAACATGTAATTATTGAAAGTATGAATGCATGAATGGTTGAATGGCTCTACCATTTTGGCATAGTTAACAAATTCAGTTGAGCTCAAATATGCAAACTGGAAACAATTTAAAAAATCTTGATCCACCTCCTCTGATCATTTTGAAAGTGGGTTAGACTTAGTGACTTATTCCTAAAGAATAGAGTAGGGAAGGGGAAAAAATTGTAAGTCTATGGTGAAGGAACTTGGCAAATACCACCTTTACCAAATGATCAGGTTAACATCACCAGGGATGTCATGTGTATATCACATAAGTCTTGACATGATGGGGCAAAAAGCCTACTTCACCTCTACAGTATTCTTTCTAAAAACCCATAAATCCAGTGTAATTATGAGTAAAACAACAGACAAAGCCAGATTGGAAGATATTCTACAGGAAGCAGTATTCCCCCAAAACCATCAAGGTCATAAGAAAAAGAAAAGAAAAGAAAAGTAAAGAAAAGAAAAGAAAAAGAAAGAAAGAAAGAAAGAAAAGAAAAAGAAAGAAAGAAAGAAAGAAAAGAAAAAGAAAGAAAGAAAGAAAGAAAGAAAGAAAGAAAGAAAGAAAGAAAGAAAGAAAGAAAGAGAAAGAAAGAAAGAAGGAAAGAAAGAGGGAGAGAGAGAGGGCGGGAGGGAGGGAGAAAGAGAGAGAAAGAGAGAGAAAGAAAGAAAGATAAAAAAAGAAAGAACGCTGAGAAACGGTTACAGATCAGAAGAGACTAGGGAGCTATGACAACTCAATGCAATATGGTATCCTAGATTTGATCCTGGGATAGAAATTCCAAAGGTTTAGTTAATAGTAATGTAGCAATATCAGTTTCCTTGACAAACGCACCATGGTAATGTAAAGTGTTTAACAATGAGAAAAACTGGGGGAGGAATGCACAGGAATGCCCTGTATTACCTTTGTAACTTTTTTGTAAATCTAAAATTATTCCAAAATAAAAATTTGTTGCAAAAAATTCAGTGGTGGATAACAGATGACACACTTAAGAGAATGTATTAGGACTTAAGGAAGGAAATTTGCAGGTAAACGTTCAGATCATCCTATATGGGCATTCAGTATTTACATGCTTCATAGATTTAAGTATCTTGTCATTACAGCAGATGTTTACACAAGTAGACACAATAAAAGTAAATTGAATGATTTAGTTACACTTTCTTCCCATAATCTTTCTGTGATATTTACCAGTATTTTCAATTCTATTTTTGAAAGTAAGAAAGTGAGTTGGAGGGTGGTGGTGTGTGCAGTTTGAAGTGAGCTGCCTCAAGCCAGGAAGAGTTCTACATAGAGGAAGTCAGCCTCTATGACCTACTTTGAGTCTGGTTTTATGGACTTGAAGACTGATGAGCAGTATGACAGCAGGGCCTCTCTAACAACAACCACCACAAGCATCATAGCTACCATTTTTGGAGAGCACACTAATGTGCCAGACTTCACACCAAGGGTTCCATATACAGCATTACATTTAACCCTCAGCACTGAATGGGGTTATAATTATATTTTCATTTTACAGATGAGAGATTTGATCATCAGAGAAATTAAATGACTTTGTCAAGGTTTCAACTGAGATTCAAACACCAAAATTTCTGACTTTTCTACTAAATCACCAAACAAGGAAATTCCATTAGGGCAAATGCTTAACTAAATACCTAGTTTGGTTAACACTAACGATACTAGGATTTTACCCTATTTATTGATATATTATGCATTACATGTTATAAACATCCAGATAATACTGAATTATACTGAGATCATGTATGTAAAAGCATTGTCAAACACTGTATTTGATATACAACAAATGTTAATTCCCTATCCTTATAGACTACATCTGTTTTCAATTGGCTTCAAGCTGGTTTCTACTGCTTGTGTTTTAAACCCTAGATCTGTGTAAATTATCATGGCAATTTAAAAGTGCAGAATAAACTGGTGCTCAAACTGAAGTTTAACCAGTTTGCATGGGAACAGAGTTAAATTTGGGGGAATATCAAGTTATCTCAGATTTTTAAAAAATATATCATGTGTCAGTGAATCTCTTCTGGGGTTAGAAATACAACAGATTTTTAAAAACAGATCATCCTTTGCCTAGATTATATGATTATAAGCTTTATTAAGGACCCACTTGTATACTTCTGTTTATGAGAGTGATTTTCTGATATCATTATTACAGATTTGCTTTAATTTTTTTAATATGGCCACTTTCTCTTTATGTTCTACCTCTTAAGTTGAATAGACTGTCCCCTCTTGCAAACCACAACTATTATCTGAGGGTTGATAAATCCTATGGAGTGAGGAAGACTTTTAGTGTCTTACATAAGTCTGAAATTTACCAGCAAGAGCTGAGGGAAAGATTGACAAGGACTAAATTTTTCCGGGATATTATTTTAGAAGGATTGCCCCCCAGTGAGATGGGGCTAAGTGGAAGAGGAATGGGAAATATCTGAAAGAGTATAGTCCTCTTTCTCTGTGCTAAAATAAGCAAAGCAATTTAAAGGGCTGCCATCCATTATTGTCAGGGAGCCCTGCATTATGGACGGAAGATGGGCTTTGTTAGGTGACAAACATGCGAGCTTGTTATCTAACGGGAACAATGAGCAAGATTCTGCTAAACAGTGATGGAAAAGAACCACATGCTGCCTGAAGATATCACTTGGCACACCATCAAGAAATGGAACTAACTTCAAACGCAGTACCATGCTACTGCTCTAGGTCAGTCATTGATGACAATAAATGAATGACCTAAGAGGATTCACTCTCTTTGTTCTGGGATGCAGGTCAGAGTACATTCCTAGAGTCCCTTTTATCTAGATGTGTTGTGCAAATTTCACTTAATTAATGCTTCTGAAATAACATTTATTTTGGCATGCACCTCATATATGGACTTAAGCTTGCTTTTGTCTTTATACTCAGTTTGAGCCCTGTCAGCCTTCCCATGAATCTGTATTCTGTTTCAAGTTGGAACCAGGCAAAAGAGTAAAGGTTAGTAGGAGTGAATCCAGAACCTCAAAGGATAAACTTTCCTGAAAAACCACAGTTAGAAGCACCATCACCGCATATTAAAAGTAGAATGATTGAGTTGGTCACTTTTAATTCCAATTCTTTTATTGTTTTCTTCAAATCCAAATCATTGGAATGAATTTTTACATCTTTAGAATAACTCCTTTATCCCCTTTTAGAGAGTATATGTGTTCTTTGGGGTCCCAAAGACACTGTTCAATTTATTTGGCTTACATTTATGCCATATTTGACTTAAGAAGTTTCTTCACATAGAAATTTTATCACATATGCTGAGTAAAGCCCTTGCCAGAAAATGTCATCTTGTTGGAAAACCTCAAACCACAATTACCTCCAGGAATGGTAGACAGATAATGCCACAGAAAAGATAAAACAGATAATTGAAAGCTATAAATAAGCTTCAAATCTCATTTCAGCTAAAAATTTCAAATGTGTCCCCACTCCAAATTGAATTTCTTCAGAGTTGATCGTAAGCTGCAAAATATTATTTGAGATCTGTTATCTTCTTTTAAGAACTGTTAGCTATTTGTTTGGAAGCTTCAAACAAGAAAGAACATAAAACACTGTTCTTTATGATTAGTAACCTTTAGAACTCAATTTAATTTGCATTGTAGCTACACTTCCCATCGCAAAAATATATGTCTAACACTTTATGGATCAAACAGATTATATGCTAGTCTGTCGCTTATAAGTTCACTTAGATTAGAAAATGTAATATGTTGTTTACAGAAGGAAGAAATTCAGAGGTTTGGGGAATTGCTCCTCCTCCAGCTCACACTTTCCTATAAAAGGAAATGAGGGTAAAGTATGGAAGTGAGAAGGCTGGGGAGAAATTAAAAGATATTGATGTCTAAGGAAAACAACATAAAGGGTTTAGGAAGCTGAAGCAGCTGAGAGAATTAAGAAAGAAAATTCACAGCAAATTCTCTAGTAGATTCAGTGATTAGGCTACCAGGGATATGGCTCCTCACCTCGTGGCAACTCCAGATTGTAGAACCCTCTGTACCCACCCCTGGGATTATCCTTGGACCTCAGAATTTCCATCCACTAAAGCTTACTTCAGATCAGTCTCAGAAACCAGAGCTCAGAAAAGACCATCCCAGGAAGGCTTTCCTACTATTAATCCTGCCAGTTCTAACTATTTTCCTCTTTTACACAGGTAGCCAGGTCTACACTTAGAGACCATTTGGGGACTGGGTTCGTAAGTCTTTGGTTCCATATAAAAGTCATTTCTTTATATCAGCATCATTGCCTATTCCCTTGGACACCAGTTTTCCTTATCTTCTTTGACTTTATTGCAGTTGACTATTGGCCCCCACAATTAGGAAGGAGCCGAGAACCCTAATATCTAACACTCTCATGGTCTTAACTTCTGGCTTATTTTAACCAATTACCTCATAAATTATTATACAGACAGATTTAATGCAGTGATCAGAATGTACCAGATTGTAAAAAGTGTCCAATACATACTGATTGACTAGTGAGATGAACTAACAATTAGCTATGTATTCAAAGAAGCATACAGAAAATACAAACTTTGAGAAGTAATTCATACGTCGACTCAAGTGCAGGTTTCAAAAATAATGGCACCTCATCATCAATGAATCACTTTAATATCACAACATTCCCGTAGGCCCTTCTCTGACATTATATAATAGCATAATATCTAGAAGTGCTGAATGTGCCTCTTTGCCACATCTCTGTGACGAATGAGGGCAGTGTTTGATAACGCAGCCTCCAAGAAGAGATCTGTGTTGTCTCAAGAGTTTTCTGGATGGTGCTATACCATTGGTATCACGAACTTTTTGCTTTCCTCATTTTAGGCAAATCTGAGACTAAAGTGGCGAATAAGCCAAGAGATCCTGACTTGGCATCCACAGCAGAATGATTTTATTCAGCTGCTTTCCTTTTCCAGTTCCTTTTTCTGTAGCCCATACATTATCACTTGGAGCCCACATGTTACTGTGTTTCACTTCACTTCTCTAACCATGATTTTCAGGCACAAGGATAAATGAATCTACCCATCAAACCAAGGAGGATCAAGAAGCTGAAGATAGGCTGATCGCATGAAATCAATGAGGCACTTCCAACTTACAAGCTTCTCGGAGTTTCTCCTTGTCATAGTGGAATCCTTCATAGTCTTGTAAACTGATTTTGTTCACCCGGATCCTCAGACGATCTGGGACAGACTGGGGACTGCAAAACAAGAACCGAGTGGTCAGATACAAATGAGAGAGCGGAATTGGTAGCCATGCACCTGAAGGAATAAGGGCAATATTGTCTCTTCATGTTTAGAAGGAAGAGTTCACATTCAAACCAGAAAGGTGGGTTCCTTATCAGAATTGAACAGTGATCTGGAGAACACTTCTCCAGAAACCAAAAGTTTCTGGAATTTACATAAGAATATAGAAATATGCAAAAAGAGCCTTTGGAGCCCACTTTTATATCGTATTTTCTATTGATTTTTTAAAACATTTAATAAGATCATGTGCTTGTTACATAATAAATTAGATTCAGCAAATCTGAAATAGTGGGAGGTGGAGTGGAGCTTTAAGAACCACAGGCAGATATGCACATCACAGTAAGACATGGTCAGGGGCAGCCTGACCCTCAGAGAGATGGAAAAACTATCTTTAAAAAGCAGACCAAGAGTCCAGAAGCCACAGGGTTGAGACCGAAGTAGCTCTACACAGCTCAATAGCCTCTTTTGACAGCACCTCTCAGTCAAAGCATATTGCAATAAACACTGCTTGTAATGGTGGCTCTGAGCATTCCAAAATGAAGAAAAATGTTTAAATATGTACAGTGTCCTTTCTTTAGGAAGAGAATGAAGTGCGTAACTCATTTTGAAAGAATTCAATGCATACTGACTCCAGACACATATTAAGCAATAAAATGGTGCAGCACCAAACTTTCTGAACATCTATTCACTCCCCAAATGTCTGTAACTCGACTCCTTGATTTTCTTAAGCGATATTTTGAAAGTGGTTTAATCTTGGGCATTAGTTGAGTGGAATAATTTGGTTTTCATCACCACCACGATGGGTCAATACATTTCTTCAATATATTAATATAACAAAATACCTACTTGTCTTTCAATACGACCTTATACTGGGATTTCATTGGTTGAGAGAATTTTCTCATACAGAGGCTTCTCTTTTTTTTTATATTAAATGGTGACAAAAGTCACCACTGACTAACGTCATTGACTAAAGTAGAAAGAATGGCATTATTCTTTAATTTGTTCCTGTAAAGGAGGAAAAGGAAGGAAAGAAGGAAACAGAAATAAAGAAAAAAAGAAAGAGAAAGACGGAGGGAGAGAGGAAGGGAGAGAATGAGGGAGGGAAAGAAGGAAAACAGGAAAGATAAGAAAGAATACATGAAAGAAGGGAATACTGTGTCTACAATATTAGGACACCCCTCTCTACCTTCACTTCAAACTCACACACACAGAGACACAGACACACACCCATTTAATTTCAGTAAAACTCTGGAAGAGGGAGTAAAAAAATAATCTCATTCTGTTGTCTAAAGCCTCATTTTAGTGCAAAGTATAGTAACTCCCTCCATATGGAATCCCACTTTACTCACCCAAAATAGCACATACATATCAAACTATAGATACATATGTGCACACTCACACATGGTGCATTCTCTCTCTCTTTCTCTCTCTCTCTCTCTCACACACACACAGACAGAGAGAGAGATTTAAACTGTGGCTATTTAAAAGTGTAGATATACATGCACAAATTCTAAAGAGAGATGGTAGGCAGGTAAAAATGTCTGAGGTTCACTGGCTTAAAAAAATCAGTATAAAACTACAGAGATGGATATTTCTGGGGGAAATTTGAAAAGACAGATTCAACAGCTATACCGATCCATCACTCAAATTGTGTTTGTTGGGTATTTACTTTGTATTACCATAGTGCTGGACATCAAAAAGGTATGGACAAATAAAGCCGAAGCATTTAAGTTGTGATTGGAGATACAGCTTGACAGTATATTTATAGATACAGACCTTCAGTTAGTAGAACAGACCTTGAATATACTGAAAACTCACAATATCATTTACAGGTAGGGAAACTGAAGTTCAGAAAGGTGAAGTGATTTTAAGGTCACATAGCCACTAAGTAGCAGTGCTAAACGCAAAGCCTTGGACCCTTCACTCATCAGTTTCATGTTCTTTCTCTGCTCCTCTGAGGAGTTCAGACTCTCTTGTCAATGGATAAATACCAAGAATCCCATGGATTTGACGGCAAAACTATAAAGTCTGGATTGGCAGAGTCTGATGATCTCTGTGTGCTGCTCAGATTTCTTTCTTTATCAATAAACAATCATCAGGCGGGGTGGTTAAGTAAACCAGAGAACACTGGGCAGAGAGTACAAATGAATGTGTAGGTCTTTATTCATTTAGAGGGAAGTGTGGCTACAACATGCTGTGAAGTGAAGAAAAGTCATGAATAATTATATATGGCATAAGCTCCTTCATATAAATTGTGGACTTCAGGAGTTTGCACATGCAAGAGAAGTGCATGGAGACACGTCCAACAAGCTGTTGCAAGTTGTTATCTCTGTGTGGTGAAACCTGGGCATTATTTTATATCAAGTATAATTTTTAAGGAATTAATATAGTTATTTTAAAAGCACGTCCATATGTAAATAAACAATAATGCAGGACAAGAATAAAAATAAGGCCTATAGCAAAGAGTGTTAGGAATTAGATGCAAGTAGGGAGGAAAAAATTTACGCAATTAACAGAGTGACCACATGGTGTTCACATTAGATTTTTATCCCCAAATTAAAGGGGTCTGATAATCCCTTTATTTCCAAGTTCACTCAACTGATCTGCAAAGACTGTAATTAGAAAATATTTTCCTGCACACACAGCAGATAAAAGGGAAGCTGGAACCATAGAATGTAGTGGCCTATCAGACCCTAATAGGAGAAGTTGAGGAGGGGCAGAGGTTGAATGAACTCTACCTAAGCAATTATTTGAGATCATAGTAAATCTAATGGCAGTGGGCTTCAGTCTTCTCTACTGGGCTGGAGGTATCAGGACTAAGACCTCGATTGGGCAGTAGTTGCAAATGGGAAATGAGATTTGGAGAATGACTGCTGACCAGTTCCTGGACTCCCCTTCCTGGAGCTCCCCAATTTGGGGCTTACCAGTGTGTATCACCTTTCTCAAAACCCATAAAGTGGCTGCTCCCTGTGCCATGTCCTCCCAGGTTCTCATCTATGCCCTCTGATTCCAACCCATGCACTGTTGTCTCCTGAACCTCTGGCCACCCACTACTCCACCCTAACTTCCAGGGGGCACACCATGGCATAAAAGACACTATTATTTGAATCAAACTTTATAGATCCCAAATGAATTCACATATGATCTCAGTTCATCTCCAGAATGATCAGCTAAGCAAGACAGAAGAAATCAGACTCTAACCACCGCTTAACACTTTCTCCCATCCACTTTCCTACACTTTTGCTCTCTTGCTCTTAGCTCCCATCTTTTCCCAACAACCTACAACAGTTTCCACTTTCCCACTAGCAGCAGCTTACTTAAACCTAGTCTTCTGGGCGGGGTATCTGTTTTCTTTTTTAAACTCCTATCAAAAGATGTCCCAGTTGAGACTCATCAGCAAATTCTAGGGCATTAGACCCCAGGGTCAATAATGGTAAACCTTCTCGAATCATTTGCAACCCTGGTGTAAACAGCAGGTATGGGAGGCAACACAGCAAAGTGGTGAGGAGCTCAGGCTCCAAGTCAGATTGCCTGGATTTGAAGTAAAGTTCTTCCAGTTCCTAGTTAATCAGGAAACTCTATGCTTCATTTTCCTCATAGGTAAAGTGGAGATGATATCAGTATCCACCTCATAGGCATATTAAGAGAATTAAATGAGCCAATACATGTGATATGCTTAGAAAAATGCCTGGCACATTGTCAGTGCTCAATAGATTTTAGCTATTATCATTATAATAATTATTCTGAAAATCGTTCTCCTAGATAAGGTTCTACCTAATAATCAACAGCATTTGCTGCTTCTGCCAGATATTGGAAAATGTTTAGAGCACATGAAGGAACCTCCCTAAACATTTCTGACAAGGTGCTGGGCTACCTCTGGGGGGAGATTGTCTAGCTTGGCTGGTGGCATGACATTTTACACTTCTGGGTGCTCTCCCACCTAGTATTTTAAAAGGCCAACTAAAAACATGAAAACAGACAGCTAGAACATGGGGGAGTCGGGGGAAGTGCATAGAGATTAAATGAAAGCCAAGTAATTCAATTTCATACCTTTATGTCAAAATATATTAGTGTCCCATTAATGGCTGACTGAAGGTAGAGGATGACAAAGCTGTTCTTTGGAGTCTGGGGAATAGCACTGCCATTAGTTTGCTAAATTTAAATTTTGTCTGGGAAGTTAGTAGAGCAAAGAAGAGACAAACATCCTGGGTAAAAATAAATTTGCCTTCCTGCCAACATCTGCCACAAGATACTGCCATACTGATTAGGCTCTGGATCAGGGGTTCTAAACCCGGCTTCCATGGAACATCTCAAACTCCCTAGAAGGGATTTAGCAGTCTGTGAATTCCCTTTCCTATTGGGGTAGTGACCTAAACCTGTCGCCTTCTCACTAAGCCGACAGGTTTAGGTCACTACCCCAATTCTCTGCAACACTGTGATTGAGATCCTTATGCAGAATGGAAGTTCGTGGCTCTGGACTTAATTCCCAAATGTCTCCCATGAACACTTTCTCAAGAACCATAATAAGAGCACTTGTTGAATCACTCAGATGGGTTTCCAGTAACCTCCATGCCACAGCTTCCCTTATCCATGTTATACACACCTTTTACCCTGAGATGTTGGAAGGGAGGTAGACTGACTTTCCATTAAGACAACTCCCTGAACACTCACTGCTATTCAATTTACACTTAATCTTGCTATTCTCTGCTCTCCTGTAGATGTTGCCAATAGCTTCTTTTTCAATTGTTCCCATGTAGAATTTCAATCCATCAGAGTCGTATTCCTCCCTAGTGCCCTCAAACGTCTTCCTCCTTTTGATCAATTTCTTTAGTATACACTATTCCTCTCGGACTGATAAGAGACGCCTCTCATCCAATCTCCCACCCAGGCCTAATCTCTTTATGGATAAAGTGGATGGGCTGAGCGTTTTGGTTCTCCAGGGTCACTTTTAAACCACGGACTCCATTAACTCATTCTGTCACTGGAAACATGAATTATATAGGAGTGATATCCGTTAATATTAAGACATGATAGCAAGTGGATAAAGCAAGACGTATGGTCAAAAAATTTAGTTCCAATCTAAATGGTCAGAACGCTAAAGTTACCTTCTTTAAACCATTTTGTGATCTGAAAATGGGACTGATAATAGAAATGTAGTGAGCACTAAATGAGACATATATAAGGCAGTTAGCACCTTCCTGGCAAATAATAAGTGGTCAAAAATAATAATAGTTGTTGTTACTATTATTATCGCCCTAGCGCTTCTGCAATTTCCATAAGCCTTATATTGTTTATTCAGTCCTAGATAATAATATCATAGCTGAAGCCAGAGTTGCAGCTCTAATTAGCACTTAGTAGACAGGAAACCTTAGCAGAATGGGCATCCGTCAACATCAGTAGGGATACAAGATTCAGTGGAATGTCGCTATCCACAGTCTTTTGGACAATAATGCAAGTAGGGATGGTGAATGTTTGCAAGTTTTTTTTTACTTTTTAAAGATATTATGAATATAAATCTTAACTCATGTTGAGACAAGATCCTTAAAGTTATGTAATCATTCTACATTTTGTACCTTATAAATATCCTGTTTTCATTAACATTTCTTAGTTCAGTGTAAGGCTTGCCCCTTGTAACACGCACTATGTAGAAACATTGATTTTTATAAATAATTGTAATTCAACCAGGCATTTGCTACTCATATAGAGTTGTTTTTCTTTTATGAGACAGAAAAGCATAACTCTGTCTGCCTTTCACCCTTTAGCCCTGATTTAATAGTAATAATGAATTGCCTTAACTTCTTTCAAGCAATTCTACCTGATCATAATCTAGATATAATAAAATTTGTTTCTAACTAATCTAATAGAATTCATTTGAACTGGCTCGTTTTATAAATAGAGTTTTATTAAAATATGAATTTATAGTGTGAATTCACAGTGTGAAAGGCTATGAATTCACACTATGAATCTCTTCCTCCTCTTTGCAGCTCCAGCAGCTAGAACAATGCCTGGTCCATGTTGCTTACAATAAATGTTTTTGAACAAATGAGTAAATGAATGCAAGGAAATCAAATTCCTCTGCAACTGTACATGGTTCTGATGCTATAGCACAGCTTGGCATTGGAGCATTTCTGAGCTGCTTTCTAGCAGCTTTTCCCTTTGTGAAAAAGTCATAACTGATTTGGTCATCCATTTCTGTTCTTTGACCTCTGGATCAGGAAATAAATCCATGTTGAATTATGTTCCCACTTTTTATCTCCAGTAGAATCTACACAAATAAAAAGACAGAAGAACCTACAAATGGTAGATGTCCCCATCAAAAAAGTAAGTAAACCTTTTCTGAACTACCTGTTCTTCAATTAAATAATGCCTCGGAAATCTGAAACACATTGTACAGAAGTTTTTGATTCTTAAACCAAGCATAAACCAAAATCACATTAGCAGCAATCAGTCATGCACTCCCACTGCCCAACATGTTTTCCTGGAGAAAGTACCTTCAGAGGTTATTAATTCTTTTTTGATGGAAGTTGAGTAAGTTCTCAGTCTCTAAGACATCCATTTGTGAGGAGGTAATAGGATATGTTACAGCTTACAAATTATTTGAGGCAGCTATTCTTCCAGCCCTTCTTATAAGATCATCATGGAAGCATTATAGAGTCAAAAGCAATCTTCGATCTCATCTAATTCAGTATTTGCTATTCCATCTAATTCTATACGCCCCTATGACTGCATCTTCAAGTGGCTATTCTAAGTCTCTGCTTGATCCTCACCAAGCAGTAAGATGCTAATGGAAGTGGCTTAGTCTTTGTTCAGGCTACCTTAATCATTTGCAAATTCTCCCTGCAGTCTAAATTTTCCTCTCTGCAGTCTCTATTTATTAGCCCATCTACCACCATTTTTAGGGAATTGGCTTTTAAGTTACAAAAATAATCAGTCACATGGACTAATGTCAAAAGAGTGCAAACATTAACCACCAAAGCTAGATGCATATCAAAGAAATATTTGCTGCCTTGATGGCTAACATATTGCAAACAGACTATAAGCATCAAATGTCAATAAATTTTTATGACATTGGCTGAAACAGAAATTATTTTTTAAATTTTCTGGAGATCTTCAAAGTCACATTGTAATTAAAATTTTAAAGCCTCCATGGAAATTTGTAATAAATTTCTGTGCTTAGGGGAGCGTGAATGATGAGAAATTACTTAATGGGTACAACATATGCTATTTTGGTGATAGATACCCTAAAAGGCCTGATTCACCACTATGTAATCTACGCATGTAACAAAATTACACTTGTACTCCACAGACTTACAAAACTTTTTAAAATAAAAAAAATCTATGCTTTTGAGCATAGATTTTTCATGTGTGATTAGGCCAGAATCATTGGCCAGAATAGGGACCACTCAAAAGAATTCTGTTCAAAGGAAAAACTTACTCCCATAACTAATTTACCACATGGTTATTCTAGAGTGTGTTTTCTGTTCAGTGTCGTGTTCATGGTATTTAAAGGGAAGCAAAGGTATAGAACAAGCAAGCAGTGGCTTCCCTCAGTGGCATTGCAGAGCAGGTTAACAAGTATAGCAGTTTCATCATTTTTGTTTTAAAGGAAAATAGACATACTAACAACCTTGAATGATATTTCAAATTCTTCTGGCCACCTGTTTCCTTTTGTGGCAGTGAATGCCATCACTGTTACTGGCTCGTTGATCCAATTCTGGAATTTTACATGGATCCATCCCTACATACATGTGTTATGACTTTTTGCTCTTGTCGCCCACCCAGGCTGGAGTGCAATGGCACGATCTCGGCTCTCTGCAACCTCTGCCTCCTGGGTTCAAGCAATTGTCCTGCCTCAGCCTCCTGAGTAGCTTGGATTACAGGAGTGTGCCAATACACCCAGTTAATTTTGTATTTTAACTAGAGATGGGGTTTCACCATGTTGATAAGGCTGGTCTCAAACTCCTGACCTCCTCGGGTGATCCACCCACCTTGGCCTCCCAAAGTGCTGGGATTACAGGTGTGAGTCACTGCACCCGGCCATGTTATAACTTTTTATTACCAGAGTCACAGATTTATTTTTTAAGCCACTGAACAACTCATTGCCCCAGAAACTCAAAGTTCCCTCTCCATAAGACTATACAATATTGTTACTTTCTCTTTTTCCTTTATCCATGCATATTAAATTCACCTGACTTCACTTTTCAGTAGCCTTCCACACTGTGGTTAACTCCCTGCTGCCTGAAGCTCTTTACTTTTGGAATTCAGTTCAAAACACTCTTCTGGTTTGCCAACTAAGTTACCAGAAGCTCCTTCTTTCTCTCTGCTGCAGTTTATCCTCCTCTAAATCTTTCAAATACGTATGCTTCTTTGCTCCTTCCACTAAAACCCCTTTAGACCAAGTTAATATCATCTTGCACCTAGGCTAATTGGGCCCCATGCATCCAAAAATTTCATCACACTGCACACTGTTTAAAACATAAATGTAATCATGATATGACAATGTTGCTCTCCCCATTAAATCATGAGCTCTTCAAGGACAGGATGCCCAACTATAGTTATCTTTAAATCTCCCACTACATATGTTTAATATGAGGTTTTCAATATGTGTTAAATTACTGATCCCCATATGGACTTCCTAAATTTGCGATGAGAAAAACATCTTTTTTCTGACATCTGACTACATTCTTCATCACACCTAATCATGTGTGATTAGGCCAGAATCATTGGCCTGAATGGGACCACTCAAAAGAATTTGGTTCAAAGGAAAAACCTACTCCCATAACTAAAAGCAACAAACAAGAAATAAAATCACTGATTATGCATTACATTATTGCTGTACCACCTTCAGGTATCGAGTTGAGCCTCTGGCTTGCCCCTGCTTAATACAAAAGAGAAGAATTTCTACTCATTACTAGATATTATTGCAAATTTAAGTCTTACGAAGATGCCGTCTTCTGCCCTGATATTGGTGAACTGGCAACTAGAGATGACAACCTTTAAAAAAGTATTTTAAGGTAGGAATTTTAGACTTTAAGTTCCCACATACACTCTTTGTACATTCTTTCATGCTTAAGGAGTATAAAACTTGGACAAATATCCTAATAAAAGGCAAAGGAGAAGTAAGTACCACAGGAAATAGAAACAAATGGAAATTAGACATAGAGGTAACATGCATTCTCATAGAAGAATTCTGCAAATTCCAACTGTTGAGATGAAGAAAAATTAAGAACTGTTGGAATGGGAACAAGTAAAAACTCAAGCCCTGTCTTTCATCACATCAGGCCAAAATCATTTCCACTTTAAGAAGTAAATCCATGTAATGAAGGTTTCCTTGTTATTAAAAATGATTAAAGATTCTATCACAAAACACTAACATGAGTTACTTTTAATACCATAGCCTGCAATCAATGGTACTAAATGGAATTCTCACAGCATGGAGAATTCTTTTACTGTCAGTTGGAGGGAGGACCATTCATCACTATACTTAGTGGAGCAAGGAGCAGTTGGGCTTGAACCAATGAGACATAAGAGGACAATGATACTCTTAAGCCATCAAAATGGATTTAGATCTCATGTGTTCAGGAAGACAGACATTTTCTGCTTCAGCTTTCAGTTTCTATGTATCAGAGGGATCTCTTAAACTTAATTGTTATTTAAAATGCTAAAAATCTTCCCCAGGATTTGCAATCACAAACAGTTGTATTTTCCTGTTCTTATTTGCAACCGATAAATTCACTTTCGTTGCTAAAAAAGGGTGTGGATGAAGTGTTATGATTTGCGTATTTTAAAAATGTCATTTCACAGAAGAAAACACTTGTGGTCTTTCATACCAACCATGAAGAACACTGAAACTAGGCTTCTAACTACTGGTATAGTTGCTAACCCTCTAGTAACTCTAAGCACTTTAACGAATTAATTAGTGATATTTGAGTGTCTATGTGTAACTTTAAAACAGCATTTTAACCAAAATAGACTACACATAATCTTTAAATATTGAACACATTTCATCTACAAACCAATAGAAAAAAAAATCAAAGATTCAGAATGTGTTATAAATAAAAATATCAAAAAAAACAGTAGCCAAAATTCATGAAGCAATGATGAAGTGAAAACAGATATTGCTATCTTAAAATGGGGAAATCACATAACCCAATTATGTATAGAAAGAATGGAATGTATGAGCTACAGGACGCATTACTACTGAAAAGCTACTCTACAGATTGTGTGGTAGTAGATCTGCATTTCTAGGAAACAGGCTCAGTCAAGGGAAGAGCATGTTTTGTTTTTATAATGGAAATAAAAAGTAAGGATTGACCTGACAATAAGCGGCATTACATAAAAGGCATTTTCTTAAATGGTTTTAGCCCTTCACATAAAACATTTTATGAAACAATGTATATACTCTCCTAAAATCTGAGTATCAGAGAAAAAATTATTGCAGAATTGTTTGTTTTTCTTCATTAGTAGGTAATTAATATTTTACCTGGACAGGTTGACAATTGCTTGCCAAGGTCCTCAATCCTCAGTGGGGAGCTACATTTGGCTCTGGAAAGAGATATAGATGGCCCCATATTTCTGTTCATCAATCTACAGTTGGTGGGAACTTCAGCTCCTATTAGTAGCTCAGATGTGTTCCCACCAGCCCAAGGTTTCTTGTCGGAAATCCAAGAAGGAATAATTGAGAGTCCTCTAAACCTGACCCTCCCGCTTTCCCAATTCAGCCCATTTAGCCAACTGGGAGGAAACCTTTCATTTCCCTTCTCTAATTCCTGATCCAATGACTGAGGGATTTTATAAACTGCTCTTATTTCTTGGAAACATTCTTCTTGTCTTTGTAAAAATGACAGAATAAAGACATTTCTAGAACAGAACTTAAAAGAATCACACAATAATTATATCAATATAACAATTATTCATCAACAAAAATAACTTTTACAAAATTTGATAGCAAGGTTGAGAAAAAGAGTTCCCTAGAATATACTTTAATGGGTGGACTAATGGGTCAGTTGGGGCCAGGTGCAGTGGCACCTGTAATTTCAGCATTTTGGGAGGATCACTTGAATTCAGGAGTTTGAGACTACCCTGAAAACATAGTGAGATCATCTCTAAAAACTTTTTTTTAAATAAATAAATAAGCACGGTGGCATGCAACTGTTGTCCTAGCTACTCAGGAGGCTGAGGCGGGAGGATCACTTGAACTCAGGAGTTCAAGATTGCAATCAACTATAATAGTGCCACTACACTTCAGCCTAGCCACAGAGTGAGACCCTGTCTCAGAAAAAAATGAAAGTAAATATATAAAATAAATTACTTGGATGAAGGAGAAACAAACACAAAATAGTTAGATATTTTGATGCTACAAATACTAAAAAGAAAACAATGAAAAAGAAAGAAAATAATGGTTTTATTGATAATATCATAATAGAATGTGAAAATAATTTGGAGTGCCTTTGCTTGTTCCATTTCTTTCTCTCCTTTCACTTACCACATTAAAGTAAATCAAGTCTCTATTAAAGGCAGCAAACCAATGTATTTATAAGACAAGAGCTTTTACTCAAGAAAACATACTTGTTTTACTTTTCCTGGACAACAAAATAACATCAAGCCAAATGACATAATCACGTCCCAATTAGAGGACATAGCCACCTTTCTTAAGAGCAGTAAGGTCTAAGTGATTACTTTTTCAAAATAAATACAACTATAGGTCTTTATAATATATTATAAGACTGAAAGGCTTTGGCCTTTTCCTTCCATTTGTGATTCTTCCAATGGTACTTTCATTTTATTTTATTTATCTTTTTTCTTAATTTTTATAATGGCCCAAGATGAAAAGTATTTCTATTTCAGTCAAATACCTGAGCTATAACTTTGGAACTTGGTGAATCATGTATAGAACTTCATTTTCTGACACAAAATGTGATGTGTTCTAGGGATTAATTAAATGTAGCATCAACGAGTACTTTCTTTTTATGCCTTTTAAAATGTACTCTTTTCATTTCATGGAAGTGTTTCAGGGTGTTATGAGAGACCAGCAAAACTCAGTGGAATTGGTATAATTAAATTGAAGCCCTCCTACAAATGAAACGCACCTCACACTTCATTACCACTTCAGCAAAGTAATCCAAAATAATTGGATTATTTGGATTATTTGTTTGGAACGCTCAAAACGAACATCTAGGTTTCTTTGTTGATATGTCAGAGGATAATGTCAGTTCTTATTCTAGTACTGGAGTAAAAGTTGAAATGTCTCTTTTTCCTTCCTGAATGCAGTAAATCCATTAATAACATTGCAGTTATAATGGTCGGTCCAAAAATATTTAGGTTTTTTGTTTTGCTTTGTTTTCTGGGTGGGGAGTCCATTTTTAAATAAATATTTTACTCACAAAGACTAACAAAAGTATTCCTTTTCCTTCCCGTTTATAGTCTGCATGTATTTCTGCAGATTGTTTTTACTATAATCATGCTTTAGGAATTCAGATTTGAACAAAAATTTAAAGTACATATTGTTCAACCACTTTATTTTACAGAAAGTGAATTTGGGTCCAGAGATGTCAATCACCTTATTGTATCTATATAATTAATATGGAAAATCTGTTATGAATAATAGGGTAATGTTCTTCAGCTCTCTTTATACCCTTTAATAAAAAAATATTTTAAACAACTAAAATATTTATATAAATAATATACACAAAGTTTAGTCTTCAGAGGGTGACACAGAAATATAACTAAAATTCAATCAAATTTATCCAGTATGATGCTGTTATGTACTAAGTTATCTGTCCCCCAAATTGGTAAGTTGAAGTTCTAACCCATAGCTCTTCAGAATGTGACTGTATTTGGAAACAGGGTCTTTACAGAAGTAATTAAGTTTAAATGAAGTTGTTAGAGTGGAGCCTAATCCAACATGACTAGTGTCTTTTATATAAAGAGGGAATTTGGACACAGACAAAGAGGGAAGACCATATGAAGACATGAGAAGACAGCATCTACAAGACAAGGAGACAGGCTTCAGAAGAAACCAACCCTGCTGACACCTTCATTCAGACTTTCAGCCTCCAGAACTGTAACGAAATAAATTTCTGTTGTTTTAGCCACCCACTCTGTGGTACTTTGTTATGGCAGTCCTAGTAAACTCATACAGGTATCTACTAAAAAGATGCACAAAAAGAACTAACTCCTTTTGTTCTAATCCTACAACTAGTGTTTATAAAAAGATATATAATGGAAGAATGAGAGAAATCTAATTTTTAATTTTCAAAAATTTCAATCTGGCTTGGGAATCTCTGCCAATTTGATATCCCCGCCCTGGCTATTCAGACCCTAATTTTCACTTATCTATTAAAAACATAGAAAAATCTAAAAAACAAGTGTTGTATCTGTTGGACTAATTGTATCTCTAAAGTCAGATTTCTATTTGTGAAATTTATTTTTATTTTTTAAAAATTTCATAAATGTTTCCCCCTCCTTTTCCCTGCCAAACATACCTGGCACATGTACTACCCCCAAACCTTCCTGCAAACTTTCTCCTTTACCCCCAAGTCTGACTTCTGCAAGAGCTCCCTTATTCCCTGCACACTCAAGGCAACAAAACCCGCAGTAAATATCCGCTGCACTTTTGAAGTAACCTTTTACTGTATGAAAAGTGCTGAGTGGTAAGACTATTTCTACACCTATGAGGACATAAATAATTCACCTCTAAAAATAAATTTGAAAGCAATAAGATAGAATGTTAAATGTGGAAGGGGCCCTAAGTGTATTGCGCCTTTACATAAGTGGACTGATTGCCGAGCTCTGGGTGGACTGTTACTAATATAAGAACACAGGAACGATTCCTCCACTGTGGATGTCAGCATGACATTTCCTGATAAGCCTGTTTCTCAGTTCAAATGCCACTCCTTACGATTCTAAAAGACTTCAAATTACTTAGTGGTGCTATTTTTACCTGAAATTTGTCATTCTGAAATTTTATTATAACAACACTTGAACTATAAACCTATGACACCAAAGATTCACACATTTGCAACACTCAGAATTGAACTGTTATTCTTCATAATCAAGTTTCTTTTAAAAGTTTATATAATATGATTGGATTAAAATATATAAATAATAGAGATAAATATACATACATATATGCACACACAAGAAAATGACCAGAAGTGATATTGACAGCAGAGATAAATGCCTTAAATGCTACGATGTCAACTTTATCAATGTATAGCATGCAATCATAGGCAAGTTTCCTACCATTTCTTGTTCTCTGTCTTCTCATCTAGGGAATGAGACTAGTAGCAACTGTGACCTTAGAAGTTAGTAGGGTGTTAAATTTGATCACAGAGCAAGGTGCTTAGGTACATATTATGTCTCTGACTAAATGTAAAAATCCACTTTGGTTCTTGCTAACAGGAAGGTGAGACATGAACTATGCTTACCAATGAAGAACAGGGCCCGGCCCCCCTGCCCAGTACTCAGAACCAAGGACAACGCTGTCTTGTCCCATAGCAAGTCTCATCCACCTCATGTTACAGATTTTTGGAGGGCAGATTTTCTTATGATTCTAAGATCATGCTTTGAATTCTACCATAACAGAACTTCAAAGCTGATAGGAATTCGAAGGACCAACTGCAGTTTTTAAATATCTGAAAAACTGAAATGCAAAAGGTTAATACATGGCTGATGTTACACAGACAAATGCAGGGTTCCCCCAGATACTCAAATCAGAAGGATGTTACCATAAGGAAAGAGGGGTTGCAGAATAAGGAGGAAGACGCTCTGGCTACAGACCCGTGGACTGCTTCCACTGCCCCTTTTCTTTGTGTCACTAGACCTCTCAGAGTGGAATGGAAGCCCAGGCAGAGTGAGGGAACTCATGGGAGAAATTCATTTAAAAAATTCAAAACAAATTAAAAAAAAAACAACATTAACCGAGTTGCAGCCTGGGCTCTCATGGAAACTGAGAGATAAAGTGTGGAAACTGGCATGAGCTGAAGTCCAAGTAACCATTATTTCTTTTCTTTGGAATTGTCCATTGCAGATGTCTGTTTTATGGAACTAGCAGGGAAGAGTGGCATAACAAGAGGAAAGAAGGGATGACATGATGGTATGACTGAAAGTCAAGAAACTGTGCACAGTCTGAAGTGAAATTACTAGTAAGAGTACCCAAGAAATTCAGGAGCCAAGGGAGAGAGAGGAAGGAAGAAGAGACGATGGGCAAAGTTTAGCATCTTCCTTTGCTCAGAAGTTTAGAGAGCAAATAGCTTTGCTTTCCAGGTAGCCTGAAGCTAACTCTTACACTTCACTATCCGACCTTAAGATTCAGCAAAT
The DNA here is from genome assembly GCF_000001405.40 of Homo sapiens. Classification (NCBI taxonomy): domain Eukaryota; kingdom Metazoa; phylum Chordata; class Mammalia; order Primates; family Hominidae; genus Homo; species Homo sapiens. Next base: position 137,537,334 of record NC_000007.14, read on the forward strand.
AGCATGCCTTTAAATTCTACGAATGTAGCAATTCTCTCCTGTTCTTCCAAAAATATGAAATGTTCTGCTTTTTTTCCCTTTTTAGAAGTACTCCCCATTCATGGAAATCCATCAGAAAATACAGAAATAAAAAAAAATTATCGATAATCCTACAATTCAGAGATAATCACCTAGAAATACAATAATAATAATAACAAAAGCATGACCAACAAACCTAATCACACAAGTTGAAGTACTTAGGCTGTTTTGGTACCCTCGAAATTGGTTTTTGGGTCCAGGAGGTATGATTCAAAAATTATAATCCACGAATCAGAATCTGGACAGATTTCTGCCCCAGACATGAAGCACATTTCTGGAGGCTCCACTGGCCCATGAGTGCGATTCATTCTCAGACTCTCAGGAAGGTTGTGTATTAGCCACCAGCAGCTTAATTCATTGAGGCAAACCATATCTGATGGATCATCTCAGCTGCTTTAGAGGTAAGCCTTATAGTTTACAAAGGCATGCATGTAAATTTCCACTTTGGTATCATTTTTGTTACTTCCTTAAAGAGTTAAGGTGTGGCAGAGTTTATAAAGAGAGGAAAGGAAAGGAAAGAGGGTTCTGAATAACACAAATCAAGTCTTATTTTCTAATTGTAGGACCACAACTAAGTAAACAGAATAAAGAGACCTTTCATAATATAATTATACAAACTCAAGTAAATGTTAGAACAAAAGTTTTGATGTGACTAGTTGTAGAATAGAATTACAGAATTTTAGAAAGCTTTTCAAAAGATCTTCTAGTTTACTTCTCTGGCCAGAGGCATGCAAACATTTAGCCATCTATGGCTAATTTATGTTTTCTTCAATTGTGAAGATCAAAGGTTCTTTGCTCTGTCTTGGTAGTTTTATAAAAATAAAATTCTTAAACTCAACCTAAAACAGAACCATAAAAAATTTTAATATATCGAAAATATTTCCCTTGCTTTTAATAAAATTCCCTTTCTTCCTGGAACAAAAATCAATTTACTTTCATCCTTACCAAGAAGTCTTCATTTATCACAAGGAATTTTGGAATGCTGAGTCATATTCAGTGGTCAAATATGACAATTCATACTTTCTTCATGGATCGGTTTCTAACTTTGCTTTTCCCAAGGTAATAAGCAGACCCACACAATTTAGCAGTGGGATATATCCTGTTTATGTTTAAATTGCAACTGCTGTGCAAGATGGTATATTACACTTAACATATGTTAGTTGTAATTCAAAATACACTGGTGTCTCTGCAGAGTTGTTTTGCTGAATTTAGCTATGACACTCGCTGAGTCACTGCAGTGGGCAAGAAGAAATGCAGTCCGATAGTTCTCTGCTTCAAAAAACAGGGGAGATCTTATCCTGGTGAAGGTGGGTCAGCACACAGCATTATTTCTTCCCCACTGCATGCGGCTATACAATGTGGACAGGTTTCATAAAGCAGCTATTTGAGAACTTTGAAAAGTAAACGATAGCAGTAGATTGGTGAAGAACATCAGATTTTAAGATACTATCAAATTGGTAGTAAACTCCCCAATCCCTCTCTCTCCAATAAGCCCCAGCCTGGACTCCAGGCAGCATAAAGCCCAAAAGGGGACACCAGGAGCAGAGAGAAAGAGCTCTGGCAAAATGCTTGTGCTCCAGCTCTAAGAAAAGAAGGGACTCTGAATGCCGAAAGAAATGGAAAAGGATCTCCCTTTCTTTTTTCCCCCCTCCATTTTCTCCCACTACACTACTCAGGCCTTTTCACTATTTCTGGCAGCCGCAATGACAAAGCCTTCTGGCACCTAAAATTAGGAGGGAAGAGGGGCTTCCTCTCTAATCACAAGAGCTGTGACGCCAAGAGAGTGGCAGAAACTATCATTGCTTCTTTTTCTTTCTGTTATCATTGGTTGGCCCTGGACATGAACACAGTTACAGGCAGTATGCAGCAGAGTGAGGTAACTAAACCCTTAGCTTTCTGGCACAAGGACCAAACAAAGGAAGCCCCAAGAGACCAGAAAGTACCAGGGATGACAGCAGAAAGGAAGGAACTCAGAAAACAACTCCATAAAGATGTTCATGAACTCTTGGGTGTTTATCTCTAGGCTGTAAATACATGAATCTAGCCCTAAACACCAGACCATAGACTTTGGGAACTGAACTACAGGGTAGAACTCCACCCAGATCCCATACTGGCAACTTAGTCATGCATAAGCCAGACAGATAAGAATAGCAATGCAAAGACTTTGGTAATAAAACTAACGTTGTAACCACAACCCTTAGAAGATTAGTCAAAACTTGTGGCCTGAACTTGAGTCAATTGCATACTGAAGCAAATAAATAAAAGATTCCACTTTAGAAAAAAATGGGAAAAAAAGAGCAAAATAAACCCAAATCAAGCAGAAGGAAGGAAATAATAAAGGGCAGGAATCAATAAAATTGCAAATTGAAAAACAACCAAGAAAGTTAGTAAAACAAAAGCCAATTCTTCAAAAAAGCCAATAAAATGGATAGATCTCTACCAAGATTGACAAAGAAGAAAAAGATACAGGTTACTAATATCAGGAATAAAAGAGGACTTGTACTGCAGACCTCACAGACATGAAAGAGAGAAAGAAATACAACAACTCTACATACATTAGTTAACATTTTAGATGAAATGGACCAATTCCTCAAATACTTCGAGCAACTATAAGACAACTAAAACTCATTCACGGTGAAATAGATAACCTGAGTAGTCCTACAACTCCTAAAGAGATTGAATTTATAGCTTAAGAAAGAGGAAAAAATCTTGTGGCTCTGAGAGTTTCATTGGTAAATTCTAACAAACATATAAAGAACAAATAATACCCTAATCTTTTCCAGATATGCTGACAAAACACTTCAACAAAAATTCTACAACTAATAATCAATCTAATGGTGAAAGACAGAATGATTTCTCCCTAATATCAGAAAGAAAGCAAGAAGGGAAACTCTCATCACTCTTATTCAACATTGTACTCTAAATCCTAGCCAGGACAACAATGCAAAAGAAAGAAAAGGCATAAGGATGAGAGAGAAAGGAATAAAAGTATCCTTATTCACAGACATGCTGGACTATGTAGAAAATCCTGAGGATGCTACCAAACTCCTAGAACTAAAAAATGAATTTAGTAAGGCCAATAGGATACAAGGTCAACATATAAAACTCCACACTACTTCAAAAGTTAGCTAGGCATGGTACCATGTGCCTGTAGTCCCCAGCTACTCAGGAGGCTGAGGTGGGAAGATCACTTGAACCCAGGAGGCAGAGGTTTCAGTGAGCTGAAATCGCACCACTGCACTCCAGCCTGGGTGACAGAGTGAGACCCTGTATCAAAAGGAAAAAAAAATCCATAGTATTTCTATATACTAACAATGAGCAATTGGAAACAAACATTTTAAAAACCCCCCCAAAAAAAAAAAAAAAAAAAAAAAAAACATTTACAATGGCTCCAAAAACATGAACTACTTAGGCACAAATCTAACAAAATAGGTATAAAATCTTTATGCAAAAAACTACCAAGAAATGATGGACAAATAAAATAAATGAAGAGACACAGAGAATTTATGAACTGAGAGTCTCAACACAGTAAAGATATCAACATTCCCCAAGTTGATCTATAGACTCAATATAATTCCAGTCATCCAATTTCTAGTAGAATTTTTGGAGACATAGGCAAGCTGATTCTAAAAATGTGTATGGAAAGACAAAGGAACTCAAATAGCCACAACAGTGTTGACAATGAAGAATAAATTTGGAAGAATAATGCAACCAGATTTTAAGAGTTACTATAAAGGTACAATAATAGAAAGAATATGGCACTGGCAAAGGCATAAGCCATAGGTCAATGGCACAGAATAGAGTCTACACTGGATCTGTGTGTCTGTGTGTGCGTATACGTGTGTGCATGTGCGTGTGTGTGTATAATCAGTTCTCCATTTCTGTGGGTTCTACATCTGCAGATTCAACCAACCACAGGTTGAAAATATTCAGAAAAATAGAATGGTTTTGTCTATACCGAACATGTACAGACTATTTATCTCATCACAATTCCCCAAACAATGCATTTAACAACTATTTACATAGCATTTGTACTGTATTGGATGTTATAAGCAATCTAGAGATGATTTAAAATACATGAAAGTATGTACATAGGTTATATGCAAATACCCGTTTTATATGAGGGAGTTGAGCATCTAGAATCTAAGAAAAGGGACTCTGGAAAAAATCCCCTATGGATACTAAGGGATGACTTTTTGTATATCCAATTGATTTTTGGTAGAGTTGTAAAGGCAATTCAATAGGAAAAGATAATTTTTTCATAAATGGTGCCAAATGCATTGGACATCCATATGCAAAAACATTAACCTCAAGCTAAATGGCACATCTCATAGAAAAGAACTCAAAATAGATCACAGAACTAAATGCAAAATAGAAAACCTATAAAACTTTAGGGAGAAAGCAAAGGAGAAAATATTCACCTGGAATTAGACAAAGAGTACTTTAACGTAATACCAAAACCACAACTCTATAAAGAAAAAAAAAAATCATCTGGATTCTGTCAAAAGGTTTCACTCTACAAAAGATATCACCAAGAGAATGAAAAGACAGGATATATACTGGGAGAGAATGTCTGCAAAGCACACAAAGGCCTTGGGTGCAGAATACATGATGAACTCTCAAAGTTCACAGGAAGAAAACAAACAGCCCAATTAAAAAATGATCAAAAGACTTGGACATATGCTTCCCAAATGCTAACAGTACCAAGTGCTGATAGGGGTGTGGAGCAACTGGAATGATCATATATTGCTGGTAGAAATGCAAAATGGTGCGACCATTCTGGAAAACAGTTTGTCAGTTTCTTACGAAGGTGAACATACACTTACCATATGACCCAGCAATCCCATTCCTACATGTTTAACCTAGAGACATAAAGCTTATTACATAAAACCTGTTCATCAATGTTTATAGGAACTCTACTCATTATTGCCCCAAACTGGAAGAATAACCCAGATATCCTTCAATGGGGGAGTGGGTAAACAAGCTAAAACATCCATACAATGAAATACAGCTGGGCAATAAAAAGGAACAAATAAATGATACATGCAGCAACTTGGATAAATCTTAAAGGTGTAGTGTTCAGTCAAAGAAGCCATCTACAATGGACTACACATTGTATACTTCCATTTATATAGCATTCCTGAAAACACAAAACTATAATGATTAGTGGTTGCCAGAGGTTGGGAGATGGGAGGGTTTGACTACAGTGGAATACATCATGAGGCAGCTCTTTTGGGGTGACTGACTGATCTATATCCTGACTATGGTGGTGGTTATATGAATCTCTATATGTCTTAAACTTTATGGAACTGTACACCAGAAAAGTCCGTTTTACAGTATGTTAACTTTAAATATTAAAAATAAAAGCAAATATAATAAACATTCAATACAAAGTCGTTCATATGGAAGAACAACCAGAACCTCTACTTGGATGCTTGTCACATGGCTTCGTAATTCTGTCATAGGCAACACAACTGAAACCTTAATGTTCTTGTCTCTGCTTCTCCAATATCCCACAGAGCATTGAGTAACTGAAGTAAACACTCAATAATGTTTGTTTAAAGATGAAAGCAATGAATAAATTAGGTGTAAATGGAACACATTATTTCATTTTGATGGGGGAAGAGCAGGAGGGAAACAGAACCTAATGAGAGGTAGCTACTAAAGGCTAAGAGAGTTCTAGAAAGACACATTTTGCAGTTTTATACTTTTTTGGCATTAGCTGAATAGGAGTTGGCAATTACAGCATTTACCATGACTAGTCATGATTTATGAAATGTAGTGTGTACATGTGTCTTCCAATGAGGACTTTACTTCATTATGAAGCCAATCAATTATAAAGAATTTATTAATTCATTAACTTGCACTATACAAGATTTATGGAGAAATATTCTATTTGCTTTGTTTTGTCCTATTGGATGAGACCAGTAAATACCATTGATTAAAATTCATCAATTCATATGTTGTCATATATGGTCAAAACATAAAATTTCATGATTTTTCTTTGAATAAACTGGAAATTTTGCACATACACAGACATTAGTAGTATGTTGCAATTCCTAATAATTCATACATTGCATTGTTACCACCATGTACTCCATTCCTGGAGAAAAAGTCTTCTGAAAGCTAGAGAGAAAAAAAAAGATCACTTCAAGCTTCTTGAAGGAAGCAACAATTGCTTCAAGAGCAGCATAAAGAGAGGGTTCACCCAAAGAAAAGACCATCTGTAAAAAAGAGTTGTTCTGAGCAGAGAGTGGCTGATTAGATAGCAACCCCCTTCCCCTCCCCGCCAAAAATATATAAAATCTCACTTAACGATACTGGGGCTCCTAACTTCTACAGGACCAAAGCAATGTTACCATGGTTTTTTCAACATTGCTGAAATTAGCAAACACTAGTGTGTGAGTAAATCAAGGCTATCCGCACTGCCATAACATAAAAAGACAAAATGCACATGTTGTGCTTAAACTTTTCTCCACATTCCTTGCTGTATTCCATATAGTTTTATTAACTGATTTTTAAAATAATATCCTGATTTAATGTTTATTATGTAAATGTTTTATCTATAGGTAGAAAATCTATGACATGTAATATTCAATATATATCATATGTAGATATAAAATATTTTCAAATTAACATTCAAGTTTTAAGGTAACCACAACTTAGAGCCTGCTGCACCCTACAGAAACAAGTATGGACAATTTACTTTACTGTATGTAGCACGCACACTCATGGAATAAGAGATAAACAGTCCAATTTAAGATACACAACTAAAGTGTAAATACAACCAACTTAACCCATAATAGAAACAAGATGACTATCATATGCATTTCTGCTGTTAACATTCTCAATTCTTTGATCACAATCAACGGAGCCACTAAAAATAATGATCACATGCAGCCACTCCTTAAACTCAAATTTATTGAACTGGCCTATATAGAATATAGAATTTTACTCCAGCCACAACATTCAGTTTGGCAATTGAATGTCATTTTCCTATTGATTCTTTGACTGCTCAAGTGTAAGCTTCAGGAAGGTAGTGCTCTGTCATGCTTACCACTAGACACAGAGCATAAAATACTGTCTGGCACAGAGCAAGTGCAAAATAAAGGTTTTTGAATAAATACATATTTTAAATAATAAGTAAATTAGTATCCATAAGATGAGAGTTGAAAGTAGATTATATAACTGAACTTTAGGAATTGCTTTGTCATACATATCACCAGATGTTAGATATTGTGCAATTCTATTTAGACATGTATTCTTTTATGCACTCATTCCACCAAGAAAACCAATCAATCATTGTTTGGCTTCAGAATACTTCATATTAAAATCTGTGAACATGGCTGGGAACACAAGATTCATATTAAGATATTGCCAATCATCTCAAATAGCCTAAGTCTACTGTGTAAAATACACAGACACAGAGTTAATGTAATTAACACCAAATTAAACCTTGAGAACTGCAACAGATACATGAATGATAAACTCCAGTGAGGGTGTAATTAACTCTGACAGCAAGAATCAAAGAAGAATTCTTTGGAAAGGTAATCATTCAAGTGGGCCTTGAGAAATATACAGGATCCTGACAGACGAAAGGCAGCAGACTATGAATTGTTAAAAACATGAACTTTGAAGCCAGACTGCCTGAGTCTGAATCCCACTCTATGATTTATTAACTGTGTGACCTTGGGCAAGTTACTTAACCTCTCTGTCTATCAGATTCCTCATGCATAGAAGGGAGATAATTATACCACATATGGCCAAAGGTTGTTGGGAGAGCAAATTAATTAATATGTAAAGTATCTGTAACAGTCCCTGAAACATAATAAATGCTAGGTAAGCATATGTGATATGGAGAAAACAAAGGACAAAGCAGAGTACACAGCACAAAATAATTCTGAGCTGAAATGCTAAAAAACATATTTTTTTGTTCTCACTAGAAAAAAATAATACCCTGGACTACATTAAGCAAAAACTCCTAAATATACATAAAAATGCATTTTGCTAACTCAGTGACAGTTTGGGGTCATTGAACTTTTACTGTAACTATGGATCTTCCAAAACAGAAACACACACACACACTCAAAACTCCACGCATAATCTTAAGGTTTCATCCAGAAATTGAGGGCTGCAGGCACTTCCTCGAGCTTATCTCTGAGCCGTAAGTAATGACATAGTCTAACGGTATTATGCACTTCCCATAAAAACCAATGCTTAGCATGGAATTCTATACAACCCCAGGCAACCATGGACCCTAAAGTATCTCATCCAAAAATTGAACTGTTAACTTAGAGGATGGAAGCACATAGAACATGAAAAACTTCACAGCTCCATTTCAAATCAAAGAGGGCAACAGAAAGCAATTCTGGTGAGGTGGCTTCCTTATCTGACGAACAGACCTGTGAAGGCAAGGGACACAGGTAGTCCAACCCTGAGGAGACGAGGCTGGGGAGAAAATGTAGAAACAGAATGGCACTGTACTCACATGGTGAAGGAGCCGGGGGGAGCAGACACTCGCCGCAGGTCCGCAGTTTGCACCTGATGAATACTAGAGGCAGCAGGGAATGAGCAGCGAAGACAGAGTCAGCGACAGCGTGGACAGACAAGGAACAAGCCAGGGGAGAGAAAGAGAGACACACAAAATTTAAACAGAAATTAAATGAGCGCATCACCGAACAGCGAAGGAAAGGAAAAGGAAAACCAAGCCAGCCACGGAAATAATCCAAAAAAAGCCGGTGATAGCAACGAAGCCAACAGGACACACGGAAGGCGCTGGTTCTAGGCAAGTCACAGACCGGAGCGGGGCCAGGCTGGGATCGATGCTGGACGGCAGGTCGGGGGGTGTAGGGGGATGACCATGGCCTCCCTTGCTCAGGCCCATCAGGACACCCAAGGAGAGAAGGCACACACTTACATATTGAGTGGTAGGCTGGCATGGTAAACTCATCTTTGAAAAGATTCAAGGTCAATTTAACCCTTTCATCACACAGCCATCAGGTTTCCCCAGGCTTTATAGGAACACTCACCAAAAGACAATCATCTTAAAAAGAGTGTCTCAACCAAAACTTCAACTTCCTTCAGTTAAACAACAAAGGCTTTTTAAAAACTCCAAAGGTAATACCAAGAAAGTCTAATTGTATCACTGTATTGCTATCATTCCACCCACATTCTGGGTAGAAAAATGAAACCACAGATTTCTCCCTTTTCTCCCTTCTTTTATATTGGAGTCTACAGCAGCTGCTAGAAAAGACAAAATGTAGAATTTAAGAAACTAAACCCAAAATGTTTTGTTGACTTTACATAATTATTCTCTCCACTCTCTTATTTAAAGAGTTTCATTATAACTACATTAGACCTAGTTCCACGGATCTCTCTGTTCTGCAGCATACATAACTTCTCATGCAAAGTCACCCATGAGGTAACTCCAGCCCAAGACTCTCTCTGTCTGTGTTATCCTCCAAGTACTATCGTTTCCAAACAATAATAGTTCTCAGCAGCCTAGGATGATGGAATTCGATTGCTCAATTCAAAGTTTGCTGACTAGAAACCTGGTCATTGGATGAAACGATCATCTTTAATAATGTAGCCTTAATTACTAGTGAACTAAGGATAATATTATCTATTTATTAATAGTTCACTGAAGATCTCCCAAAACACCTGGGTAATTTTGTTTCTATTCTCCTTCAATGGCACATTTCAAATAAAGAACATAATCCAGCATATTGGCTATCAGGTAACTAGCATATGAATATGAACCTAGATAAATCTGCTTATTACTTTTTGTGGGGAAGGTATTTACTGTAGTTCATACTCTGTGTAGATTCCTATGCTATGATAAATGACATATGCTCCCATATATATAAGGAGCTTCTGAACACAGTGGGACCTAGCTTTTTAGTTTGTGTATAATAATAGCAAATGGGATTATAAGCCAAGAAATATTTTTTAGAAAACATTAATTTTTCCTTTTGCATAAATGAAGATCTAGTGGCATCATGAAGCCCTATTAGTTAACTATTTCTCATGGAAATTCCTTCTGTCCATGTGGACCATAGCTTGAAATTATTAAATATGTATCTTTCACTTATAAGACAATGTGACCAAAACACATTTGATATTAGTTTTATATTCACAAAATTTTAGATTTATGTTATCTTAGAAAGCAATTTCTGAGAAACACAGCAGAGACAGCATTATAGAATGGATTCATGTGTGAGTCGCTGATGCAAGATGTGACTGTCTCAGGAGCTATGACAGACACTGAGGATCCTAAGAGGAAAATCCTAGGGCCTCCCCACAGAGCAGAGAAGGGAGGAGTGAATCAATGATTACACTATTTTTAGTAAGTGGTGTAATGGAAATAACCAAGAGCACCACTGAAACACGTAAAGGTACATCTAACAGCTAGAAGTAGACAGAAAAGGCTTATTAGGAATAGTAGCATTTCAATGGGGTCCTAAGCTGTGAGCGAGGAGTTAGCAGAAGATAAAGAGGTGCAGAGGGCACTGCAAGAAGAGGACCAGAGAGCAAAACCAGGATGATGTAGGAGACAGGCTACTGTTCCAGGAACAGCAATCTTCCCTGGAACAAAGAGCAAAGAGAATGAAGAAGGGAGTGATCAAAAAGGTCTGCAAAGCTAAGGAACACAGGCTTGGGATTCTTATATCAATCTAACGGGTATATCAGAAGAGACAGATTATGTGAAGGCAGCAAGGGCAGGAACAGAAAATAGTCAGAAGCATATTTTAGTAATGCTGCTGAGAGGTAGCTCACGTGACTTTTGAACTCTGGCTGCTTTACTGGTAGAGAAGATAGAGGAGATGAGAGTCAAAGACTTGGGAAATAAACAGAAGATAGAGTTCAAAGAATGTAGTAGCTACCCTGATGGATGCTGATATGGTTTGGATGTGTGTCCCATCCAAATCTCATGTTGAAATGGAATCCCCGATGTTGTATGTGGGGCCTGGTCAGAGGTGTTTGGGTCATGGGGGCAGATCCCTCATAAATACCTGGTGCCCTCCTTGAGGTAGTGAGTGAGTTCTCACTCTGAGTTCATGTGAGAATTAGTTGTTTAAATGAGTATGGTGCCTCCCCCGTCTCTCTTGCTCTCTCTCCCACCATATGATATGCCAGCTCCCCATTCACCTTCTGCCCTGACTGTAAACTTCCTGAAGCCTCACCAGAAGCGAAGCAGATGCTGGTCCTATGCTTGTACAGGCTACAGAACTGTGAGCCAAATAAAACTCTTTTCTTTATAAATTATCCAGCCTTAGCTGGGCACAGTGACTCACGCCTGTAATCCCAGCACTTTGGGAGGCTGAGGCGGGCAGATCACTTGAGCCCAGGACTTCGAGACCAGCCTGAGCAACATGGGGAAACCCTGTCTCTACCAAAAATACATCTGGGCATGGTAGCGCACACCTGTTGTCCCAGCTACTCGTGAAGCTGAGGCAGGAGAATCACTTGAACCCGGGAGGCGGAGGTTGCAGTGAGCCAAGAGGGCACCATGGCACTCCAGCCTGGACAAGAAAGTGAGCCTCTGTCTCAATAAATAAACAAATAAATATAAATAAATAAATTATCCAGCCTCAGGTATTTCTTTACAGCAATGCAAAAATGGACTAACACAGGTGTATAGAAGTAGAAGCGACTGAGGGAACCCCAGAGGCCAGGAACAGGACAAATGAATGGATGGTAGTTTCATGTGTACAGCTGTGAAGGGAATAGGCTCACTGGATGGTGGGGTAGAAAAGTCAAGGAAATAAAGTTAATGAGTCCAGTTTCTAGCATGTAGTTTGAGGTTACTATGAGACATTAAGGTAAAAATGTCAACTAAGATATTTGGGTATGAGTCTTCAATTTTTAGAAGAAAATTCTGGGCTGAAGACACAGATCAGAGATACAGTCTCCCAGAGAAAGGGCAGAACCACAAGGAGCACTGGCATCTAAGTGGAAAGGGAACTGTTGTTACGGGAGCCACAGCACTTACGTCTCGAATATCCAATTAACATGCTGTGTGAAAGAAGCCTAATTTTTAAAGATGAATTAAACAACCACCTTCTTCTTACTGGGAACACACACACACACACAGAGGTTTTTAAGCTAAAAATGCTAAAGATATTTTCGACTAGTTCTCCTCAAGTAAAGGAAAAAAGAAGACAGGCAAAGACAGGAAGGCAGGAAATAAAGAAAATGTCTTTCAAGTTTCTCTTTCTTCATTGTTTCAAATGGTGCACTTCACACAATTGATGGTCAAAGCAGACAAAGGCTTGAAGGACTCAGAAGGTGGAAGAACACTTATAGAACAGTCTTGAAGGAAAGGCTGACCTTGAACTTGAAACTCCACTTGGAAATCTAGTGGAAGACCTTAGATTTCAAAACAAGGTTTTCTGGTAAAATTGAAAGAAATATTTAATCATAGGTTAGAAGGTAAATAAGATCAGAATGAGAGCAATTAAGGTTTAGTAAGCAAACATTACATGATGACTAGGTTTTTTTGCTTTCTTTTGAAAATGTGCTATCCGTATTGATTTTCTCAAAATGTAGTGTTGAATGATAATTTTTCACAAGTACTAATAAAGATTTTTGTTATCTTTAAGTCTTATAAATATTCATTAATAAAATGAAAATTATACTATTATTCCCATTTCTCATAAGTCTTTCAGAGGGCATGGGGTGGCTTGGATGCAGGCATCACTGCCTCTGGTAGAAAGTAAGTAACAGTTTTGGGGTGTGTTGTTGTTGTTGTTTGAGTTTTTTTTTTTTTTTTCAGACAGAGTCTCGCTCTGTTGCCCAGGCTGGAGTGCAGTGGTGTGATCTCGGCTCCATGAAACTTCTGCCTTGTGGTCCTAGAGATTCTTATGAGTAGCTGGGATTACAGCCTCCTGAGTAGCTGGGATTACAGGCGCATGCCACCACACCTGTCTAATTTTTGTATTTATAGCAGAGAAGGGGTTTTGCCGTGTTGACCAGGCTGGTCTTGAACTCCTGGTCTCAAGTGATCTGGCCATCTTGGCCTCCCAAAGTGCTGGGATTACAGGTGTGAGCCACCGTACCCAGCCAGTAACAGTATTTTTAAGTTGAGGCTGCTTCTTGAACACCTGCAAAGCTAAGTGCTACAAAAAATGCCATCATATATCATGTGTGCCTTGAGTACAAAAAGAAAAAAATTCTTTTTATGTGCTTCTATAGATGCAGAAAGTCAAATGAACTCTTAACAATATGGTTGCTGAGCAAATACGAATTCTCAACACAAAGGTAAAAGCTGTTTAAAACTAAATACCTGAAAACCATTTCATGTCTGATAAGGTTATTAAATACAGAAGCAGCAGGTCTAAGACTGTGAGTTCTCTGCCTATATATAGTAAAAACTTTTAGATTCTGCATATCTTCTTAACTATCTACAAGTGACCCAACAACATAGGCTATAGCACAGTTTCAGAGATGGTTTTTCACTTAGTAGTTCATAGATTTCCAGCAAACCCTTGGTCCATTTAACTCTAACATTTCTAGGGGGAATTGGATGAACCATATACAACCACTGGCATGCCACATTTTTTAACATATAACCTCAGCAATTGTGTATTTAACCTGATAGAAGGTAAAGGCAGGGAGGGCAGCAGGCACGGAGGACAGGAGGAATGAGCGAGGAGTTTCACTAAATGCAAAATGTAAACAAAGAAAGACATGTAACTAAAAAACACCTCTGGAAAATGATCTAGGAAAAATTCTGGGGGAAGTCCAGATTCTGGGAGAGAAGGAAGGAGAGGACAGACAGGATTTTTTACCCCAGCTTCAAACTGAGACCCAGATGCCAAAAGCTGGAACACTCTGAGAGCACTGTCTAATCCTGTTCCTCAACCAACATGTGCCACCACAGAGAGAGAGCAGTAAGTGTTGGTAGTGAATGAGGGCACCTGTGTTGCTGGCTATTGTAAGGACTTCTGCATACCGTTATATTGACTCAATAAATGCATGGCAAAGCACGCCCTTGCTTTACAGGCACCACAAGGAAGCCAGCCACTCAGTGCAAATAGGTAACCATGCATTACAGGCCACAAACGGGAGGAGCACCTTTGAGAGTCCCTCACTGTGATAGAGAATGACAAAAGGCTAAGTCCTGAAATGGCCTTAAGCACATAGCATGATATAGAGGAAATACTCAAAAGATGCCAAAAATTATGTTCATTTTCCGTCCCCTTCTCCAACCCCACAGACACTTAATCACTAGTTGGAGTGAGACACACTATAAGATGAATATGAATTCTAAATATCTAGCCAATATTACCTTACCTCAAGTCAGTTTATTAAAATGCCTAAGAAAGGAAAACTCCAGGTGGGATACCATGTGTTCAGGGGTAGAAAGAGTGGGTCAGGCTATGTCTGGACAATAGGATGCTGCCCAGAAAGCCAACACTGAGTTGAAGCCCCAGAGTATGGAGGACCCCAAAATGGGAACATCAGGAAGGGAACAATTCACTGGCAGGCAGAAAGAGATGCAATGTGGATAGAGGCAAGCCACTGACCAGCTCTGCCAACCACCCGTGACTGGAGAAACCAACACTCTCCAAGCGACCTGGGTAAAGAGCAGGCTAACTATGTGCTTCCCTAAAACAAAACAAACAAAAACGCATTTACCTGAACACGGTTTACCATCCTAGAATCCCTCTCAATGATTTTCTGCTAGTCCCAGTAAATATATTCTCAAGTGGTCAGTGAAGAAGAATCATCTATCTCATGTACAGTAATAACTACTAAAAGAAGGGCATGGAACTGTATAATAAACAAGGAGAAAAAAACTCTATGTGTTCCTATGAGAGAAACCAAGGAACTACTGAGTCTCCTGGACTTTTTTCCTCTTCCCAACACAGTGAGGTCCCCAGACCATGCACATGCTCTGCACTCTCCTCTCCAAGGTCTTCATGTTAAGCAAGGTAGGCCATGAGCAGACTCACTCATTGAGTAAAGGCATGGATGTTCTCCTCTTGCTCTTCTGTACCATGTTGGCCTGATTCCTCAGGGAGATCCGAATCATAGCTGGGGCCAACCTACAGGGCTCCCCATCCACTTGCATGGGGATGGATTTGTAAGTTAGAAGCATGACTTCTCGACACTGGTGTAGCCTCTCTCCATGGCCCCCAACTTGCAGGGCTGCCTATAAAAACAAGAGTCAAAGGGGAGCAAGGAGTTAGTTATTATTTAAGAAAGCTGGAGGCCAGGCGCTGTGGCTCATGCCTGTAATCCCAGCACTTTGGGAGACCAAGGCAGGTGGATCACCGGTGGTCAGGAGTTCCAGAGCAGCCTGGCCAACATGGCGAGACCCGGTCTCTACTAAAAATACAAAAAAAAAAAAAAGCTGGGCATGGTGGCAGGCACCTGTAGTCCCAGCTACTTAGGAGGCTGAGGCAAGATAATCGCTTGAACCTGGGAGGCAGAGGTTGCAGTGAGCCGAGGTCAAGCCGCTGCACTCCAGCATGGGCAATAGAGCGAGACTCCATCTCAAAGAAAAAAAAGGAAAAGAAAGCTGGAAACCCCCAAGTCCATTGTACATAACCAAGGAGTCTCTGATAAACATACTAAAATTAGTAAAATTAACCACCACCATAGTAGGAAACCTGGATAAACCATTAATGCAAATAAACCAAATATTCACAATTTTGACGAGCTTTACCATAAATTCCTATTAACTATCACTTTTTGCTCTTATATGTTTCAAATCTAAATTTAAGCATGTTAGTTTAATACAAAGCTTTTTCTTTGTGTTATCTATTCTCATTAAATAACCAATGAAAGTAGAACAAAACCAATATGAAGAATATAAAGCAGGTAGTTTATTAACCTCTAAATTGTATTTATCCAATACTTTAATATGCAGCACATTGTTACTTTTCAAGTTTAAATAGGTGTTTGCTTTTTATCTAAACTTCCACAAGCTATCTCTAACCTGTATAAGATCAACAAAATGCAAAATAACATCAATTACTTAATTTAAAACACTCTGGAAAGCAAAGCAGCTTTAAGGATCAAAATGAAAGACAGAACTCAGTTCATCATGGTAGCCACAGAATGGAGTTTCAAGACAATATTAAAAGTCTGTCATTAAGGAGCAACACATTTGTATAACCTCTTCTGACTTAGTAAAAAAAAAATGTATTTAGTATTATTTATCCTTCTAGGAAATAAAAGAAAAATCATACATTTTTGTTGTATAACATACATAGAGCACACAAATTTTATTATACAGTTTAATAAATATTTTATATACACATGTGAACCTCCATCGAGACCAAAGTTTGGAAAATGTATAACACCCAGAAGGTTCCTACGTGCCCCTTCCTAGTCTATTACACACCTCCCGCCAACTGACTGGTGAGCAAGAAAGCAGAGGAGAATGATGTGAGAAGTTACTAAAATTCTTTTTGCCTTATTATCTGATATGATTTTACTCTTTTTATTTTGTAGACTTGAGTAGGCCTCATGACAGATAAAATGTAAAACCTGCCTGGTAAGAAGGTATTCTGCTGAGTCTAACCGGACTGAAAATGGCTTGAACACCTTCCAACCTCTTGGTATTTGAAGTCATACACAGTAGTCTAGACCACTTTTAAGCCATCTTCTCAGACTCAAAAATAAAACAACAGCAAATATTACAAGCAGGTAGAGTTAATAACTGTCAATGCCGCCCCTACCGGCATTTCACAATCAATCCAAGATGGTTGCACAGAGACAAGAGGAAGTACTGTAATTAGCTTTTCAGGGTAGAGACATTTCCATTATTGTTAGCACGGTCACATTAAATTATTTTTGGAACAAATTAGAGTATAAGTAATTTTTTAAAACTTATTAGAAATACATACTTTTCATGTCTCAGATTGGTCTAGGCTTAGCATCTTATAAGACATAGTCTCTAAGAGCCCTAATAGAAAGCCCCAAGACTTTCTAGAATGAATCATTTACTATTAGTAATACTTTGATTTATTCGTGACAGTCGCTGTCTATTTAACCTAGCATGTGTTAGTCTTCTGAGAACGTCAGATATTGCTTTTCTGTGACTTGAGAGGAAAACTGAGACAGTCCCTGACCTAATGCATTCATTGCCATTTATTGACCCAAGACCATAGCTCTCCTTTGCACTGCAGCTATGTCTTGAGATTTTCTATCTTTTCACACTACACTCTTCCCTGGAATATTTTCCCTCAACCCCTCTCAAAGCATATCCTCCTCCTTACTGCCTAAGTCATTCTACTTGCTGTCAGATGGAAAGAACAGGCAATCCTGGGTTGGGGGAGGGGTGAAGCAAGAGCAAACCTTACTCTCCTTTCCTTCCTCACCGCCACTATCAGCCCCAGCCTCATTCCTGGAACAAAGTACCCGAAGGAAAAAATCTGTGACATGGAGATCAAGCGCAAGAGATCATCTGCTTGTGTTTTAAAGACTAACAAGGTAAACAAACCTCTTGTAAGACTAAACAAAAAAGAATAGAAAACATAAAACTATTTTCTTTTTTTTTTTTTTTTTTTTTGAGATGGAGTCTCACTCTGTTGCCAGGCTGGAATGCAGTGGTGCAATCTCAGCTCACTGCAACCTCCACCTCCCGGGTTCAAGTGATTCCCCTGCCTCAGCCCCCTGAGTAGCTGGGACTACAGGCATGTGCCACCACACCCGGCTAATTTTTTGTATTTTAGTAGGGACAGGTTTCACCGTGTTGGCCAGGATGGTCTCAATCTTCTGACTTCGTGATCCTCCCGCCTCGGCCTCCCAAAGTGCTGGGATTACAGGTGTGAGCCACTGTGCCTGGCCAAAATTATTTTCTTTATTAAAAATAAGAAATGGCCAGGTGCAGTGTCTCACATCTGTATCCCAGCACTTTGGGAGGCCAAAGTGGGAGGATGGCATGAGGTCAGAAGTTCAAGACCAGCTAGGGCAACATAGTCAGACTCCATCTCTACAAAAAATTTAAAAATCAGCTGAGGACGGTGGTGCATGCCTGTAGTCCCAGCTAGTTGGGAGGCTTAGGGAGGAGGAGCTTCTGAGCCCAGGAGGTCAAGGCCGCAGTGAGCTATGATCACGCCACTGCACTCCAGCCTGGCAATAGAGCAAGACCCTGTATCTAAAAAATAAAATTAAATAAATAAAATAAGGAGCTAGCTAAAGAGATAATACAGAGTTCTGAAAATCATGCAGGAATTTTAGGAAAACAATAAATCGAAAAACCTAGATAAGAAAGAAATTTCGTGGAAAAATATAACTTACGAAGTTTGGTGTAATAAATACAGAAATTAAATAGATTAGGGCTATTTTAAAAATTGAAAGAGTTATCAAAAAATGTTCCTCATTTTACCTGCCCCACTACCCCCTCCCCAAAAATGTCAAAGAGGCTAGATGTTTTATAAGTCCGTCCTACCTAAATGTTAAGGAAAGACAGTGTCTATTTAGTACAAGATGCTTTAGAAAATATGATGCTATAGCTTTTAAGGTAACAAAACTAGATAAAAGCAGTACAAGAAAACAAAAAATTTTATCCTAAATTATATTCATGATCATAATGCCAAAATCATTTAAAAACATCTAATTGCTGCCAGTGGTCTCTTTTATAGAAGTTAAAGTTATTATGGTTTATTGTTAAGAATCAAGAAATTAAGAATTACTCAACATCAGAAAATACATCATTGTAATTTCAGTACATTAATTATTTAAATGAGAAAAACCACATTATCATCTCAAAAGATTAAGCAAAAAAAGATGTTCAATGCCTTTTATGATAAAAATGAATTTCATAGAAAACTAAGAACAGAAAGTAGCTTTTGTAACTGATAAAGATCACCCACCAAGATACCTAGAAAAAAATATTATTCACAATAAAAAAAAATTTAGAAGCATTCCTTTCAAGAAACAAAGTTATCCATCAGCAACGAAAGTTTTCAACATAATATTGGAAGTACTGACCAACACAATGAGACAAAGAAATAAAATTAGAAAAAAAAAGAATTAAAAGAAAAAATGCAAACTTACTAATATTTCTACTGATATCATCCCACACACAAAAATTCCAAGAAAATTCACAGGCCAAGTGTTAAAACTCATAAGAAAGATGGCTGATACACTGTTGAATTAAAAAACCAATAGTATTCTACTACTCTAGCATTAAATAAACAAATACAATAGGATATAAAATGCCATTTACAATATCAACAAAAACAGTACATGCAGACTTTTATGCAGAAAACTTTAAAACTTTATTGAAAGATGTAAGGGAAGACTTAAGTAAATGGAGAGGCATGTTATATTCATGAACAGAATAATTCAATACTCTAATAATGTTAATTTTCCAAAATTAATGTACCAATTCAATGTAATTCAAATTAAAATAATAGAAATACTATTTTAAGGAATCTTGTTGTCATGTTAATTTCATGTCAACTTACCTAAGCCACAGTAACCAGATATTTGGTCAAACATTCTAGATGCTTCTATGAAAGTATTTTTTTAATGAGATTAACATTTAACTCAGTAGACTTTGAGTAAAGCAAACATGAGTGGGCCTCATCCAACTTGCTGAAGACTCTAAAAAGAAAAAAGAAGAACCTTCCCAGAACAGGAAGAATTTGACCTCAGCCTGCCTTTGGACTTGAGCTTAAACATCAACTGCTCCCTGGGTCTCTAGCCTGTCAGCCTACCCTGCAAATTGGTGCAAATTGGGACTTGCCAGCCTCCAATTCACAATTCACGTGAGAATAAAATAAATCTCAATCTCTCTCCCCCACTCACACACTCCCTTTTGTTCTGTTTCTTTGGAGAATCTTGACTAATATACTTATAAAAATGATTCAATAATTAATTTTGAAGGATAAAGATCCACAAATTACTAAGGATAGTTGGAAAGAACAGGGGCAATGGATAGCAGACTGCCCCTGTTAGAATCCGAAATATATAATACTTAAAGATGCAGTCATTAAAATAGTGAAAGCCAGTGGAAATGAATAACAGAACAGAATAGACTCAAAGATACGAGTACATGAACTACGGTGATGTGGCATTATAAATTATTGGAGAAATGATGGATAATTTAGCCAAAGAGGCTGGGAATATTTCCCACTATATAGAGAAAAATAAAATCAGTATTCTACCTCACGTCATACACAAAGGAACAAGAAATAAAAATACAAATATAAATATTAGTGGGCTGAAAGGGAGGAGAGAGTAAGTATTTCTTCCCATCTCTTTTTCTCAATCAGTGTCTGGCAATAGCTAGTAATTCCTTTGAGCTTCCATTTCCTACTGAGAAGCACTCTCTCCAGGCGAACCTGTCCCTGTGGCTCCAACTCAGACAGGCAGCCCTCACTGAGGCTCCAACTCTCCTGGAGCGATTCCCTTCTCCAGAGTTCTAGTTCTGCCGTATGACCCTCCCACCATGCCCATCAACAGGCCTCTCAGGTGGCCACTTCTCCCAGGTTCCAGCTCTGTTTTATAGCCTGAGCTCCTTGATGCTAATAACACCATCTTCTCTCGCTGTCCCTCTAGCCCTAGAGGTGACAGAGACTTCCTGCAGTTGTCGATTTATGAATTGCTAATCTATGGGTTGACCTCTTTTCAGTTCTTCTAGCATCCCATAACTAGCCTCCTGTACTAAATAGCCTCAATGGATCTATCTCCTATTGAATTATTTTCCTCTTTGATATACTCAGCTAGTCACCAAAATGAGAAATTTTACTTACATAATTTGCAGTGGCACCAATATCAGCTAATTCATAGTTTTTGACACAACATTTTACAAGCTATTTTACTGTCAGGAACATCTATCATTAAGATTTTTTTCATTTTATCAAGAATTAACATTTCTAGGCACTGGGTTTTTTTTATTATTTTATTTATTTATTTATGTTTGAGATGGAGTCTCACTCTGTTGCCCAGGCTGGAGTGCAGTGGCACGATCTCGGCTGACTGCAACCTCTGCCTCCAAAGCAATTCTCCTGCCTCAGCCTCCTGAGTAGCTGGGACTACAGGTGCACGCCACCATGTGCAGCTAATTTCGTTTTGTATTTTTAGTAGAGACAGGGTTTCGCCATGTTGGCCAGGCTGGTCTCAAACTCCTGACCTCAGGTGATCCACCCACCTTGGCCTCCCAAAGTGCTGGGATTATAGGTGTGAGCCACTGCGCCCAGCCCACTGGTGTGTTTTAAAGCTCCATGGTAAAACATGCTGTAGGGAACCTAAATGCTATTAGTAGTGGTGGTATTAATTATTGTCCACACTAATAAATATTTATAGCAAAAATAATTCGATAAATTCAGTTTCCTCATATGTAAAGTGATTACAGTATGCTGCTACAATCACTTTCAGAACTAGCGTTTTATGAAACTCCTGACCTCAGGTGATCCACCCACCTTGGCCTCCCAAAGTGCTGGGATTATAGGTGTGAGCCACTGCGCCCAGCCCACTGGTGTGTTTTAAAGCTCCATGGTAAAACATGCTGTAGGGAACCTAAATGCTATTAGTAGTGGTGGTATTAATTATTGTCCACACTAATAAATATTTATAGCAAAAATAATTCGATAAATTCAGTTTCCTCATATGTAAAGTGATTACAGTATGCTGCTACAATCACTTTCAGAACTAGCGTTTTATGATTCTAGGTTGTACCTACAATTCTTTTTTTTTTTTTTTTTTTTTTTTTTTGAGACGGAGTCTCGCTCTGTCGCCCAGGCTGGAGTGCAGTGGCGGGATCTCGGCTCACTGCAAGCTCCGCCTCCCGGGTTCACGCCATTCTCCTGCCTCAGCCTCCCAAGTAGCTGGGACTACAGGCGCCCGCCACTACGCCCGGCTAATTTTTTGTATTTTTAGTAGAGACGGGGTTTCACCGTTATAGCCGGGATGGTCTCGATCTCCTGACCTCGTGATCTGCCCGCCTCGGCCTCCCAAAGTGCTGGGATTACAGGCGTGAGCCACCGCGCCTGGCCTTGTACCTACAATTCTATAATCATGTTCTCAAATTCCACCTCCTCCCATCTAGAGCCCTGTTTCTTTCCTTGACTATATAAGTGATGTGATATTGTCCAGCCACTCTAAACTGCTAGAGAGTGAAAAAGAAAGAACTGCATTTGAAAAACCTCCCTTCTGCAAATTAAAAAAAATAGTAGCAATTATTGCATACTTACTATAAGTCAAAAATTTTTCTATGAAAAAGTCTTGTAAAAATCTCAAAACTCTCATTGGGATTACTTGTATACATGTGTCTTTTTTCACTTTTGTTTAATGAAAGTAGATTCTAGTCACTACCAAAGTGAGTTTATGAGAAGCAGGAAAAAAAAAAAGCCACTCTTGTGGACCTGTCCAGTTTCATAGCTGTTAGTGAGATTTAGACTCGTATTCATGATGCGGTTTGAGAAAAAAATCATTTGTATGCTTTAAAGGTAGCTATATGGACAATCATTCCTCTAAAATCTGCAATATTCTGGCAGTATAGTGACAGAATCAATAAAATATAATGGAGCAATGGAATAAAATAGATTTGTATAATTCTGGAACAAAAGAAATATACCCTATCCATCTTTTAATACTGGTCCAGTAGAATTCGTCCCTTATATAAGACTGATTTTTTATCTTGTGAAGCAGGAAGTGGAGAACTAAGTAGAATGTAATGCTAAGACAGTACACACTAAGTCACAACGAAACACAATCCAGACCCACATACGATGTATCATCCACTAGGACAACACAGGCAAAGAAGCAAGAAAACATCATCCATAATAAAATGAAAAAAACAAAATTATTGCTGAGTGAACTTAAGAGCAAATTGAAAGCTGCAGAAAAAAAGAGGCCAGTGAAGATAAAAACAGATGAATAGAAATTACCGTATCTGAAAAACAGAGACAGAAATGTTTTATTCTATTTCATGGCCTATGAGACAATAACAAGCAATCTAAAATACATTTAATTAAATCCCAGAAGCAGAGAAAGGGAGAATTGAGCATAAAATACATGAATAAAAATATTCCTAGTTCGTTGGGGAAAAAAATAAACCTTTAGGTCCAAGGAGACCAGTGGACCTAAAACAGCATAAATGCAAAGAAAACCACTGTGGTGGGCAGAACAGTGCTCACCACTACAACCACCAAAAATGATGCCCATGTTCTAACTCCCAGGAACCACACAAACCTCATGGAGCAAAAGGGCCTTTTCAGGTGTAAGTAAACTAAGGTTGTTGAGATAGGAAGATTATTCTGGATTGTCTTAGTGGACCCAATGTAGTCTCAATGGTCCTTATAAAGAAAAATTAGGGTCTAGAGAATGAAAGTCAGAGAGGACAATGCAAGAATAGAAACAGGCTGGAGTGGCACAGGACTGTAAGCCAAAGAATGTGGGCAGCCTCCAGTAGCTGAAAAAGACAAGGAAACTAATTCTTCCATAGAATCTCCAGAGGGAACACAGGCCTACAAACCCATTTTAGACTTCTGATCTCCATGAATTTAAAATAATAAATGTATGTTGTCTTAAGCCACTGTTGTGGTCATTTGTTCTCAGCAGCAATAAGAAAGTAATACAGCTACAAAGAGGTTTAAAACTAAAGATAAACTAGTACAATCACCATGGAGAGGAATATGGAGGTTCCTCAAAAAACAACAAATGGAAGTATCATATGATCCAGCAATTGCACTACTGGGCATTTATCCAATAGAAAGGAAACCAGTATATTGAAGAGACATCTGTAACCCCCATGTTTATTGCAGCACTGCTCCAATAGCCAAGATATGGAAACTGCCTAGGTGTCCAACAACAAAAAATAAAAAAAAAAATGTAGTATGTATACACAATGGAATATTATTCAGCCATTAAAAAGAATGAAATCTTGTGGCAACATGGATGAAACTGGAGAACATTATGCTAAATAAAATAAGATAGGAAGAGAACGTTAACCACCACACATTCTCGTTAATTTGTGGAAGCTAGGAAAAGTTGATCTCACAGAAGTAAAAAGTAGAACAGAGGATACTAGAGGCTAGAAAGGGTGAAGGAAAGGGAGGGACAGGAAAAAACTTGTTAAAGGATACAAAATTAAAACAAGATAGAAGAAATAAATTTTAGTGTTCTATACCACTGTAGGATGACTATAGTTGACAGTAATATCTAGTTTCAAAAAACTAGGAGGAGGATATTAAATGTTCCCAACACAAAGAAATGACAAATGTTTGAGATGATCGATATGCTAATTATCCTGATTTGATCACTGTACATTATATGTGTTGAAGCATCATTATGTATTCCATCAATATGCACAATTACTACTCATAAATTAAAATTTTGATTTTTAAAAAAACAACAAATAAAGAGAAAATCTCAAGAACAGAGAAAAAAAGACACACTATATACAAGGAAATAATGATGCAAATGACAGCTGACTTTTCATTATAAAATATGGAGGCCAGAAGAAAACAAAACAACTATTTAAAGAGCTAAAGCAAGACGAACAAAAACAAACCTGTCAGTCCAGAATTCAGAATTCTATATCTACAAAAACATAATTCAAAGAATGAGGATAAAATAAAGACATTTTCAGAAAAATAAAATTTAAAACTATTTGTTGCCAACAGAACTTCACTATAAGAAATGTTAGAGGAAATCATTGAAATTAAAGAAAAATGACGCCAGATGGAAACTTGGATCAACAGGAAGGAGTGAATAGCACTGGAAAGGGAGACAGGTGGGTAACAAAGGACTTTCTATTTGTCTTTCATCTCTTAATTTCTTTAAAAGTAACAATTGTTCAAAGCAAATACATTAATGCTGATTTGTGGAGCTCATATGGAATGTGAAAGATGTATGGAAGTAAGAGTATAAGGTAATGCTGGGCACAGTGGCTCACGCCTGTAATCCCAACACTTTGGGAGGCCAAGGTGGGCAGATCACCAGAGGTCAGGAGTTCGAGACCAGCCTGGCCAACATGGTGAAACCTCGCCTCTACTAAAAATACAAAAATTAGCCGGCCCTTGTGGCGGGCACCTATAATCCCAGCTATTCAGGAGGCTGAGGCAGGAGAATCACCTGAACCTAGGAGACAGAGGTTGCAGTGGCCAAGATCATGCCACTGCACTCCAGTCTGGGCAACAAGAGCAAAACTCCATATCAAAAAATAAAAAAGAGCATAAGGTAAGAAAGAGAAGAAGGATTATGAGAAAAAGATAGGTAAATTGATAAAATTACTTGTATCCAGAATGGAGGGGGGATCCTACAAACAGTAAAATATTAATAGCATTGTAAACATAAACTCAACAATTTAGACAAAATAATGAACAAGTTTCATGAAATATTTAACTTAATAAAGTTGACTCAAGAAGAAATAGATAATATGAATAATTCTATATCTATACTTGCCTTAAAGAAATCTCAAAGCCAAATAGTATATTAGGAAATTTTATGAAATATATAAGGAAAAAAATCATAGTACCAGTCTTCACAAATTCTTTCAGGAAATAGAAGAGAATGTCATTTCTTGTCTCAGATTCCAAGGCCAGTAGAACCTTTATATCAAAACCCAATCAAATTATGCAAGAAAAGAAATTTATTTATCGCTCTCCCTCATAATCATAATCACAAAAATGCTTAACAAAATATTAGTAAACTGTATCTAGCAATATAAAAATGATAATAAATCAAGCCTAAGAGGGGCTTATCCTAGAAATGCAAGATCAGTATAAGATTTTTAAAAATTAATGAAATTAGTGATATAAACAAAAGAAAGGGGAAAATTGTATGTCAATTTCACAGATACAAAAAACCTTTGATAAAATACACCACTCATTTGTGATCAAAAGCTCTCAGGAAAGTAGGAATGAAATGGAAATTCCTTCATCATATAAAGGACACTAATAAAAAAAAACTACAATTAAGCATATTTTATGAAAAATATGGAATGCTTCCCCATGTAATCAGGAACAATACAAACATGTGCATTCTTATCATTTTTATTCAACATCTTAGTGAACATCCAAGAAAAAGAAATTTTAAAGAATTTTCTAGAGTGGCATAAAAATTTTTTAAATAAAAAATAAAAATGGAAAGGCATGTAAGGAAACAGTAAAACTCTATTTCAAACAATATAATTGTGGTTGCAGAAAAACCTAAGGAATCTATTAAAAAAAACAAGCTACTGGATCTAATAAGTCAATTTAGCAAAGTTATGAGACAAGGTCAATAAACAAATATGTATTTGTATATGTATAGACACACATATAGTTATTTCTATATATTAGCAATAATTAAATGTAAAATTTAAATTACTGTTTAAGATAGCATTAAAAATACTTAGAAATAAATTTAACAAAAGGTGTGCAAAAACCTGAAAATTGCACTGAAGCTACAAAACATTGTTGATGGATATTAAATACCTAAATAAATGGAGAAATATACCATGTTCATGGATTGGAACATTCATATTGTTAATATTCCAATTCCTCCCCAAATTATCTAAAACTTAAATGCAATTCCAATTAAAATCCTAATTTTTTGCAGATAATAACAGATTCTAATATTTATATGCAAATGCCCAAAGATCTAGAACAAGGAAAACACTGTTAGAACAATAAAGTGATTCATATTACCAGATTCAAGGGTTACCATACAGCTAATTAAGACAGTGTGGTATTGGCAATGAGGATAAACAAATCAATGGAACAGAATAGAATCTAGACACCAAGCAAAAGCACCAAAGCAATTTTACAGAAAAGGAAAGTTTATTCAACAAATAGTGCTGGAAAAAGCTGGATAAATGCATTTTTTATGAATGAATATGTATCTTACACAATACACAAAAATTAATTTGAGCTGAATCATATACTTACATATAAAAGCCAAAATTATAAATCTTCAAGAAGAAAATATAGGAGAATGGCCTCCCAATCTTTCTGGGAGTAATCAAAGATTTCTTAGGAAGCACACAAAAAGCTCTAATACAAATTAAGCCTTTTTCATAAAATTGGATGTTTAAAACATGCTCATCAAAACAAACACTAAAAACACAAAAAGGAAAAGTATAAACAAAAAGAATTTATTTTTAATAAATAAATCTGTCAGAAGACTTGTATCCAGAATATATCTCTTCTATTTCAACAATAAATGATAAACAGCCCATTAAAATATGCAAAAAAACACATTTGACTTCTTTTAAAAAAAACAAAATGGTAACAATAAAAATAAACTTATCCTTACTCTCAAATGTTGTTGTTTGTAAGGACATAATTGTCTGTTCCAGAATTTTATCTGTATAAAACATATATAATTCCTTTACTTCCTTCCAGGGATGGAAGTTTATTCTCTTCCCTGTTTCATCAAGTATAATATTTAAACATCATTTATGTCTGTATCCATTAACACATTTTCAACATCTGTTGGATATTTAAATCACTTCTCTGAGCACAAGGGCGGTCCCTCGTGCCACCTGGAATGCAGCTGGCTGGCCTTCAGCGACCCCCAACGCCTTGCGGGGCTCCTACCGCCCCCACCGCCACAGTCGCGGCCGGCCCCAGGAACTCTGTCTACTAAATCACTTCTCATCCAGGAACTCTATATGCCGCTCTTGGGCAAGTAAACAGTATGACATTTCTAAAAAATAATTCTATAATTTTTAGTAAGAGGCTTCAAAATGCTTATGTCATTGTAATTTCCTTAGGATTTGCCATAAGAAAATAATTTGAAATGTGAAGAGAGGTTTACAAACAATTATGTTAATTACAGGATTATCTGCAATATAAAACATCAAAAACCTAAAAGCTTCATAAAGGAAACTTTGCATAAAATAATTATTACATAAATTAGGCTATATTTATACAATAAAAAAGTAGGTAGCCATTTGTAGTATGGGTTTTCCTTATAATATGGTTTCATGTATTTTTAAAAATGTAAAAATAAAGCAATTAGAAACACATCAAATATAGTTATTTATTTATGAGTCATAAAATTATAACTGATAATTTACTTTAATTCTTATGTATATTATCAAAATAAGCATACATTTAATATTACCTTTTTCTTAAAACAAAGATATATGGTAAGTGTAAAACTTCAACCCTGAGAATTTCTCCATGTCCTTTTTACTCACTGGATAACCTCTTGCTTTCCTAATTCATAACTATAAAGAAACTTACACAGTTTTATTTCAATTAACAAAAAGAAAGCTGGACGTGCCTTCTTTAAAGTTTACGAGACTGAAATCTTTGGATTTCATACTGAATGGCAAATTAGGTTCCCAATTCCTCTGACTGAATAATGCTTTGAACGTCTTGAGAAGTTTAAATTACTTAGAAACAAACTCAACATGAAAGGACCTTAGAAACAATAATGGCAGAAAATTGTGGCAGAAATAAATACAAATTACAATGTCTGATTATGGTCTGTGTAAACTCCAAAAAGGTAATCAGATTACCCAGCACCCAATGAAGAATCATCTTAATTAGCAGGAATGCATTTCAACCAGTAAAATGAATTGAAGACTTCTACTTTGAAATTTGCAATTACAAGATAAAGAGTCTAAAAGAAACAGTCTTTTTTCTCATTCCAGTAATTCTATTTCAAAGCTCTCTTATAATAAAAGTGCCATTCTGAATTTTCAATTTTTTGGATTTCACTGAAATCATAAGCAATGTACAAATATATTTATTAGTGTATTCCATGATTTTAAGTTTATAGCCTTTAATTACTACACACATATAAATTTCTAAGAAAAATAGTTTGTTTCTAAAAAGCTTGACCTACTGGTTATGTTTTTAATTATATAGCAGCTATATTAAATATGCAAAAATATATACACATATACCCAAATAACTATATTTGTCTGTTTACATAATCATCTTAAACAAATGTTTGAGTTTTCAAATAATTTACTTCCTTAGAAATATAAGCAATATAGTAGTTCAAGAAATGTGAAATTGAAGACTGCAAATTAGATTATTTCATCCTGAATGAAAAAAAAATACAATGCTTTACTGCTATATGAGTAGCAAGTAGTAAGATAAAATGTGTCTAAAAAGAGAGAAATATATGCCAGTATACATTTAGAGGTCATAGAATGTTCAAAACCATACAGTTTAAACTCCATTTAATTTTGCTTTTCTTAGATAGCATTCTCTTTCTTGGAAGCAATTAGAGTCACTGGAATCTGAGATTCAATCATGCATTTGATGCTAGCTGATGATGTATATGGATTACCTTATTCACATGATGAAAAGAGAAAAAAATAATGGACCTAATTTTAGTATTCCATTTCCTTTTTTGCCAACTACCATCTGCGATTATTTCTCTTTTTCCTACAAATGATAGGAGAAGAATAAAAAGGATCTGGCAGAACCCCTCCCTCTCCAAAACAATCTCTCCTGAAAAGATCTCCTGAACTCTAAACATATATTTTAAATTGCCCATTTCTATATTTCCTTAGATGTCTTACAGAGATTTTGAATTTAAAATAGATAAAACACAGTGTATTTCTTTTGAGATATTCTCTCTTTTATGTTTTCTATCTCATTTAATGCATTTATCCTTTACCTAGCTATCTAGGTAAAGAAGGATAGAATTAGAATATCAGGCCAGGCATGGTGGCTCATGCCTGTAACCCAAGCATTTTGAGAGGCCGAGGCGGGTGGATCACTTGAGGTCAGGAGTTCAAGACCAGCCTGACCAACATGGTGAAACCCCATCTCTACTAAAAATACAAAATTAGCCAGGTGTGGTGGCGGGTGCCTGTAATCCCAGCTACTTGGGGGGCTAAGGCAGGAGAATCGCTTGAACTCGGGAGGCAGAGGTTACAGTGAGCCGAGATTGCACCATTGCACTCCAGCCTGGGCAACAAGAGCAAAACTCCATCTCAAAAAAAAAAAAAAGAGAATTAGAATATCACTATTTTGCAACCCTTAATGTTTCCTACATCCAGACATTGACCATCAATATCTGCCAACATTAAAAAAGGAGAAAGAAAGCCAGACATTATATATTCTTTTTTAGAAAAAGAAAACACTGCTTACAAAGTAGATTTGGGGGAAAATATATGTAGTGTATGTAGATCCAGCTATCAAGTACAGAAAAAAGAAAGAAGCACATTTTAATAAATGCCTCAGGGATCCTATCTGCAAAATTCAGACTCAGAAACTTGACAGGACAAATGACCAGTTTCTTCAATAAATAAATGAGGAAGAGTTGAAGGGGAAACTACGGAGAGTTTAAGGTCATATCAACCAACCACAATGTGTAAGTTTTATCTGGATTCCGACTCAAAGAAACTGCATAAGAAAATAAATGATATTTGTGAGACAACTGGAAATTCAAACTCTGAGTAAATATTTAGTGATATTCAGGTACTATTATTTTCATTTTTTTAAATAATATACTGTTATTGTGGTTGTGTTTATAAAAGAAAGTATCTTTTAAAAGTCCATTTCGAATTATTGATGGATAAAATGATATATATGCTATGCATATGATGTATATATGACATATATTGTATATACGTAATGTCTAGGATTTGCTCCAGAATAATATAATGGAAGAGGTTGTAGGTGGGACAAATATAAGATTGTCCATGAATTGAAAATTATAAAAGCTGAGTGATGATACTTGGGAGTTTGTTGTATTATTTTGTCTATTTTTACACTGAAACCTTCCCATATAAATATTTATCTTTAAAAAAATTTTACTAACTCCTCAAGAATGCTGAATAAAGTAAATGCTCCTAGATCAGTGCTGTGATGCACTCTATGATCTGGCCCTTACCCACATCTTTAGCACCACCTGTGATCACTCTCTCTTTTCACCTACATTTAAACTACATGAAACTACTTATAGTTCCCACAAAGCACTACAATTCCTCCTACTTCCAAATGTTTGTAAATTTTCCTTTTTCCAGAATGCCAAGTTCCATTCTTCTTCTCCTGGTAAAATTCAGTCAGTCACGTCACGCATTGCCAACTGCATGCCACAGGCTCCCTGTTGTGGACTGGCCACCCACAGTGGAGTGATGGATATTCACCATTTGCTGCCCCAGCTGCCTCTCCAGCCTTCCCTGCCCTCTTTTCTGCTCTGTGAGGCTGAGCTATTTGGACTGCATCAGTGGCTCCCATGTCTTCTGGCTTCCAATCAGACTTCTCCAGATAGACCCACCAGCAGAAGATCTAGAGGTCAAGGTGAAGTGGGCAGTCGCTGTATTTATGTCCCTGGCTTGCTCTCTGCCAGGTGAGCACAGGTTGCTTGCTTCCTCTTTGCAAATATCACTCCTATCACGTAACCCTTTCCAAGTAGTTCTTTTTCTGGTACTGTTTTTCCTTTTTATCTTCTTTTCCTTTTTATCTTCAGCTCAAGAATTGGTTTCTCATAAACCTAGTGCACTATTTGTGAAAGAGCCCTCCATTCAACTCTCCACTAATTACCCAGTTTCAGTATTGCTCCTATATAATTAGTGTAATATTCTAATTATCATACTAAATATACGAATTAGTATAATAAAAATTATACTAATTATACAATTGTTAGAAAAAAAAAACACCCATACCAGAAAAGACTACAAAAAGAACAAGAACAAGACACAGATATAGTCTGAGAAGGCATAGAAGAAACAGTTGAAGTACATTTCAGAGAGAGAGAGCACACGTGCAATGGCTTGGTGGTACAAAAGAAGCAAGGGAGAGCCGATGCTGTGCTTCACTTGTCAGCTGCTTGAGCTAGAAAGCAAAGATGAGAGCAGGGAAGGCTAGAGAACCAGACAGAACCTCAACTTTACAGGCCAAATAAGGACAGAGATTTTGATCCTAAGAGCAATGGGGAAATACTGAATATTCCCCTTGGACTTCCAGGCCTAGGTAAGGGATTGTCATCTTGCAGACAATCCCTGAGAGCCTTCTACCACAGTCAGAACTAGGAGGCTCTAGCACATGATAACCACTCAATAAATGTTCACTCGATCAGTGAATAAAGAATAAGTAACCCACGTATGGACAGTTTAGAGAGTTTTTTCCATCATATACGGGCATGATTTTGTCACCTCCAAGAATTCTTCCCTGGCCGGGTGCGGTGGCTCACGCCTGTAATCCCAGCACTTTGGGAGGCTGAGGTGGGTGGACCACGAGGTCAGGAGATCGAGACCATCCTGGCAAACATGGTGAAATCTCGTCTCTACTAAAAATACAAAAAAATTAGCCGGGCGTGGTGGTGGGCGCCTGTAGTCCCAGCTACTCGGGAGGCTGAGGCAGGAGAATGGCGTGAACCCAGGAGGTAGAGCTTGCAGTGAGCCGAAATTGCTCCACTGCACTCCAGCCTGGGCAACAGAGTGAGACTCTGTCTCAAAAAAAAAAAAAAAAAAAAAAAAAAAAAAAAAAAAAAAAAAAAGAATTCTTCCCTGCATATATCCTTCCTAAACTTAATCCTATTTGCTCTTGGCTTGTATCTTCATTTGCAATAAACATAAAAAGCTCTGGAGATAAGGAGCTATATTGTGTTACAACGCTGGAAAGTAAGTCAACCCCAGTCCAATCTTTTCTACCATGACAACTATTTTATTCTAGAGATGAGTTAACAAGGGCCATCACAAAATCAGGTGATGAAGATTCTTGCCATAAGCACAATAGATTTTTCTGTTAAACTTCACTAATTTGAGGTAGAGTTATTTGGAATTCATAAGATGAGTAAAAGAGAGACCTATTTTGATTTGTTTAGAATGAGAAATACAACCTTCTTTCTTTTATGCATAAGGTACAGCACAAATCATGTGCCAACCAAAGGTGACAAGCAGAAGCTTTGTTTTTATTTGCATTACAAACTCAGTGTGGCCTGATTTACACAAGAAATGATAAGCATAATTTTAACTGGTCCGCACATCATTTAATAATAAGCAGGAATGCATGGCTAAAACCTGTTTGAAAATATACTTACACTATAAATTTCCTTCCTTAATGCAAGCAAACAAAATTAAAATACAAGGTGATCTCAATATTGTGGCAACTGAGTATGCACTAATATCACAATAATGATGTCTTTGTATATTCAGATATTTTGTGATAATGGAGATGATCATTTTACTCATAAGTAAGACGGATATCCACAAGTTGCTACTGTCTCTTTTTTACCTAAACACAAAACTCCTCAGTGAACCAAAAAAGTATAAAATGCTATGGCTTCTGTGCCAATGCTGGGATGTTTCTATAGTGTAATTTTTTTTTTTTTTTTTGAGATGCAGTTTCACTCGTCACCCAGGCTGGAGTGCAGTGGCACAATTTCAGCTCACTGCAACCTTTGCCTCCTGTGTTCAAGCAATTATCCTGCATCAGCCTCCCAAGTAGCTGGAATTACAGGCAGCACATCATACCCAGCTAATTTTTGTAGTTTTAGTAGAGGCAGGTTTCACCATGTTGGTCAGGCTCTTCTGGAACTCCTGACCTCAGTTGATCCACCCACCTCGGCCTCCCAAAGTGCTGGGATTACAGGCATGAGCCACTGCACCCAGCCCAGTGTAATGTTTTTAATTAGCATAAAAACTTTTCATTCTGTTAGAAAATTAATCAGGAAAAGTAAGAAGTGATACTCATTTATTCTTGAGGTTCAAACAAATGTGCATCAGTTTTCTTAGTGACATAAATGATGATTTTTTTTCTTGTTTTTCCTAAGCAACTCTATAATTCATAAAATGTGTAACTTGATAAAGCAGGAGAAAAAGTTAACTAAAGTCCTGTGAATTGAATAAACTCTGTGACTAAAATACATTTCATTTTAATAAAACAGTTATATTGCTCACCAAAGAGGCCATGGTAAATCCAATGACTTCAATATAACCATCATCATGACGCTGAGGTTCGAAATCATGGTGATCACCTGGGTTTCCCCAGGGCATTGTGCCAGCACAATATCTGCAAGAGAAGATTAAAGACAGAAGTAAATATGTCCCATCCTTCTCATGACTATCATGAGGTGTTAGTTTGTAGTTAGACCCAATGTTTATCAAACATAAAAACAGTTTTCCATTCTTGGTACACACCTTCCATTAGAAAAGGAAATGCACTTCTTATCATCTACAAAATACCAAGCTGTGAAAACGGGCCATAATTTTGCAACAAAAGTATCCTGTGGTATCCAACTTTCTCCTCGTTCGTTATCTATATTTCTCACTATGATTCATGTATGTCTGTTTTCTATGATATATCATGAATTATCTATAGGTGGTTTCAGAATTTGGTCTTAAAGGAAGATGTATGCATGCCAGTAGAAAAGAGACAGGGAAATGAAGTGGGAAGCATTTGCCATTAATACATAAGCAAAATAAGAGGTACTCACAGGAGAAGGGAAAGGTAACTATGGAAGACAGAGTGAAGAAGAGATGAAATATAGATAAGAGATTAGAAAGAGAATGGGAAACAGAAGAAATTGGAGAAATAGAGGAAGAAGAATACAGATGGAAAGAGGGAGAAGCAAGAAAAGACAGAAGAAGGACAAGAGAGGAAGAAGGACAAGAGAGGAAGGACAAGAGAAAGAATAATAAAGCAAAGTAATAAACAATGCTTTCTGAGAATCAAGGCCTTCTACTTCAATTAAGCTGTAAATATTTCTGGAATAAAATTGTAACTGACTATATTGAGCACTGCCAAGAATAATCAGGAGACTATGATGTGTTTTCCTAGCCACAGATTTACATACAACTCTCATTTCAATTAAATTCAGTCTAAATACAATGTATTTGCAGATTTTGTGTCTGAGTTGTTTGGCAGGCAAATAAATGGTTATAGATCCATCCCTTCCAAAATCTTGGCTTCAGGGCCTAGAACATAATTTATGCCACTGAGATAATATGTTTATTTTGAGTCTAGTTATCTTAAATATCCCTTTCTCCTGAAGTGCGTAATAGCACCATGGAGAGTTGACATCCTGGCTAGAAAACAATACTCTAACTCATCCTATTTTTCAAAGAAATCATCTGGCAACAATTTTGAATGAATTCCGCACTTGAATCAGACTGGATGGTTTTTCAACAGTTTTTAGGAAACTGAGAACAAAAAAAGTGTTTCAATTCTCTCATTCTTAGATGGGGAGGAAGAGGGGAAGAACAGTAATTTAGAAATAAATTAAGATGTTCCAGTCAAGAGGGGTGCCTGGGTTTCTTAAAGATGGGTAAGTACAGACAATGCATGCCACATGACGCACAAAACCACCAACCACAAAGAACACTAAATAAACCAAATCGGAGAATGAATTATCAGACCTAGAAATCTTTAATTACCCATTTAGATAACTGATCTTCATTGTTTACATCTGAAACTTTTCTGTTATGAAAACAGATAACCTCAAGTCAGAGTTCACGTCAAACCAAGGAAACAATACAAACAGAGCCTACCTGGGTATATTTAAAAATACTATACACTGGAACTTCAGTTCCTGAATCTTTGGGGTGAGATCTGTTCCATCACACTGAAACAATGAAAACAGAAAAGGGGTTTTGAAGTAGTCACAAGTCTAAAAACCTATGAAAGATAACTAGTTTGACAATAGTACACACCATGGTCTCTTTCTCCTTGCCCTATCTCTGCTTAAGTGAATGCCGGTCACAGTGATTAAAAATATATTCTGGTTATAGCTTTACTGGACCCAGGGTACAGAGGTTGGTTTTGTTCGCACTTAAGGTAAGAACAAAACCTCCATTTGATTAAAATGATTTCTTCTCTGGTCTCACAATCAAAGGAAATATTATCATTCTTAACAATGGATGATTATTAGTTATCTAGACTGATGGTGTCAACATTAAAAGATTTATGAACACTTAAAAGAATGAAAAGAAAAAAGCCTCAAGTTAAAGCAGTAGTATTCACCACCATCATTATCTGATTCAAACAAGTCACAAATATAATGATTTATTTTCTTCGTTTTTTGAGACAATTTTTATTTTGCAAATGTCAAATATTTTGAAGACTTTTTAAAAAGTCTATGTACCGCAAACTTTTGAAAAGATATCTATCATACAGTAGTATTATCTTCATTCGTGGTTTGTTCTTAGAAACTTAATCTTGTACAGACTCACCCAGGCCGAAGTGCAATGGCGTGATCTCAGCTCACTGCAACCTCAGCCTGCCAGGTTCAAGCGATTCTCCTGCCTCAGCCTCCCAAGTAGCTGGGATTACAGGTGCCCGCCACCACGCCCAGCTAATTTTTGTATTTTTAGTAGAGACGGGGTTTCACCATGTTGGCCAGACTGGTCTTGAACTCCTGACCTCAGGTCATCCACCCGCCTTGGCCTCACAAAGTGCTGGGATTATAGGCGTGAGCCACTGCGCCTGGCCATTCAGACTTTAGACTTCTAAGATTCACTGTCTTCCTGGAATTTAGACCTGGGAATCAAGGGTCTCAGCCTAGCTTGGCCTCAACAACCCTCGAACATGGATGGCTTCCCTGATCTGCTAGCGCTTTCTGCAAGGGTATCATCCTTTGATAAATCAAGGAAAAGTCTTTCATGTTCCTTTCTCATTTCCCACTGGTGACAAAAGTCAAAAGAGAATAACTCTAGTCATGACTATAGACTTTCCGATGTCAAAGGCGTAAAGCCTGCTCTCGTATTTGCTTTCCTTATACCCTTATCACAGGATTTCCCCATTACCTTCTCATTTGGAGAGAGGAGCAAAGCATCCCCAAGCTCCCTGCAAATTCTGAAAGAGTTCTTTAGGATCAGTTTCAATCTAAGTATAATGATTTTGCTAGTGGTCAGGTTGTCTCCAGCACCTGCATTTTTTTTCCCAGTCGATCTCCATACAGCCTAATTTTCATGAGTATTCTCAAAGAATTGTTTCCAAGAAATCTTACAATTTTAAATAAACAAATTATTTTCAAATATAACTTAGTAATAAAATTCTAGACATTAAAGATGTTTTTCTAGTACTCTCAACTACTAAGCAAACATCTTCCAACTTACTTAAGAACTTGAAATGAGTTATAAATGACTATGCCAATGAATAAAAAAGTAGACATTGTAAATGTCAAAATTGCATGTTATAAGCAACTAAAACTTAAAACCTAGGATGTGATATATTAATAGTGTATAAAGCATTATGGTTGCATTGCAGAAAGATTATAATAAATATTATTGTATTTAGAACAGAATTCATTTTTTAACTTTCTACTTTTTCCTTCTGGGAAACATGTTAGTGATTCTGGGAACTCATCAAATCATACGAAAATGTGGGCCTTACACTGTATACTGCTTTACAGAGATTTTTTTATATATTATTGCAATAAACTGTGCAATTCCTTTAGAATAGCAGTTTTCAACTTTTTCCCAACTTCAAATACACACAAAGGGACATATTTGCATCCAAAATATGTTCCTTTGTATAAGCTCATATACTGATAAATAACAAGAAGAAAATATGGAAAGTGGAACAAATAATGGCTATATGTAGGTTTTTACTGTCATTTTGTATTTTCTCAGTCTAATATTCAAATACATATTTTATATCTCTATGAGACATTACTAGCTATTGCATTAGAAACACTGACTTCACCCTCTGACAAAGAAAAGATGCTCTGTTGTTGGGGAGACATCTAATCACTCTCACTAACCTTCCATCCTTTTCATCTCACACTCAGGAAAACATAGAATGATGTCATTGCAAAAGTATCCTTGTGTCTCTCTATGTCACAGCACAATGGTCAAAAACCATTGCATCAAAGACATGTCTTGTTACACCTATTTGACAGATGAAGAAAGCAAACTCCTCTGAAAGGTTAAATGATTTCCCCAAAGTCATATACCTAGCAAAGGTAGACCTAACTAAATCCCAAATGTTTACACCTAGTTATAATGATTTTTTTCCTCCTCATAAGATATAATTTATATAAACATTCCACCTTTAATATTACATATATAGGCTGATATCACATCTTTCCTAGTTATTTGCTGCCATTTTGGCCTCTCTGCAAGCATCTTTTAGACTCTACTATAAAGTCACCCATGCATGAGACATGTATCATCAAGGGGACTGAGATATGAGAGAGAAAACTCTCTAGCAGTTAGGAAGTTACAGAGTTTGATATCAATCCGGTGACTTGCACAGTACACTGCCATTCTATATGGCCACCACCCAGCATGCACTGGGTCTCCTGGCAGGTACTGTGGATGCGCCTGTAAATGCAAAACACACTGGAAAGGGCAGTAAAGTTTAATTTTTGCTAGGCTGCAGGCAGCTGAAGAAACAGGGGAAGTTTAATGTAAGGTTGCTGCTACTTAAATTTAATAGCCACGATTTTATTGAAATAATAATCCTCATAGTTCAATGGGCCCTGTGTTCTTGTATCTAGCTTTAAGAAGGCAATATTTCAGTCTCAAGCGTCTCCACCACTAAAAGATACTTGCTTTATATTTTTATTGTATGAGAACTGAAACATCTGAAAGGGATGCCAAGTGTTGCTAATAGCAGCGGTAAAGGCCTTTGTCTCTTGTTTCAACTGATTTAGGAGATTCATGTCTTATACATGCTTTACTGGTGATTACACATTTTAATTTTTATATTTTCATGCTCCTTATATTTCTTCATATCTCATTAGCTTAAGATCATATATTTTTCTCTATTTTCATGTATATATTTTGTTCTGTTCTCTCTTGTCAAAATTAATCTTTTTCTTTTTCTTTTTTTTTTTTTTAGACGGAGTGTTGCTCTGTCGCCCAGGCTGGAGTGCAGTGGTGCGGTCTCGGCTCACTGCAACCTCTGCCTCCCAGGTTCAAGCAATCTCCTGCCTCAGCCTCCCGAGTAGCTGGGACTACAGGCACATGCCACCACGCCTGCCTAATTTTTTGTATTTTGATAGAGATGGGATTTCACCATTTTGCCCAGGCTGCTCTCGAACTCCTGAGCTCAGGCAATCCAGCTGCCTCGGCCTCCCAAAGAGCTAGGATTACAGGCATGAGCCACCGCGCCTGGCCCATCAAAATTATTCTTATTCTTTAGAATAAGATAAATTCAAGCATTGATAAATTCAAACATTGCTATATTCTCATCACTTCTTTTCCATCTATATATCTTTTTTCTCTTTCTCATTCTGTCATTTACTTATACGACTATGTGCAACAAAGTCATGTTCCTTCCTTCTTTTAACTTGTTTACTATAAGGAAACATTAATGTTTTTCTTAATACCTAATTTTATTCTATTTTTGAATGTGTCACCTTGAGAAAGATAAATTTCTCTCTCCCTTGCCCCCAAGCAGTATATTTCCGCAACCTGATATAGAGACCCAGGAAGAAACAGCACATACACAAAAAATCCATCTAGTGGTGAGGAACCTTGACCAGGTGGGAGAGTGAGTCACCACAAAATAATGAAATCAACACTTCGTTCTAAAATGGAGATTATCCTGGAATAAATATCCTCCTCAGATTATCCTGGAATAAAGATACTTGTTTGGAGAGTACCGATTTATGCTTCAAGACCCAGCTAACATCATTTTTTTTTATAAAGGTCTTCCTGACCCCACCATAGTCAGAGTTATCACTTCTCCCTTTGTGCCACAACCATATTATACACACGGTTGAATAACAGTTTTATTGTTCTGAAGTGACTTATGTGACCTTCTTCAAAACTGAACTGTGAGTTTCTTCAGGAGCGAAACTAGTCTTTTCATTTATCTTCATCCCCAGCAACTAAGACAGTGCCTGACACATAATAAGTGTAGGTTGAATGAACTACACAAAATGATCTCCAAAGTTCTATGCAGTCCAGTGATTCAATATATAAACTAAGTATTTGGGAGTTTTTTGTGGCAGTCATATCATATTCAAATTAAATAAATCAACATATTCAATACTTACAACAACTTTAACATGTTTGGATAGATCTCTAGAACTTCTCTGTAGGAAGTCAGAAAAAGCTGCCTATACCACAGGGAAATAAAGAAGAAGAAATTCGTAATTACATGGTGATACCAAATCCTTGCTTCCATATCCTAGATTCCAAGGATTCCAAAGTATGCAAAAATTCTAAACATGTTCTCTTTCTGCAGAATCCAAAGTAAAGCAGTGCAGTAGTTGTCAAGTTGAAATTTTTCTCTTTGTTTCCAAACTATAATTTACAGTTTCACTATAAATTTAAGAACACAGAATGAGAGTGAAAAATAGACAATTCTGAGGGTCATTGGAAGGTTTATTTTGACAACCTTTTCTGAACACTTGCCTTGTCCATTAAGTGCTGATACAGTCTTTCCACTAAGATTTCCTTATTTGCTCTGAGTTTCACAGGGTTTGACTTCCATAAACTACGTATGCAGCTCCCAAACGCCTTTTATTTAAACTCCTCCTATCGATTGGCATAAATTTAAACTGTACTGATATTTTGGATGCCTTTTTTTCATTCTCTATTTACTACTATGAACGTGCCTGAGAAACAAAAGAAGGAAAAAGAAGGCACTCCCTTTAACCTCACGTATGCGTCCATGAAAAACACCCCATATTCTGCCAGTTTCTAATCCAAACGTCAATGTGCGCACCCTGGTGAAAACTACGTTCTTACCTAAAATTCTTCAGACATCCTCAGTCTACACAATTCCTCCATTTCTTACACTGGCTTTGATGTTTGTTTCTCACATCCCTTTTTGAATAGCATCTTCTCTTGTTCAACATGAAGCCTCGGGGCTTGCTTAAAAGCTCAGAGATGAGGAACACCAACTCTCTTTCTGACAGCTAACTTAAGAAATACACCTCACTTTCATTCTTAAGCCCAGCCATGAAACAGTAACCATAGATAGACATATATAAATGAGATGTATATGTGATTATTTCTCATGTAGTTTGCAACTTTATGATACACAGTGAATTGGCAATAAGTAATATGTAGTAATTATGAAATAAAATGTATACCTAC
The DNA here is from genome assembly GCF_000001405.40 of Homo sapiens. Taxonomy (NCBI): domain Eukaryota; kingdom Metazoa; phylum Chordata; class Mammalia; order Primates; family Hominidae; genus Homo; species Homo sapiens. The sequence goes on from NC_000007.14 coordinate 137,578,270, forward strand.
CCCTGCATAGAACATTTTATTTCGAAAACGACTGTTGAATTTCTCTGGATTTGCTTCTGTGAAAGAGGAAAAGTAGTTTTGTTATGGAGACCTCACTAAAGGTAGCGACTTAGATTAGCACTCCTACTTCCTCCCCAGCTCCCTCCTATCCTACAGATCCAATAGATCCCATGGTTTGGTTATCATCTTTCCCCCAGTTCCAGGCCAGTTAGTACAGTAGCCCAGTGCTACAGGGACAGTAATCCAGGACTATAAATGTGTAGTTCCAAACCGGCATCACTGACATTAGCTGAGAGCTTGTTAGAATTGCAAATGATTAGGCCCTAGCCAGATCTACTGAATTAGAATGACTTGAGTGTGGAGTCTATACATCTGTGGAGGGGAGCTCTCCAGGTGATTCTCAAGCACATTAAAGATGGAGGCACTCTAGATGCTTTGTAAAAATTGGAGGGTTTCCAGGGATATCGGGCTGAGATAACAGGAAAAGGTGGAAGAAGGTGGAGAAGCGATTATTTACTTTGACTTTCATAGGGCATGACTTCCGTAAGCTATGTATGCAGCTTCCAAATGTAATTAAACATGTTTTTGAGTTTGATTTGTGTTTGGAATAAAGTAGATATAAAATTGGGAATTAATGCCAGTTTAATTATTCCTTCTAAAAGAAATACAATATATGTAGTTATGCTGAGAAGTGTCCATTTGATGGGCTATATTTACATCTGTGCTAAAAATTCTTTCCATAGTTAAATTTTTAAAAATTCTCCTTTAATGAGATTTATATTAATTGCCTATTTTTATGTAGATGTATTGGCATAATTCTCAACTTAAAAGTATTACATTTTCTTGACTAATACCTCATAGATTCTACTATCCAAGCTTATTTTTTTCACAATGGCTTTCATGAGCCTTTGTGTTACCCTTTAGGTATTTTATGGCAAGTGATCCATGAAGCCGCAGACAGTGCCTGTGTTGGAAAACAGTTTAAAGTCTCACTATGAGTTTTCTTGGTTTGAGAACAGCCACTCACTATCTACTGACAAAATAAGTAAGCTTGCCACAATTAAAAATCTGGTCTTGCTTATCCTGTTTTTTCTTCTATAGCTTAGCTTAAGATTTCTTGACTAACTAGTTAAAAATAGGGGGAAAATACAAATGAACAGAAACAGTAAAAAAAAAAAAAAAGAAAGAAAAAAAGGCTATTTGCTTAATTATATATTTCATAGACAAATAATTTTTTAATTTACTATTTAAAAAAAGCAGAATAACAGCTACTGAAAAGTCCATACCTCTGGTCTAAGTGTATCAGCAAAATCTGGTTCCAATATCTTATAGTTATTTAATTTTTTTACCACCTCTATCCCACCTGCATGAATATTTACCTATTATTTCCAATTAACATAAATTCTCCCTTAACAGCCCTTCAGTGGCTGATTTTCCTCAAAGGCTCTGATTTACATGCAGGGGAAATGTTTACAATTCCATTTCATACTGCATCAAAACACAATAAGCCTTAGCAATAAACTATACAAAGATTAATGCTTGACATCTTTAACTAATTGTTTTATAATCACATACATATAAATGTACATGTTCATACACTCAACAATTTGCATATTCCACTCTAAAATAGTCCTACAGCTTAAAATAAAAGAGAAAAATCACTTTCCCCAAAAGAATTTTCTTCTAAGCCTGGTCTTCCCATGTAAGGGTCTCTCCCTGCTCCCTTCTCACTCTGATGCATAGAAACTTCATCATAGTTCAAGGAAGTGAATCATTAGAAAAACTTCCGGATAAGTTAGACTAAATATGAGACTCACTTGAGCTCATTGAGCTCATTGAATGAGCTCATTGTTGGCCACTTATTCATTTAGACCTCTTTTCATGCCTATTTTTGGAAATCCATGTATTTGTGATAATTGTGTTACTTTACAAGTATTATTAAGAAGTTTGGGGTATTTTATTAAGAAGCCCAGGATCTGGATCCTGCTAAAGAATATGAGATAAAAAATGGGGTAAGAAATGAAGAATAAAATCCCCCATGTACTTCCCAAATTAACTCTCCTTAAATATAAGAAGGGTAACAGGTCATAAATGTTGGCCCCAAGGTAAGTCCCTCTGAATACCTAATATCCAAGAACTGTCTAAGGCAGGGAGGCGGAAAGTGGTAGTGTTTCTGACTCAGGATATTTGAGGTTCTGTTATCAATCATGCCTTCTAGCTGTGATTTTTCTGGCCAATCAGAGAGGAATACCAAACTATGGCTTTCTCTTCAAACAGCATCATTCCTGCTTGGCACAGAATTTGACCTTTACAGAGCCTGTCCTCTCAAAACCTTGGGAAACCAGGAAGGTCAAAGTCTGCTAACATTGCTGGATCCAGTAAGAGACTTTAAAGATCTGTTCCTTACTTGTATTTTATACTCTAGTGGTTTTTAATCCTGTAGCATCACTCTTGACTTCTAGTGCATAAGTGCATGATCAGAATTTTCATGTTATTACCAGAATCTGAAAATCTGAATTCTAGCTTTTAGTGCTCTGTTATTTCAAATTCCAAAGTATGCAAAAATTCTAAACACCACTTCCTTTCTTACATAACCTGGAGGGAAAAAAGTAAAGTACTTCTCATTTATGACTTTATCTCACAAGTCTCTTAACAATCTACATCCTAGCATGGTTCTGGTTATATATATTCAGAAGGCACTAGGTACAGATATAGATACAGGCATAGACATGGATATATAGTATAGCTATATTAATAAGAACAGAGTTTAAGAGACAGAATGAGACAGAAAGAGAGAGAGAGAGAGATCAATCGGGACTACAAAACATAAGTCAAACCCATAAACTTTATCAGTTCTAAATGGCATGAGAAAATGTTGATGAAATATTTAATAGCATATCATTATTTCATCTTCTCTTTCAAAAATTCTGTTCCCCTAATCTTGACTCCATCTCTTTTAGTACCTGAAATCACTACATGGTCTCATTCACACCTCTGTATCATCCAGTGGGGATCCCTAGTACCTTCCTAATTAATCCCATCACCATTACATCCTATGCTTTCAACCTAAACTACCTATAGCTCCTCTATTGTTCTAAGATGCCTGTTGTTTCTTTTATACAAACAGAGGGGACATTTTTGTTTTTGCTACCATATTTCAATGGCTGTGGTTGTGTAGTATTGCACTTTAATAGTGTTTTGTGAAGCTAAAGAATATCCTAGTGACTTCAGTAATAGTCTCTATCACTTCTTAGTATTTTACTCACTTCAAATCTTCCAGTAGAACATAAAGATTAACAATCCCAAGACCTGGAACACACATCTAGTCCTGCCCTTTACTGTCTTTAAGACCCTGGACAACTAGGTCTCAGGGTCCCATTTGTCTGAACAACTAGGTCTCAGGGTCCCATTTATAAGAAGTTCCTGTCCTGTCTAGCTCCCAGAGTCATCCTGAAGGTTAAAATGAAACAACACTGAAGCACACTGTAAACGCGTAAGTGATATACAAACAAAAGGGAACATGCAAAACACCTGCTAGAAACTTCCTCCCTGGGAGATGGAAATGGGACGTTGTCCTCACCTCTGGATTCATGGAACTCCAGTGTGACATGGGCATCAAATCCAAGGCTGAAGTAGTTATTGAAAACATTCAGAGGGAGCTGCAATGATAAACAAAGACAGAGGCAAAATTTTGTGTGGCCAGGCAGAAAGAGAAGAATAAAACCTAAAGCTGGACCCCTATCTCTGAAGAAGTCCCTAGGAGACAGATCAGCCACAACTCAAAGTGGAGGGTGCTTATGTAGAAAGAACAGGAAATTATTGGATTAATTCATGAGTGAAAGCTAAAATCAAGTAATTTTCTCAAGAATTATAAATAGTATAAGAAATGTGTCACAAATACAAATTATTAAATGAGAATCATTTTTATAGATGCTGTAATAATAGGAACTTGTTATGCTGAAGGATATATATTTGCAATAGTTACAGAGAAGAATTCACTAAGCAAACCTAGAAAGTAAATCCAGTTGTAAAGATAATGTCTAACCAACTTAATCAGTGGATGTGCGTTTTTCAAGAATTTATATTCAGCAAACCAATACTGTAATGTAAAATGAATATTTAACTTGTTTATCCATCACCCATTTTCTCTCTCTCTCTCTCTCTCTATATATATATATATATACACACACACACACAATCTTTTTTACAAAAGTCATATAAAAAATAGGGCAATGTGACCCATTGGTTATTGCTGGCCTAGAGAGAAAAACAACAACAAAACTACCTATTACTATTATTCAAGTTCTCATTTAATCTATCAACCCTTATATCTTTATTATGACCATGAAATCTGAAAACACAGCCACACAGATACACATGGAAGCTTTAACTTTCCTTCCTAGAGTCCTTTGGGTCTCTGGCTGTTACCACTGCAAGCTGAATGAAGAGAACTCTGCAGCCTCAAATCCTGCATTAAAACTGCAAAACTAATGTGATTTTAAGCTTCAGTTAAATGTTAGAACAATTAAGAAAGCATGCGGAAAATGTGAGAGTGGGAATGGCTGGTTCTCCCGCTTTTCCTTCTGCGACTCAAGTGGAAGGTAAATATTAAAGTAAATAAAGACGAGAAATGTTTCCAGCTAATTATCCGGTTTGTGTCCCAAATTGAACTGTACCTGTCTTCTCTGAGAGATAAGTGTTTTAACCCTCAAGATTTCAAAAGTATGTTTTTTACAGTGCTTCATATGCCCCTTGATTAGCAAGATTTTCTGTTTCACTAGAAGGAGAACTTCCTTTCATTAAGAAAAAAGTGAAATAAGAGAGGGAACAAGACAGATATAAATGCAGAAAAAAGAAAATTGGATTGGCTTGGTCTCTAATGAAAGTAAGGAATGACCCCACATGGAAGCTCTTGATTCAAAGCCTATGTAATGATTCAGAGTCCAAGTGAGCCTTAGAAATGGTCTCCACTAAATGAAGGACCGAGAGAGAAACTAAACACATAGAACAATGCCAAAATCATGTCTTACTCTTCAGCCTTCTTATTTGAGAATATCCAGTTCCTGCACTTAAACAAAATACCAGTTCTTAGTAATGACAGCATGGGTTGGTGATCCTGCCAAAAGCACAGACATGTTCACCTCCTCTACCATTTATGTTCTTTTGGCCACAATTCTAACCCATGTCTTAACATCTACTGATAGCTAAGGAGAACATCTGGTCACCATCACCTAAATCATATCCCAATTTAGTCTGTTTTTAAGTTATTTATATTTTCCAGGAAAACTTGCCCCAGTTTCCCATACATCTCTTTAAAAACCCATTTTAAATAAACCCTTTAATTATCTGGATTGGTGTTCCCTGGCTACACCAAGAAGTCTTTCCATTTCTTAAGCTGTTGGAAAGAGAATTAAATATGGATTTCTATTGCACGTCTAACTATTCCAAGTTTAGTAGGAAAAGAAACTTACAATATCCATATGGTACTCTTCTTTATACTTTAGCTGTTTTCTATCCAATTTCTATAAGTCAAACACATTAAAAAAAAGCTTCGTATCTCAAGATGACACTTGTTGTTTAAACAACATTGTGACATTATAAACTTGAATTCAGCTGAGCAATCATGATATCTACTAGAAATCTACTAGAATTTCAGGATCATGGTTTAGGTGAAAAAACCATAAAGACAGAGTAAAACATGTTTTAATCTAATTTAGCCAAGTTAGAAACTTGAAAATCTATTAAATTATAATATATGTAATTAAATTGATCAGGATCACGATGCTAATAAATGGGTGTTGGTTTGATCTAAATCTAAAATGATATGGGGCTTAATCTATTATAAGATGGAAATACCCACAAAATCTTAGCCTCAATAAATGGCATGGTTCACTATAATTGGGATACCATTTAAAGTACAGATGTCTGGGCCTTAACTTGCATTTACTTAATCAGAATCTCTGGTGACTGGGCCTTGTAATCTGCATTTTAACAAACACACCTGGAGATTCTTACACATACAGAGTTTAAAAATTCAATCATAGAAGGAAAATGGAAAGTAATATGAGGGAAGTGGCTACTCAGAAACCTACCAAATTTATCTGAAATTGAGGCCATAATTTAGAACCAAAGGACCAACTGAAGGCTCACAGTACTAATTACAACTATTCATATATCCCTTGGTTTGCTTTTCGGTTGAAATAAAAGCTCAATCACTAAAAGAAAACATAAAGTCTGGACATAAAGATGACAACAATAGATACTGGGGACCACTAGAGTAGAGAGGGAAGGAGAGGGGCAAGGATTGAAAACCTGTTGGTTAACATGCTCACTATCTGGGTGATGGGATCAATCATACCCCAAACCTCAGCATCATATAATATATCCATGAAACAAACTTGCACATATGCAGTTTGAATCTAAAATAAAAGTCAATTTTTTTTTAAATAACATGAAGTCAAAACATTTATTGAGGTATCTTCAAGTCCCACCCAAGTGGTAACACTGGCATAGTTAATACCTCTTCAACGTAAGATATATTTTATATCAGGCCAGAAATCTCAGGAGGTTATATTTCTACTGAAAGAACAAGTGCCCAATGCTTACAAATATACATATTTTTTCATCTTCTCATAGGTTATTTGCTATTAACATGAATGATTAAGACAAAATACATGCCTTTCTAGTGCAGAAGTTGAAGACAGAGAAGAGCTCCCTGAGCTTTGGAAGCAGGTACGGAATCTAGGTATTTAGAGGTCTATGGGGCAGAATCATTAGGTGGTAATATTATACACATAGCCCCAGTAGCCATCAACTCAAATATTATCACATTATCTCATAGGAATTCATCAGCACATGACTCTCCAGCCAGGATTTTTTTTCCTGTAGCTCAGGCAGATGCTCCAGGGCTCCTTTCTGCAGAACAAAAAACTCTCTAACCTTACATACGCCATCTTCAAGTTCTTCTGGAGGCAAGTCGGGGTTTCTTTCCACATGGAGGTTCCAGCGATCTAGCTGTACAACTGTCCCATCTTCCACTTGACACAGGATCTTAGAAACAGGTTCATCAGTGTAGCCCTGAGGAATCAGAGAACATATCCATTGCTGTCCAGAGTGGAGAACAGTGAAGCCAATGCTATTTTACGCAAGGAAGAGCCAAGCCGTTATATTGTTTATTTTATAATTAGCAAGGTTTGAAGAGCAAATTTTTTACCTTGAGGTACTTAGAATTTGAGACAATACTATAAGTAAGATACATAGAAACACTAGTTCTGGCTGGTTTGAGCTGAGGAATATTTTTTGTCAGCAGCAAGAACCAATAGTCACCGGTACACATTAAGGGTCATACTGGAGGCTGGATGGCTACTTTGTTATCAGAGTAAAAAACAGGACTCCCCATGGCTCTCACTGGAGGAATTTGGGGGAAACACAAAACAAATGTGTTTGGAGAGGCAGGGAAAGAATCAAGGAGGGATTGGATTGACAATGCTTATCTATTAACACTCCCTCTCAATCACCTCTCCCTGACCTCCTTGGAAGACACCATTCTTCCCGTGACCTGAAGCAAGTCTCACTGAGGAATGGCCCTGTTAGGGAGCTACTTAATCCTTGAAGATCCATTACTGACAGCACGATAGACTGTCCTCAATAGGATATGCAAGGCTCTGATTTGGAAGGGAGAAGTTAACACTGATGATAACCTTAGTTGCCCCATGTAAATACGTTTTTTATTTCTACACTGCCTACTTTAAAAAAAGACCTGTGGAAGGTTAATTTGCCCAAAGGTCAACTAGCATCTACTAAATATCTGAATATAATTTTCACAGAGCCCAGCCCATGTAATGCTCTCATATGAGCAGATAAAAAGTTGGTGGGGACCAGGTGCAGTAACTCAAGCCTGTAATCCCAGCACTTTGGGAGGCTGAGGCTGGTGGATCACGAGGTCAGGAGTTTGAGACCAGCCTGGCCAACATGGCGAAACCCTGTCTCTAATAAACATACAAAAAAAATTAGCTGCACAGGGTGGCGGGCACCTGTAATCCCAGCTACTCAGAAGGTTGAGGCAGGAGAATTGCTTGAACCTGGGAGGCAGAGGTTGCACTGAGCTGAGATCGTACCACTGCACTTTAGCCTGGCGACACAACAAGACTGCATCTCAAAAAAGAAAAAAAAAAAGTTGGTGGGGCTGTATATGTGTATGCATATGTATATATACACAGTGTGTGTATATATATTGCGCCTTCTTACTATCTTAGTACTATAACATACGTAAGTAAATAAATGGCTGTTTAGTGACTGCAGAACGATTTCCCCCAAGCTTGCCTGAAGTTGGCTTCATTGTGGAAAGGACAGGTAAGTACCTATACAGCCAAAGCTCTGATGACACTAATCAAAACAAAACAAAATAAAATGCTAAAAAAAAAAAGTCATAACTCTCCCAAGTAAGGTGTGTAAAGTTGAACCAGATGTGCTATCCTAGCTGGGGCTGAGAGTCTGGATTAACTGAAGTCTGTATGATCCTTTTGCACGCAGACTTGAGGCCAAACTCACCCACTGTCTTTTAGTGGATACCTCAAAAAGCCGCAGGCCTGTGTACTAACCACTATATTTCTCTCATACCAAGCTTTCCTTTCCCTTCTAGCTGATTTTAAGTTTAAACTGAAGAAGCTACCAGATCAAATAAGGGCTCAAGGGCACTTTGATTCTCAACTCTAACTTATGCCTGGGACAGCAGCAGCAGTACCCCCCTCTTCCATTAGAACATCAGTGGATCTGGAATCCGGTTTGTTGTTTGATGATATGGGCAGTCCCCGAGAGCAGTTCTTACCCCTCCCCAGTTGAGAGTTCGAGCCAGGTCATTCCCAGTCCCCAGAGGAAGGACCCCCACAGGAGGCTGAGGGCTCAGCTGCAGTTCATCCAGGATGGAAAGGATCCAGCCCACCTACAGGCGTATCGGGGGCCAGAAGAGATATAAGAAAGATAAATAAGTTACAAAGAAAACAGTTTGAGAAACAGAGGCTTCCAAGAGCTAAACAGAATGGTTTTATTTTTCTTTAAAACATGTATGTTTTCATTCAGTGAGTAGGGAACAGAAAGGTCGCTTATCACAGGCAGTTACAAAATGGTTAAAGGAAAAAGGACCATTTTGCACATGTTCTATCACACAAGCAAAACTAAACCCATTCATGCGTGCGTTTAACTAGAAACACCCTTGTAAATTTCTCAGAGTTTAAGACTTTGGTAGTATAACAGGGCATAGGAGGGAATATAAAACTCAGAATAAGACTGAATTTCAATTCTGACTCATGCTGGCTGCATAACCTTGACTAAATTATTTAACCTCACTGAGACTCATTTACTTGATTTTCAAAATGGGGATAATAATACGTACCTCACACGATTGTTTACTAATTAAACTAAAATGTACATAAAGCACTTAACATGGTACATGGCCCATATAAGTACTTATTAAATGGTTGCCCTCTATAGTATCATCTTGGAAATTGATAGTGTTTTCCTGAATATCCCTCTATTTTCCTTAATGAAACATTATGAAAACATAATTATGGACAGACCTAGTACCTATTATAAGTTTAGGCAGGAAATTGATACTTATATACTAGAATCATATCCCTGTTTAATCTTTTTCTAAGATAAATAATACTTTGGGTTTAGTCTTATAACTAATTAGAAAAATTGACCAAAATTTGAAATGGCAAAAAGGAGTTTGAATGTCCTTATAATGTCATACTAAAATAGTGTTTCGCAGGCCTAAGAATTGTGTAACTGTAGGTTAACATAGATTTCTGTCCTATAGAGACACAAATGTCAAGAAGAGATGATTGCTTTAAAGTTTATAGTTTTATTCTCTCATAGGACGTTGATCAGTTTTGCATCAAATTTAGAAAAATTATTTTGATACGAAGTACATAATTCTTTTTCTCTAGTTCTGATAAATCAGCTTTACTATCTTGCAGGCTCCCTCATTAAAGAGCTAAGCAAATTTTTTGACATGTATTCATTCTATATTTGTACGAGTCATGTTTCTCAAAAATACTAGATCATTTGTTTATTGAACACTACTTCATATAAAACCCAGAACTAAGCAATCAAAATAAAGAGATAAATGAGCTAGGCTGTGACAGATAAGGTAGAAAGATTGCTCTCCAGGAGTTCACAGTAACACAAAGATGGACATACCGATGCTTTTTTTTTTTTTTTTTTTGAGATGGAGTCTCAATCGGTCGTCCAGGCTGGAGTGCAGCGGCAAGATCTCCGCTCACTGCAAGCTCCACCTCCTGGGTTCACGCCATTCTCCTGCCTCAGCCTCCCAAGTAGCCGGGACTACAGGCGTATGCCACCACGCCGGGCGAATTTTTTGTATTTTTAGTAGAGACGGGGTTTCACCGTGTTAGCCAGGATGGTCTCAATCTCCTGACCTTGTGATCTGCCCACCTCGGCCTCCCAAAGTGCTGGGATTACAGGCGTGAGCCACCGTGCCAGGCCCATACCGATGCCTTTCTATGTGCCATGCCTGAGCAAAGTCCTTTAATGAATTATTGTATTAAACTTTAAAACATTATCTGTAAGACAGATATTAATGTAATTTTCATTTCCATCTTATAGATAAGGAAACAGAGAATTGGAAAGGTAAGTGACCTCCTTAGTATCACACAGTTTACACGATATAGATGGCATTCAAAAATAGGAATGCCTAATGCCAGTGGCCAACCCCTTAACTGCTAAGGTATAGGGAACCCTTAAATAAAGAACTCAACCCCCTTCTGGATATGGCCAGACCCTCCTGGAAGCAGTGGCATGTGATTTTTGGAACCTGTGGAGATGAAGAAACCTTAAACATTGCTTAATCAAATTCAGTGAACTTGCAGATTGATAAACTGAGGTGCAAAAAAACCATGGAATTTTCTCAAGACCAAATGATTAGAAGTGTCAGAGTCATGGTAACGTTGGTTCTCCTGACTTCCAACTAAAATTCTTTCTCCTCCACAAAGGTGACTTACCAGGATGTAAAACTTGCTCGTCTACCAATTATGTCTAAAATTGTGTTCATCTTCTAAAAAGGCAGACCACATGGTTCACCCAATGTGGTAACTAAAAATCCAGACCTATAAATGTCAAAAAGTCTGTCCACTTCCCTAAACTGGGGAACTTACTCCCAGACAGATCCTTAGATTCTGACCCAGAGCTTCTTTAGTCTCTTCTTTTACGTGCAATACCAACAAAGCTGGCTACTGAAGTCCAAATAAAAATGCCTGATGCTAAATTAGTTCTGATGTTTGTGCTTGACATTGTTTCTGCACTGCTAAAAGCACAGATTAAACACAGTAAAAGTAGATAGTTCTAATAAACTGCAAGAAGGGGTCTTAAAGGCCATAAAAAGGACATAAATACTCAGAAAAAGCCCACCCATCTGGGATCACCAACTGCAGAAACAACAGCCCTGAATAGAGCCAGACTCACAGACCCACCAGAGAACTCAGTAGAAATCTAATTCACCACCCCTTCCAAAGAAGGAAGAAGGCATTCTCCTTAAAACTTCTCTAAGAGACAATCATTCAACCTCTCCTTTATGATTTGTGCTCCCAAGTCAGCCCGTTTTCTTTCAGGCAGATTTAAATTAGACATTTTTCTTATGCTCACTTGAAATATGTCTCTCTTTTCTGGGTAAAGAAAATGCTATGAGTTTACACTTTCAATATCCCATTTCACTCAGACACAACAATGATAGAAAAGAAAAAAAGAAAGAAAAAAAAAAAAGACGCAGCTTCAATGGGCCAGAAAAAAAATACAAAGTGGCAGAGCTGGGGTAAAGGCTTGGATCAGCTTGGCTCCTGGTCTTGCAAATAGCAGAGGAAGCTGGGATTTTGGCTTGCCTGATAATGGAGAAATAAAAGTGTGTGCCCTACTGACAGCAAGCTGTCCTGGAGCACGGCTCTTTCATAGCAGGGAGGAAGAGAGGAGGAAGGAATGTGAAAACCAGTCTGAGGTCATGGCCCACAGAAAGGTGGGACGTACTATGGCTGAAAGAAGCCCAGAAAGCCTCACTCTGGTAAGTGCTCAACCCGACTTCCCAAAAGCCCAGTGACATACCCCTGCCATCTCCCCAGGGTGGAGCCATAGGAATCTATAGAAAAACCCAGCTCTCATCTGAAAGTCCTGAAAACAATTCAATATTACTAGAAACCAAAGGGATTCAGAGATAGAAAAGTAAAAATTAAATAAAACAACTTCCTGTGAAGATGAGCTTGCAAAGAAGAAACAATTCCACAGTGCAGGAGGAATGCTAATACTAAAACAGATGGAACGTTAGGGGGTTAATTCACTGCCCATGGAACACAAACAATTTCCAAATGACTCTGAAGTACGTGACGTATCCCACAACTTCTATGAATCGATGCTGTGTTGTTGTTTTTTTTGTCTTTTTTGAGACAGAGTTTCACTCTGTTGTCCAGTCTGGAGTGGTGCAATCTCAGCTCACTGAAGCGTCTACCTCGTGGGCTCAAGCGATTCTCCAGCCTCCGCCACGCGAGCAGCTGGGACCACAGGTGCAAGTCACCACACCAGGCTAATTTTTGCATTTTTTGTAGAGATGGGGGCGGCTTTTGCCGTATTGCCCAGGCTGCCCCCAAACTCCTGAGCTCAAAGTGATCCGCCCGCCAAAGTGCTGGGATTACAGGCATGAGCCACTGCATCCAGCTGATGCTGCGTCTTCTAACAGCCCTCATTCAAATCTTCTAGGCTGTGTTCCTAATTGTTTTCTCAGAGAAGGTTGTCAGGAGTTCTCGTGATACTGAGCTACGATTCCTCACAAAGGCAGAGCCCACAGGGTGCCTGGATTTCTCACCATCTCTTCTCCTTTTACCCTTGGTCTATGCAGAAAAGGACAAGTACACAGTGTGTGAATGTAAAGGTGCTTCGCCTCTCATCAATCAATTTGCTTTATGAACCGGATAAATAGATTCTTTCTCCTTTTTTCTGTAGCCAAATGATCAAATATGTCATTGTCTCCTGAATATAAGCAGAAAATCTTGCATTTCATCATTCCATCACCCTTGGAGTCATCAAAGGCCTCCTGCCTTTCACAGCACAGATTTTGTTTTGTCTTGAAATTCTCCCACAGACAACCAATATTAGGCTAATAGTTCTCTGGCTGAGGTGGGTCTATATCGCCCCTCCACAGCTCCTGAATAGTTTTTTTCAGCCAGCAGCTCTATCAGCATTCCCCAACAGCCAGCATTCCCGGAAGACAGCACAGCGCAGAAGTGTGGGGCACCGAGCTGAGCGGCAGGGAGCTCAGCTCCACCACAAATTGGCTGGGTGAGTTTAGGCAAGTCATTTAATCTCTCTAAGCTCCCCTCACATCTGTACAGCAAGAGTAATAATAATGCCTGACTTTTAGAGTTGTTTCATCAACTCATGTGTAGACATTGCTTAGCTAGTGCCTGACAAACAGGAAATGCTAAACTAACATTAGCTACTATGACTCAGCTAGATTTTGCTACCTCTTTCCAACCTTCCTCAATAAAGGCCCAGTTTCCTAGAAGAAAAATGCCCTCTTCCCATTTCTCCACTTAAAGTTGAGCCCTGAGTTTGCAAATCAGCCCCACCTTCAGCTGCCATCAAATCAGAAAGCGTTTCTTTTGCAGACTGTAAAGAACAGTAAAAGCAGAGGTTCCCTGCAGTAAAAAAGGGGCTATAAAAAACAAAATGGAAACAAATACACACTTACAATAGCAGGAGACATTAAAAATCTTGGGAAACAATCTGTGTCTTTGTCCTTAGAGAAAAACTTTACAAAAGATCTTAAAGCTGTTACTGGAAGCTCTGTCTTTACAGTAATCCGGAACCCGTTTCCACCTGAAGTCCAGACTGCACATTGAAAGGTTCTATGGGCAGGAACTCTGCCACGGCTTTCGTATTTTCCCAAATCATCTCCACCAGCTCACCTAGCACCCTTTCAATTAAATTATTTAATTAACTGCAACTTATTGCACTTGGTATATTTTCCACCAGAACTGAAGAAAGTTATCCTGATTGGGCCTAATGATTTTCCAGCTTGCAAAGTTCTTTCCTTCCTTCCTAGGAAAAGCAGGGCTGACAGATTGAGAACACCAGGTCCTCCGCTTTGTCCCTGAGCAGCCATGCACAGCAGCAGCTGGTCAATGCTGCCACCATCTGTCCGTTTTTAGCATTAGTTGTCACTGAATGTTTACCAAGTGCATTTTGAGCAATATTTTCATTCTGCAGTATACTAACATAAGGGGTGGCTGAAGGGTGGAGATGACAGCAAACTGATATTTTCTTCCAAGAGAACAGATGCACGTTGCGCTGCCTTGTAGTACATGCAGGCCAAAAAGCGAAGGACACTCACGTTTGGAAATCAAAGGAAAACAAGAGTTTTGCTGAGCTCTGAAAGAAAATGACCACACAGTATTGGATGACTGGGGGACCCTTTTGAATATGTGCACAATAATTCTTCCTTTTGATATTTTAATGTATGTTTGCACTTAATAAAGCCAACATGTGTTAAAAGAAATGTGCTTAAAATTAGCCCAAAAGAAATCAAGATAAAAATCAGAATATGACCTTTTCTTGAAACAATATAGAATCCACACTGAAGGTACACTGTGTGCTTACTCAGTGAGAGAGGATGAAATATAACTAGGCTGAGGATGAATGAGGAAAGGGGCTTAGGATGAGGGATTGTCCCTATCAATTAAAGGAAAATAATACTTCCTTCTTTGCATTGGCTGTGGTGAGTCAGGGCATGGGGATGTCTACCATTTGGGATGCTTTTTCATCTAGAAAAGCCAATAGAACAAGAAATAAGCATGAAGTGGATGGCTGGAGTCAATTTAATGTCAGGCCTTTTGGAAATAATTAAAATGGTTAAAGGTGGACTTGCAGATCCAGCCAAGTTCACCAAAGTCAGGAGCCAGATAGATAGGGACCATGGGTCACACACCTTAAGGAACCATAATGAGAGTACGTGAGCCTCAGGAGATCAGTTCATGTGCTCGTCAATATTTCAGCAGGGTGACAGCCATTAGGAGTTGAATAGGTGTCAACGTGGCCAAGGAAGTGAGAAAATACAAATTTATCACATGACCAAAGACAGGCTATTTCTCATTTATAAACATGAAGGTTTGAGATCATTCTTGAGTGAGCTGAATTTATTGCAGCCAAGAGATCTGAAAATGGGATCAGACCATCTGACAGCTGTAACTATGTGACAGCCTCTGAACTGTGCAAGCCAGTAACAAAGAGACTACACCTGCACTGTCCAACGCAGCAGCCATTGGCCACATGTGGTGATCCAGCACTCGAATATAGCTAATCCAAATTGGATGTGCTGTAAGTATAAAATATATGCTAGATTTTGAAGACTGTACAAATAGAACATAAAATATCTTAACAATGTTTATAAATTAACACATATTGAAATGATACTATTTTAGATAAATAAAATATATTATAAACTAATTTCACCTGCTTTTTACCTTTTTAAAAGTACCTTCTAGAAAATTCAAAATTGTACAAATGTGGCTTGCATTAAAGTTCCCTTGAACAATAGCCTATATTATTATAATGCTACAGCTATAAGAACCTTAGAGATCTGAATGCATTTCTTTGTAGATTCAGAAGGTCTCAAAAGAGGTTAAGGAACCTGCCAAAGGTCACAGAAATGAGAGCAGAACCACCTCTTTCACCTCCACTTCCAAGTGCATTATTGGGGAATGTTTCCCTCTGCTTTCTCATATTTTTTTCTTTCTTGAGACAGAGTCTCACTGTGTCACCCAGGCTGGAGTGCAGTAGCACAATCTCAGCTCACTGCCACCTCCACCTTCTGGGTTCAAGTGATTCTCCTGCCTCAACCTCCCAAGTAGCTGGGATTACAGGTGTGCACCACCATGCCCGACTAATTTTTATATTTTTAATAGAGATGGTGTTTCATCAGATTGGCCAAGCTGATCTCAAACTCCTGACCTCAAGTGATGTGCTCACCTCGGCCTCCCAAAGTGCTGGGATTATAGGCGTGAGCCACCACACCTGGCCTTTCATGTATTTTTTAAATAATATACAATTAAAGTAGCTAATATTGAAGCCTAAGAACTTTTTTCCAAAGTAATGCAAACTTTCTATACCTTAAATAATACTTTCTATACCTTAAATAATACTCTTAATTTAAACTAATACGGTTATGGGGTAATATAGCCTCATCCCAGTCAGTGAAAAATATTCAATTTCTGATTTCTCCCTAAGCTTTGTCACTTTACTGGCAGCATTCTGCCAGCTTCTACAGTGACAGATGTGCTCACTAACGAAAGGCTGAATACCTTGTGTCAAATATATACCTGAATTCAGAATTATACTCCACTTGCCTAAAGCCAGCAGTTTTCTTCATGAATTCCTCAGGCTGTTTCCTCTATATAAACTCTGCCTCCGCCCACAATTAAAAGTTTCATTTTCTAAACTAACAAAACAAAAAAAATCAATCACATACCATGACAAACATTTCATATACCCCATGTTTTTCACAAAACATCTTATCCTAACAAGGTAAATTAAATAAAACTTGGGTTTACATAAGGTACAAGATAAGCAAAGTTTTGATTCTAAGTATTTTAACTACAGATGTTACCACTGACAAAAATAATTAGTTTAAATGTGCCAACTCTAGGGTAAACGTACTACTTTTATTTTAGGCATGCTGAATGCAAGTGGCCATGGGGCACCCAAGTGTAAATGACTAGTACATTTGTGAATTACATCAGAGGAGGTAAAAACAGATGTTAAAATATAGATAATGTCCCTAAGAGGAAAAGGTACCTACCACATTAAAAAAATTAGTTACCCTTATGGAATACTCATAGTTATGCTATCATTAATGAAGAGTTGCTTGAAAAGACTGGATATGAAAAATAGGAGAAGTAGGTAGTCTACATGTCAGGAGGCTGACAATGGCATCAGAGAGATCACAGACATTCGAAACTGTAATCGGATCTGGCCATTAGGAATTTATTAAGATTGTACCAACTTTCACTTACTCATCATTCTGGGTTTTGCCCCACATACTCTATTGAAACTGCTTTCTTGAAATTCCATATTCAATGGTAACTTTTCAGTCTCTCCTTAAAAATGTAACTACTGCCTCTTTCTTGAAACTCCTTTTTTGGTTTGTTTACTTGACAGAACAGACTGGTGGCTGTCCTATTCTTCTATTTTTTCATTTATTTTCCTTTTGGACTTTGGCTCCGGACCCATAATTATACATTTCACAAGTGTGTGGACTTGGCTCTCTTTCCTCTTTATCTTTTATTCATTGGAATCCCATACTTTCAAATATTCATCTAATTGCAGAGAATATCTCAATACTACATGACCTAGCACAGTGCTTCCTCCACATATCTGCTGAGTAAAGAAGGAAAACGGGCAGGCAGGGTGGTTCACACCTGTAATCCCAGCACTTTGGGAGGCCGAGGCAGGTGGATCACGAGGTCAGGAGATCGAGACCATCCTGGCTAACACGGTGAAACATCGTCTCTACTAAAAATACAAAAATTAGCCCGCTGTGGTGGCACGTGCCTGTAGTCCCAACTACTCGGGAGGCTGAGGCAAGAGAATCACTTGAACCTGGGAGGCAGAGGTTGCAGTGAGCTGAGATTGTGCCACTGCACTCCAGCCTGGGCAACAGAGTGAGACTCCGTCTCAAAAAAAAAAAAAAAAAAAAAAAAAAAAAAAAGAAAGAAAGAAAAGAAAAGGAAGAAGAAAGGAGAGAGAATGAGGGAGGGAGAGGTGGAATGGGAGTTTCCATGGAGAAAGGGAGGCCTGGGAGGTGGAGCACCCAAGGCAACAAAGAAGTCCAAGATCTGGGGATGTTATGCATAGCTTATGTGGATTTGAGTTAAGAAAGAGGAAGGACGACATCCTCAACTTATCTGTTTTTGTCACTGAGGTTTAGAAAAGGAGAAAAGATGTGAGTGAGATGCTGAAGTCATATGAGAAGGCAAGTAGATGCTAAAATAAGGAAGATAACTATGGGTATGGTAAAGAGTCACAGTGAGTTTACCCTTTCATTAAAGATAACTAAGCTGGGGGATGCTTGAGTTAGGAAGAACACAGTATATCCATCCTCAGAGGGTTCATTTGGATGTAATTCTTACTAAAGAAAGTTGGGAAATTTTGCCCTACCATATCCCTTAAATTGATCTCCCTAGAACACTAAAATCAATTGAAATTGGTATTGTGTGGGGGAAAAAAATTCCATGGCCAAATAATTTTGAAAAACGTTGGGTTTAAAAAAGTTAAATAGGTTTGGCTTCTTTGCTGTAAGACATTATAATGAATTTTATAAACTAATAATGTGTAATATGAACCTTGAAGAAAGATAAAGACTATTTTTCCCAACTGAACATTGTTTTTACTCTCCACACAGTATCTGAGAGACCAATAAAAATCACAGTTCTATTTCATTCTCATTGCATTTATTGGTATATAATGTGTATCCAACCCTACATTAAGTGCTTATGTGCTAAGAGAGATAGTATTCGAAGATTTTGTTGCTACCTTTGAGAATAAAACATTCTAATTAGGGAAATTAGAGAAAAGCTAAAGATAGTTCATAATACATTCGTAGATCCTATGAGATCAGATTCCAAATCCGGAAGAAAAAGAACCAGACAACACAATCTAAATGTCATGATTCTCAATTCTTTACTTTGTTAAATATATCACCATAAGTAGAGGCCAAATGGAGAAAACCGATGAGGCATAATAAACAGGAGAAAATATATCCATGATATTAACCTTCAGCCCAATTCCACCTTTTTTTCATAAATGAATACAAACATACAGTCAGAAGGAATAAGTTCTAATGTTCAATGGCAGAGTAGGGTGAGTACAGTTAGCAACAATGTATTATATATTTCAAAGTAGCTAGAAAAGAGAACTTGAAATGTTCCCAACACATAGAAATGATAGCCTAGGTAATGGATACCTCCAAACCTTGACTTGATCATTATACATTCTATGCATATAACAAAATATCACACATACCCCATATACAGGTAAAGTATGTCAACAAAAAAGAACATAAATAGGACCAATTAATAATCTTTAAGGCAAAACAACACTCAATATTCTGAGTTTTATTCCCACTAGTAAAAAAAAAAACATAATAATTCAATTGTGTCCACGTATTTCTCCCTACTGTGGCCAAATTATTAAGAATAAATGGAAACAGTTCAGCTTATATTTTAAAAGGAATTTATCTATCTATAATCTTCATTTTAAGGATTTGACCACATCCCTACTTCATGGCACACAAAAGAATACAGCATAGTTGAAGGAGTGAAGCACACATTAGAAGGATCAAGTATGTATTCATAAGGACAATAACAAAGTCCCTTGTTACTCTTAGGGGCTATGATTCACATGAGAGATATACATGTGTTAGGGGATTAGAAAGACTGAGCAACGAATAAAAAGAAGTGCCACAAGAAAACAATAAGAAAGATAGAATTGGCAGAGAACTGGATTCTCTCTCAGGGACCTACCGTTCCATCCCCACCACAGGCCAGAATTCGCAGATTTGGTACTTTCCTATACAATTCAAGCCTGTAGAGGAAATAGAAGAAAAAGTAAACAAAAGAACATTTCACTGGCTAGAGCAGAGAGAAAGCAGAGGACAACATGGGTAGGTAGGGGTGGTGTCCGCTGGAGAAAATGTGTAATCATGAGGATGACAATGCTATCATAGGTCCCAAGTAACCACAGGAAGAATGACTCCCACCAGTGGAACAGGTGTAGGCATCAGACATTATTTTTGAATGAATAATTCAACGTTGGAATTTAAGGGATTTTAGGATGTCCTAGTTTTATTTCCCATAACTTCTATTATATGTCAACATTATTTTCCTCGTTAGTTTTGACTTCCTTCTTTTTCTTTTCCCATCATTTCCTCTTCCCCTTTCCCCAAGAAAATCATCATTAATTGATAATCAGTAGTCCTTATATATCCCCTCTTTATATTTATTAGTTTTCCCTGGATGTATTTACTTCTTCTAACTTATACTTTCTACTCTTAATCCTAAGAAATCTTTTTCAGCGAGACGGGGAGGCTTCCGCACTCTCAGATGTGAACACAGGTATCACATCTACAATTCCATCTAGTCTTTCTCTCAGCTCAGTTACACACCACTTACACCTCCAACCCAAAGTGGGAAGATTGACTGATTTTTATTTATTTCAAACTTCTCTGCTTGAAATAAGATAATTTTGTCTTTCCTCTTGGATCTCAGGAAAATGCATTGACACTGCCCCTGCTAAATCTTTTGCTTAGGTGAAGTTGCTAGAGGCTGTAATCTAGAAAATATCACCTATTTAAATCACAAAATATGGTTTTTTTCTGAAAATATTTCCTGTCCTACCATGTTCTTTACGGTGACCTCTGAAGTGTCTCTCTAGGGTCTAACTAAAGTGATAAAATCTTAAGAAAAATAAGCTCCTAAAATGGCACATCCCAGGATAGCAGATTTGCCTTAGCATAATCAAGTACAGAAAATAAAAATAAATAAATATATATATATGTATTATGGGACAGAGAGAGGAAGAATCTTGCAGCAAACTCAACTGGTGAAGAAATTCATACGTTAAGAAAATAACAAATTAATTTTCATATTTCCTAATCTGCATGCTTAAAATAAGTAATTTATCCATTTTATACAAGAATACTATTTCTCTAGAAATCACCTTTTCCTCTGATATTGTTACTTATTAAAAAATAAGTGGTACCCTTGTGTTCTAACATTTATCAGATAACATCTGAACTATCCTAGTACATGAATTTAAAACGGAGAACCAGAGAACAGCAGAAGTGTCCTTGGTCTTTTCCACTGTGTGCCTCTCCACCAAAGGAGAGAAGCAGGATATGGGTCACCTACAATCTAGACTTTATTTTAAACACTTCTAACAAAAGCAGAGAATGAGATTTCTGAGAAGCTCAGAAACGGGATTGAGCAGGAATTAATATGTCTTCCCCACATTTGTGCAGAGTCCTCAGGTATAATCAATTGATTCTCTCTCTCTCACACACAAGCGCGCGCACACACACACACACACTCTCTCTTTTCAGTTCAAATATTCATAAACAAACATGGCTCCACCCTCCACAGACATACATTTACATTCCATTAATGTGCATCTCCAAAGTTGTACATGAAGAAATAGAAAAACAATGAGTCCTTTCTCAATTCACAGATTTGCAGAGAATAACCTACAGTTACACATACGTAAGTAACAAACACACTAGACGTATCCTGAGTTAATAGCTGAGAAGATATGTTTCGAAGGGAACTAAGCCAATAAAGAGTAGGAGAGAACTTTGGATGAAGTTTTAAAGGAAGGAGAGTACAGGTGAGAAGGTAGATGACAGATGGTCAGGATATACCTCACAAGGTAATCAGATAATGAAGCAGAAAATTCTCACTTGCCTAAAATACATATGGACCATGGAGAATATTTCCAGACTTACGCATCTTTTGGCCCTTCCTGAGAAAGATCAAAGACTTGCCGTGGATTCAGGTACCACATGAACATCTGCAGGACTTTGGTTCCCTGTAAAAAATAAATACACAAAAAGGCAATAATAGGAAGAAATTTCCCAAGAATAACTGCTCATTTAAAAAATAAATACTTTTATTTAAAATAATACACAGGGCACGGTGGCACACGCCTGTAATCCCAGCACCTTGGAAGGCTGACGCAGGTGGATCACTTGAGCCCAGGAGTTTGAGACCAGCCTAGGCAACATGACAAAATCCCGTCTCTACAAAAAATACAAACATCAGCCAGGTGTGGTGACACATGTCTTTAGTCCCAGCTGAGGAGGCGGAGTGTGCAGTGAGCCGAGATCACACCATTGCACTCCAGCCTGAGTGACAGGAGTGAAACCCTGTCTCAAAAAATAATAAGTGAGTGAATGAATGATGAATAAATAAATAAAATAATATCTAATTATAAGCAGTATAGAAGAGTAGTTAAAATCACGGGCTTTGGTCATGGATAGCCATAGGTTGAATGTCAGTTTAGATGTTTATCTAACCTGTGTAACTCTGGGCAAGTTTCTTCATTTCATTTAGCTCAGCCCTCCTTTTCTTTAACACAGAGACAAGAATACCCAGTTTGCAGACTTGTTGCAAGGATTAAAAGCCATAATTTTTGAGAAGTACATCACAGTGTTTAAAATGCAGTAAGCCCTTAATGAATAATATTTATTTTACTATCATTAATGTATGAAAATCCATATAGAAAAGTTATTAGTCAGCCTATGTAATTTGACATTAATTTTCACTTTATTGTACAGATTATTGTCTGTATAATATAAAATATGGGCAGTATTAGCTAAGTATTAATATAATTTTATAGAAATAGTTTTTTCTAACTGAAGCAAAAGTATCCCAGGCTCCCAGTTATTTTATACATATATAAAACTTCCTTAGTAAGATCACAGCTTACTTTGACATTTTCAATCTCCATGCCTATACTGGTTTGTTTAAGCCAAACACTTCTCTGTCACGTGAACATTTTTGGGGCATTTTAAGTAACTGTGACATTTATAGAGATCATCATTACAGCAGACATAAGGTCACTTTAGAGATCATTTTTAAATTGGATTGAGCAAACAAGAAATGCAAGAAGGGGCCGGGCACGGTGGCTCATGCCTGTAATCCCAGCACCTTGGGAGGCCGAGGCGGGCAGATCACAAGGTCAGGAGATTGAGACCATCCTGGCGAACACAGTGAAACCCCGTCTCTACTAAAAACACAAAAAATTAGCCGGGCACGGTGGCGGGCACCTGTAGTCCCAGCTACTCGGGAGGCTGAGGCAGGAGAAGGGCATGAACCCAGGAGGCGGAGCTTGCAGTGAGCCGAAATAGCGCCACTACACTTCGGCCTGGGTGAAAGAGCGAGACTCTGTCTCAAAAAAAAAAAAGAAAAAGAAATGCAAGAAGGATCTTTTTATCAAGCAATACCAAAAGAGCTTTAAAAATCAGTAGGATGCCCCATTTTATCACCCATAGCAAATAATATTTGACCAGTTGAGCCGAGTTTGTTGCTCATAATATTGTTGTTTTAGTAGATATCGTAATTGCTCTTTCTTAAAATATGCCTAGGTTTGTATATCTAATAAGCTGCATTTAAGAGTCATCCCAGTATACTGGACATAGTATGAGATTTGAGGTCAAACTAACTTCAGTGTTCTGAGTAATCATGAGCATTTATAACCTTGCAGAAATGCAGTATATAAAATAGAAAGGATGTCCACCTTCCAGGGTGAGTATGAGAATTAAGTGAATCACTAACAGTCACGTATCTAGCACAGTATGCGGCACAAAACAGACCTTTGTTACCGTTAATCCTTTTCTTTTTTGCAGCCAGTTAATCTACTCATTAAATTACACTTGAGAATGTGAGCTCTAAAGTATAGCTTATAATTATCACATTGTTACTCCTGTTGTTACATAGGCCAATGCAGGTCTTTTGTTGCATGTACCAGCCAAACCTATAATTTAAAAGTTCTGCCTTATCATGTGCTTGCTATAATTTTAGGAATCACGTTCTATCTAATAATTACAACGAATCCTTGAGTTTCACCAAATGACATATTGTGCTTCCTATCAAATTCAAACATAGACTTAGATCTGTATACACACTAAATACTAGATCATTTTCCCTCTTCTCACGCTGAGCCTTGCTATGAAGTGTGTTTGGGATTATCTCGAATAATCTTTTATGTTTAATAGGTAACACAGGAGTTATTTTAATGACCAACTAATTTATAAAACATTTCCAACTGACTTGCTAGAAAGTTCTTTGTTCAGTTTTAGATTCCTAGAGTAGTTTGAATTGTTGATGTTAATTACTCCTTTCCACCTGTGCTATAGTAGAGTGCACAGCTCAGCTTCAGCCTCTCCATTATGCAAATATTAATAGGTAACTAACATCTTCCAAAAAATAAAAATAAAAAGCATTGAGAGGTTGTTTTCCTTAAACTTGAATTTCTCTAAAAGGTCCGAGTGGCCACAGAGGTGACATTTCTATTGCAGTCTATTGGAATAACATGCCTGCAATTGTGTAAAGATAACTTGCATAGCCAGGCATGGCTACCCTGTTGAAATTGACATTCAGGCATGATATGATTACATCTTTTAAAAAGTAATCTTCTTTTCAAAATATGGTATTTATTACCAAAAATGTAAGTATCTAAAAGAAAGCGTTGAAAAAATGCTCCACCTAGTGTGTGGAGAAACAAAGATCTAACTCACACACTTAAATGAATTCTATTAACTCTGCTGTTACCTCTGGGTTAAGTAACTTTAAAGCTTTAATAGAGATAATTTATTAAATGTAACTGAATGGTTTGACAAATATTAATTCACCAGGAGAAGGGTAATTCATTTCTTCCTCAATAGTAGGATTAAATCTGCTCATTTAGACATCTGTCACTTACTAACAACTCTCCAGCACTCTCATAGTTATCACATGCTATAATGCCAAACATAAAAACTGCAACTTTTGTGCAAGAGTCTAATTTTCTCTAAATGAAAAAAAAAAACAGCTTATATGCCAATCCCAATCCATGCATGCTACTGTAGATATACCTCACTGGCCACAGAACTTTTTTAGATATTATAAGAATGGGTATTCCTAAGGAGTAAAAGAACATTATTCTTCCAAGCAGCAAGTACTAGGGAGGGAGTGCAACAGGAGAATACAAATTCCCAAAAAGTGACTGGATTGAACAAGATTCATTCATTCACCTACTATGTGACAGGCACAGTTTTAGGTAGGAGAATACAGAGATGAACAAGACAGAGATGATCTTGTTCTCAGAAGGAAGTTCCATGCATTATTCATAAAGGAAAACATAATGACAATTGTTGGGGGTGTGGAGAAGCAATCAAGAACGGGTCGGTTCAAATAGCTCATCAATCTTCATCAAAGCACCATAACTCTAGTGTAGGTTGAAACTCTGCTATGTTACTAAGTCTTGGTTTATATCATGCAGGCATTATCTAGATTATAGAAAGAACAACTGCCCAGACAATAAGAAAGGCCTGAGAAAAATACATTAATGAGAGGAAGGGCTTAAGAAATTATTATTTCAAACTGCTTCAAACAATCCAAATAGAATGCCTCATTTATTTGATAAATACGTATTAGGCCCCTACTCTGTCCATGTGTACCGTCGGGATCTCAGAACTTACTGGAAGGAGAGCAATACAAAATAAATTAATTCACCAAAGATGGGAACTTCTCTGATACAGACGTCTGCTAAGGAGGATGAGTGCCCAGAGGAAACACTCTTAAGCCCAAGTTGAGAGATTAGAAGGCGTTGTAAGTAAAATATCTGAAATGTGTCTTGAAAAATGAGTAGACTTAACTATTTCTTTCCACCTCGAATAGATGAAGAACCTTCAGGGTAAAGGCACAAAAGGTGTGAAACAGCAAGACATCCCATGAAAAAGCTACATTCTGTTCACTTTTCTGAACCATGAGACAGGGAGTTGCGAGAGAGGAGACAGCTGAAGTGAGCTGTGGTTTAAATAATGTATGCTGAGAGGCTTAGGCTTTAATTTATAGAAAACAAGGAGTCACTGAAAAGTCTTCATTAAGAGATTCAGACCAGCTTTTTTTTCTCCCAGACTGACATTTTTTATGCATCGCTCTGGCTACAGACTAAGGAACCAGACCTATCACAGGAGCTAGTTTGGGTCTTAGCTGCCCAATCCTCCCACCAATACTATGATTTCAGAAATAGGACTTTCCATAGGTTCATCATTTGGTTGTTTTAATTCCATCTGTTGAGGCTAGCTGGACAAGAAGATGTTGAGGCTGCATTTTGACAAGTGTCCTCGTCTACTGACTTCCCTCTGCCCTCTTCCCTGCCTACTCTAAACCTTAGGGAGCCTGCACTTTTATCTAAACATAATGATCCTTGAATTATCACTAGGTTGAGAAGTTTCCAGTACTGCAAAAAAGTAACTACTTCATTAAAGTTGCTTGTCCAATTATTTAGAAACAGTTTTGGGACTCAAATTTCTCATCTGAAGTTATTTACTCTTTCTGTCTTCCCCTTCTCCCCACCTTGATGTGACTGGCCCCTGACTTAGGAGGGGTGGCCCTAGTCTGAGAAAGCCGATTCCCAGATGGTGGTGTAAACTCAGCTGCCATGTGTCTGTCCACAGACTGGACACCTCTTCCTCGATCACCCTACTGATAAAGACCCTGGGACCTGTAATCCAAGGATCCAACTCCTGCCATACTTCTACCCCAGGATTCCACATCGAACAGTGTGCAAAGCCAGGGTCTGGATCCCTTGGCTCTCAGGGATGATCAGATAGAATCATCCTAGAGGTCAGAACATTGCTTTACCCTGAAGTTAAAGTCTAGGTCACTGGAAGAGAAAGTCATGAGAGAACGTGAGGGAGAGACAGTGTGAAAGCAGGAAACACTGAGAGATATCACAGGATTCTATAAAACTCAGAAAGATGCTAATGAGTCCAGGACCTCAAAGAAAAATCTAAGTTTTGACATTAAGGCAAACAGAAGTGTAAGGGAGGGGACGTATTTCTCTAGTACTCGAAAGTTTCCACACATAGGAGGGGATTGCACTGGAGTAAACTTTATGTTACACTTACTATCTCTTTCCACCGAAGGAGGTATTCAAAGTTGAAATTTTTGGCTGGGCACAGTGCTATAATCCCAGCACTTTGGGAGGCCAAGGCGGGCAGATCACCTGAGGTCAGGCATTCCAGACCAGCCTGGCCAACATAGTGAAACCCCGTCTCTACTAAAAATACAGAAATTAGCCTGGTGTGGTGACACATGCCTGTAATCCCAGCTACTTGGGAGGCTGAGCCAAGAGAATTGCTTGAACCTGGGAGGTGGAGGTTGCAGTGAGCTGAGATCGTGTCACTGCACTCCAGCCTGGGTGACAGAGCAAGACTCCGTCTCAAAAATATAAAATAAAATAAAATAAAATAAAATAAAATAAAATAAAATAAAATAAAATAAAATAAAATAAAAAAAGTTGAAATTTTGGTCCCTGATTCCTCAAATAAGTCAAATCCCAATAAAATAATAGCAGCAGTGCTACCAAGCTCTACAGCTTTGCAAAACACCCAGTGTCATCGCTACCTTAAGAGTGTTGGAAAAACAAAGAGACAATTACTGCTAAGTTTAAAAGAAGAGATTTAACAACCTAGGTGTTCATCAGTGGAAGAATGGATAAAGAAACTGTGGTATATATACATAATAAAATACTATTTGACCATAAAAAAGAATGAAATCCTGTCATTTGCAGCAACAAAGATAGAACTGGAGGTCATTATGTTAAGTGAAATAAACCTGGCACAGAAAGACAAAAATTGACATGTTCTCACTCATATGTAGTAGAGCTAAGAAAGTGGATCTGACAGAGGTAGAGAGTAGAATGATAGTTACCAAAGACTGGGAAGGGTGTGGTGGGTGTGGGGGATGACCAGACGTTGGACAGTGAGTAAAAACATACAATTACATAGAAGAAATAGGTTCTAGTGTTTGCACAGTGGGGTGACTATACTTAACAACAGTATATTGCACATTTCAAAATAGCTAGAAGATTTGACATATTTCAAACACAAAGAAATGATAAATGTTTGAGGTGATAGATGTGCTAAATACACTAACTTGCTCATTATACATGCCATAAATGTATCAAAATAGCATATGTACTCCATAAGTATGTACAAAAAGAATGTATCAATTTAGAAAAAAAATTAAAGAGTTTTAAAATATGGGATTTCTTAAAAGAGAGACATAGAAGCAGTCCTTACACGGTTCATCCCAATACATTCCTTCAAAATGTTTTTCTTACACAAGTAAAATATTATATAAAGAGAAAAAGCTATTTTTCTTGCCAGTAGGTGGCAATATTGTCCAGTAATTTACTTAGAAGACTAAGCAAGTTAAAAATTTTTTAAAAAAAAAGAAAAAAAAAGTCTAAAGCCTAAGTTTCAAAGACAGAAGGAGATAGGAATCCTTTATATCTAAAAGCAGGTGAGTGGAATAAGTAAATTATTAAAAGGCAAAACTCAAGATTTAACAAAAAGTATCTATTTTTCTATTTATCACAGTAAGCCCCTGCTAACCATAGTATGGTTCTCTGAGCAGCAGTCTCAGCACCTGCGAGCTTATTACGAATGCAGCATCTTAGGGCCCACCCCGACTTACTGAAGCAGAATCTGCATTTTAGCACAATTCCCATCTGAATCATACGCACATTAAATTCCACCATATTATTCCTCTGTTCAAAAGCCAAAAGATTTTTTAAACTAAAATATTTTAAACAGCAAAAAAACTAGTTTCCATTGCATAAATCCAAAGTCTTCAACCTGAAGTATCCTGTTTCTTGAAGACGTGATTCCATAGGATCATTCTAATCTTTAATCACATTTCCAATAACTTAATATGCATGCACCACTCATCATATTGTCCTCAAAATGAATAATCGGCATCATGACATCTGTTCTTCTAATCCTATTATACAATTATTTAACTATGTGCCGTGTTCTAGAAATCACAGATTCAATGGTGGACCTGTACCCCAACAGTGAAGACGCACATAGAGCAGTTATGTTACTGTTCATATCATGCAAGTGTGTACCAAGGGCTATCGGGGCATAGTGGACAGGATGATTGATCTCGAGAAATGGTTCAGAAAGGCACCACTGAGCCTCGAAGGATGAACAAGAATTTGCTGAACAGGAATCTGCCACAGTAAAGAGCAGGAAAAGGACAGACCTTCCAGTCTTCTCTCCTCTGCATAACTAAGTAGTACCCATCTTTGATTTCAGCCATGTCCATGACACCATTTCCTTATCACTCCCAAGTCACTGCTTACCTCTGAAATATCATAGCACTGCAGTCTGAGCCACTCAATTTAGAAGTCACATGCAGTTAATGTTGCTTAAATTATTTTCCATTTGTTCCTTTTGTGTCATTTACAAGATGTCTTTAGAAAATTCATTTTAAGCTTCCTTGACCTCCCTTTTCTATTTAGTGAAATAGGAAGCAATATTAGATAATCTCTGAAGTCCCCGTCATTAATAATTTACACATAGACTGGAATAGGAACAGGCTATGTCTTAACTGGATCATCAGCTCCTTAAAGAAATAGATAACTTACTAGCCTCTGTGCGCCCTAGGAAAGAGAGCTTATAATGATTTAATAAATGCATCTTATATGTGGACTGTCATGACAAAATATATTTGAAACTAATTGATATGTGGTGCTCAGGTGGCCAAAATCATGGAACTAATTACATTTCCATGTTTCAGGGTTCCCAACTGCATCTCTAACCTTTGATAGAACATAGGGATACTAGCCCAAGAGAGTGGGTATTGTTCAGGGAAAATTAAACCTCATTTCAAGGAAACCCATGTCTAGGTCCTCCTCTAATGATGTCTTAGAATTGCCATCATTACTCCATAAAGATCTCTCAGCAACTCAAAAATGCAGGACTTGAAAACAAATGGTTTCTTTGCTTACACAAATTTCTTTTCCTTGTTCTCCAAAATGTTAATACACATTTTTACCATATCAAGTTTTTGAGAATTTTGAAGGCAGAGATGAAAGGAAGAATAATATTTCATTTAAATCATAAGCTCCCATAAGAGAAGTTTTATTGTAATTAATACATTCTGGACAATGCCCATTGTCTTTAGTAATAAGAACATCATCTTGGACCAGTGGGTCAATCCTATTTATACAACTTACCTTCCTTATATGGGATGACTAAAGGGTTTCAAATCTCCAGTTGTTTATTGTAAAACTTGAAGGAATCTTGTCTCAAAATGTAAAATATATACTTCGTGGATAAAGAAAATATTTTCTCATCCAAACTCAGAAGAAAATAACAGAAAATTAAAGCCCATAGAAGAGTATTGATAAGAAGCCTCAGAGAGTGGGAAGATAATCGGATGAAGAGACAAAGACCAGGATTCAAGAACAAATTCTGTCCTTTATAGACCAGTGTCACTTTAGGCATGCCTTTAGACTTAACTTTTCTAAGTCAATTTCTTTATTCTCAAATGAGATAAGTATCTGTACTATTGGATTTGGGCTAGGACCAAGTGAAACCTTAAGAAGTTGATATTTTCTATAATGTTGGTGGTATTTGGTAGGGATTATCATGGCTCATGAATCATCCTTTTTTCTTCTCTGAGGATAGGGATGAAAGTGGTTGTATCTAAATTGCAATAGAAAGAAATAAAAAGAAGTTGATGAAGGGCCTCCTAACTATAAGAATTGAGGAATCCTGAAACATACGAACTAAGAGAAATTCTAGAATATCCTTTCTTGAAAATCTGTAAGGAAAAAGTCAGTAGTTAGGTTTCTTAAGTGCCTTTGTTATAGTCTTATATGGAAGCAGACAGATAAATTATAGAACATCTAGGTTTTGCCCAGCCCTGTAATGTGTAAAGCTATCAGAGAAACAATAACCTTGTTCCTGAGAAACCGGTGTCTTCCAAAGCTTGGGATCCTAGTGGTACTATTTTAATTGGCAGTGAGAGTTGTGTCGTCAAGAAATTATCAAAACTTCTAAGTTGAAAATCATGAAAAATTACTCACCTGGTTGCCTCCACTCTTGGGATTCACAAATACAAGCAAGGGTTTCATGAGAGGAGAAGAGATGGGTTTTATCACAAAAGGACGACCTTTGTTTTCCTGCTGAAAGAAGCAATCAGCACTGTTAGGATACACATCCATGGCTTGAAAGGCAACCCCAAGGCAAGGGAGGTGGAAAACCACCCAATAATACATTTTGTTTCCCAGGGCTGACTCTTAACACGACTTCCATGTAAGGCTTGGAAGAAAGTATCTCAAGTTATCATTTGCTCCAGAGAATTAAGCCAGGCTTTTTATTTTACTCTGTAAACTCCAAATATTCCAGAAATATTAGCTTGGATCTTCATCATCATCATCTTGGGGATAACATTTCCAGGCAAGCGCAGAGGTTAGTTTTGAGTGTTTGTTTTTTTAAAAGAACAGAAAGAATCCTATTGTGGTTAGAGTGTAGTGAGGAGAAAGCAGTAGTAGAAGATAGATCAGAAAAATCAACTTGGACCAGATCTCATAGGACAGAGTAGACTATGGAAAGAAAGTGGAAATTCCTCAGAATAAAACTCTGAAACACTTACTTCCATCCCTCTTTTACTGGCTTTTCTTTTAAAGCTTGTTCTCTTCTTCTTCCGATTTGAAGCCTTCAGGGAGTTCTGTAGGGAGAGAGAGAAATGCCTGAGCTCAGAGGCAGCCAGCCCAGGAGCTTTCCCATGCAGAACCAAGTAGAAGATGACGGCAGCGCATGCTGTTCCACTGCATGCTTCTCATGCTTTCACACTTCCAAGCCACTGTTCATGGATAAGCCACAGACAGAAATCAGTCGAGTGCTTCAGAGTAAGCGACTGACTCTCCACCACACGGAGAGGCAGGGAGTAAGAACCCCAGAGGCTCTCATGGACTCACATAACAACACATGTTATACCTGCCAACCCTCCCAGTAAAAATGGAAGAATCCCAAATTCTCTGAGGGGCTCCAGTCTCCCGCCCAACCAGGTTCGTCTCCCGCCCAACCAAGTTCAAGTTCATCTCCTCGTATGGAGATCACCTATGTGGAAATGTAAAAAAGGAGGCCATTTTTCATGTTTTTATTTTTCTTTTTTGTTTTTTTTTTCTTAGTTTACTCTTTTGGTAATGATCTTTTCTAGTAATAGTCATAAAGTGACTCTTGACCCTACTCGAAATTTATGATCCAACTGTCCTATCAGTTGTCTGACATGTAAAATGCAAAGATAATACTCACCTTAAATCACTATGAGAGTGGGATGGAAGTCATTGTTCTTTCTTTCTCTGTCTAAAGACCTAATGGTTTAAAAAGTTTTCCCTCCCCTGGTAGCCTTGATTTTTTTCTTCTTATAAAAGTGCCTCAAACTTGTTGAAATACAGTGACCCCCAAATTTACTTTCCTTGTCTTTCTCTTTCTAGAAACTTTATAGACCACAATATTGTGATTACTTCAACTAACCATTTTCTCTTAATATTTGATACAGATGTTTTGAGAAGAACCTGTCATAGGGATCAGTCACAACCCACTGATTGAAGACAAGATAAAAACAGATTTAATTAGTGGAGAGTCAATGATTAATTAGACTGCTATCTTTAAAAGGCAAGATATTACTGACCATATAATAGATGTTTAACAAAGTGTTGGCAGCAAGAAACACAGAATTCTTAAATTAAAAGTTTATATAAGTATATATGCATGCATTGTTTGAGTAAAGTTGTCAAACAGCCTCAAGAAATGCAAATGTCTATTCTACTTTTTAATGTATTCTTTTTTCTTTGAGCATTCAAAATAATCTTTAGTATAAAGTACATATACTAAGTCATCCAAATTAGTAAGCTCCTATTTAGCTTTTATTTTACTTTGACTTGGATTTGGGAAAAAAAATAAGTTGATACATGACCTGTGTTCACCGGGGATGAGGGAAATTTTCAAGAACTACCATCTGTCCCAAGGTTTTCTTTCCCATCAGATTAAAAGATCTCAGGATCTCAGAGTCACACCAGGAAAAGAGAGATCGAGGAGCTCATGGGTGCTCTAGACCCCAGGTCATTCCTCATCACTCACTGTTGACTCTACTTCCCCCTGAAAATAGATCTTCGAGTTTCTAAATTCTCAGTTAAATGGGTCTTTTATCATGTCCCTCACTGAGGAATATTTCGCATTATGAAAGTATTTGTTATATTTTGATAGATTTCTGTTTGTTTAAAAGGGAAGAAAAGTGATTTGGAATCATTAATCATTTAATCAGCCAAATGATCTAAGAAGAATGCTAGAAACCACGAGGCTGGCAGGAACAGTATGTATTTGGTGTCAATTAACAATGCTCTAAATGCTTCTCAACCATCTCTACACATTGGCATCACCCAGAGAGTTTTGAAAAATGCTCGTGCCCGGGCCCCATCAACTATTCTTTCATCTGTTTGGGGTAAAGCCCAGGCAAGGATACTTTTTAAAAGTTTACCAGGCAACTCTATCACAGAGTGATGGCAGTAGAAAGAGGAAAGTGAGGAGACACATAGATTGTGTTAAGCAGAAGATGAACAGAGACAGGAATATACGTCTGGTATGGACTCTGAATCTCCCTGTTGTGAGATCAGTGACCTTGGCCAAGTCAGTCAAACTTCTGAAATAACAGTTTCTTAATTTTAAAATGATGGTGACACTACCCACCTCATGGGACAGTTATGAAGTTATAACCAGCAAAGGTACATGAAGCAGTTAGCTGGGTATTCATCCCACCATGAGCACTTCAGTAAATGTTAGCTCATTCTAAATAATGCCTCATTCTCAGCTGTGTGTCCCCAACACCGAGCACAAATTCCTGGCACATAGTGTACACTCGAATCATTGTTGAAATAATGAACAAATATTCCTATAATTCACAGCATTTACTGAGCCTCTCCTGATTTGGGAAAGGATCCTTGGGAAGTGAATGCTTGCCTCCTAACTTTTTTGTAGTTTTAATTCATTTACTGCCAAGAGCAATGCCAGACACCAAGTGCTTGCAGGAACATGCTATGGACCTAGGTCCTTGACAGGATGTCAGCAATTAAACTCCATGAGACAGATCTAACGCATCAGGCTAAGATTGTTTCCTAAACTTGTCTGATCGTAGAACTCACAGTATTTCAGGTGATTTTGATGATCAAGCACGTATGGGGAGCACAGAGTTAGAAAAACACATTAAAGTAAGGCTTGATGTCTGAAAACAGAGCAGGCAAAGAACTCAATTCTTATAGGGAACAGACACACAAAACGGGCTTTTTTTTTTTTTTTTTTTTTGTAACACAGAGGTAGCAAATACAAGTGCTTCTAGCCTCACCAAACCAAATGCATCTGAGGCCTTCTTCACTTCACAGAACAAGAACAGGGCAGAGACCAAGCACAGTCGTTGACTTACAGTACCTGGACGCATCTATGTGAGCTCTGAGTAAGCTTACAGCCCTACGGATAGTCAAACACAAAAGATAAATAGTAGGAATTTCACAGCATACCTCAAAATCCCATGGCTCCCTTCTATTTTTGTATAAATACATATCTCTATTTTGTATAAATATGTATCTATCTCTACCTCTAGGAACAGATGGGTTTGAAGGCAGATTTTGTATATGTTTTGACCATGATGAAATAAATCACCTACTCTTGATAATCTACAGGATCGCTTATCCTGCCTGGGTCAGTGTTGTTGAGAGAGTTAAACAAAAGAGCACGCTTTTCGAGAATGTTAAAATTATGTCAAGAAGTTACTGTGTAGAATTTGTTGGTGATATATGCAAGAAACCTGTAACACTTGTGCTATGTTCCAAAACAAATCATCTCTATTATATCAAGGGCAGCTAACTCGGTGATAAAAGCATTCGCTTTGCAAGATCAACACTAAAAACACAGTGAAATGCTGTATGTACCCTCACTTGGATTTTTGCATTCTTCTGATTCCAACAGCAGTCGCCCCCTAGACATTCTGTGCCTGCTCTTTTGTTAAAGACCTAAATAAAAAGGCTTTTTGTTTTCCTGTACTTCATACCAGGATAATTGTACCTTGCCACAGAAATAATCCTATCAATAAAATCCTGATCATGCTTATGACTCCTTGCTGGGCTATTAAGAAATAGTTACGGGTAAATCACTCAACTGTGACTGAAACTTAACTACCTCTTATTAATCTTCAGGGATTTTTCCAGGTTATAAGATCACAAATGACTGGTTATAATAACAGATCCCAAGAGAAGAGATCTGTTCGCTCTTCTTTGTCATCCCAAATAAAGTCTCCCCCCCATCATATACTGGACAAAACTCTGGTAGACAGTAGGAGAGAGAGTAATGGACTTAGTCTATTAAAGCGCATTCTTACTCTGCTGGGCTCCCATTGTGCCAGGGAACAAAGGCTGCTCTGAGGATGGGAAGGCAGAAGGATAAAGAAAACTTATTCCAAAAGTTACAGACAGGGTCCCAACAGCTCCAACCAGGCCTATTTGACTAAATCACAAGTACTAATGAAGCTTTAGAATTCACCAAAGGAAATGGTTCAGGCAATTTTGAGGCTAATTTACAGGATATTATTGGTCGTTGCACAAAATTAGCTATTACATTTCATGGGTTCCCAGTATTTTAAGAAGATTATCTAACCAGAAGAGATAAACCAAAAAAAGGGGGACTATTATGAAGAAAGCTCATACAGGGCTATGAAGAAATGAATGCAGCATTGTTTATAAGTAGAACATTAGAAACAATATAAATATCCACCAGTAGGCAGATGGATCAATAAACTAGGATATATCCACAGCATGGGATACATACAGCAATTTAAAAAATGAGTTAAGTCTACATATAATAACAGACTTTTCCCCAAGAATCTTTTTTTACTAAGAAAGGCAAGTTTTAAAGCATTATGTGAAGAATTATTTATTAAAAACACACACCCTTACACTCGAAGTGGTTCTGTATTTCTTCTGTGGGTGCATTTCCATGCATGTAAACGCACAGTAAAAACTCTGCATATATCATAGGAAGAGACAGCGGAGATGCTTATCATTTTAAATGCTGGTGAAAGGAGACTCTCTTATCTGAGATGTTTAATTTTTACAGGGAGCATATTTATATATTACTCATGTTACTACAAACGAAACAATAAAAGATTGAGCACTATCATTCTTTCAAAGAAACCAGCTTGTTCCCACTCAGTACTATGAAGTCACAACAGGCTGTATTAAGGAAAGAGAATGGAGGATCCATTTTATATTCTTTTTAGAAGATAGGAGCAGCCCAGTGAGATTCATGAGAAAGTTACAAAAAAGTGACAGTTTGGAAAATTTAGGGGACCAAGTACAAAATATTTTTTCAAATGATGTCATCTCATGATACATAAGTTTTGTAAAAGCTTTCCCAACTGTGGTCTTCTACAACTTGACCCCACAGAAAATTCACGTAAGTCTCAATCCCTCAGCTCCAAGTATATGCACTGGTATTTGACCATCTTTAACTTGCCTGTCCAATCAAAATATTGTCTAGTAATATTTTCAGTCCGAAAGAGAAACACTGACATTTGTAACTTTAAATATAACTTGGACTTCAAATATATCAACAGATCCAGGCTTGATTCTTAAATTTGGGGTTTTCATTTGAGTTATTTAAAATCATCTATCTTCCATTACCTTTTTATTTCTACAAAATAACTTCTTCATCTCTCTAAATAATGAGGTGATGAAACCTAGCAAATTACCCAAGCAGCCCTCACTCCCTTTAGCATCAAGGTTTCACAGAGCTGCCAATTCCACAGTTGCTCGTGGAGTAAAAATGAAATATGCGGTTTAATTCCAACTCTTTATAAACCATGTCTCCTGACCATGATACCCTCAAATAGATTTCCTTTACTCCTCCTCTCTAGAGTCACTTGTTTAGACACAAATATCCCAAATAAAGCTGACTTTATTTAAAGATCCATCTTAACTGTTCTCAGTTAGTTCTATCAACTTTTACTGTCCTTCTCAACCCGTGTTTCACTGACACTGCCTACATCCTTTAAGGCCTACCACAAATGGCATATTTTCTATTTAGCTTACCCTGATCCCCATGACCGAAAATGCTCCGTACTGCTTCATATTCACACTGTGTTTATACATCTTAGGTAGCACTGACCACTCTCCACCTTGGATAGATAGGCCACCTTGGATGCTGACCATGGCTGATTCAACCAACCTGTCTGGCCCCTTCCTCTCACCATCCTTTGTGTGTTTCTCCCAAAGATGCATACTGACCAAAAAGCAAACCTTCCGAGATAGTAGGAGGCACTCTTTTATTAAGGATTTACACACAGCTGAATTTTTCAAAATCCACAAACACTCTGCCCAGTGACTTAGATAGTTCTAGCTATATTCCCCACTATTGAGTATACTCTTTGTGGAAATGGATCACGGTGGATTCATCTTTGGACCTCCTACTGTATACAATAGCATCTCTGAATGTAGTTAAATTAACATGAACTGAATTCAATTAAGAACATCTTCTCTATTATTTATTTTGAAGCAGTATGATAGAATATAGATACATATACATATATGTGTATATGTATGTATGTGTGTGTGTGTGTGTGTGTGTGTGTGTGTGTGTGTGTATCCTCAAATTTGGAAAAACATTTTACTCTGCTATTCTCCACCTATGTTCCAAATTTTCCGTTAGTCACTTCCCAATGTCTTAAATGAATTCTCTAATATATTGACCTCCAAATCATGGCTAAAACTTGCCACCCATGATCCACACACTACAAACTATAGTTTTTACTGTCATCTATGAACAGATCAGAGACACAATGACTTTTCTCCTTGTTTTCTTCCTCGTGGTTTTTTTATGTCTATAGAATTTAACATTGGTGTCGAAGAGTTTCAATAGAAGAGTTTAATTGTTCGGTATTACACAAATTAGTTACGTGGCTACAGCAAGGTTATTACGGGCCCAGGTGGTATTGGCTCAAAAGTCAGAAAGCTCTTAACCACTGCTGCATTGTCCCCACAAGCTCACCATACCTCAGCTTTTAAATAGACTATGGTTCATTGGTTAACTTACTTGATGGCTTTGAAGCCCACTAAAGAAAAGACTACTAAAATTTTTAAAACATCTGATTCAGCAAGGCTGGCTACAGAAAGATAGTGAGGCAGTGTGGCATACCAATAAGAGCTTGTTTTTTGGAATCAAAATTCCTGGGTCCAAGTCCCATCTCAAACTATTTAATAACTATATGACCCTGGGTAATTTATTTGACTTCTCTGTGCCTCACAATCCTCAGATATAGAGTAAGAATAACAGGATACCTGCTCATAGGATACTATGATGATAAAATAAGATACTGAATGTAAAATACTGAAAACTTTCCTAACACATATAAATGTTAGCTCTTCTTACTATTATTATTACTACATTGTCCTGAATCATAGACGGTAATAAAAAGGCACATGTTGAATAATGAATTTGGACTGTGCATCCAGACTATGAGCTATAAATCCCATATCCCATTAAAAGTAACCAAGACTCTAGAGAAAGAACCAAGACTCTGATTCCAGGTATGGACAGGAAATGCATTAAATGATCCTGGGACATGGTATTGTTCCTAAAACCAAGGAAGCTCTCAAAACCTCATGGCTCATAACAAATGTGAAGACAGACACCATGTGGAAGAGGTTCCAATGGTTGGAGATGAAACAATATAAACATAGGAAGAAGAATGATGACAACGTATTGGAAAAACACATAATACATAAAAACATAATTAAGTAATTTCGTAATGATACTCTCCAAAAAAACAACCACTACTACATCCTATAAGGGTTGCTAAGGCATCAGCTTATTATTCTGAAAACTTACAAATAAAGGCAAATACTCAAACGTTTGTCATGTATTTGTTGGGATGAAGGAAAGGTCTCTTTTCTAAAAATCATAGCTAAAAAGAGTGAAAATTGGAAAACGACTCCTTGGCAACCCCTAATGCAATAATAGACTTTGGCAAAACTCTTTGATAGATAACAATAGATGACAAGCTGATGGTGAACTTTATGATAGACAGATTAGGATGACAGTTCCTGAACCCACTGATTGATCTTAGCATCACTGAGAGTGAAATGGCTGATATCCTCTTCCTGTGATGGCAATGTACTGCCAGTGTATCCCTTTTACCAAAAAAAAAAAAAAAAAAAAAAAAAAAAATTAAACCTAAATATAATTGAGTCTCTGGGTCTAAATATTAGTTTACAAGAAATATGGGCAATAAGAGAAATAATTTGGAAACATGGTAAGAATCAGCCAAAATCAAAATATGGGAAATCCTATGGGTAAAGTGACCCAATTTCATCAACGGGTAAGTGGCCTGACAAATAACAGGGGGTATTGTTCTATACTAAGGGAAGCTTAAGAACTACGTCAACAAAAGGCAGTTGTGAACTTTGGATCCTGACTTGAAAAACAGTAAAAAAAGATATATTTTAGACAACAGGAAAAAATTTTAAGGGATTATTAACATGACTGAGATAATGGCATTTGGATTTTTTTAATGCTATCTTTTACAGAAGCATAATGAAGTGTTTACAGACTAAGTGGTATGCTGTCTAATGTTTGTTTTAAAATACTCTAGTTAAAGAAAAAGTAGGGGGATTCCACTTCCAGGAAGATGGGGTAGATGGGGTGAGGCCAGGAGGAAATGGATATGACTCCTGACAAGGGACCACCAGGGATGCTCCTGGGGATGGAATGTTCTGTATCTTGACTGAATCAAGGTCAATATCCTGGTTGTGATTTTGTACTGTAATACCGCAAGATGTTACCATGAGAAGAAATTTTGGAAGGGTGCAAGTGATTTCTCTGTATTGCTTCTCACAGCTGCATGTGAATCTCAAAAGAAAAAGGTAATTCATAAAATGAAAATATGAAGTAGCAGGAGACACATGAAAAAGAATGGCAGAAAAGTTGATGGCTAGAGGATTCATTATAACCTTTTTCTTCATTTGCTTGAAAATTTCCATAACAAAAAGGGTTTCTTAAGGTTTAGAAGAGTAAACTTTGCAATTTCCCTACAAACTGGTATTATCCCCTGATTTTCCTAACTAGTGTGTCTGCGGACTTCCAAATTCCCATACCACTAGGCTATTTTACACACTCTTGCTACTTGTTTCTTTCTAAAATACTATATATATATATATATATATATATTTTTTTTTTTTTACTCTATCATTCCTTTGCTTAAAAGGAACTCTGCTGCTACTTCAGGATAAAGTTCACGGTTATTAAAAAAAAAAAAAATTCCTCCACAGTCAGGCCTGAGCAATTGTATGTTCATCTCCCACACACCCTCTGCATAAACCCTGCACTTTGGTCAAACTAGACTCACAGTTCCACGGATATAATTTTGGACACAGTACTCATGCCTGTGTGCCATTCTCCTGCCTGCTACTCTCTCTCTACTCCACAGACCTAAATCTCACCCATTTTTACAAAGCAGAACAAATCCCATCTTCTTCATGAAGCCCTCCCCCCCACTTCATAACAAGACTCTTAAGAGTAAGGATCACGTATTTTATCGCAATGCCTATTAGCCTTCCTGATACAATCGAGGTTTTCAATGGAAAGATGTGGATTTAACTGAATGAATGTTTAATGTAAAGCCTTGGAGAGATTACCAAATTTTAGAAAAAAAAAATTTTAAAGTAGAAATGTTAAAGAGATTTAAAAATAAAAACTGGAATTCAGTACACTTGAATTTCAAATAGTAATACTATATATAATTTGTTTTATCACCTTGGGTAACTCATTTAACATATCTTGGCATTTGGTTCTAAAATATAAAATGAAGCACTAGGCTCCTCATTTTTTAATATGTAGACACTATACTTGCCTCTGGAAAAAAATATCCCAAGGGCTTCCATAGACTATAATTTTATTCGTAAACATTACTCATCAACAGAGTCTAAACTTTATATAAAACACAGAAAGCAAAACAGTATCCCTGATCCACCAGTTTTTAAATAAACCTGAGTCAATGAGAATGAATCACATGATGAGTCTGGAGACCACAGGAAGTAGGACCACCATATCATTTAAAGGTATTGCATTTGATAAGTCTTCCTACAGTACCTGCACCCTAAGGGAGGTATAGTCTCTCTTCCCATAGCATTAAAAATCTGCCATCCCATAACTTGAAGCTAACTGTCAAGGATGTATAGTACAAAGGCAGAAACATTTTATTTCA
Organism: Homo sapiens; assembly: GCF_000001405.40. Lineage (NCBI taxonomy): Eukaryota > Metazoa > Chordata > Mammalia > Primates > Hominidae > Homo > Homo sapiens. Next base: position 137,619,189 of record NC_000007.14, read on the forward strand.
AAGATTACGACCTTGTCAAGAAACCACTAAGGTTTCCCTGAATACTGAGGTGGATACTCACAAGGACAGGAAGTGCACTGGGGAGAACACAGAATGAGATTAGATATTAAGAGAATAAATTCTACTTTGCCTTAAGAAAAAAACAAATGTCACTCTCTAAGCAGGCCTGTGTATTCAGGAAGGTCATGATTCATGGTCTGCCTTCCAGGTTGGAAGTGGCAGGAATCTTAACCAAACCATGAAGCCTGAACAGTTTGCCCTCACACTGACCCTCTGGGAATGCCCAGGCTGGAAGAGAACAGAGTTGTATAAGCATCAGCTATACCCACCACTAGTACTCAATGAAACTTGGAAGAGCACCTATCAAAGAGAATATCATTAGCACATGAATGAGGAGGCAACATTCCTGCTCTAGAACTTTGAATTCATTAGGATGGGGAGGCTGGTTCCATGAGAGAGCCCAAAGTGGGAAAGAGATGGGCCAATGGGATGAACTGAGGAAGCTAAGCACAGGGCCTTGGGGATGAGTGAACTGAGGTCATAGGAACCCAAAGACTAGTCTGGGGAGAAAAGCACGAAGCAGCAGTTCATTTTTCTCTGCACTGGCCCAGCAGCACCAGAGTCCTGGCAGTTACCTGAGGTTTCTTCACCTTAATGATCCAAGTGGGCGGGACAATAACAGCAGCATGAGCCCCCAGGGAGCAGGGTTCTTCAATGTGATGCAGCATGAAGCAGGTCACCTTATTGTGAAACTGAAGAGAAAAATAAGCCAGTAAACAATTCTGGTCAAAGAGTAATGCTGCAGCAAGAAGGGATAAATATGTACACACGCACACACACACACACACACACACACACACACACACTCATTACATGCACAAAAATACATATGCATGCACACATGCACACATGGGCACACACTGAGGACTGAGGACATGCTTTCCTCATCACCACCCAGCCAGCCCCAGGAGCTTAGAGACCAGACTTCAGATTTATTCCGGTTTACAAACTTATAACATTGATAACAAGAAATCAGTCTAGCAGGATGAAGCCTGCTAAAACTTTCTAATCGTTGCATGGAATATTTACTTAAAAGTTTTAGAGTCTTGGAGGGTTCTATTAATCCTGATTTTGCACAAAATGTTCACATACACTTCCCTTGACCTGTGCTGGCCATGGACTTGGTTGATCTAAGATAACGTTAAGAAGGAAATGAACAGGCAGAAAGGCAATGCCTACCACCTGCCTTTCCTTTTCCTATCATAGATATAAATCCTCCCAGGTTGTCTTTCCGGTTTAGAGAAGGCAGAAAAGAAGCATGATGTCTCTTCTACAGAGTTGAAAATCCCAGAAGTAACAAAGTACAAAGAGATTGCTTCTGTTGGGTTTGTCTGGACTGCTAAAAAAAAAATTCAATGACCCTATTACTCTTGGCAAGTCTAAAGTGATTTTTGCTTTTGAAAGGAAGTAAATGTAGGCTAACGATCATAACAATACCACAGTATTAGGGTCTTAACTGTATACCCCAACAGTGACACTCAGACTGGTGACCTTAGGCCAGTCAAGTTTTCAACCATCTTTTGTGTGACTATAAAGTGATAGTGATGTGTAATAACATTTATTTTTCTGAAAAAGAAAACTAAAATCAACATTATGCAATAATTATAGGCCTTAAATTTTAATCACAGTGATTTTAAAAATTCAACCTCAGTTTCTTCTTAGATTATACTTCACGTAACTATATTATTTATCATTTTAACTGGAACAATGTTAAAAGTAAAAAGTATCACTGATAATAATTATGTTGAAAACACAAACACAAATTAGGACCGTCTCCAAAAAAACTGGCAAATATGTCCACCCTAATTACATTACATAACATTAGAGAGGTTTTTGTTTTCATTTCTACATGTCTTCAAGATCTGCTGTGATCCAGTGGCTAATCATTAATCAAGCAATTGTATATAAAATACTGGTAAAATAATTAATAATTCTGCCTGCCACCAGTTATTGGTGATCTGCAAACAAATATACCAGATAAATATTATTAACATTTGAATACCTTCTTTAAAAATTGCTTTTTTTTCTTGGCAATTCAAATAAACCCTCAAATGTATGACCACTGCATTTCTAAAACATTAGGGATCGCAGAGACTGCCTATGTCAAGTCTCTCAATGAATACTTAAGTAATCTCCACTCTAGAGACTCAGAGGTACATCCAAGATTGCACAGTTTTTAAATGATGGAATCAAAACCCCAACCCTGGAAATCCAGGTCCCAAACCCCATATTCTTTCTCCTGTACCATAAAGGGTCACATATTTATTTGCTTGTCTGACATCAAATATCCTAGAAGGGGTTCACCTGGACTGTGAAAACATATCAACCGCTGTAATTTGTGTTCAAATCTTTTGTACCTATTATCCTTACAAAAATCACCTTCTACAAGGTGGGAAACTGGGAAATTCAAAGATAAGTGGAACTGACCAAAGCTCTACCACAATGGTCAGGTGAAAGTTGTCCTTTGTAGTGATTCAGTTGGACTACAGATTAATAGAAAGAGAGCACACATGTTCATTGTAAAGTGGGATTGAGTTTCCAAATTAATTGAATCTGGATAGACCATCGCACCACAGCCTGGTAGCTGCACAGGGCAGGAGCAGATGCAGCCGATCTGAGCACACCGCTGCCCAGAAGGCTGCCCCACCAGTGGGGTCTCACCAGATTAGAAGAACCAGGAGCAAAGATAGCAGCACTGGGGACCCCAGGACCACAAATGGAGATATTGCCTTGCTGGTACAGAGTTTCATTCAATAACTAGGATGGCCTTATATTTGTGCACACATTCTTGAACAGAAGTGAAATGATTATTTGTGTAACAACTAACTGAAAGTAAATGAAAATGCCAGGAATAAAAAATGTCACAGGATTGTGATGCAGCGACACTGAGCTTTCCAGACCACCGAGTCTCTATCTAGTGACAGCAGGTTCTTCTGACATGTAGGAGGCTAGAGATATTATTAAGTTGAACTATATGGAACTGCCAAAATATAAATGGTTTTGACCCACAAAATGTCCATTTCATATGTTTCAACTAAATGCATCTGTTCCAGCCCCATGGCCTGTGTGGCTAGTTTAGCGTGATGTGTGTAGTGGCAGGAGTTTTCTGCAAACCTTTAACCTCACCAAGACACCACAGCCTTTTCTTTGCAGGTCCCCTGTGCAATGAAGGGGTTATATATTCCAACTTATTCAAAAGAATAGGGACATTGAGAAATTACAGCAGGCATCAGCAAACTTTTTCTATAAAGGCACAGGGAATAAATATTTTAGGCTTATGGGATCATCCACCTCTGTTGCAATTACTCATCCTTGCCATTGTAGCATGAAAGTGTCTATAGACAATACATAAATGAAAAAAAACAGCCACAGACAATATATAAATAACTGGGCATGGCTGCATTCCAGTGAAATTTTATTTACAAAAATAGATGGCAGCCAGACTTGGCCTACGAGCTGTAGTCTGCCAACACCTGGGTTAGACTATATGTTATGTGGTAAAAGAAAGAACAGGTACACAGGTACACATGTACAAACAAATAAGAAAATGTAGCATCTGGTACAGACCGAGGAATTACGCTCTAAATAAAGTGGGAAAAAAGGTAGATTAAAGAAAAATAAATAGGGACATTACCATCAGATCCTAATGAGTATATATATGTTCAAATGTAAGAAAGAGCTACATTTCAATGAGTGTACAGACAACATCCAAACCTAAAAAAGCATACAAGAACCACTCTTCTTATCCTCACACTTAGCCCCAAAATAAAAAGTCATGCACATTAAACATTAAAACCAGAAGAGCCAGGATTCCTGTCCACCTGTGTTGGAGGGACCTCTTAGGTCATACGTTGCTTTGCTTCTAATGTTGTACCTTCATACCAGAGGAGTTCTCAACAATACAGAGGTACTGGAGGGAAAATGTGGTCTAGGTGTGAGAAGTCCTCAACTCTAGACCCAGTGTTAGAATTAGGGGAGGATTTTCTAGTCTTTGACCCCAAGCTTTAATGTACATAAAATATAGAAGTTAATTTATCTCTCTAGTGTATCCCAGCTCATCTATGCTATTGTTCTATAGTTTCAGTCTGTCTTTCTTCCTCCAAGGATCCTATATGAGAAAAGCAATACATTAAATTAGGAATGCCTTCTACTTCCAGGGAGAAACTCAAATAATGACACAAGTGTATTTCGACAAAACATGAGCCCACATTGCTTTATTTCATCCCAATCTTACCGCCTGCTTGCACCAGGAACAGCTGATAGCCACAATCTCTTTACTGTGGAAGGAGAACTTTTGCTGGAAGCCCTGGGATATTAGAACAAGAGACAGATAATTTAAAACCACCTCAGTTACAGCGCACATTTGCCCTCCTGAAGTGCAATGACGTGAATAAGGCCAGAAGGCCAGGACTGTCACCCACCACTGGAGGTAAGTAGAATTGCAAAGGCCACATTGAGCACCACACTCTCCACTTTCTGCCTGCAATGATTTTCTAATCCTGAAGCATTTCAAGTGAGAGAGAGAGGAGGTGCTGGTATTTCCTAGACCACCTACTACTCAAAGTCAGCCACACAAAAAGAGCTTTTTGAAAAAATAAATGTTGTTCTGATATGTTTTTATTATAACCAAAGGAAAAGCCATTATTGGTTCACATGGTCTTGTCTAACAATAATCATTCATCTCAGAGGGTCTATACAACTTTAGCATCCGAGAACCCAGAAAAAAAAAAAGAAATGAAATATCAGAGAGACAATAACTGGAACTCCGGGTCTGGGAGAAGTCCAACGGTGTAGTAGTAAATTCAGACACTTTCATAAGCCCCTTGAGATGTCTCCACTCAAAACAAGCAGCTTTTAATTTTTATTCTTTACCAGGAAGCAACGATGAAATCAATGAAATGGTAAACCTAATCCTCTTAAAGGAACAAACTGAATTACTTTTCCATCCAGAACAGAAGAGGTGATTTTCGGCTGCTGCTGTCCCTAAATAATGGCCAGAGAGAAGTATGTAGTATTGCACAAAGAATTTTTTTAGCCTTCCCAAAGCTCATCCATTTCCCTCTGCCTGTGAAATCTAAACCCAAACAAAAAATTCAAAGCCACAATAAAAAATGTTAAAACAGAGCTTTTGTAAGGTGATCAAAAGAAAACAGAAAGATGTGATAGGCAGGAAAGCTATTCAAGGCACTGGCTAAGTAAGTCTGGCTTAATGTGTACAGATAATTTTAAGTTGAAAATCAATTACCACATTATTAAATTATGTCCCAATGGCATTTTTCAGCGCCCATAATCCCTGCCCATCTGCAGTACTTTATATACTACCGAGCATTTCCTCCTTTTGAACCTCTCTCGTTTTTGTTTTTGTTTTTTTTTTGAGACGGGATCTTGGTCTGTAGCCCAGGCTGGAGTGCAGTGACCCAATCTCGTCTCACTGCAAGCTCCGCCTCCCGGGTTCACACCATTCTCCTGCCTGAGCCTCCCGAGTAGCTGGGACTACAGGCGCCTGCCACCACGCCTGGCTAATTTTTTGTATTTTTTTAGTAGAGACAGGGTTTCACCGTGTTAGCCAGGATGGTCTCAATCTCCTGACCTCATGATCTGCTCACCTCGGCCTCCCAAAGTGCTAGGATTATAGGCGTGAGCCATCTCGCCCGGCCTTCTCTCCTCTCTTGATTTCCTAACACACCATCCCAGTTCTCTTCTACCTCTCCAGTCTTCTGTATGTGGACAGACAACCAGGACTGGTTTCACTACTTTTGCTCCAACCTGAACTACCACTTCCAGAGACATGACCTTAACGTCAGACTCTCCTGGGTTTTGAAAAATGTATCCATCAATACCTCCTTCTCAAAAACCTAAGCGGTATTTTCACTCCCTGTGCAGAAAAGAGTTAACATAGCAAATCAGACTCCTTAAAAAGGCTGCTTGCAGCTGGGTGTGGTGGCTCACGCCTGTAATCCCAGCACTTTGGGAGGCTGAGGCAGGCAGATTGCCTGAGGTCAGGAGTTCAAGAGCAGCCTGACCAACATGGGGAAACCCCGTCTGTACTAAAAATAGAGAAGTCAGCTGGGCTTGGTGGCAGGCGCCTGTAATCCCAGCTACTCGGGAGGCTGAGTCAGGAGAATTTCTTGAATCCAAGAGTCGGAAGTGGCAGTGAGCCAAAATCGTGCTACTGCCCCCTAGCCTGAGGGATAGAGCAAGACTCCATCTCAAAAAAAATAATAAAATAAAAAATTTAAAAAAAAATAAAGAAAGGCTGCTTGCAAGGTTGGCCCTTGGTTGGCATCTGGGAACTCGGATTGCAGGAGGGTTTCTCCAATTGACAGCACAGTTAAGAGAGTCTCATTGGGCCTAAACTGTTTGCACAGACTGGGCATGGTGGCTCATGCCTGTAATTCCAGGACTTTGGGATGCTGAGGTAGGCAGATTGCTTGAGCCCTGGAGTTTGTGACCAGCCTAGGCAACACAGTAAGACCTTATCTCTATATTAAAATTAAAAAAAAAAAAAAAAAGACAGAAAAGAAACTTTTTGCACCAATGTACATTTTGTCCTTCTGGAAGTCTGGAATTTTATTATGTGCAATGCAGAGACCTGCATACCTAACCCTTCGGCCCACTAGACTCTGTGTCCTCTTGTAAGCTGTTCTGTTTAGGCAGTTGCAACTCTTATGTGATTATGTGAAAAGTGCTTATGTGAAAAGGCCTCAATAAAAACCCTGGACACTGAGTCCAGTATTCCTTCCACATGTGTTTCACAGTACTTTGCTGGAGGAATTAGGCACATCCTGTGTGACTCTCCTGGGAGAGGACTCTTGGAAGCTTGTGCCTGGCCTCCTCCAGACTTTGTGCCATGAGCCCTTCCCTTTGTTGATTTTACTTTGCATCCTTGTGTTGTAATAAACTATAGATATTAGCACTATACACTGAGTCCTGTGTGTCCTCCTAGTGAATCACTGAACCTGGGGTGGTCTTGAGGACCCCTGATATGTTCCTCTCCTCCCAGATAAGGACTCCTGCTATTTCTTCCTCTGTCAATGACAGTATCTTTTCCCAAGAAGAAAAAAAGTGCTTCTGACACACACACACACACACACACACACACACACACACACACACGGACTTAAGTGCTGAATTTTGATGTCCATGTGTTTACTACTACAGGGCCAGCAACAACCCCCACAGTCCCCAACACCTGAGAGTTGCAACCGCCTAAACAGAACAGCTTACAAGAGGACACAGAGTCTAGTGGGCCAAAGGGTGAGGTATGCAGGTATTTTCCAAGATGATGCTAAACTGTTCAATATGAAATAAGATGGCACCAAAACTGCAGAAATGACTTCACATTGCAGCCATTTGAAAAGCTCCTCATCATCCCCCAAGCCATTTTTCAGGGAGCAAAAAAAGGCTACAGCGACACCTTGTGGCTACTGTGTGGGAAGGAAAAGAGCAGCAGAAGCCGGGGTGAGACCCGAGTGCCTCTGTCCAGTCCGGTATCACGCTCTGCTGAGGGTCACCTCCCATCCGGATTTTTGCTCCATTTTCTAACTTGTCCCTCCACTGATAGTCTGTTTCTCCCTTTATTCCTCACTCTATCCTGGGCACTGCCACCCGGTGAAATGATGCTTTCTAAGTTTCTGCCTCCCATTCAAAATACTTGAATGACACTTCTTTCCTTACAGATTAACAGAACAAGCTCTTCATGCAGGTATTCAGGGCCATCCATAATCTTCCCACCAATTTTCTGACATCTATCTTCCACTCCTTTGCATTATAAATTCCTGTCCGCAGTGAGACAGGTCTACTCATATCCACAATATGTTTTATTCTTTTATAGTTCTATTTATTTATTTATTTTTGGCTGTTTCTTCACTCCCAACATACCATCTAGAAACCTACCCCCATTTCATATACAGTATCTAAATTTTGCTTCCACTAAAAAATCTACAAGAGTCTTCCAAAATAACCTCAACTCACTGTGACCTCTCCTTGTACAGGCTTGCCTTGCCTCGTACCTACCCTTGCCATTATAAATAGCTGCCCTATGTGGCTGGTTATTTTGTGTGCACATGTATTATCTCTCAATGGAACTGTAAGTTCTTTGAAGGCAGTCAGTCCTTGTCTAGTTCTTAGCAAACTGGCATAGTTCTTTGAACATCATAGGCATGCCATGATATTTTCTGATTAATTGAACAAAAAGTTGCTGCTATTCTGTCATGATCTAATTACAAACTTCACGCTATCCAGACATTATAAGCCTTACCCAAGCCACCTGAAAATGTTTCCTCACAGCATCCTTCCAGGCAAAAAAACTAACCCCTACAGCCACTGCAAAGATGGTAGGATTCCGATGTTCATTTTTAAGTCCACAATATTAAAATGCGGCATGGATAAAAATCAATACAGTAGAATTTGTGGCAAGACAGCAGTAGTAGCCACAACTAGAGGTCTGCTAAATGTTACAGTTTTAAATGTATCATTATTAAGTCTTAAATGCAATCACCAGGCCACCATTCTCTCCACTTAGATATCAGATGGCTGTGCATGAAACAAAAGCTGAGGAGAGACGGCAAAGCTCAGAACCATTCTTGGATCTTCTTGTTGGCTGAGTGATCTTAGGCAAATCACTTAACTCTTCTAACTTCCTCTTTCATGAGAAAATGGGAATAATAATACAAACCTCTCCTATAACACTAAGTGGTTATAAGCATCAAATGAGGCCATGCATTTAAAACTCTTTATAACACTTTACCTACTTATGTATTTAATGTGTGTTTATATAAAGCTAAGGAGTGCTTTTATTGCCAAGATCTATGAACAAGAATCTCTTCCACCATCTCGCCGAGAAAGCTTTCTGGTGTCTAATATGTGACTAAGTGATGCTCTACTCAATGATATAGGGTGAGTGTATCTAGCCCCACCTCGCTACTAAGTATTAGCCCTCTGGTTTTTGGGAGAGAATAGATACAATACACTGTGGTACTAACAGCCAGACCGATACTAGAAACAAACAATAAGGCCAATCACAATTGGGGCACTGGGCACTACACTTATGCAGTATTGTGGCAGGGCCCTTGGCAATGAGCCTGGTGGTAATCAACTCTGTGCTTTGTTTTAGATTCTTGTCTGGCAGACTCACAGCAACCATAGCTTCGGGCTTATCATCTAACACAGAGACATAAATAGAGCACATCAGAGCCTTCATGGACCAAGTTCCCATTAAACCACCTGCTATAGGAAGACTCTGGCCAGGCTCTCAGCATGCCAAAATGAACCAGATTCCCAATTACTCATTTTTAAATGTTGGCCCAAATCTGCTAATATGGTACTGACAGATGCCCTGACTGAAGTTCAACCGACTCTGTGATTTTTAAGAGCTGTTTAGTTCAGTACCGTCAAAGAGGAAAATAGGGATGGGAGGCCAGATGCTTTGGATCCAACTGACTTCAGGATTAAAAATACCAAGAACATTGAGGAATAAGGTCTTTTTTTGTTCTTTGGGATTTTTCAATCAAATTGAGCCTTTGGAATAAAGTTTAAACCAGATTTATTCTGAGTACTAAAGTTTTGTTGCCTTCTGACTTCTTCTGTCATCTAGGGCAGGTACCAGAGGGCACTCAGTTTTACAGCCTTGGCTGAAACCAGAAAAAAAAAGGGCTTGACTTAAGATAAGCTGAATTTATTTCATTATTTCTGTATTTAACTTTGTTTGGGGTGAGAGAATATTCTGACCATAGGCTGATTCCCTATTTGATCTGATTTGATCCAACACAAGAGTTGATATTCCTCCTACCTCCAAAACTTTAAACAACAAAATAAACCTCTCCATATCCACTAGCGTGTCCAAGGCTCACAAAGTATTACAAAGGACAAACCCATGGAATTATAAAATAAGACTGACTCAATTTGCTTTCGTTAATATTTATCTTAAAACACAGAACTCCAAACATTTCTACACAAATACTTCCTATGATTTTTGAAAAAAAAAAAGTACTTTTATGTATTTTATATTTCATCTCTAAAATGTTTATCATACATTTAATTAATGGCAAAGTTAAGTTTCTAGCAAAATAAGATGAAAATTTTAAAATCAAACTGTTGGACCACATATAAAGGTATTCTATGGGATAGCAATAACATAGTGATTTGGTACACACTAGTGTCAAGACAATTTTTCCATTTTCACTTTGCTTGAAGACCTCAAACTGGTTGTGGTGTTTCAACATAATTGCTTCCAACCCTCCGAAGTTGACAAACAACTGTGATGTTTGGGCATTCCACCAGTGGAAGCAGATAAGCAACTGAGACCTTCACGTGACCCAGGTACAGACCCACACCAACCTAACTGAAAACTTTTTTCAGTGATAAAAAGTGGCATTTGTTTTAACCAACTATCTACTGACTTACGGACTATATCTGTCTTATCCAGAGTGTAGCCTTCAGTTTTTAACCAGCAAAACCCACCATAACCCAACTCCCTAATACATACACAAATTATTGGCTTTTTCCTTCAACAAATTATTCAGCCTAGTTTTCTGCTGATATGTGTACCCTTGCCTGGTAATGTGACTAATGTGAAACCTTGAAAATTAGGCTGGTTTGATAATATGCCTTTTCCATAGTTTTCTCACAGTGTAAAAATGGTAGCATAATATTCTAGACTTTGCAAAACTAGGGTTTATTTACCCATAGAAAACCTAAGTTTTCTAAATTTCCTAAATTTTCTATACAAATTTTACTAGTCTTAAAATTGTTATAAATATTCAAGATCTTCAAAATGTAAACATATATATTCATCTATATTGGATTATAGTAAACAAGATCTTTATAATTTCTGACAGTGTTGCAAATTAGCTGAATCTAGATAGTTACTTTATTAGAATCATCTTTGAAAAATCTAAATGCATGTCTCTTGGATTTAATTACAATATCTTTTATGGCATTAATAAAAGACTCTGAAAGTTTTTCAGTGCCCTTACTGTCTATAATATTTTCCCGTTCCAGAGGAATCAAGGATTTATGTCCATAGATTGACATTTTTTTACCCCTCTGTATTCTAAATTCCTCCATTCTAATATTGTTGGTAATCACAATATATTATTAATCAAAGCCAATCACCCCCATCATCCTGAGAAAGGTTTTGCTTTTTCCATTCATTTATCTGAAGGCTCCTGCTGCAAGCTATAGATCATTCAGTCTTCTGGGGAAAAACATCAAAAATTTAAGGCACAAGATTCTCAGTACAACTTAACAACTCTTACCACAAATGTGTCATGCTGTATGAAACAACTAAGGCATAGCTTCCACGATATCTTCATTTCAGAAGCAGATGCCTTCGTGGAAACAGACAACTTAACCCAAGACCTTGGAATTGAGATAGACACCTATAACAATGGCAACTGATGTACATTTTAATTTACATTAACTATTTTTAGCTATAATATTTATATTTCATATTGCTATGACTATCCTGATATTAGGACAAAAATATTTTTTTCAGATAGTTAGTGCTATATTCAATAAGGCCAAAATCATATATGAACCTTTACCTGTTGGGTTTATATCTTTGTCCTAGAACACCAGGAAGGTTTCTTTTATGAAAGTATTACCTTAGTAAGGCAACTAGCTATCATTATGACAATGCTGATCCATGAAAATTAATTTCCACCTCTGATTAACTCATAATAAACTTACCAATAAAAATTATCATTTTAATGCTAATAATATTCACAAAGCAGGGTTTTTTTTGAAAAAAAGACTAGTTAAAATAGTTTAAATATTTTTGAAAGATAGGATTGATGTTAACAGAGTTACCAATGACAAATCAGTTAAGCCACCTAACATATAATCTTGCCGATGGTGTGACATTACAGGAAATAATTGTCTTTACTCTTTAGCCTTAGCTCGTTGATTGCAGAAAATGCTCTTCTGCTGGTAGAATTATCTACACTTCCTTTTTGTGTAAACATAGACTATTTTGCTATACTAGTTCCCAGACAACTGAGAAGGAGACTTTAAAATTTCCCAGAATTACTCAGATTGTGCCCCTCCTTGCTTCATGAATTTATGTCAAGGTGACATTAGCATGTAATATATGCCTTAGAGGGAGAAAAGAGTCTGCTCTCTAGAAATAGTTTTGACTTCACTTTGGGGTTTTACTACATCTACTCTTCCCAGTAGTATCTCAAATGATCTAATAATCTTTGCAGAGCAATGTGCCTGATCAGGGAAGGTGAAGAGGCTGCTAAGAGTGAAAAAAACTACATCTCAAAAGAACTAGCTGCAGGACCTAATCACTATGTACTAGCAGGAATGGGAGAGAGTGGGGGACTGGATCCTGAGGGTGAAGGATGAAAAAGGGCAGAACTTAGAGTTGGATAAAGGAGAATTTCCCATTGTGGGAGCACTAATCTATACTAGAGGATTTAACACATTATCAAGAACCCTAGAAGATGATAACACCAGGGTGCCTCTTGAAAATTTGAACAAAAAAAAAATGAACCATGTTAAGTAAAGTAAAAATGCCTGAATTGCTGTGACAGAGGAAGAAGCAAACCAAATCTCAGAACTAGGCAGGCTAAAGCTGCTATATTAGGTACAGCTGAAAAGCCCATCAGCTGACTATGATCTGCCAGAGGCCCAAAGGACACTCCATTTACCAAAGCAATAAGAAATGTGCTGGTGAGAAGAGCACCAACATTGTTGGGAAGTTCAGAGGTGGCTCTCCCTCGTAGGTTAGACCTGATGCTAGGAAACACCTTACAGATTGGGCACTCTGACAGTAACTGGAATATAGAATTCTAAAATAATAGCACTAAACCATCAAAACAAAGTGGGTGCACTTACTGTAAGATTGAAGTTGCAAGGGGACTTGACCTAGAGAGCTATGGAAATGGTTAACATAGCATGACATCCCTACAAGAAAGATGGATTATCGGATAAAAGAGACATTCCTCAATTAATAGAATCAGAAGACATCAAGAATGGATGATCAAGAGAGATGAGGGCAGATGTTGCAATAAAAAGTCATAATCTTTTGCTCTGTTTCTCGACCTAAGCTAGTTTTCAAAGACAGAATCCATTGATTGAAGGAGAGGGTAAGTCCCCAGGAGAAGAATCTTACAATAACACAGCAAGAGTCTATGGTAACACTTTTCTGGTCTTTAACTAAAAGGACCTACATCCATTAACTTGGGTAGTTGTATGCTGAGGAGAGAGAGAAATGTCCAAATATTCTAAAGACTAATGGACAACTGTACAAGTTGACATGTATACCCTGGGTATGAAGCAGCACCAGGTATCTAATGGTCCCCTATTAAAATAAAGATACAGGCCGGGCATGGTGGCTCACACCTGTAATCCCAGCATTTTGGGAGGCCAAGGCGGGCAGATCACGAGGTCAGGAGATCGAGACCATCCTGGCCAACATGGTGAAACCCCGTCTCCACTAAAAATACAAAAAAATTAGCTGGGCGTGGTGGCACACGCCTGTAGTCCCAGCTACTCAGGAGGCTGAGGCAGGAGAATTGCTTGAACCCAGGGAGCAGAGGCTGTAGTGAGCCGAGATCATGCCACTGAACTCCAGCCTGGGTGACAAAACAAGACTCTGTCTCAAATAAATAAACAAACAAACAAACAAACAAACAAACGTGAGGCCCAGTTAAACAAAAAAAAAGCAGGAGTCTAACCAGGGGCAGTGGCTCATGCCTGTAATCCCAGCACTTTGGGAGGCCGAGGTGGGCAGATCACCTGAGGCCGGGTGTTCAAGACCAGACTGACCAACATGGAGAAACCCTGTCGCTACTAAAAATACAAAATTACTCGGGCGTGGTGACGCATGCCCATAATCCCAGCTACTTGGGCCACTGAGGCAGGAGAATTGCTTGAACCCAGGAGGCGGAGGTTGTGGTGAGCTGAGATTGCGCCATTGCACTCCAGCCTGGGCAACAAGAGCGAAACTCGTTCTCAAAAAAAAAAAAAAAAAAAAAGCAGGAGTCCTAGACCAGGGCTGGTTTTCAGAGAGTCTACTGGTTCCACAAATCCATCAGTATTAATTTCCTTTGTCCTCAATTGTGTAAGTGGAGTGAACAGACTTGGAAACTGGCACAACCCCAAGACTGGTTTCTTGGTCTGTTGTGTAAGAGGAAGCCCAAGTGAAAGCTTCAAACCATCCTTCTAGCCATAACTAAATCAAAATCAATGTCACATTCTTAAGAAGTAATAGGCATTAAATTTATCTTAATTTTGAAAGCTCTGACGATGGTATTGTGTTTACATTTCCAAAATTATCTAAGTGCCACCCTTAAAGACTAAAGGAAGCAGGAGGCAGAGGTGGTGTACTCCAACATATCCCCATTTAATTCACCAGCTGAGATCCCATAAAACCAAAGACTGGAGAATGGTGCCTGAATATCACAAATTTAACCCAGTACACTCTATTTGCAGCCACTGTGCCAAATTTAGAATATTTCAGCCTTAAGTACATGACATTTGGCAAATGAATTTTTTCCATCCCTCTCTGAAAGGAGAATTCAAAACTATTTGCAAGTGCTTTCAGGGTTAACAGTACATTTTTACAGGCATGTACCAGGGCTTTCAACTCTTCTGAATGTTATCCAGATCTAATGCAAAGGAACCCGAACTGTGTGAACATTCTGTAGAACATCATTTGGTCCACCATATCAGCAGCATCACATTAAAGCAGATGAGCAAGAAGTGGAAGGTACATCAGAGGTCCTGGTGAGAAGAAAGGTGGGACATAAGCCCTATGAAGAGTCAGGGGTCCCCCATGTCAATGAAGCTTCTAGGGGTCAGTAGTCCAAGGTATGCTAGAATATCCTCTCCAATCTAAAGAAAAAATTATTGCATTTCATAATTTAAACCACTAAGAATGAAACACAGCACTTTATTTGGCCTTTCTGGGTTCTGGAGGCAGCACATTCTACATTTAGGAATGTGATCCATTTATTGGATGACATTAAATGCTGCCAGCTTAGAATGGGGCCCAGAGCATGAAACAGTGCTGCAGCAGGTCCAGCCTGCAATGAAAGAATCCCTGTCACTCCATGTGATTAGAAATTTAGAGAAGGAGAAAAGATGCCCTGTGATGCTTATAACAAGCACCAATAGGAAAATCAACACAGACTCTAGGATTCTGAAACAAGGTTGTGCTATCTGCAAGAGGGAACTATACACCTTTCAAAAATATTTTCTGGCAGGTTACTGTACTCTGGTGGAGAAATACCTGTCCATGAATCATCAGGTGTCATGAGCTGAGTTCTGTCAGATCACTACATCATAAGGTTGAGTGAGCCCAGCCTTAATCCATTGTTATAGTAAGTGGGACCATCTGAGATCTGGAACAAGCAGTACCAGGGATGCATGAGTAGGTGG
Organism: Homo sapiens; assembly: GCF_000001405.40. Taxonomy (NCBI): domain Eukaryota; kingdom Metazoa; phylum Chordata; class Mammalia; order Primates; family Hominidae; genus Homo; species Homo sapiens. Next base: position 137,634,639 of record NC_000007.14, read on the forward strand.
CTCAGATCACCCACATTATCCACTATTATTACAGTACCAGGTCTCTCATTCAACTCACCTCTGGAAAAATGGGAGTACTGAATGACGAGCTCAAAGAGGAGGAAAATGCTGAGATTGGTTCATGCATGGATCAACTTGGTATATACGTCCAGGCCAAAAGTAAACTACTGCTGCACTGAAGCCTACTCAGGAGTGGGTCCTAGAGACAGGAATAATAAGAAATCCTCCTCATGGGCATAACTTCAGGTGAAGCAAATTGTCATCCCATTTATGTGAAAAGATAGGTGGCTTGACATAGAATATATAATGATGCACAGGCAGTGATAAATGGCAAGGCTGGTTGGCCAGGGCCCTGGAGGGAAACAGGAGGTCTAGGGAAGAGGTATAAGGAAGGACATATGAAAGTAAGTACAAAGAGTGAAGATTATTGCACATTAATTCCTACCAGAGAGCTTTCCCTTTGTAAGAACTAAAATCTTAGACACAACGCAGGTACCATACTGTGTCATGAGCCATCCCATTGATGGATGGTGCAATGGGCTTGTAAGTGCAGTACCCTTGGTGGAGTGATGGATGCTATATGTGGGTCCAATAGCATGGGTGGCCAGTCACCAAAACTGAGCTGGCTCCTGCCACTGCTGAATTTCTAACCTGCCAGCAAAAGACACCAAAGCTGAGAATCCAATATTGCATCATCCCTCAGAGAGAACAACCAGCTACTTTGAGGCAAACTGATTACACTGAAGCCCCTCCGCTTTAGAAGGGGCAGCAACTCATCTTGACTGGAATCAATGCATATTCAGGATATGGGCTTACCTCTCCCTTCTTCAGGGCCTCAGTCAGCACCACTATGCAAGGGCTTACGAAATGTGTGACCCACGAACATAGGATCCTGCACAACATTGTGTCAGACCAGGGAAATTATTTTATGGCATAGAGGTGCAGAAGCGGCCATGTGACCATGAGATCCACTGGACTATCACGGCCTACACCATCCAGAAGATGAAGGCCTGACAGAGAGATGGAATAATCTTTTGAAAATATAACACTGGCTTCAGCTTTGAGAAAATATCCTATGAGCACCATCCACCAGACTCAGTATGTTTACTCACTAAATCTATGATCATTTCATGGTGCTGTGTCTCCATGACAAAATACAGAAATACAGAAACCAGTGAGAGAAAGTAACAGTGGCTATGCCTACTGTGGCCCACTTTGGGAGTTTGTGCTTCTGGTCCCCAGAGCTCCGGGCTTTGAGGGTCTAAATCCCATGACGGTGAATTTCTTCGTCATGGGACTTAACAGGAAGCTCTTAAACTTTAAGCTACTGCTGCACCCAGTTACTTTGGAATTTTTGTGTTAAGAGACTAGCAGGCACAGAAAGGAGCCAGCATCCTGACAGGAGTAATTGATCCTGATCATTAGGCACAGATCTAGCTGTTACCTGACAACAGAAGCTGGAAGAATACATCTGGTAACCAGGAAATCCGCTGGGACAGGCTTTGTAATGCTATGAACAATTTTAATAATAAATAGACAACTGCAGCAGCCAAGACCAGGGAATCAGACTGCAGAGAGATAACGGTCTTGGTCCGCCTACCAGGTAGGTCACCTAGACCAGAGGCACTAGTTGAGAGTGAGGTGAATCCAGGATAAGTGGTTGAGGAGAGAGATGATGAATATCAGTAGCAGATGTAAGACCAGCTGCAACCATGGGGGCTATAGTTTATCCCATATCCTTCCTCTTCTATGTTTCCCAGGAAATGTGACCAATCAGAACCCTGAAAGAGCTGCTCTAAAAATGTACGATACAAAACAAGGTACTCTGAGTAGCACCAGGAATGGACAGTATTGAATACTGTGGCTTTCCACCCAGATAACTCTGCTTCAGGCCTGAGCCACTCATCTCATTCCCTCAGTTGAGAAGAGTCTTGGAAGCTGAAGGTCTTCAAATGAGTCACCCTCCCATCTTCAGGAATTGCCCTGAGCCTAAAAGAGTCACTTGAGCTGATGCAGCTTGGATATCTGTCCCCTCTAGAATCTCCTGCTGAAATTTGATCCCCAGTGTTGGAAGTGGGAACCGTTAGGAGGTGTTTGGGTGATGGAGGCAGATCCCCTATGAGTGGCTTGGTGCTGCATTCACAGCAATGAGTGAATTCTCTATTAGTTCCAGTGACATCTGATTGTTGGGTGACACTGGCACCCCTTTTCTTTCTCTCTTGCCATGTGATCTCTACACTCAGGGCTCCTCCTTCCCCCTGCACCACGAGCAGAAGTTTCCTGAAGCCCTCACCAGATGCTGGTGCCATGCTTCTTGTACAGCCTGCAGAACTGTGAGCCAAATAATCCTCTCTTCTTTATAAACTACCCAGCCTCAGGTATTGCTTTATAGCAATGCAATGAACGAAGACATCGGCCAAGGACAGCCCTCGCCCAGTTGTGGGTCAAGGCCAAGGTCAAGTCCGGGTAACTCTGAAGGGCTCTTCCAGTTCCCCATGGAGTTGGCTAAGGCCTCTGTTGTGACTGCCCCACAGTTCAACACCTCCCTCTACCCAGTCCTGGTGCTTTTACTTCCTTACCGGTGTCACTTCTGAGATCACTCAATAAACTTCATACACATAAATCTCAACTCCGAGTCCGTTTCTTGGGAACCCTGAGCTAAAATAATGGTTTGGATCTGAAAAGGTAATAATATGCCTATCTTTTTATTGGAGAAGACCATGAAAAAGGAAACATTTTCCATGTAAAAGGAAAACTGTCCTCTCAACAATACCACTTGCCTAGTAGATATCAAAATGGAATGCTGTGTTTAAACCAAAATTGCTTTTAACCAGCTGAAACTAATAAAGAAGAATTACACCTGTTTACTAGACTTTCATCAAAATAAAAAACTTTCCTAACCAACTGCTAAACCAACTTGAAGGTACTTTTAGACTTACCTGACTTGTTTAATCAACTGTGGATGTACTTTTGGATTAATCCTGCCCTATAGGGAGTGAAAGCTCCAATTATTAATCAGCAGAACCTTGATTTTTGCTTCTCAGCTAACTATTCAGCTCATATTTCTCTGCCTGGATTATAAATAAACTAAGCACTGGCTTTGCTCATCACTGTGGTGGTCAATTTAAAGAATACATAACATGCTTTTTCTTTAACAAGAGAGAATTTTATATCATTTCTTTTTCTTCCTTGAAATCATATTTCATTTCATTGTTTTTTTAATTAAAGGAGATTTTTTTCTGACATCAATATTTCATGTCTGTTTGACATCCCTAGGGTTTTACACCTGGGGCAAAGACTGAAAAGAATGATTTCCGTCATAAGCGGATTGAAGAAAGGCAATTTGGAAAGGGAGGTCAGCGCAAAGAATCACAAAAGTGTTCTCAGGCAGGTCAGATTCAGGTTTTAATAAAGAGACAAACGGTAAATGAGGATTTGGGAACTGCTTCCCTTACCCCTTTCCAAGCCTGCCTGCCCTAGGGAATCCCAGTGTGTCCCAGGAATGAGCACAGCTCAGCTTGTAAATATCAGCTTGGTGGCTTCACAACTCCTCCTTTTCATTCTCCAGATACTCTTACTCATTTGCTGGTGGCTCTCTGGACCTTTCTGTCCCTTTGCTTCTCACCTTTCACCTCTTCGTCTCTTCTTTCCTCTCCATATACATTTTGTTCATGTTCCTCCTCCAATTTTTATCTTAAATGTCATTATTTTCTTCATTTCCCCAATGCTTCTTTTTTTTTCTATTTTTGCCCTTTTATGAATTTTCAGTCTCTTATCTGGCAAGAACAACTATATATATATATATACACACACACATATATATGTGTGTATATATGTGTGTATATATATACACACATATATATGTATATATATGTGTGTATATATATACACACACATATATGTATATATATGTGTGTATATATATACACACATATATGTATATATACACATATATACATATATGTATATATATACACACACACATATATATGTGTGTATATATGTGTATGTATATACACACATATGTATATATACACACGTATGTACACACAGATACATATGTACGCACATAGATATACATATATACACATTACATATGTAAATAACTATAACATGTTAATTATATATTTTATACAGAGATATTTATTATGTTGTATGTATATATTTTTATAATTTCTCAGTTTTATATGCCTTATTAATTTAAAAGGCAGAGAAGCTGTATATTTCTAATTTCTCTCTTAAAAAATACTAAATTTTTTATTATTTGTACATAGTCTATAATTGATTTGCTTTTCATGAGGAAACTAGCTCTCCTCACCTGGCATCCAAATATGAGGTGCACATTTACCATACACTGCTTTACATATATGATCTCATCTATCTGACAGTAATTCTAAATAGGAGAAGAACACAAAGATTTCAAAAATGTTTAGATTTGCTTTTCTGATTGTTCATCTACACCTAAATTACTATATTTGAAATAGTCATTTTGATAAAATGTTTTTACTTGCTAATATCTAGTTTATACTTCAATCAAATTCAGCAACAGAGAGAGCAAAAACATATGAAATATGCAATGAGATCAGTCCCTTAAAAAGACTGGAATCAAAACCGGAGATTTATCATGAGACACATGACTTGGGCCAGATTCTCCAAAAAGGAGGGTAAATATGTAGAAGCAGAATCAGCCCTGCTGAGGAAGTGAGGAAGAAGGACAGAAGCCATTTGTCTCTGAGGACCATCTGATCAGGGAACAAAGAGGCCATTTGCTTGCGTACCTGGAACCTTTTGGGATTGGGACCTTGTGTACCTGGAACTTTTTGGGACCATGTCCCCCATCATGATCAGGGAGCAAAGGGGTCATTTGCTTGTGTACCTGGGACCTGAACACCATGACAGGAAGTGTCCTCATTGCCACCCTGGCCTGAGGTTTGGGCCTCTGCTCCCCGTGCAGGTCATCTGGGTTCACAAGTACCAGCAGGCCCAACAGCAGCAGCCAGAAGAAGGTAGACAAGTGGGCGGGAACTACTGAAGAAAGAACAAAGGGCCCCAGGGTGACCAGGGCACTGTATTTGCTGCGATGACCAGGATAGTGACCACACCAAAGACCCAGGGAGCAGTGACAGCAGTAAAATGGTTCTACAGATGAAAACTGGGGACTGCAGCAAGGACCCTTTAGCCCCCATCCTCTTTTCTTTTAAAAAAAATTCTTTGGGGGTATAATTTACATTAAAAAACTGTACATACTTCATGTACACAACTTGATGAGTTTGGAGATAAGTATTCACCCATGAATCACCACAATCCATGACAAAAGCATATCCATTACTCCAAAAATGTTTTCCTGCCCTGTTTATTTATTATTAGGTTTTTTTTTTTTTGGTGGTGGTAAGAAGACTTAACAGCACAACCCTCTCAGGAAATTTTGAAGTATTCAACACAGTATTGTTAATTACAGGCACTATGGTGTACAGTAGATCTCTAGGCCTTACTCGGCTTGCATAACTGAAACTTTGTGCCCTTTGCCTAATAATTCCCCATTTCCCCCTCCCAGGACGAATCTATAGGATATTACACTGAAGTGAAATAAGACACAGAAGGACAAACACTACATGATGCCACTAGTATGAGAAATCTAAAATAGTCAAAACTCATAGGAGCAGAGAGTAGAACAGTGGTTGTCCTTGTCCCCCTTCTTGATACTCAGCCAAGGAGAGAAGGGCCAGGCTTCCAGCAGTCATGTGGGCAGGGGCTTTATGGAGCATCCTGGATTCCTTGCCCTTGTACTGCCCTCTCTCTACCTACTCGTAATCCTCCTGAGGCTACTGGGAGAGGATTCCTTTGCTATAGCTGCACAAACACACAGACAGGCAAATAACCAAACCTGCCCAATGAGTGCATGGATCCTCACCCTTAAACGTCCCTTCCTTGTCCTTAACCTTAACTCCCAGGGTACACATTTTCAGATTAGTAGAGTACATTGCTTTAAGTTGATAAGGGGACATTCCTGAAAGGCCCAAGTCAGTATTTTCCATTATTTTTATACTCTGTAATCCCTTTCACTACCCATGTAATATCCCAACTGCACTCCCATGAACTAGTTTTAAACACTTTGGCATTTTTGTGTATAATTTACATATTGTACCCTAAGTTCACTCTCAAGTTAGTTTTTAACAATATTTACTAAAAATAAAGAGTAGTTTTGATGTTTTCCCATTTAATAAACACAGCATGCTATTTAAACAATATATGAAAATACATACTATTTATGGACAAATAATTCATATTAATGTAGCATGTTTGGTTAGGGAACTGATATGGTTTGGCTGTGTCCCCACCCAAATCTCATCTTGAATTGTAACTCCCACAATTCCTACATGTCATGGGAGGAACCCGGTGGCAGGTGATTGAATTATGGGGGCGGGTCTTTCCTGCACTGTTCTTGTGATAGTGAATGAGTCTCATGAGCTATGATGGTTTTAAAAATGGGAGTTTCCCTGCACAAGCTCTCTCTTTGCCTGTCACCATCCACATAAGATGTGACTTGCTCCTCCTTGCCTTCCACCATGATTGTGAAGCCTCCCCAGCCACGTGGAACTGTAAATCCAATAAACCCCTTTCTTTTGTAAATTGCCCAGTCTCGGGTATGTGTTTATAAACAGCACGAAAACAGCCTAATACAGGAACTGAACAGTATAAAAAATGTAGACAAAGTTTAACTATGTATTACAGGTTGAACATCCCTAATCTGAAAATCAAAAATCCAAAATGCTTCAAAACCCAAAACCTTTTGAGTGCCAACATGATGCCACAAGTGGAAAATTTCACACCTGACCTCATGTGATAGCTCGTAGTAAAAACGTTGTTTCATGCACAAGATTATTTAAAATATTGTATAAAATTACCTTCAGGCTTTGTGTTTAAGTGTAGCATGAAACATAAATGAATTTCATATTTAGACTTGGGTCCCATCCCCAAGATATCTTATGTATACGCAAATGTTCCAAAATCTGAAAAAAATCTAAATCCAAAAAACTTCTGGTTCCCGGCATTTCAGATAAGGGATATTCAATGTGTATACTGCATTTAAAACTGGCTTCAAGAATTGATGTTGGAAATTTTTAAATTTTGATTTTCAAAAAGTTAGCTTGTTTATTTTTATAACTTTTACATATGAAGAAATAAAAGATAAGCTTTTAAGTTGTGATTTACAAACATATTTTCACAATTACCATAATGCTAGGTTTGGATGTTTGCTTCCCTCAAAAAATGAAGAGTCAAAATAGCCATAATCATTACTATATTTTTTGAATATAGATTTTTTGAAGCACTATAGACAACTCAGTGTTTCATAAATTTTGACTGAATGAAGGCAATGTGTAGATCTAGTGAAGATCAGAGACATGTTTACAGCAAAAGTATGCATTCTGCCTCCAACCATTGATTGACTACAGGTTTGCATTAAACAATATGTGCTAGATCAATTCCATCTGCCTCTCAAGTTTTACTCTCCATCCTTCTCTACTCAATGACTCATTGTAAAGAGTTGGCTTTTATGGATTGCATCAAACAATCCCTTGTGCTATGGTTTCTGTTGGGTTTGGCCACTAGAACATGAAGATATGTGGAGCTGGGTATCTACTGGGTATCTATTTCTCCAGGCTCTAGGTCACCACAGGCTGGCTGAGTCTTGTGACTGAAAGTTGCAGCTCCTGGGAAGGGGTCCTCTCCATCTCCTCACCTCTTCAGGCTTAGCTTGACCACAGCTCTCTGACATTAGTCACAGTGTTCTCCATTTTTTCTTGTGGTTCCACCCACCATCCCCCATGCTTTTCACACATTTTAAATATTCTCCTCATTAAACTCTCATCAAATTACATAATTTGAACTTGAGCATTTTGGCTCTTTTCTGCCTTGACCCTGACTCTTATGTAATCAAGGACTATGAATGACAATGAAAAACCACAGAAGGGTTATAAACCTAGTAGCCTGAGGCATTCGGCTAACGTTAAAGGAACTGAGCAATTAAATCATGAGTTATCTCATCTGATCTCTGTTAAATGCCACACACACTCAGCCAAACACATATTTAAGGCAAGAGAAAATCAGTCCAAACATCATTTTATTGTTTATTTTAAAAGCAGAAATGGAAACCACAAACACTCTTTAACCATAAACACTTCCTAAAAAATCTGTAAAGTTTGCAAGCCATCAGTTGGAAAAAAAAAAAAAAGTTTTGCTAAGTGAAGCAATTATTCTTCACTCCATCCCAATGAGTAAATTATGGAATAGTGTGTGTGTGTGTGTGTGTGTGTGTGTGTGTGTGTGTGTGTATGGGGGATGGAGTGAGGTTTAAAAGTCTATGAATATGGGCCGGGCGCGGTGGCTCATGCCTATAATCCTAGCACTTTGGGAGGCCGAGACGGGCGGATCACGAGGTCAGGAGATCGAGACCATCTTGGCTAACACGGTGAAACCCTGTTTCTACTAAAAATACAAAAAATTAGCCGGGCGTGTTGGCGGGCGCCTGTAGTCCCAGCTACTTGGGAGGCTGAGGCAGGAGAATGGCATGAACCTGGGAGGCGGAGCTTGCAGTGAGTGGAGATCGCGCCACTGCACTCCAACCTGGGAGACACAGCGAGACTCCGTCTCAAAAAAAAAAAAAAAAAAAAAAAAAAGTCTATGAATATGAATAAGAAGGTACAACACTACTGATGAAAATTATGTATAGCACCAATGTTTGGAGTGAATTTTCATTACTTAATCTGTAAATGGAAATAGAGCCATAGCTTTCCTGTCCAGGGTGGAAGCTGGAATCCAAGGAAGGGTAATTTATTATGTGGCAAGGAGACAATCCCACCCATCCCATAATTGTTTGAGTCTTGAAGAATTCATGGAGAAGCTGCATTATAAACACAAGAGATGACTATAATAGTGCAATATTTTTGAAACATGATGTGACAAGCTGGATCACTGACTTCCCCACTGACGACGGACGTGCAGCGAGCTGTGCTCATGGCATGATGGCTGGCTGAGAACACTGGCAGGAAAGGACACACAGCAACTCAGGGTGGAGGAAGCCCAGTTCTTCCTGTTCAGTTGACCATGCCAACAAGAGGCCAGAAGAGAGTGCAATATGGCACTAGGGAACACTTGTCTCAAAGTATAAAATGTTTATTGATTTTCTTTTAATAAAATCCCTCCCACTCCATTATGGCTTACATTATTGAGGTGGTGCCAGCTACTGGGCTCCAGTGAAGATATTTTTCCAAAGTGAAGGACCTATTCATCCAGATTCTTACTACTCTTTACATCTCTGACCCAAAAAATGGCTATGCCTGCCCGGCTGCAGCATACTGTTACCCTCACATGCATGCACACACACACACATGCACACTTATGGGAAAGTTACAGTCGATGATTCTTGAAGTAAAAGAAAATCCATAAGCCCCAAGGCAACACCTTGGAAGAGGTTGATGGACCCAAGAGAGAAAGGTCATGTGAGAGTAGAGGTGTGACCTCCTTTTCCCCAGGACATGTAGGATGGCCAATAAGAATCAGTACAAATCTTTCCACTTCCCCCTTCGGCCTTGTTTACTTTGTTTTATTTCACCCTGCTTTCACCCTGTTTTGTTCATCCTCTTTACAGGATAAAAGAGAACCAACTGAGAGCCACAGGGTTGAACTGGAGAACAAAATACTGGTTACAATGGAGGCCTATGCCCTGGAGGCTAAGGTGTGTAGCCTTCCAGAGAAGACCTTCATAACCAATGGTTACAGCATATTTTCTTCCCAGGCATTGGGCAAAACAGCAAAATTAATGCAATTTTTTCCAAGTCTCCCTCCCTCACCCTCCACAACCATATCTCAGGCAGCCAATATTTCCTTGCATTGCTCTACTGTCAAAAATGCTGCACTGGGCAGCTCACACCAATGCTTGACCCAAAGGAGTCACATGAATAAACAAACAGAGGAATAATTAATTATTTAGGAAGATATTCCCCCCAAATTATCTTGCTGTCTGCCAAATCAAAACTTCCCTTTACTGATGACCATCAGCTTACTATTAATGTCATTTAAATTGGTGGTGAACCACACTATACATACTTATAGTGATATTCGCCACCAGTTTAACCCTCCCAGAGGACCCTGTCATCCTTAAAGTAGATCTTTGTACATTGGAAAAAGCTGTAACCCAAATCTGTTGGGGTCAATGACACATGGAATCTATGGCATTTAATAGTATACAATCACAACACCCCCACCCCTTGCTCCAGCTCACTTTTCCAAGTGGCACTGCATCCTGAGGGACCTATAACCAGCCATGATGACAGAGGAGGTAGATATAAATAACCACAAATAAAAAGGGCATCTCTTCCATGAACTGGATAATGTCCCAAGGGAGCAACACATTTCTAGCTTCTGACCATGTTGTCCTAAACAGTTCCGCCCAAACACAATTTTATATTAGCAAACGTAGTGTTGCTCAAACCCATTGATTTGCTGCGATTGGCCAAAGTACGATGAGCCAGTTGTCTTCATGAAGGCATTTTCACAAAACAGTCATGTTTTCAAAAATCATCAATGAAATTCACTGTAAGAATGCATCCAGGTATCTTAAAAATGTGCTAATTCTTTTTATTAACACCATTGCCTCATGCAGTGAGTTCTAGAACAACTACAATGCCTCTTAAGGAGACCTGGACAAGTAAGGTCTTTCAGAAAGGAACTGATGCAGTGAACACTGGATTTGGGGACAGGACTCATCTACCTCAGTTGCTTGCAGAGGCCTGGGGAGCCTCCTGCGAGGCCATGAGGTGGCTGGGCTCTTACCTTACCACACTGCTTACATTTCCCCTCCTGCCGACGCCTGTGCACCCAGTGATGACGTACAAAATTCTGTGGGAAAACAAAATTAAATGAATATTTTTAAAAATTTATTTCTATAGACAGGGTCTTGCTCTGTCACCCACACTGGAGTGCAGTGGTATAATCATAGTTCACTGCAGCCTCGAACTCCTCTGCTCAAGCAATTCACCCATCTCAGCCTCCTGAATAGTGGGAACTACAGGCATGAGCTACTGCACTTGATTGAGTATGTTTTAATTTGCAAATCTCAAGATTCATTTTTTAATGTGGTAATACTATTGATTTATATAAACCATCATCTAAGCCCAGATGAGCCCAGAAACAAATATTTATGGGTATGACTTGTTTAACAATAAACATGAATCTACGTGGACAAATTAAGTTACTTCTCCATCCCCAAAGATCTTTCATATCTGTAGATTCCACTTCTCATGCCCTCCCTCCACGTCTTCCTAGTGGCAAGTGGCCACACGAGATTGCAGTTACTCTACTGTCTTAATAGTCAAACACTCTGCAGATTTGTGAACACAGTAGAGGACCTTGAGCTGGGAGGTAACTGAGGCAGGTAAAAGAAATACCCAAACAAAAGTGGAAAGGTGAAGGGGAGAAGCTGAAACAACAATATCCAGGTTCAATTTAACAAATAGGTATGTAGTGCTTTATCTGTGGCAGGCAGACACTATACCAAACATTCTAGCTAGAGATAATGTAGATCAAACTCTCAGAAAGAGATCTCCTAATACAAGACATAGACGTGAGAATTATTCACTAGATAGAGTGAAGAAAGAGAAAAGCTGAAGGCAAGAGATGTCAAGGACAAGAGATACAAGCATATCAATGATGTTTTTGCAATGGTATTGTGTTTAAACCATCCTTGGGCACCTTGAACTATTACAGATTAGCTTTCAAGGTCTATCTTTGTCTCAGACTGTAGGAAACACAGAAAGTCCTCTTCCTCCCAAGTAGACAAGCACTCCTGGGGCAGAGTCAAGCAGCGCCATTCACCACTGGTTCTCAGGATACATTACAAGAAAGTCATCCTCAGGACTAGGAATGCAGGCAAGCCCTAATAACTTACAAACAATTCATCCCTCTGACACCAATACCCCTAAAGTACTCATTGTTTTCTTTTGCCCTTTTCTGGGAAAACACACTTTATCTAATTCTAACATGTCTATTGTAGGGTCTAGCCATAACCCTTATTTTCTCTTTAAAAACCACTTGAATATATATTCAATTATTCAAAATTTTCCTACATGCAAGGCACTGTTCTATTAGTACGTACAGATGGACAGAAAATAGATCAGTGTAGAGGGAAAAAAGGTTATATATCAAGGCATGAAATTCAGAGTGACAAGAAACCACTGAGAAGCATTAGCATTATCAATACTGAAATGCCACCTCTATTTCTCTTAATAATGTCAAATCCACTTAAACTAAAACTAAACAAAGACCCTGGAGGAACAATGGTCTTTTAACTATAATCAGATATAAATAAGCACAATGGTCCCACAATTTAGTCTAATGTTTGTCTCACTTTTCCTACTACCACAGTTTAATAAAACAAAGACACAAGCTTAGATTGTCCTAAGAAAGAAGCTAATTATAATAGCTAACACTTGTTGAGTACTGTGAGCCATGCGCTTTAAAAAATATTTTATAAGTAATAATTCTTCTAATCTTCATGAGAATTTTCATGAGTAGAGATGCCACTTAGTTGGAATATATCAGTAAAATCCTATGAGTTGTTGAAATATTGAAATATATGTTGATTGGGAAATTGCAGTTTAGTGCCCCTACCATCTCTCTGACTCCTCCCTTGCATCACCTCAACATTAGAGACCACTTCTACCTCCTCATTATTAAGCAATTATAATGTTAATTTCTGACATAATAGGTCTCCAGGATCCTATTCCAATGATCTCTCTCTTCTGAAAACAAATCATGCTGTCTGAGCAATATTACTGGTTCCCCCAAAGAATCTCAGAATGCTGGGCTGGGCCCAGCTGGTGGTGGTTGTATGTACAATCGTAAATATCCACCTGGATGGACAATTCTGGGTCCTGTGGCTGGCTGTGGCTTTCAAGAAAGTGACGGCAATTCTAGAATAACCTGCCCAGTTATCAGTATCTATCCCATCAGTTCAGTGCAAAAATTCTACTGAGGATGAAGGCACTGGACCCTCTACCTCTTTACTTTGCAGCTGAGGCTACTGCTGACACCTTTAGCATCTGCCTACTCAACCGATAAGATGAGAACCTTAGTCCACTGCCTGCTTAGGAATAAGGGTTAGGGAGAACCAGAGCCAGCTGCCAACTGCAGCATATCCCAATTCGCATTACAGTAGGGCACATTATCAGAGGGCTTGACTTGAATGGTCAACATCATTCTCATTTTACAGATAAGGAAACTAATGCATAGAAGTGGTTACTCAAAATGTAAAGGTCAAAGTGAGGGTCCAAACCCAGACAGGGTGGCAGCAGAATCTGTGCCCTTACCATTGTGTCACTGTGCCTTTCCTCTGTTCTGCAAAACAGGGCTCACGCTATTCAACATGACACACCAACAAATGATTTCAATGACAGTCAGTAGTAGAAATATTGAATATATAAAAATGTCAGACAGTATCATACAGAATAGAAAAATGTAATATAATTGCTGTTAGTGTAGCAGAAGCCGAGGGAAAAGGAACAATATCATTGATGGTCAGAAAAAAATCTGTAATTATTGAGATTATAAATCACCTAATGACTATCAATTTAAGAAGAAACATGTTGGAAACATTTGATGCAATTACCTGTGTGAAATCATGGCTGACTCATGGGATCATTTAGCAAGTAACAGCTCTACTCAAAAGAGTCAGCCAACACTGTCCATAAATCAACAATTATTTAGAAATCTTAACACTGACTTCATCATTTGCACTGCAACACACAGTTATCCCTTCTTCCCAGGAGGTATGTTCTAAGATTCCCAGTGGGTGACTGAAACTAGGGATAGTACCAAACTTTACATATACAACGATTCTTCAGTCTCATAACTGAGAAAACTACTAAGTGATGAATGGGCAGGTAGTGGATATGCTGGACAGAGGGGTGATTCATATCCCAGGACAGAGCAGGATGGCACAAGATTTCGTCGTGCTACTCAGAACAGCATGCAATTTAAAACTTACGAATTGTTTATTTCTGGGATTTTCCATTTAATATTTTTGGACTGTGGTTGACCTTGGGTAATTGAAACCTTGGAAAGCAAAATCATGGATAAGAGGGGACTACTGTATATAATTTGGTAAGCAGATGTAGAATATCATATAGTTTAGTCAGGGAATAAAAAAGAACATTTAAAAATTATTATTTAAATATTACTCTCTATGGCTCTACCATTTATTAAATATTTTTAATATCATCCTTCCTAGAAAATAAGCCGAAAACTAAGGCATGGATTGATAAACTAACTTATACAAAATCACTATCGTAGAAGAAAATGAGTAATTGTCTCCAAACTACAGCTCTGCGATTTGAGATGTCCAGCATCCTTCTGTTCAGAGTTCTTTTTAGGCCCAATATAAATTTATTCTACTGCTGCTTAATTATAGTTTGAACAAAGCAAACATCCAATATATGTGTGTTGAATTGAATGGAATTATCCACCTAATTTCTTTGACGATTAAATCACATAGTTACCATGGAGGAGGGGAGGATCATCAATTGCCTTCATCGATAAGGAAAAAAAGTTACTATAGAATCATTTATTCTAATCCTCATATCCCAAGTGCTTTAATTTCTCACACTCTTTTCTTTTGACCATTATTAAGAGCTCCTAAGTTGCTGAACTGACATTGGATTCAGGATCCTTAACACTGCAAATGTGACTGTTGATATATTGTTGTTAAGATAGCAAAGCAAGGCTTCTAACACCATAAAACCTTTTTATTGCTCGTCAATAACTTCTGAATTATTCATAAACAACTTCAAGTACTGGGCAAGGAAAGGGCTATTACTTACAGGTGTTAAAATATTGGTAATGCATTATTTCAGGGCTTATATTCAGTATTGTTAGCAAAAATACACAATACAATTGCTTGGCTATTTTCAAACAGCCAGTTGAACTGGGATAAAAGACTACAAATTGGGTTCGGTAAATACTGCTCAGGTGATGCGTGCACCAAAATCTCACAAATCACCACTAAAGAATTTAGTCACGTAAGCAAATACCACCTGTTCCTCAAAAACCTATAGAAATAAAAAATTTTATATATATATGTATATATATATATATATATTTCATAGAGTTTGAAAGGACCTTAGAAATCATAACCCAGTCCGTTATGGCTTATGACTAAGAAAAAGGAGATCCAGAAAGATTCAACTTAGATGACTCCAACAAATATTTATTTAAAACTTGTCACATGTCAGGCACTATGCAAATGCCAGGGCATAGTGACCAACAATCTGTGCTCCAGAGACTCTTACCACTTAGTGGAAACGAAGCAGAGGTATAATGTGAACTAGGGTCAAACTAATTCTAAAGCAAATGTTCTTTCATTTACTAAATAAACATCTGAATTAGTAGTAGTAAGAATTCTTAATTTTTAATTAAGAATATCAAATGGGTCATAGTCAGTGAGTCATAAGTTTCATCTTCAAAATGTCCTTTTAGACTAAGAGTTCATAAACATTTTGAGAGAAATGAATACCTTTGTAAATGCATTCAGTCAGCAGATATCCATCAGTGACATACTCTGTGTTTTGGTGCAATTAATTTAGGACAAAATCTAGGAGTGATCTCCCAAAATTTACACTAAAGAAGGGAGATATTCTTTAGACAAGCAAACAGTAATATGCATAAATTATTATGGTATACAAAGTGCCCTGAAAAGAAAGAACAAGACACTTTGATAAAGAACAATATGCTATGTATTTAAAGGTGGTTGTAAAGGAAGACCTCTGCAAAGGACTGGGGTTTGTGTCCCCTCAAAATTTTTATGTTGAAATCCTAAACCCCAACGCAATGGTAATAGGAGGTAAGGTGTTTGAAAGGTGATCAAGTAATGAGAGTAGACTCTTCATGGATGCAATCAGGCTCCTTATAAAAGAGACCACAGAAAGCTCTCTCACCCTCTTTCCTCCACATGAGAATACAATGAGAAGGTGGCAGTCTGCAACCCCAAAGATGGCCCTCACTAGAATTGGACCACGCTGGTACATTGATCTTGGACTTCCAGCTTGCAGAACTGTGAGAAATAATTTTTGTTGCTTATAAGCCACCCAGTCCATGGTATTTCATTACAACAGCCTAAACAGACTAAGACAATGGCTGAGGGGGATGATATTTGAACTGAGGCCTAACTGTAAGAAACAGTCACGCAAAGAGATTTTCAGTACAGCAGTGAAATACACAAATATCCAAAGGTGGGGAATATCTTGGTATATGCCTCATAAATGGAAAGAAAGTTCATGTGGGAGCTGGAGGTGGCTGGAAGGGCAGGCAGGGGCCAGACAATGTGGACCTTTTCATGCCAAGACAGAGGGTTTGCTTTTGCTCTAAGAGTTATGGAAACCACTGGAGAGTTTTAAGCCAGGGAAAATTATATTAGGCTGGCTCAAAAGTAACTGTGGTTTTTGTCATTACTTTCAATTACTTTTGCACCAACCTAATAATCTGATTTTCATTTTGAAAGATCACTCCTTTAAGTCATGGGTGGATTGAAAGTGACAACTGAAGAATCATGAAGCTATTACATTGGTCAAAGGGGAGAGGTCACAGTGTCTTAGTTTAAGGTGCTGATAACAGAATTGGAGACAGTTGGATGGATTTGAAATATATTTTATAAATAAAATTGACAGGACAGGCAAATGAATTAGATGTGGGGAGTCTATGAGAGAAGGAATAAACATGACTCCCCAGTTTTCTCAGTTGAGAAGCCAGATTAACAGCCATCTCATTTCCTGAGGTGCATACGATTTTCTTAAAATCATTTTTATGGTGATGGAAATAGTCTAGTGTTTGATGTATTATATTTGAGATGACTGTGATACATTCAAAAGACATGCCAAGTGGAACTCCAAGAAGGGCAGACTGGAAATGTAAAGTTAGGAGTTGTCAGCCCACATGGTATTTGAAGCCATGAGACTGGATAAGCTCCTCTAACAGGAGTGGGCAGACGGAAGAGAACATAGAAAAGAACTAAGCTCGGAGGGATTTGCAGAGGTTGGGGGAGGAAGCAATGAAAAAGAATAGGAAGGGCCATCTGATGAAACAAGAAGAAAATTAGGAAAGGGTGATGTGAGAAGCCAAGAGAGGAGAGCATTCCAAAAAGGATGGAATATGTAGTATCTTGAATATTTTTGAGAGACTGGATAAGGAAAGAACAGAAAAATAAATAATACCTAATACATTTAGCATATAGGAGATCATAGGCAACACTGAAAAAAGAAGCAATTTCAGTAAATGGGTAGAGTAGATATCAGATCAGAACAGGTTACAATGACTAGAAAGTGACATACCGAAAATAATTTATATAGTTAACACTTTCTGGAAGCTTGGCAGTGACCACAAAACTGAGAATTAGAGCAGTAGGTAAGACACAGTTTGTGGCTAAGGAATGTTTTTGGGTTTTTTTAAAGATAGAAATTATTAGAGTGTGTTTATGCTGATAGAAATTATCTAGAAATGAGGGGATGAAAATATATAAAAGAAAGGAATTTCAAGTCCTTGATAAGAAGACAAGGGAGAATATCCAAAACCCTTATGGAAGGTCTAGCTTCAGAGAAGTGGTACAGACTAATGAAAACCAAAAGCATCTTGTATTAGAAAAATTGCACGATTAAAATTGTCTCTCTTTCTCTCTTCCCCTGCCTCCACATTGACCTATCAATTGAGAGAGATACATATTGGAGGGCAGGAAGCTAAAGGTGGGTATATGAATCCCCTGGTTGGAAAGTCATAAACTCCATCTTAACTTGAAACAACCCCTTCTAGTTTCCTAAATAAAGCACCTCCTTCAATTGAGTCACCACTGAATTACCTTCTGGCCCACACTGTCTGCACTCTGGGTGGCACTGAGGCACCACAGCCCTATCATTCTTCTCCTGCTTTCCTCACCCTGCGCATGGCCCACAACCTTCCTATTGCTGCCATGCTGCACAAACACAATGGGAGAAGACAACTGATGGGGACAACTATGTTTTCTCTTTCTACAACCTCCATCCCAACCTACTCTCTTTCCACATGTTCTCCCAATCCTTTTGCATTGTCACTAGCAATTATAGCATTCATATTCATGTTGTCTTTTTTCATCAACTCTCTTTAAATGTTTGTGATTCTCAGATATCTCCTATTTCCACTCTCCACGTTCATCTATTCCCACAGCTTTCATTACTGTGTAAATAGGCTGATGACTCACAATGCCTGACCTCCAGCCCAGTCTTCCTCATAAGCTCCAAACTCATATACCCACTCAACCTTCTATTGGGCATCTCCAGTTGAGGACAACAGGGATACCTCACACTTCACAGTTCTACAACTAAACTCATTACCTCCCCAGCCCATCCTCAAATCAACTCATTTTCCAACATCTAATCAGTTTTTCAGGTGTGTGTGTGTGTGTATGTGTGTTTGTGTGTGTGTGTGTGCGCGCGCGTGCGCGCACTTAGCAGTAGCTTGGTTTAGT
Organism: Homo sapiens; assembly: GCF_000001405.40. Classification (NCBI taxonomy): domain Eukaryota; kingdom Metazoa; phylum Chordata; class Mammalia; order Primates; family Hominidae; genus Homo; species Homo sapiens. The sequence goes on from NC_000007.14 coordinate 137,653,183, forward strand.
CTGGGCTCCTCTTGTGTCCAAAATCCAATCAATTACTACATCCTGTCAATTTTGTTTCCTTCAAACTCATATCTACCAACGTTATTCTTAGTTCACGTCACCATTATTTCTTGCCTAGATTACTAGCATGGCTTCTGAAAGTTGTCTCTATGCCTCCAACTCTTGAACTGCATGGTATTTCCTCCACGCTGCAGCCTGAACAATATTTGGCTTAAAGTAGTTTAATGCTCACCTCCCAACTATCCTGATGATAAAACACTCAACTTGCAGCATGGCTTACAAGGACCTTCAGGGTCCAGCTCTTGCTATCTCAGATCTCATGTCTTACTCAGTACACCCTCTCTCACTTGGACTTGTGTGCTCTTCTTTCTATCCGGAAGGCTCTTGCCACTCACCTCCTAACCACCCTCCTCTCACTTAACTTAGTTAGCTCCTTAAGGTCTCAGCTTAATTGCCGCCTCTTCCAGGAAGCCCCTTCTCTGACCCCTCTCCTCTCTTTCCTATTTGTTACTACACAGAGCTGATCTGAGGAGTAGACCAGCTGGGGAGGTTTCCAAGGGGTAAATCTGTAAGTGGAACTGAACCTCGTCTCCCTGAGAAAGTATGCTTATCAGAAATCATTTTTACCAGACTTTGTCTTAAGGAGGATACCGTATAAGATGCTAATGTTTGGGAGGCAGTGAGTGACTGCTGGGCAGGCTGAACTACATTCTAGGAGGACAGGTTCTGTTCATTGCAGGCTTTTGTTTCACTGATTAGGGAGTGCAATTTTGGGCCTGGAGCTTAACTGTCCAGAATAACACAGGAGGGTTCTTGCCTGAACTGTGCTTGCTGTCTCTGCTAAATAAAATGTGAACAAATAAGTGCTGTCTCCTCTTGTCATACCTCTGCTTCCCACTAACACATCAGTAACAACTCTTCATTCTAACTTCCTCTTTACCTGTTTATCTTCACGACCAGACTGGAGGGTCAGGGACTGAGAACTGAATATAGTTCTAGCTTATGATGTATTTATTTTTTACTTAACAAATGAAAACACTGAGATTTAGAGAGCTTAGGTGAGACGCCCAAGATCACACACATCAAGGCTGGTTTTGAAAGCAGACCGTCTGACTCCAGGGCTCATAGGAATAACCAGTTACTGTGCTGCCCCATGAATGGCTTATACCCACTCAAAATTGAAAAATGCACTTAAAATCAACCAGAACACATGGCAACAGAGCGACACTCTGTCTCCAAATAAATAAGTAATAAAAGTCTATTTCTTTCTTACCCCTTCAATTCTATCACTACCACCTTCCTCTAGTCTCTGGTTCATTTGGTAAGACCTTAAACTCCCCAGTACATTTTATGAGAATAAAGTCCAGTGTGCACATGTTGAAAAGACTTGAAGATTTTATTGATTGTGCTTATTGATGTGTTAACAAAAAATTGGCATGCAACAGAAAGAGATAGAATTTATTTTTTATTCCCTGGTGAATATCTATGAATCCACTGAATCAATGAGAAATCAAAGGTGATACTTGAAATCAAGCTCTGAAATACTCACTTCTCTTGGTGACCTTGAGCCTCCTTCTCGAAATGTTGGTTTACATCTGAAATTAATCTGTCATTCAAAAAGAAAAGTATATTATATTAGAGATAAGCATCAGACTAGACTGAATTACCTGAAAAAAAAAAAAACAGTGACAGATATTGAGACTGAAAAGCAAAACCTCCAAAGAACAAGGAATAATACTCTTCTTAGTCTTTTGAAATCATCACATTAGATAATCAACAGAGATCCCAGGTGATTCTATATCTCCAACCCCTTTCCTTCATTCTCACAAATCAAATCTAAGTATCTTTAAACGATAATGCTCTTACACCATAAATTTGAGAAACTGAGATAAGAAAGAGCCAGAGGAAAGATACTGGCAGCTTAAACTACCCAGCTGGGTTTCTGATTGTAAAAGTAGAAAATATAAACTTGAGTTTTTTTAGTATTATGACAATTATTCAAAGACAACAGAGTTATTCTTTTTTTTTTTTTTTGAGATGGAGTCTCATTCTGTCACCCAGTCTGGAGTGCAGTGGTGTGATCTCAGCTCACTGCAACCTCCGCCTCCTGGATTCAAGCAATTCTCCTGCCTCAGCCTCCCGAGTAGCTGGGACTACAGGTGCGTGCCACCACATCTGGCTAATTTTTTGTATTTTTAGTAGAGACGGGGTTTCACCGTGTTAGCCAGGATGGTCTCCATCTCCTGACCTCGTGATCCACCCATCTTGGCCTCCCAAAGTGCTGGGATTACAGGCATGAGCCACCACACCCAGCCCAGAGTTATTCTTTATAAAAGGATTCAGCACTGCTTTTCTTTTAGATGTGGAGGTCTCCTAGTAGGCACATTGACATTTCGGTTAGCTACTCGATAAAGTGAAAGGAGCAAAAGAATGAAGGCAGAGATGAGTAAGTGAAGTTGGGGCAGAAAAGAAAATATTAAGATAACATGTTGGTAGTCATTGCCACAAGATATCAGCTAGGATCAACTGGTCATGTCAGTGAAACTACATGAATGTCATGGGGGACTAAAATATTTCAATGCATTTACCCATGACAGCTCAAGAACATAGATAATACACAGAGAAACACACACATTAAAATGTAGTGGGAAGTGTGAAAGGAAAGAGGATGGCAGGCAACTCACTATTGGAGCCTTTCCCATCCCCTAAATGACAAATAAATGGACTTTGCCGAATCCACTGATTCTGGAGGCACACCACCACCGGGATGTCACTTCCAGCCCCACCCACACATTTGAGCAGCAACAGGAGGAGCACTGCCCCAGCAGAGTGAGAGCCGGCTTCCAGCGTGGCTCGCTCCCTTGCAGGCACTTTAGGAAGACGTAAACCACACAAGTCAGATATATGTGAACAACAATTATAAACAGCTTATAGAACTTCTTCCTTCTTAAACAGCTTGTGGAACAGCCTATGGGTGGATAGTAATGCTTGAACTGAGATGATATAATAAGAGAATCAGTGCACACCAGGCTTTTCCATCTAACTGTGTTCTTCCTTTTCCCAAGAGTCAACGTAAAATGATATCAAATTACACTTCAGCAAACAAGAGAGTGAACGACCCTTAAACATTGTCTTTCCATTAGTAATCTGGTAATAATGTTGGACTTCCAGCTTTTTTTTAAGGGCATTGTTTTCAAAAAGTTGGAACTGGAAATTTACACCGGGCCTCTGAAGACCAAATACTTGCAATGTAACAAAACTGCAGCAGGGGGCGCGCTCTTACCTTTTCTAGCTGCTCAATGCAGGCGGTGTGGACGACGATTTTACAGACTGCACACTTCCTCCTGAGAGCTGATTTCTACAATATTCAATTCAAAAGACAAAAAAGAAATGTTAACAGTCTGTTCTGAAGAGTTCCCTAGTATTAAAGTGGGCATATATAATAAATACATAAATACAGCAAACATTGTAATTATTTCTATTACAAAGCAAATTTAAAACTTCATCTTAAATATTGAATAAACTGACAAACTTTATCAACAGTCTCTGCACTCACCAAGTAGCTCCACATCTGCATGATTTAGGGTGGGCTAGATTGTCTCTTCAAATAATAATAATAATAGCTCCAATATTTTGAGCATATAACAAGAACTGGCTCTTTGTTCTGTCATTTCTAAGTTTCAGAACCTTACAATATAGGCATTATTCTCTTCCATTTTAAAATATTTTCTACATTATCACTCAAGTAGCTAAGGGGCAAGACCAACATCCAAACTCAGATCTAAGTTGAAAACAGGCATTCTTTCCCTATTGCCAAAGAGTCTAGATTTCCAGGGGCCAGTCATTTTAGGCTTCTATCCCAGGCATGAGTCTAGACTAAGTTACTTCGGTTTCTGCCCAAATCTTCCAGAAGTAAAGGAAGGCAAGTTCAGCTTTTACGCCCAGGAAACAATAATAAGAATAGCAACAAAAGCAGGAAACGCTGCTAATAGGAATATAGTATTTGCTATCTGTTCTTATAAGCACTTCACAAATGGTAGTTCACTTAACCCTCACAACCCTATGAAACAGGCCCTATTCTTAATTCCATTTCACTGATGAGAAAACTGCCCAAGGTCAGTGAATTAAGGCACAGCAGGGCCAAGTGGTCTGGCTTCAGAGCTCATGCTTATAAGCATTACACAATTCGGCCTCTCTGACAGTCAGTATTAGTTTAAAATTATAATGAAATAAAACTTTTTAAAGTTTATCTTTTTCTCTAATGATAAAAAATGGACTGCATGGAGAGAGATGAATGAGCAGAATCTACATTTCATGACTGCCAGTGTCATGCAGGATCTAAGATAGGAAAGTTCAGCCCTCTCTATAAAGGACAGACTGGAAGGAGGATTTGTATGAATAATTTCTGTGTTTGAGCCTGAAAGAAATGTACTATAACTAAGCCTGTCTGTCAGATGGGCTATCAAAGCATCCAAGTGTGAAAGGTCCTGAGTTCCTGTCCTCTTAGAGATTGCTGGCAACCTTCCCCTTCCGAGGAGTGGTTTCCCCTGCTGAGGTATAATTTTTGAGTCAACTGTGTCAGGTAGGTGAGAAGAAATAAAGCATTGCTGCGGCCAGAGATTTGAAGAGCTGCAAACCACCACTTTGGAGGGGTAGGATTAGGAAAGAAAATGCAGCCTCATAGGTCTTGGACAGCTGCATTCATTCAACATGGGGTATTTACACATTATCAGCCACCAACAAAGAACCTAAAACACTGCAGTACCGCTGCCATGAAACTTGTAGAAGAAATCCACTGACTGAGATTCCTTTATTCTGCTTGCAGATGCTTTTATCACTCTCGGATTTCCTCTTCCTGAGGGAAGAACATGGTGTAGCACATGAAATACATTTGACAATTGCTTTTGCACATAACAATGATAAAAGAAACCAAAGCATCTAGCTACACTACTGAACAGTGTCTTGTTCTACTACTAAAAAAGAAAAGAAGAAGAGAAAAAGAAGGAGGGGGAGGAACAAGAAAACATACAGTAGTAATCGTAGTAACACAGCAGTAGCAATCAAAAGGACAATCAAAAAATTCTATTTTGCTCTACAGGGTAGAGCACCCATAAGCAAATCATGGTTTCCCTTCTGTTTCCTATGGATATCCTGGTGCGAATCACTGCTTTGGCACCACCTGTGGAAAATGCATGGGGCATTTGAGTCACATTGCTAATCAGAGTTATAGCGACACAAAGGAAACTGGAGTTGATTTTAGTCTATTCATTTCCCATGAAACTCCTAGTAAATTACATTGTGGATAAGCAATGCAATATTACCACAGGTAGGCAACCACTTACAGGCTGTGATTTAAGGATGCCTGAAAAGCCTCCCTCCTTGCCAATAACTCCTGTCCTAGTCTAGCTTCGTGCTTGACACTACGCTCTGCATTAAGTTCTATGGAGTTCCAGGGATTTCTTAGTCTGTTACGAAAGTCACTGAAGATGGAAGGAAGATGCGGAGAAAACTCAGGAAGCCTCATGCATTCAATGAAATGCAATGCCTCCTCCTTTGTTTTACAAATCAGGATTCTGAGTCAAAACATCTTTTGCACAAGGGATCTGGGCTAGAAGAATTTGAGAACTGGTGCATTAAGATATGCTATCTCTCAGCCTTCTGGAACGTCATGTAAATGCACTAACATCATTCATATGGAAAAACTGAAGTGCAACGTTCCGCAGATGATAATATATGGAGTCGAGTGCTGTAAGTTCTAAAACTGATTTTAACTGAACTATATTGATTTTTAAAAGATCCTCTTAAAATATATTATGAACTTATGTGCCTTTTGAGGCAGAATATATAAACCATATTCTAAATTTTTCTTCATAAAGACTACAACATGATGCACTGTACAAAGAACAGTCATTTTTCTCTTTCCTGTCCTTCTGTTTGGGTAGAGCTCCTTTTGAGTCAGTGTTGCTGTCTTTTGTTGCTCTCAATTTCCTAAATGGCAGCTTCTCAACAGCTTTTAATCTGAGAAATCAGATAATTACAGTTTACAATCATATGTAAAATTAAGTAAATAAATTCTGAATAAAGGTCCCAGGTCTTTTGCCATAGTAGAAAAGTAAATAGATTTTTAGTTCCTTAATTGAGGGAAACTGTTTTAGCAAATCGGAAATTTTAATCACTGACTTCACGGTGTATGACTACATTTCAACTGGTTAAAGTTATTTGAAGTAGTTGGATAATAAGCTTCCGGACAGAAATTGCCCAAAACACCTAGAATTTTGTGCTTAGTTAGGTTGCAATTTTTCATTTTTAAGTTCCCAGCTATACACAAAGGTAAGATGCAGGAATCTGGACATTCTAAATACTACAAATATTCACTTTTTCCCAAATAACTTATATGAGCCAGTGCTTACTTCTCTACGAAAGGTGATAAATTAAACCAAGAAAAGTCACTTAAAAGCATTCAGTAGGGGCCGGGAGCAGTGGCTCATGCCTGTAATCCCAGCACTCTGGGAGGCTGAGGCGGGCGGATCACAAGGTCAGGAGATCGAGACCATCCTGGCTAACACAGTGAAAGCTCGTCTCTACTAAAAATACAAAAAAATTAGCCAGGCATGGTGGTGGGCACCTGTAGTCCCAGCTACTCAGGAGGCTGAGGCAGGAGAACGGCGTGAACCCGGGAGGCAGAGCTTGCAGTGAGCCGAGATCGCGCCACTGCACTCCAGCCTGGGCGACAGAGCGAGACTCCATCTCAAAAAAGAAGCATTCAGTAGGTTACCTCTTATTCCTTACATTGGGACACAGTTGTTATAGAACCTAGCACAAAAACATAATTTAAACAAATATTGCCTAGAACATGAAACATGTTTAAAAATTAAAATTATTTAAAAAACAATAATTTGCTCTCATCAATGAATTTAAAGGCCAGTTGAGCTTACTGCCTTAAATATCAAACAGCACCTAAGCACCCTTACTAAGGGTTTCCTGATTTTGCTGGTGTTGGTATTCAAAAGAAACTTATTTGTAGGTGTGTGGTACGGGGTGGGCAGAGGGGGGAACATATCCGTTTAAACTAAGACAATATGGAATACAGTATAGATCACAGTCCATTATATTACACTGTTCTAATAAAAACATGACCAACATTTACTTAAATAACAACACAATAATATATATGCTAGGTTTTAGGATGGTGGGCATGATCTCACCAGCAGCCATACAGTGGTTATAAGAGAAAACACATCCTACATATTTCCCATGCTGCAGGCCCTGCTGGCATTGAAAGTAGTGACAGCTCTCCACCAATCTTCAGCTCATAGCAGGCAAGGGAGAAAAACTGTCACAGCTTTAGACCACTGGAGCAGGGAATGGGGATTGAGGAGGACAGAGGCATCAGTGGCAGGCAGTGGTAGAGAGTATACAATTGTCCCTAATAAAGAGATTAATATTGAATCCTATCCCACCCAACTACCTCCCTTGCCTAAGTCCCTGATCTATATGTACCAAGAAAGCTATTTTTTTTCTTCCTTTGAGCAAGATATGTGATTTCTGCTAAGTAACAATGAATATCTGGTGGGAGTTGAGAGAGTTTGATGGAGAAAAACAGGAAAGGAAGGATGGGAAAGATGATGAAAAATAAAGATGAAAAAGAGGGAAGGGGAAAAGACGGGAAAGGGTAGGAGAGAAGGGAGAGGAGAGGGGAGGAAAGGAGAAGAGGGGTGGGTCCTTCAGGGCCTGGGGTTAGCTACTTTCACAGGCCCATGATCTATAAAAGGATTGGGGCCTTTTTGCTGCCCAAGGTAAGTAAAATTAAATATCTGTCATTCCCAATTGTCAGAAGTTTGACACCCAGGAAGCAGGTACAACAAGGCTGGCTGTCCCCTTCTGAATGAGGCACACGGCAAGCTTTATTTCTTCTTGCAGTGGGGCCAACTGCACTGCCTGCTGACTACATAGCTTCTACTGCGGTCCTAAGAGCTCCCACTGAGCTTGCCCACCTCGACAGGTGGAATCACCAGAGATGGGACATGGGGAAGGCAGTAGGAAAAGAGCCAGCATGGCAACCGGTTCTTAGTCTCCCCATCTCAGAGGAGCTCAGAGGCCAGAGGCTGCTGCAGGACCAAAAACACCAGGGCAAAGTCTGAGCTCATGGCACCTCACTCCAGAATTCCCAGACGTAATGCAAGGAATCACCAGCTATGAGGCCACAGTGAGCAAAGGGATGACAGCCAGGAAAGGGGCTTCAGGCAGAAACCAACAATACTGTGAGTGCATAAGGGGGCAGATGGGGCATGCTGGGGAAAGGGCCAGAGGGGGGCCACATGGTGAGAAGCCAAGGAGAAGGACAGAGGAGGTTGCTGGGCCAGGCCTACCCCCAGCTGCCTCCCAGCTTTCTCCCCCATGGTTTCTCTACCCCTTAGCCTCCTAGATGGGAAGATTCACCCCGAGGACTAGAAACCGAGGGAAGGCTGAAAATCAAGCAAAGGGGAAACTGCAAGAGAGGCCAGGAGAGTGCTCTCCTCCTCCCCCTTCTCCTTCCCTTTTAGACCACAAAGCCCGGTCCACAGCAGCATCTTGGAGATGGGTAGGAAGGAGGCGCCATGCAGCCCAGGCAGGACTGTCCTCTCCTCCTCTTCAATGGCGGGGCTAATGGAATGCTTAGGAAAGTGGAGGGGAGGAACCTTCCTAAGCTCTTAGAATGTCAGGAATCTGGTGTCCTCTCAGTAGGCATTGTCTCTCTGGCAACATACACAACAAGATTGTTGCTGTATAATCCAAGGTAAATGAAAACAAGAGTTCTTTGATTTATTTAAAAACCTAATTAGAAGAAATGACAAGCATATTTGGCAAATTCTACTTCTCTGGGGAGTCTGGGATGCAATCTATAAATTGGCATTAGGAAAAATGAAGAATGACATTATCTGAAAGTTCCATTAATATGATTTCAGGGCCAAAGCCCGACCTCCACCATCACTCATGCAGGCTTCCCTTTTTCTTCAAAGGAATATAGAACATTTTGGACAAGCCAGGAGGGTGGCCGGCTGAAGTTCCAGCACACTCCTTTTTTTTTTTTTTTTTTTCGAGACAGAGTCTCACTTTGTTGCCCGGGGTTGGAGTGCAGTGGCGGGATCTCGGCTCACTGCAAGCTCTGCCTCCCGGGTTCACGCCATTCTCCTGCCTCAGCCTCCCAAGTAGCTGGGACTACAGGTGCCCGCCACCACGCCCGGCTAATTTTTTGTATTTTTAGTAGAGACGGGGTTTCACTGTGTTAGCCGGGATGGTCTCGATCTCCTGATCTCGTGATCCACCTGCCTTGGCCTCCCAAAGTGCTGGGATTACAGGCGTGAGCCACCGCGCCCGGCCCCAGCACACTTCTTTTATCCTCAGTATATCACTCATTCTGTCTATGACAACAGGATCTCATGATTCCAGACCAAGGAGCAAAGATGCCACATGTCCGGAGGAGTCTGTGACCCGAGTGGAAACTCAGACCTCTCCTTAGAGGTTCAATTGCAGAGAGACCTCACTCCATGTTAAAAGGTCCCAGCCCAGACCCTGAGTAGTGTTGGCCCATGTTGGAGGGCAGGCCTTCATTTGTAAAGACTCCATGTGTTTGTGCAATGTGATCTGTGGACAGACAAGGACTTGGTAAAGGCTGAAACCTTCTGAGATAGCCCCCAACAACCAACACCCTTGATAAGGGATGGTGCCAAAAGTATCTCAGAATATCTGGAAGAAAAGCAGTAGGAACAACTAGAAGTTGGGTTGGAGACTCTTACAAAGGATACACCAAAATACTCATGCAATGCTCAGATATACACCAATACTCCTGAATCTGTAGATGCTGGGTATCTGGAATCATGATGGTTTGAGTTATCCTACATAAGAGAAGATTCCATATGGCTGAAACAATCTGTTACTGCTGACTTTTCCAGAATATATTTATGGAAATTCAGTCCACCAATTATTTTAACCATCACTATGTGTATAAGACTATGTGAGTGCTGTACAGGATATAAACAGGAGGAAGCTTCTGTCCTTGCAAGAGCTGGCAAGCTACTTGAGGAGACAAGAGGAACTTGGTAGAAAAGGCCATTCACAGGAGAGAGCCACACATGGCGACATGCTCAACAACAGCCCAGACAAGAAAAGCTGTCACCTAGAGGAGGGCAAAATCTGAGGCTGAACCAGTAAAAAGGGTCTAGCAGAGAAAGCAAATTCTTTAATTTGGGCTTAAAATATGTATATTCAAAAAAATCAAAGGCATTCCAGCAGGAAAAAGATCTGAAGTCTCTTTACGTAGTAGGCACCGACGCCTCTGAAAAGGCATGGAGACCTGCTTTGGCATGTCCACTGCGGGACAATTCCTGGGCTCCTGGGTGTCTATGTACAGGAGTCACTGGGCTCAGGGCTGGTGGTTGAGTGTGGAGGTTTGAACGGTGTGTCTGGGGGTTGCTGGCAGCCCTCAAACCTGGGAAGTAGGTACACTGGCTGTGTTAAGAAGCCAGAGGAGCTGTCTATGAGGAGCTTCATGAGAAGGGGAAACAGAACTACGCCCCAGAAGCCATGGGGTTCAAAATTACAGAGTTACAGAGAGGTGGAGATTTCTCTGTGTGTTTCCATGCCGCTATATTCCAGCACTGAGAACCAAGAACACTGCCTGACACAGTTATTCTGAAAGGAAAGGGGGAGGGAAGAAAGGAGAAAGGGCTTCTGACATAGGGCTCCCTCCCCACTTAACCCTCAATCAGCCCCGGTCTGGAGAATTGGTGGCTTAGGAAACATTAGGAGACAAAACCCCCACCGGGACATAGACATTCTCGTAATAAGCAATCCCAAAAGCAACAGTAATGAGGTGCCCTCAGACTGTTTGAGGAATGGAAGCCCTCTGCCCACAATAGGGAAAAAATAGTGCGGCTGGGTGCAGTGATTCACGCCTGTAATCCCAGAACTTTGGGAGACCGAGGCAGGAAGATTACATGAGGCTGGGAGTTCAAGACCAGCCTGGCCAACGTGTCAAAAGCCTGTCTCTACTAAAAATACAAAAAATTAGCTGGGCATGGTGGCGGGCGCCTGTAATCCCAGCTACCCGGGAGGCTGAGGCATGAGAATCACTTGAACCTGGGAGGTGGAGGTTGCAGTGAACTGAGACTGTGCCACTGCACTCCAGGCTGGGTGACAGAGCAAGACTCCATCTCAAAAAAAAAAAAAAAAAAAAAGAAAGAAAGAAAGAAAAAAAAGGAAAGGAAAAAGAAAAAGAAAGCATAGAGGCTGCATGACAATTATAGCTGAACAACTATAATATTTTTGTGAGCACAAATCAGATATCTTCTGGGGACCCACAGGACTATCTGATAGAAGGGCTATTTTGCAGAAGACTGAGGTCTTACATAGACTGCGTAGAGTTAAAAACAGTTGCATCTGTATTACTGCGGCTCATGTGATGCCACCTGTGTCTACAGGTTAGTTAAACCTTGGAATATTTATTTGGGAACAGTTGCAGGAGTGGAGAGAAAACAGACAGAACCAGGGATTACAGGCATCAGACACCGTGCCCAGCCCTGAAAAATTGTTTTGATCTCATAGAAATTATACTCTCCTGTGAGAGACAGACAACAAACAAGAGAGATTAGTATATAATATATTGACAGAAATAAGTACTAAAAAGAAAATTAAAGAGAGAAAGGGAGATAAGAAACATCAAGAGTAGCAGAAAATTGAAGTTGTAGACAGGTGGACCAGGGAAGGTTTCACTGAATATTTTGACAAACACCCAAAGGAAGTGAGAGAGTTCACCACGTGGATATCTGGCGGAAAAACATTCTAGGCAAAGGGCACAGCCATGCAAAGCTCAGAGGCATGAGGATGTCAGGATGCTAAGGAGTGGCTGGGGGCCAGTGTTGGGGAGTAGAGATGAGGTCAGATGATAACAGCAGGCCAGATCATGCTGTGTTGCAGGTCGTGGTTAAGACACTGGCTTTTTTTCCTGAAAGAGAATAAGAAATTCAAGGGTCACAGTGATAATTTCCCGTATGAGGTGATGGGGGCCTGAACTGGAGTGACAAGAATGGAACAAAAAGGAAAGGCAGAGGCACAAGAGTGACTGAGAGCACACAGCCCTCTTCCCAGCCCCACACCAGCCTCCACTAAGGTCAGTGTGAATTCCTTATATTTTGTCCTTAAGTATTTCAGTAGAATCATCAGCAGCTCAGGAGGGCTTCAATCCTACCCCTTGGGCAGCTTTGCTGTTCATGTGTATGCTGGGCTGACAGCATACCTGACAGTCTCATGCTCTATTATGGTTGGAATTGCCTCTCGAGTACCGCAGGAAAACTCACTTGATGCTCTTCGAACAGCGTGTTTTGTTCTGTTCTGAGAAACACATTATCAGAAGCATTCTGCATATGAAGTGTTTATGTTGATGTTCCTAGCACCTCCCCTGAGTAACCTCAGATGTGCAGGTAGATTCTAGATACTAGGCTGAACCCCACCTAGGCAGGCTCAATTCCATGACCTCCCGAGAGACCTACAGGGAGAAAGAAGAGCAGTGCCTGTGTGTTGTTGTTTGAACCAGAAAGAAAAAGTTGTCTATTTCCCAGATAGCCAGTGTATTTTATATTTTTCATCTGAAGGGAAAGAAAACCAAAATCTTACAGCAGAAAGCCAAGGGAAAAAAAAGACTGTGAGCTGAATATAAGAACTAGAAAGACACACAAAAAACCTTTCCTCTTCCTGAGAAGCAGCCAATCGGGGCTCATAGGAGAAACAATTTGGTAAGAACCAAATTGCTAGGATTGCGTTAATTCAAAGCTAACGTTCATGACTGGTTACAAAGAATGATACATCCATCGTGTTTTGAGCACTGGATTAAGTTTGGTAAAAACTACAGTCAGAACAGTACAGGATTCTTTTTAAGGGAGGAAAAAGGTACATGTCTGTATCTCAACAGTTTACCCTTAAACTAAAATTTGTACCAAATCACACTCTTAAATGGTTAAATGTGACTTATGTTAGTGGATTTAATACTTCTTTTTAATGAGAAGAAAGTGATAGGCACAAAGTTTCTCTGATAGGCTTCAACAGAAATCTACAGCAAGCCTGTGGTCCCTGATACTCAGGAGGCTGAGGCAGTAGGATCACTTAAGCCCAGGAGTTTGAGGCTGCAGTGAGCCAGGATCACATCGCCACATTCCAACCTGGGTGACATGGCAGAATTCTGTCTCTAAAACAAACACACAAACAAACAAAAAAACAGAAAGCTACGACGTGAATCTTAGGAGAAGTCTACACCTTGGAATTCATTTGGGTGACTATCGCGTACTGCCACCATCTTTTGGAAATCTTCTTACAATTCAGGCACAGTTATTGAGATATAAAACAAATATTGCAGCCAGTCTTTATAACAAGCATGGCGAAGGGCCTGATAAGTTTGAATGGGTTTGCACAAGTCTAATCAAATGATACTAACAAACTGATGCCCTCAGAGTTGCCAGGCGGAGAGTCATGGGGAATGATACTCACTGTGCCCCTCCATCTAGATTACTGGGCAGCTCAGGTATTCCTTCTGCCTCTTCCCTCATGCTCATGATACATTAAAAAGGGTTCCAGCCTAATGAACTTGAAGAAATCCTTAAAAATCCATAATTCTGTTTCCCACCCTGGCTCTCATTTTACCCAAGGACACTTCATATTTCATCATTCTTATTATTGAAGTTCTCTGTACTTTGTTGCCCTTGTTTCTTGTTTCTGCTTCTTTAAAATTTGCCTGCTTCTCTTTTCTCTTATTTCTTTTTCCCCATTTGTTTTTCTATGCTTCTCAGCTTAGAAGTCAGTATACAACCACAGCCGGTCACTAGTTTCAACTCATCAGATGCAATCTTCCTGATTTTGGCTCTTTACAGGTGGTTTTGTGGCTGTTCCTTGTCATATTTTTACACGCTCTTCAAGGTTATTATTTGTGCCAGCAGGTCAAAGTTGCCAGGTGTCTTATAGTAGAGTAATTGAAGGATTGATATGCACGCAAATATGGATATAAATATAATTACAGGTACACAGACACTAATAAGTAGAAATTCATACCATTAGAGCCCTACACACATACACACCCATGTGCATTCACAAATTTCAAGCAGACAGACTTGAGTGAAGATGGGCTAGACATATTACAGAAGTCATAACAAAACAAGTTAATAGAAAATGGTGTTTCTATGTCTTGGTGGCTTTCTCTAGTTCTGAGGTAGCATATCACGGGTACAGCAGAGATTTGAGCCTTAGTATAAACTAGGAAATCCCAAACACTTTGCCTTTTTCAGTCCTTGCTGGTGTGACAGTACCATAAACACCATCTTACTTGTATTATGAATCCTGACATGTTTCCATTATCAGTTTACTTTGTGGAAATAGAATTATTTTCTTAAAGTTCACAGCTTAATATTTCTAACCAAAAATTTAGAGATATTTGCTTTGATATGGAATACTGTATTTCTAGTTAAGAAGCGATATCAAGCTGTGGTAAGTTAGTTATCCTTTCACTGCCATTTTTCACATTCCAAGCTATTTGGTGACATAATTAAGGCAGTCTTCCAGCCAATCTAGTCCAGGAAGACCCACAGACATCTCAGTCATTGTTTACTCAACACTGTACCTCCAGTTGGTAATGTTTTCACTGACACATACACACCCGCCCATTTCATTTTTTAATGAGGACATCATACCCACAGAGATTTGCCAGGAGGCTAGCTGTGTAATATACACATTACCCACACTGTAAACAGAGCTCACTTCTGCCATGCCAAGTAGGTACGACTTACCCAGCTAAGGGAACTGAGACCCTATGAGACTGTGCAACTTGCCCAAGAAAGACTAGCTAAGAGTGGAAGTCTTTCTAACCCAAAGCCATCTCTATGTGTTACAGCTTACTGTTTTCCTCTTTTCTTTGCTAGTGGTAACCTGGGGGACCAAGACTGATGAGGATAGATAAGAAATATGATATTTAACGTGATTGCTTCATATGATCTGTTCTCATGAGATCCCTAGGGGAACTGACTAATGACAACCACACATGACCCCCTGTGCCAAGATGGCAAAAAGCAGTCTCTGTTCTCCACGAGAATGAAATAAAATGCACTGCAAAAGGCATGGCACTGGCTAAACAGGGCATAAAACCTTACACAAGTCAGCTACCTGCATGTGTTAAATCTCCCTCTAAAGAGTCTTAAAAAGGAGGCAGGAATTCAGACGTCCTGGATTATAAATATAACAATACTTAAATGGCAGGGTTGATCTGGTGACAGGTGTCTGTGTGTGTATGTGTCTCTCTCTCAACAAGCACCTCATTGAACTCATTCATTCATTCAATGTTAAGTAACACAGGGTAACTATTCAGTTCAATCACTTATCCTCAGTGTGGGGAATACAGGAGAGGACAACAAGGGCAGAGTTCCTGAGCTAAATGGAGCTTATGCTGTAGTGTTGGAGACAGATAAATAAGCGAGCAATTTTTAAAAGTATGATAGCTAGTAAGTGGTGTGTGCTGTAAAAGGTTGACAGAATGGTGAAGGAGCAAGAGGGGAGGGAGAGCCTGACTGTCAGCTAGGCTAGTTGTTTCACCTCACAAGCTCAGTCCTTAACTTTCCTCGAGGAAACAGAGGTAGTAGGTGATGCTAAGACTCTCCAAACCTAGTACTCTGAGTTGTCTCTTTTGGCTCTGTTTCTTGGAACCACTTTCATTCAAGGAGGAATGATTATAGTGGTCAATATTTATTGAGTGCCTGTGATTTGCCAGCCTGCTGTTATATATGCATTAACTCTTTTAATTTTCACAACAACCACAAGAAGCAGTATAATCCCATTTTCCAGATGTAAAACTTAGGCTTAACGAGGTTAAAACAAGGACCAGTGTCACACAACTCAAAGCCTGGAAATCAGGATTCAAAACCAGGTCATCTGATTCCAAAGCTCACACGCTTCATCAACACATTACCTGCACCCCCTTAAATGAAGGCATCAATGCAGGATTTTCCATTTCCTCGTGTTTTTAAAGCATCACCTTCTGAATATGTATCCACCTCATCAATGTGGCAGGGAACAACAACAACAAGCTCCTAACAAACAGAGACAATACCAACTTTGGGGGCCAGTAGTGGTTTTGGAGTAACCGATAATGCAAATAATGCTTCCATCAAGATTGAGTGCCTCTAAGCAACAGGAATACTGGTTAAACCCCAGTACTGTGGGTCCCTGCCCCTGGAAAACATTGCAAGAAGAGAAACCATTTCTGTACACCTGGGCATTGCCTAGGTAACATGTAAGCCTTATGCTAAATCAGATGCAAATTATTTTTATTACTAGGTAACAGGACCATACAATATCCAATAACAACAGAACTGCTTCACAGAAACACACACCCTTACACAAACACGCAAATGCAGCCTCAATCTAAAATTGTCATGACAGAAAAGATGACAATTATTCTCAGAGGTTCAAACTCTAAGAATAAAATAAGACACATGCATTTTGGCTTAATGAAAGTTTAGTATAAAGGCAAAAGAACTGCACAAAGATAGAAAAAAGTCATAAAGCTCTAGAGAGTGAGTAAGCCTCTGTGACTCTTTTTTTCCTTTATCTTTAGGTAGAAGTGAACAACCCAACCCAATGTGACTACTTCAAAATGTTGTTGTTATGGATCAGAGACGAGTATGAGTCCTAGGAAAACTGCAAAGCATTGTGTGAGCATTTCTCAAATACTTTTCCACTGACTCCTAAGATCCTACAAAATGGCAATGGGTGTTCTGTGGGGAAATTATGGGTTCCACAATCCTCCCATCCACTCAAAAAAAAAGTAGGAAATCCTGCATACCTTATATGCTTCGTTGAGCTTCACAGGACCTATTTGCATATTAAAGTCATTCAGTGTTTTCAAAATTTATGGTCATGAGCTCCTTTTAATGTATAATGCCGTATATTGTTTTCTTTTGAGTTTAGTGTTCTCCAGAACACAATTTTGGGTCAAAAGAAAATGGGCTGTGCAAATAGACAATGGTACTATTGATCCAGGGTCACCTAGAAGTGACAGAATCCTAAAGATCCCTTGGCTTCATAGCCTACATATACTATCACTATCCCCATTACATGAAGTGAGCAGTATCAGCACTAGATTCTCCTTTAATATACAGACAGCACTTGGTACCAAATTATAACGATCCCCATGACAGTTGTCATAGTAACAATGGCTAACATGTCCTGAGGGTCTACCATGTGCCAGACACTAAGTGTGCACGTGAACGATCTCATGGAAATGCTGAGCTATCAGGCCAGACACCTAAAGGGTGACATTACTTCTGCCACTGAGAGCACCCCACTCTCTCCCTCTCTCATATCCACTGACTAGGAACTCAGTAGCAGACAGTGTGTCTGTGAAAATTCTTTTCTTATTTTTGTTGATGGCCACACTTTCCATGAGTCATCTTGATTCATTAGATCCTCAATATCCTAATGGTGAAAAAGGCCCCTGGCAGAGAATGGCTGGCACCCAAACAACTCAGAGAGCGGGCTTTGCCTCCTGGGCTTTATTGCCACACACGTGGTTCCCTCTGACAGCCTGCACCCAGCTCAGCCAAACTGCCATCTGGGGTGCAGATCATGAGTCTGCTGTGCCAGACAACTGGCATTTGAGGCTGACAGAGCAGGAGCAACATGCAGGCAGATCTTGGTGCATTCTAAGTCCAATGCTGGTGCTCCATGTTACACACCAGCTAGACCTGAATACGCAGATGGCCAGAAAGTCCCCAGTAATGCATGTCGGGCTCTGATTGCCTCATCTTCTCACCCACACACACAGATGCATGGGAACCAGCATTTTCACAAGCTGCTGCCTGGTGCTCATTCTTCCTGAGATGAAACAGACAAGGTGTAACTGGGCTCAAAATCATTTTCATTTTTAAACAGCAGAAAGCTGAAAGTTTCCTTCAAATAGGGCAGAAAGCTATGACCCTTGTACTCTTCTTGAAAGTTTCTTCCAAGAATCTAAGGACATGACCAGCATTCCTGTGAGCAAATATTGTGATACCCCGTTACAGACAATGATGAGGCTTCTGATTCACCAATAAGAAGACACAGCTTGTGAGATGAGATCACAGAATGGGTTACTTTGATTTGTCCCACTCAGTTGTCCGCAGTCATGACTTGGTAAGAATATGGATGCTACACACAGCAGCAAAATGACAGGTGAAGCCATAAGAGTCTTAGTGTTGGAATCATCCCAAATATAAGGCCTTGTTAAGCCAAAGTCCAACCAAATCTGCTAATTAGCTTGTTCAGCTCCATGACATTGAACCATAGTAGGTACAGAAGAGGAGGAAAATGAATACAAACATTTGTTAACTGATTTTATCCCTCTACTGATTCTGAGAGGTAGATTTAATCACCACTATTTTACAGAGGAAACTGAGGCTCAGAAAGGCAGAGCAGAACTTGCATTTTTATCTAGATCTTTTTGTCTCTGGATCTGTGAAGCTCTTGCCCTCCAATCCTCCAACTCTCATATCACATGGCCTCTCTAACTCAATTCATTCACTTTCTCAGTAAAACTGTATTTGGCAAATTGCAAGCAACATTAGAAGAAAACTTAGAATTAAGGCAGGGTGTCACAGGTAGGGTTAAGCCATTTTCACCAAACATTATCTACGAGGAAAAGACTAAAGCAAAATACAAGAACAAAACAATAACAAAAGCAAAGCAGTACCTATTAGCTGGTCCACAAAAAGAGGGTGGCATGCTCACATTTAAAAATAGAGAAGATATATCTGGTAACAGCATCCTGAAGTCTGACAGTTCCATTTTTCCTCTTACACAACATACACGCTCACTCACCTCACCATCTACCTACTCTGTTCCCTGCAGCTCCCAGCTTCTGACACCAACCTGCCTGTCTGCTCACTTACACCTCAACCACATACCACTCAACCTAAACACTCAAGCCTGCTGTAGACGCACCTGTGTGCATACGTGTCAGTGAGCCTATGTAACTGCGGTATCTGCATGGCTAGATAAGGTAACTCGACTTATAGAATGGCTACTATATTAGGTTCCTAGCACTGCCCTAAGAAAGCAAAGAAGCCATAAAGCTCTGGATAGTGAGTAAGCCTCTCTGACTCTTCTTTATCTTTAGGTAGAAGTGAACAGCCCGATATGACCACCCCAAAAGGTTGTTGTTATGGATCAGAGATGATGAGTATGAGTCCTAGGAAAACTGCAAACATTGTGTGAGCATTTCTCAAACACTTTTCCACTGAATACTAAGATCCCACTCAATGGCAATGGGTGTTCTGTGGGGAACCCAAACTGGGTAGCTTAAAACAACAGAAATGTATTCTCTCACACTCCTAGAGGCTAGAAGTCTGAAATCAAGGTTTCAACAAGGTTGAACACCCTTTTGAAGGCTTGGAGGGAGAATGAATTTCATGCCTGTCTCTTAGCTTCTGAGGAGAGCCACGATCCTCGGAGGGCCTTGGCTTGCAGCTGCCTCACTCTAATTCCTGCCCCCATCACCACATGGCCTTCTTCTCTGTGTGTGTGTCTCTGTGTGTCTTTTTTTTTTTTTTTTTTTTTTTTTTTTTTTGAGAGGGAGTTTCGCTCTTTTTGCCCAGGCTGGAGTGCAATGGCACGATCTCGGCTTACCGCAACCTCCGCCTCCTGGGTTCAAGCGATTCTCCTGCCTCAGCCTCCTGTAATGCCGCCGGGATTGCAGGCATGCATCACTACCCCGGCTAATTTTCTATTTTTAGTAGAGATGGGGTTTCTCCATGTTAGTCAGGCTGGTCTTGAACTCCCGACCTCAGGTGATCCACCTGCCTCGGCCTCCCAAAGTGCTGGGATTACAGGCATGAGCCACCGCGCCCAGCGTGTGTCTTCTCTTATAACGGCACATGTCATGCTGGATTAGGGCCCACTCTACTCCAGATGAACTCATCCTAATTAATTACATCTGCAACAACCCTATGTCCAAATCAAGTTACATTCTGAGGTACTGAAGTCCTGAGGCGTCAGGACTTCGACATATCTTTTGGAGTACACTATTTAGCCCATCACAGCCACTACACACCAGGTGTGAGAACCAGGCCACGGTTTTTGGTCCTGACACTCTGTTTCTGAAGTGGATCACTGTCTCTCTACCCTGACAGTGAAGAGAATCATCTGTAGATCTGGTTGTTTGTTTTTGACATCAGGCTGAGTCCCACTCCCTAGAGATCCTGATGTGGTACATCCAGAATGGGAACCAACACTTCAAAGGTAAGATTAAAAGGTAAAATGGCATAATTGACTATAATGCTCATCCAGAAATAAGAATCGCTGTGGTCTATCTCAGTAGCAATACTTTAAATCAGGAAACTGAGGCAAAAAAAGGCAAAGTGATATGTCCCAACTTTACTCAGTACATAAATGGAACAGCAGGTTTTCAAACCCAGGTCAGTCCACACAAAGTCTATTTCCTTCTGACCACCCATGCTACCCATCTGTGCCTATTCAGGTCTGTGTGACCACGGTGGGTGTATAATTTGCATATCAATGTAGGCAAGTTTCTTTCAAGTCTGAGTAGGTGCACGATGGTATGGACTCCAGGGATTACTACTGGAGGGGTGAGCTCCTTTAGGTACAAATATTTGGCTAAACATGTTTGTATAGCCTAGCCCCAGAGCATGAGAACAGTTTCTATCTGGCTGTGCCCGCTAAACGGTGAGGCACTGGGTACTCAACCCAGCTCACAAACACTGACAGAATAAATGAATGAATAAATGAATAAATGTACATAAAAATAAATGTCACCAAACGACAGTGATTCTGGCTGGAATTTTATTTCAGGTTTCCAGTGCCCATAATCAGGTTGGGAAACAGTGATCTTTCTACTTCAATTTCATTACTTTTGCATCCTTTTATATTTTATCTAGACCAGAAAAAGAAACAGTTGCTAATTTGGGAACTGTTGCCAATTTGGGAACAAATTTAATTCCATTACGTATCTGCTCACAGGTATTCTACAGTATTAAATGTTGCCACCAGAGAGCTGTAGAACAGGAAAAGGTCACGTGGTTTAGTTTTAGCCCTGAAGCTTGGGAACAAACTCTCCTACAGCTGTTCTAGGGTTTTGGAAGTCATTGCCTGGCTTTCAGTACCCTCCAATATCAGTCCCCAAATATCAATCCACATGGCAGCAGGAGGTCCCGGCTTTGCAGGACAGTTTTAGTTTTACATAGATGCCCTAATGTCCCATAAGCTAGGGTGATGCAGTTCTGGTTTATCCCTAATGTTACGGCATCATTATTAACAGCAGCCACTTTCACCCTCAAAAGTGTCTTGGTTTAGACAATGTATTCTATAGTCATGCTTCCTAAGCCCACCAGTATTTACAATATGCACTCCAAGTTTTGTTTCAAAAAACCTAACTCCATTCTTACTTCCATTTTTCTCTGACACATGCTCATGCACGGCTCATGATTGCCACCTCGTTTGTACAGAGCTTGCCCCACCTCTGAGTCTGCTCATGTTCCTCTTCCCTGCCCGAAATGTTCTCCTTCTTCAAAATCACTTATGTAAATCTTACCCATCTTTCAAAACTGAGCTCGAACCCCATTTCCATGAAGCTGCCTCTGTCTGCTTCAACCCACACTGACTTCTTCCTTCTCTTAACTTCTACTTGTGACATTTGCTTTGCTAAAATAGGGAAGGAGTGAAAGGCACATCGTAGATGATGGATTCACTCCTCCCCTGAGCACTCTGCCTGTACTTTGTTTAGGAGCCTGCAGGTAGTACCTGGTTATGGTAATTTAGTCCCAGCCCCAACAGGTAGGCTTTCTTCAAAGGTGGTTCATTAAAAGAAATTAGAATATAAATACATGATCTGCTTATGCATACTTTTTTCCCAAAAAAGACTGTTGTTCTAAGAAAACTGCAAACAGAGCATTTAAACTAAAGACTCGCCTGGAGATCTCTGTGACCTCTTGCCCAAAGCAGCTGAGAGTCCCCAACTACAGCATCCTTGAAACATGGCCACCCACGTTATCCACAAACACACATCCCACCAGTCAATCTCTCCAGGCACCTTGTTCGCTTGCTGGGAAGCTCAGGCTGACAAAGTTCTTTCTTATCATACGGTATTTCTCAAAGTTAGGTTTGCGACCCATCTGCATCAGAATTATTTGAGGTGCTCGTTAAAATCACAGACTCCCAGCCAGGTGTGGTAGCTCATGCCTGTAATCCCAGCAATTTGGGAGGCCGAGGCGGGTGGATCCCCTGAGGTCAGGAGTTTGAGACCAGCCTGGTCAACCTGGTGAAACCCCGTCTCTACTAAAAATACAAAAATCAGCTGGGTGTGGTGACTTGCACCTGTAACCCCAGCTACTCAGGAGGCTGAGGCAGGAGAATTTCTTGAACCCGGGAGGCGGAGGTTGCAGTGAGCCGAGATCACACCACTGCACTCCAGCCTGGGCAGCCGAGCAAGACTACATCCAAAAAAAAAAAAAAAAAAAAAAAATCGGAGACTCTCAAGTCCAACTCCAAGCATACTGAATCAGCATTTGGAGCAAAGAGGGAAACAGGAGTGTGCATTGTTAGGTTTCCCAGGTAATGTTTGTTTATTGTTATAAAGTTAGAGTCAGTGGATTCTACCTCTATGACTTTTCCATTTCTAACAACAGATAGCAAGTCACTTCTCTTTTCTTCAAATTAACTCTTCAAATACTGGAAGACATCTCTCTGCCTTCGCTCCTAATACTCAGCTGTAGCCCATGTAACCTAACATTTCTTTACAACAAGCTTCCATCCCCTAAACCAACTTGGGCACCCCACTCTGGGTCCTCTGCTGCTTGCCAATGTCTCTCTCAAAATGGGATGCCCAGAGATGACATGCGCCTCACAGTGCGAGGTGGGGAGAGAGACTGAGAGGATTTTCAGTGCTTTCAGTACACACTGCCAATTTTGTGAAGGACAGTGTATCTACTTACACTCCTGGCAGCTGATGATGAGCCTGCCCATTTCAGCCTAAACCAACCAGCAGCAACTATTACCATTTTATAAATCTTTGCTAATTTAATAGGCACATGAAGTTGACTCCTGAGTTGTTTTAATTGGGATGCCTTTGTATTCTTCAGATATCTATTGGCAATTGGTAGTTCTTTTGTAAATTTCCTGTCCTTGTCCTTCCTGGGTTTTTTCTTTTTTTTCTTTTTTTGCCTTTAATTCATTAGGTCAGTTGCTGAGCCAAGTAAGCCCTTTCTATGTATCATCTCACCAAACCCTCAAAACAGTGTTTCCCCCACTTTATAGGTAAAGAAACTGAGCTTCAAGAAACTTACAGCAGTTAGGTCTTCAGCTTCCTCACTGATTTATTCCTTCATTTAACCAACATTTTTTTGGAGGAGAGTTCTTCATCTTTCAGACGTTTTGTAATATGAGTTAATAGGGCCAAGTACCTGGTATGAAATTATGAGGAAGCTTCAGAAGGAAACTGGGAACGTTCTCAACTCTGTTTCTTCCTACTTCTACCTAAAATTTCCTTTATTCTCCTTGTTGCTTTTCCTGGCCTAAAGGTATTAGTGAACAAGTAATAATCATTCAGTGGATAGCAATGCTATTTACTGATACAAGGTTTAAAGAGGATATACGTATCTGTTCATATATTTGTCAAGAGAGGTAGCCATCCCCTAAAAAGTAACAGAAAGGGATTAAAGGGAGCAATTTGGAAATAAGGGATGACTCTGTATAAAATCATAGTCCATCAGTAGAAATTGTTCAAAAGTATATATGTAAGTAATACTGGCTTTCATTTTTTCCATTTTTTATTATCTTACATCCCAGGACCAGTGTTTACGCAATTAACCAAGACACTAATGTTAATTCATTATTTACAGCATTTTAGTCCAAACAGCTGAGCTTCTCATGGATTTCGTTAATTCAATCCAATTCCATGCAATTATACTTTAATTAAAAATACATATGCATAAAGTTGAAATCCTGATATTTAAGTCAATTAAATTTACAACAAAATTAGAAGAGAAGCAAATGATTAATTACAGGTCTAGAAACAAAAATAAATTAATAAAAAAGAATTTAATCCTACTCTCTGTTTTAGAAGGTAGCCAAGGCCCAAAGGTCACGAGTTCTCAATGTCACACACTGAGCAGTAACACTGAGATTCAGCTCCAGGTTTCCCGACTTCCAATCCAGAGCCTGTTCATCTGGGTCTTTCCCTGACATTGATTCCCAACTTCACTTAAACAGGCCCTGTTCTCCCCAGAACTCTCAAAACTCTCCAAATGAAATTTATAAACAAGGAGTTAAAACAGCTAAAGCAACAAAAAAGGTCTTGGTTCTGGGACTTTGTGCTTTTAGGCAGCCTGGTTAAAATCGTTGGGGGCTATACATATCCTTCTATAAGCTTTGATGGAAACTCGATTTATTCCATATTGGTTATTAACAAACACATATTCATCTGCAATTTCAAGGCCCTACATCTTGCTGCAAATATTTCTTTCACATAATAAACAAATATTTTTTTAAAAAAGAAAAAAGCATTCTATAAATTCTGGTGCTAATTTCCCCAAATAAGAAGGAATACATCTTTTATCTCTTCTTTACTATCCTAAGCTTCCCATTACTGTCTGTTTGGACCAATCATTTAAAACTACACACAAACTTTAAGTTCAATTTCTCAACACTGTGGTTTTGATATCTCCACAATGCACTACTTGGCAACCACACTTACCTCACAACATAAAGAGAATTTTAACCCTCTAAATAGATTGTTCTAAATAGGGACACAAAGCAAATTTTAAACAACAAAAGTTAACTCCAATTGACCTGACTGTTGATTGTTTATATTATTTCTAGAATCGTATCCTCCAGAACTTAGTCTGGATTATTTGTTAGCCTACACCCATTCCCAGCACAGGTGTTTCCCTCTCTTTCCACCTTCACCCACCAGTAAAGCCCCCACTGTGGCCACTTCCCTACAGACAGAGCCCCTTCCTCCACACACAGGCCTTGGCCCCACACCAACAACTCCTCCATAAGGAGACACTACCTCGTACACATTTACCCTCTGCCCCCCACCAACACACAACAACCTACCCTGGGCATCATTATAAAGTAACACATGACACCAAGGCCTGGCCTGCATAAGTGAACCCTAAAACCATTACGAGCGACAACCTGAAAGCCATGTTAACTTGAGAAACTCTCTGCAAACCTTGAAAACATCCGGAAAGTTTTCCATCTCACAAGGACAGGCTCGTTCAAACCTCCCCTTGGAAATTTAGGCAAGGTGACCCCTCTATTCATTCAGATCCACAGGCCTTCCCCCAGCAAGACGGAGCGCACACTCACTGCAAATCTGACTTGGCAGTTCTCCTCTCCAAGGTAGCAGAGGTCTCCCGAGACGTTGGTCTCCAGCCACAGGTGTTCTCCATTCACGGCATTCTCCTGCAAGGAAAAGACCCACCTGACATCAATTTTTTTTTTCCAGGGATAAGGAAAACTATTTCAAATTTAGATTTGGGATACAAGAAAGTTAGTGAAACCAAGGAGTCTAAACATTTCTCATTTGACCACTAAAAGTACTGCTAGAGTTGATTCTCCCGAAATTCTAAAAAGGGAGAAAGGTGTTTGGAAAAACTTTGAGCTATAACTAAAATAAACATTAGGTTTATAGCTGCTTTATCCATGGAGGTGGACATTTTTGAAACATATTCAACAAATGAGGAAAAAACACCTCTAAATAGTTCGATGTCAAACCTTATTCACCAGGCCCACCACTGCAAATGTCATGACAACTGAGACTAAAATTATATTAAAATTTGACTTTGCTTAGTGAATAAGCTTAACAAATTAGCTAAAAAGGAGGATGGTAGCATTAAAGTATTTTAAGTAAAGACAGTTTGAAAACACAGTTATACCAGTAATAGGTAAATTATATTTCTAAGGGCAGAGGCTTCTTAAAACTAAGTCCCTGTGTACTCAAAGCATAATACGTTTCTGCTAATTCACATCTTACTAATTCAGTAAGGTCTTCACCCAATTACTTCTCAATTTTTCAAACTAAATGTTATTGCTTCTAAAAATATTCATATACTTTGGATGGGGAACAGAGCTGCTAGAATGTATGACCTGATGAGCAACAACCCTATTTTCCAGAAATGTGTAGTGCGGTATTGGGGAAAGGGGGAAGCAAACTGTTTTTTTTTTTTTTTAATCGTACGATGAATAGAATTCCATATTCCTTCTTATGGGACTCTATCTTGGAAATTATAGATTTATATATTAATTGTATATTTTGCTCATTTGCTTAAAAGGAGCTCTGAGCTGTTAGGGAAAGTATTGTATTAGATTAACCATAAAGAAACAAGACTAAGTCTCCATGGCTTACAGGAAAATTACTCTTGTTTTTATTTTATTCATCAGATGTACATGGGCATGTAATTATTTTTTATGGGGGATACTATGGACTAAACTGTGTCTCCTCAAAAATCATATGTTGGCCAGACACGGTGGCTCACACCTGTAATCCCAGCACTTTGGGAGGCCGAGGTGGGCAGAACACTTGAAGTCAGGAGTTTGAGACCAGCCTGGCCAACATGGTGAAACCTCATCTCAACTAAAAAAATACAAAAATTAGCTGGGTGTGGTGGTGGGCGCCTGTTAATCCCAGCTATTCAGGAGGCTGAGGCAGGAGAATCACTTGAACCTGGGAGGTGGAGGCTGCAGTGAGCCAAGATCATGCCACTGCACTCCAGCCTGGGCGACAGAGTGAGACTCCATCTCAAAAAAAAAAAAAAAAAAAAAAATTCCAATGTTGAATCCCTCACCCTCAATGTGACAGAATGTGGAGATGAGACTTTGGGAAGTAATGAGTTCATGGGGGTGGAGCCCTCATAATGGGATTAGTGTCCTTATAGAAGAGACACATGGGAGATTCCCCTCATGCACACACCAAGGAAAAAGCCATGTGAGCACACGGCAAGAAAGCAGCTGTCTGCAAGTGAGGAAGAGGATTCTACCCAGGACTGGAATCTGCCAGCACCTTGACCTTGGACTTCCCAGCCACCAGAACTGTGGGAAATGAAGTCTGTTGTTTAAGCTAACAAGTCTGCCATTTTGTTATAGCAGCCTGAGCAGATGACTTCAATAAGAAATTCTATAGAATAATCATGTAATGAAAACCCATCTTATACATGAGCCACTTTTATTATAACCTACTCCAGCAGTGTCCACACGATAGCCCTTTGAATCTCAAAGCTTAGTACAGCAAAGCAGAAATATATACCAAATGGCCAGGAGCAGTGGCTCATGCCTGTAATCCCAGCGCTTCAGGAGGCTGAGGCAGGCAAATCACTTGAGGCCAGGAGCTTGAGACCAGCCTGGACAACATGGTGAAACCCCATCTCTACTAAACATACAAAAATTTGCCAGGCATGGTGGCAGGCACCTGTAATCCCAGCTACTCAGGAGCCTGAGGCAAGAGAATTGCTTGAAACCCAGGAGGCAGAGGTTGCAGTGAGCTGAGATTGTGCCATTGCACTCCAGTCTGGGCAATGGATCAATATTCTGACTCAAAAGAAAAGAGAAAAAAAAAAGGAATATACACTAAATGACATTTGCTGGGAAAAAATACCAAGTGTCACCCATCTTTTAAAATAAACGTATTTCTTCAGATTCAGATAGAACACATTTTCCTTTCAGGGCCTAGTGACTCAAATAATTCTGGGGTAAGAACAACCAAAATTTGTATTGTGACATGTGATGTAGGTGCTTCAGGATCCAAGAAAGGTGGGTCCAAGTCCTGGACCACAGAAGTGAGGCAGGAAGGGACAAGAGAATGTGAAAGTCACTAGGGATATAGATGTCAAGGGCTTCAGGACAACGCACAGGGAGACCCTGGTGGTAGGAGTGCACCATCCACATCTCCCAGTGCCTCAAAACCATTCCTAAAGGGAGAGCAACACTGACCAGGATCATTGCCCTCTACATCAAAGGGTGGACACCTGTTCACCAAAACTTTTTCTTCTCTACTGGTAATTTTTCCCTGTTGCAAGTTCAATTTTTTCAAGGAAGTCAATGGGAAAATAGGCTTCACCTCACAGTCAACCTTGTGGGACAACAGCAGATGCAAGAGAAGCATAGCTATGGGTTCAGACCCTAAAAGTTTTCAGATAGTGATGGATGATGACAACACTTTAAAAAAAGTAGAAAGGCACTTCTTCGCAAGGTATCCTGAAGACATCAATCCACACAACCTAAAATATTCTACTACTGGGAACTTTTCTCCAACTCTAAGTTATAACCATTTATACAGAATAATGCCTTTTCATTTTGTTATTCTTTAATTTATTCAACAATTCTTTATTCGATAACACTGGTGCCAGGCACTGAGATTCTGTGTTAATCAATGGAGAAAAATCTACCAGAGAAGATGGAACTAGATGCATAATAACAGCAGCCAATATGAGGGAAACCACAGCAAAATCCCACTAACTACTTTAGAAAGTGAAGTCCAAAATGTAGCAGTGGGTAAAATGTCAAAACCTACTGATAAAGCAATGAGCTTTCAGCTCCAAGAAAGTAATCTCTAAGCCCATGGAAAGTCCTGCCTGATAAAAGTGTTTTTGTTTGTCTGGCGGCCTTGGGCCATAAGGTATCAGCTTGACCCCCAGAGGGGCTAGAGGCTATTGTCAACCAAATGGGCAGTCAACGCTGTCTACAGGACCAACCCCCACTTAAAACTCTGGACATCAAGGTTCGAATGAGCTTCCCTGCTTGGCTCTATGCCATGTATATTATAGCACATGGTTGCTGGGAGAAGTTAGCTAGTGAACCATGATTCTACGTGGAAAGGACTGTAATAAACCACAAATGTGAGTATTAACAGCTTTCAGGGAGTTCTATGAGTGTTTCTAGTGAGTTACTGAAGCTGAGTGTGGTCTTGGGGGTCCCGAACTTGCAACTGATGTCAGAAGACAGGGTAGTCTTGGGGACTCTTGAATCCTGCATAAAGTTGTCTAGCCTGGGTGGCATTAGCACAAGAATGCAGTAGACAAATGAACTATTTTTGTTTTCTTCCTACAATTCTCAGGAACCCGTCTCCAGCTCCATATTAATCAATGTGAGCTTTGGAGTCAGACTTATTGCCCAATAGTTGTATGACTCAGGGCCCTTCTCACTTTCCTAGACCCTATTTTACTCATCAGTCACATAAAAATCACTGTACCTCCCTTACAGGACTACAATGATGTTTAAACATAAAAATGCATAAAGCCCAATGTTCCGCATAAAACAAGAAGTTAATAGATGTTCATTATATTTATTATTGTTGCTATTACTCTCTAGTTTCCCTTCTTCCTCCCAATCCACAGATGTTAGCATTAACTACGTTTCTCTCCTTGGTCTTTGTGGCCAAGACTGCTAGCCAGTCCTCAAAATAATTATTTCTCCTTTTCCTGGACACATAGTTAGACTTTATTTCCCCAGTCTCTCTTGCAATTAGGTGTGGCCAAATTCTGAACAGTGAAACAGAGCAGAAATTCCAGACTTGTTCCATTAAATCCTCCCACATACATTCCTCCATGATTTTTTGTCTTACTGGTCAATTGGGAAGTCAGGCTTTTGGAATCCTCTTGGTGAGATGTCAGAGTGATCCTCAGCATGGGTCACTGAATAGCTATGTGAGAAAGGGCCTGACTACCCAGCCAACCACCTGGAATAGTCTTGGTCTATGACATAGGTGAGACACTCTCTTGTATTAAGCCATTATACATTTGAGTCTTTCATTTGCTGCAGAGCCTCATTTACCCCAGCAAATGCAGGCCTCTTCCCTTTGCTTTTATTTTTGTCTAGGTTTCTTTTCATTATCTGAATATACCCCCAATTACTTACTATACGCTGGACAGTGCATCTAATTTCGGAGTCTTGTTTTCTTCTGCTCTGAACTCTGACACCCTCTCCGATTTATTTAACGTTAGTATAAATTTAGTTTCCGCCAAAAGAGAGCCATGATTGTGCCTCTCCCTTGTTCAGAATGCTTAGATGTTTCCCTATTTATAAAATAAAATCCAAATTCAACCTGGCATACTAGACTCCAATAACAGCATCAATCACTCTTTTATCCTTGTCACTCTTTTATCCTTGTCACTCTTTTTGTTTGTGTTTGTTTGTTTGTTTGTTTGTTTTTGAGACAGGGCCTTGCTCTGTTGCCCAGGCTGGACTGCAATGGCATCACCACAGCTCACTGCAGCCTCAAACTGCTGGATTCAAGCAATCCTCCCACCTCAGCCTCCTGAGTAGCTGCATTACAGGCATATGCCAACACACTGGGCTCCCTGTCACTCTTCTTGAAACATACCTCGCATTTCCCTTTTTGGTGCCACGTTTTTGTTCATTCTACTGTCCCTACCTGGAAACATCTTTCTCTCTTCTCTACACATGCATCTCGAAATACCATCTCAAATAGTATACAACTCAAAGAGTCTCCATCTGTGCCAGACAGAAAAATAACTCTCCTATTTCTAAACAAAGATAGCACTTCTTCTGTACTTGTGAGTGCTGAGACTCACAAGTCTGTATAGCTATATATATATTTACATTGATAGATTTACATCGATAGATCTATTCATCTAAGAGTGGAGATTCACCTAAATAGACATAAATACAGATTTCTAGATATAGGCATGTTTTCTTGCTCAAGTGCTACCGAAATTCTAGTAATGGTTACAGGCAAAAAGACAAAGGTGAGGTGAGTGTTTGAGACTGAATAACACAGATAAAGAGTATGCTCACACAAGAAGCAAATACTCCACACAAAATGAAGACGCTTGCTTATAAAAATGTTTTGAAACAATGAGAATTATAAATATGTATCCTATGTAAATGTCCTTACAAAATCAAAAAGGAAAAAGAGTGGATTGCCTCCCCTTGAAAATCTTCAGGACAAGAATTGATAACACACCATGTTGGATGTTTTAGATTTGTGCTGTACAATACGCAGATGGCTACTGAGGACTTAAAATGTGGTTAGCACTAACTGAGATGTGCTTCTCTTTGAACAATTCACAGCAGATTTTGAAGATTTAGTGTGAGAAAAGAATGTAAAACATCTCCCTAATAATTTTTATGTTGATTACATGTTGAAATAATATTTTGAATATATTTGCTTAAACAAAATATGGAATTAAAAATAATCTTACCTATTTCTTCTCACTTTTTAAAGTGTGGCTACTAGAAAATGTATCATTACAGCTCATATCTATTTCTACTGGACAGCGTTTGTTTAGATAATCACTTGCCTCGGGGCAGAAGATTAGACCGAGACACTTCTCACAGGTCTGTGAAGTTACAGAATTCCATGATTTCCCTCGGCAGCCAGGGTGATTTGATTTAAAAACTCCCCCGTTCTCAGAAAATAAAGGAATGGTGAGAGTCCCTGAAATTAAGGTCGATTTGTCCCTTCATTTACGTGGCTGACCAGGACTGGGATCTTCACTGATTTATAGTGAGTAGTTCCTTATGCGCTGCTCAACAAACAGTCTCATTTATCGATTAATCTGACTTCAGTTTTTCGAAATGGGGCTGGGAGTGGGGAAAGATGTGGGGCTGTGGGTGATGACACTCAGACCTGATGAAGAGGGGGGCCTGACGCCCAAAATTAAGGTCCAGGTCTCCTAGGACTCACAGGAAACAGGACTGAAATGAGAACATGCACACGGACGAGCACGCACGCACAAACACGCATGCACACACACAGCCCTGCCTCCTTCTGGCTTTTCATTCAAGGTTTCTAAAGATAAGATGACCTAGTTTCATAACCCAGTTTAAACCAATCCCACATGAAGACTCTGGTTCCTTAATCTTGTCCCTGAACCAAACTGTGAGGCAGTGCACCAACTGTGTGATGTTTCTATCTGCCTCAGAGAAAGTGTTTCTTAGCATCGTCAACTAAAGGAAAGGAAAGGAAAGGTGGTTCGGACTGAAGATCTGGCTTTGTTTGTGTTGAGGCTCTGTTTTCCACAGCTCTTGGGACCGAAGAAAGTTTGCCAATGAGGAAGGAAAACAAAATAAAATCAAGGGTGCTGGGTTTAAAACCAATGTGCCCTTTAAGAAAGATCTTGGTGGCTTTTCCACCACTGTTCAGGGGGTTGTTTTAGGCAGTGTAATGGGCAAAAACAAATTATGAAATGGTGGGGACAGATGGGAGACACACTTCCTGGGCTCTCTGCTGCAGTACTACAAACAGGGAAGAGTGCTGGAAGTCCAAATGAAGTCTCCATTGGAAGGGAGACATGTGACATTTAAAAGAAGATACACATTATCTGTGGAACAGACATGCTTCTAAATGGACTAATTCACTCTAAACTGGGAACTTGGAATCCATCCCAGGAGATGAGAATATTTTTTCCTTCTTAGGCATTACTTCCTTCCTTTCTAGTAATTTAACTTGTTTTACCCCAACTGGCTTGGCTGACAGGCATCATCCAGTGTCAGAGGGGGCAGCTGCTGCAGGCTGTCACTGTGGAAGTGAAAAGATGATGTCCTTGTGAAGAGTAGGAAGGCCAAAGTACTGTGTGCGCCTTAAAATCTAACACAATGCATTGAATTAGGAAGGAAATTTAAAGACAGTTACTTGGGATTAAAACGGCATAAATCCATTTATTTTTCAAGCAGACTTTGGAGTCATGCCTACCAAGCCTTTCAGGAACTAGAGATTATCTGAGTGCCTGTCAACTCCCAGCGAAATATCCCCTTCTCACTGATTGAGCAGAAAAACTGTAATCAATTCATCCCCTGACATCAGTAACCAAGCAGCTACTAGGTCTATGATGCTGCACTCTCCACTGTGAAGAGAAAACAAGCAGAAAACATTGCCCCTCCTTTTAAGCAGCCTGAAATCTGACAGCCACAAATAAGAAAGTCAAACAAAAAGCACTAATTTGGTTCTAAGGTTTGTAAGACAATGCACTACCAACAGAGAGGTGTTGTGAGGATACAAAGCAAAGACTACATCAGATACATAGAATCAGTTTGATTGAAAAGATGAGCATGGCTTGGCAGACAGCAAAAGAGAAAATCTCTAGAGGAAATAATTTTCATACTGGGTAGAGCCCAGTGTCCACTGCTGTCAATAGAAGACTCAGGCATCATACTGAAGACTGATCCAGATACTCTCCACACACCACTGCAGGTTCTATCCCTGACATGCACGGAGGAAAATGACTGTGCACAGGCAGCCTCAGTAAATATCTATTGCCGAAAAATCTTCAAAGAATGAGCCCATGTGGGACAGAGAATCCTAAAAGTCATAATAAGCCATTTGAGTAAAACACAGCAGGAGAGAATGTTTGGGATTTTGAGAAACAACCTAAAACTAAGAGAGAGAGACTGTATATATCACAAACAAGGAAATGAGAACATAAAAATGGAATGCTTAAAGAGAAGTATTAAGTTAATGTACCCAAAGCATAAAAACTGTCTGCTATAACAGCACCCTCCTGGCCAAGAAGTGCAGGTGCCTATAGTCTATGCGCACTAAATCAGTGCTCACCTGTATCTCAGGCACCCCACAAACAGACTTCTCCTCAAAGCCTTTTGCCAAAGTATATTTAGGAAATACTTGTGTCCCTTCAGATGACTTTGGCACATAGGCTAGTGTCAGAACACGGCCCTTTTGGGATTCCACAATAAGTAGAAACTTGGGGACTAAGATCCTAACTCCAGGTTCACTCTGACTTTGCAACTTCAGACACACCATGAACGTTTTTTTTAATCTTTTTCCTTACAGATGAAGGAAGAAGAATAGAGTAACAGAAGCCAGAGAATCATAGTAGTAGACGCCTTTGAGATGACCCCCATTGATTCCCCTGAGCCAAAGTGTTACAGAGCAGAGAGAATTTCCACCCAAGAGTCAAGTGGGGAAAGGGAACAACAGGACCCTCGTCGTCCCTGCTGGACCCCATCTGCCACTGTGGTCAAGACCTTCAGAAGCACAACTTAGCACTATTGGGGCCCTCTACCTTATCAAAGGCAAGAGACTGGAGTTCCCCCTACCTTTTTTATAAGCTCCTGCCACCTTCCTTTTTATTTGAAAGAATCAAAGAGGCTCCAACCCTTTTCATTGCTCAATAAATAGTAATACTGAATTAAATAAAGATTGCTCATTTCCATACATTGAGTCCAGAAGAGTAGACTAATGGTAGAAGATGAGGGAATCAAACAAGAGAGTGGAGGAGAGGGAATGGCACAGAGAGGTGACTGTTTTTGCACCTTAAACAGAACAAAGAAATCCCTGGCTGGCTCCTTGAACAGAAGAGCATACTAAAGTAATACAAGTAATCTAGTTTTAGCCAAAGAAAAAGTCACTGAAATATTTTTAACAATCGGCTTTTTCCTCTTTTCTGAAACAAATGCTTTACACGATTGTAATAAATGAGTGTAGTGTGTTGGTCACGGTTTGCTTTCTGTTTGCTGACACCAAAATCAGCCCACAAAGATGTTGGTTTTTTTCCAGAGTAACATCTCATAACTCCTTACACATCAGATCTCTAAGCCCTCAGATGGACTGTCTCAAGGAAGGGCTTTCGGTTTTCCCAC
Organism: Homo sapiens; assembly: GCF_000001405.40. Lineage (NCBI taxonomy): Eukaryota > Metazoa > Chordata > Mammalia > Primates > Hominidae > Homo > Homo sapiens. Next base: position 137,687,803 of record NC_000007.14, read on the forward strand.
CATTGTTAGATGTCAGCTAAGTGTTTCGTGTCATGCCATACTTTCAACAGACCTCCAAGATGGGGTACCTAAAATCAAAGAAAAGGGGAGAAGAGGGAGGGATAAAAGATCACTAGGCACAAACCCAGCCTTCATTCCTATTTGTTTTTCCCTCATTCTGTACTGCAGCCTCCCACCACTGGCCAAAAATACCATTTTGATGAAATATTAGAGTACATACCTCTCTATAGGAATCAGAAAATAATACCTTGTGCCAAGCTCTGGCTCAGGCAGGACACTTCTTTTAAAAAGCATTTTCTGATAACTATTTCCAACATCAAATGGGAATGGAATGTCCTTTTGTTGCATTCCAGTGACGTCCTCATTTCCCTGTATTTTCGTGTTGATTTCCTTTCTGCCCACAGGATTCTAAGACCCTTGAAGGCAGAAACCGTATCTTCTTCACCTCAGAATCCCAAGTAACCAATATAGATTCTAGTACAAAGCAGGAACTCAACAAATGTTTGATGAATTAATGAATTCATCAATTACTTTAACAAATAAATCTGCTGGCTGCACAGTTTACAAAAAAAACTTTTTCACTTATTGTCACATTCGATCCTAACAATGTCCATGAAATAGGGCCATGATTATCCCCATCTACAGATGAGGACGTTGAAGCTGAAAGAAATCAGTGACTTACCTAATGTCACACAAAAGGGCAGAGAAGGGATTTAATGAATGTTCGCCTCTAAATGATTAAACTACCCCTGGAATGTCTCACCTCAAAGAAGGCCCTGCTGCTGCAGACTACAGGGTTGTTTGGAACATCGTGAATATCAAACCAACTCTTTCGGTTCCTTGATACATAATACACTCTCATCATTGCTCCATGCATACCTCTCTTAGGTTTTATTTATGTTTATGCATTTAATTGTTTTTAATTATGCAAACACTGGTGCAAATATACTCTATTGTGGGTTAAGAGTTTATTAAATAGCTGTCCTGGAATAAAGAAGTAAACTCCAGGAAAGGAATATTCTTTCTATACACCAATTCAACAGGCTCAGGCAGCATCTGAACACTCTCAGGGTAACAATATCTCCACCAAGGGAGAAGCTGTAGTTCAAGCACATCCAGTCTTTTGCCAGGCACTTCATAAATGTGGGCAGCATTTACATTGGTATGCATCCAAGATGTAAAATAAGGATATTAATAAGTGTGTGCTGAGAGGAGAGGAAGAAATGCTATAATACAGAGGATATCAAATCATGGCATGGGTTACCTTTCCCCCACCCCACCTTTCTCTTTCATATGGAGAAAAAGAACATGGATTATCCCTTCTATTCAGACTCAACTAAAAGTGCTAAACAAGGTTCATCATCAGGGAAGGCTGGCAGAACTTCAGGGAAGCCCTTCTCTCCCTTGATACCTTTTCCTCATATTGCTTCAGGAAGGGACAAAGCCTTTGGGTCTACAGTTAGAAACAGTTACTCGGCCAAGAACTCGACTCACTGAAGACTCTCAATAAATGTGTTTAATCAACTAAAGAGTTTCAGACTATAATCTTCAAGTCAAGTTAATAGTTTTTGTGAGTGTGTTATGGTTAAAATGTTAACATCAGCTCATATACCCAACCTACTGATGCCAGACCCATCTGCCTTTGGTTAAGGGAGGAAGGAAAAGCAATAGAATGACATGAAGTGCCTGTAATCCTCTGGGAAAAAAAGCACCCAGAAAAACTCAGCTCAAGCTGAGGAAATCAAAACTTAGATTGCGAGATGTTGCACTAAGGGTAAGCTCAATTCATCGTCAACTTGGCAGAAACCAATAAAGACTGCGCACGAGGTACTTTTTAATCTTACAGCTGCAGTAATACTTCAAATGATTCAGGAAGCTTTTATCTTAGTCTTGAACACATCTGACTTCATATAAAGGAGTGATGTTCATAGGAGTTTGAAAATGGAGCTACAGCTAAGGTATCTGAGGACAGGTCAGCAGGCAATGTTGAAAATTATTAAGCAAGTCTTCCTTGTAACTAGAGGAATCCTGAGAATGAGAGACACAAAACATGCACTGAAGTGATGTTTAAATGAAAAGGCCAACACCTACACTCCAGTCCAAAGTCGCTCTGGGCTCCTTGGCTGGACCATTTGCCACAGGAAGGCTGAGGGGATGTGCAGGAGCCAGATGCTGGAGGCCTGCCCGGGAGATTGCTTTCCTGCAGCAAGAAGAAAAACAAAAACAAAAACAAAGAAAAACCAACATCAGAATCTCATACAGAGCTCAAAATTTCCCATGGGGTAGAAACAATGCCTGAGTTAGCCTCTTCCACATCTGAAAATCTTTACCAAAGTATTGGAATATACCTCTCTAAAGTGCATGGTGTCCAAAGAGGGTGGCAGGTCCCAAAAGACAGGGAGGTCAAGGGGACCACTGTGGGGAAATAGTGCTTCAGAACCAAAAATTAAAATATAATCCTCTATTCAGAGTAGAGGGAAAGAGCAAAGGTCTTGACTCTTCATTTATGGAAAAAGACCTAGGGTTTGGGCAGCCACCATACTTGAACAACTTTAAGATTGCCAGCGACTAAAAGCAAGAAAAATGGGCTCATGAGGTCTCCTACTGAAATTCCTCCATTTTCCAGCAAAGCATTCTCCAAGCTGGTTACAGCTGAAAGTTCACTGTTATTTTGCTTTCCTCTCGAGAATATCATCCTTTCCCTATCCTCCTTACCCCTGCAGAGGACTACATGAGTTTGAGGTTCTAAATGGGAAAAGACTGCTTTGCATCTGCCAAGAAATTGCACATTCAATAACTTACCAAGACCCACAGTAAGATAAAGCCTAAAAACACTAATTAGATTTTAGATTTGTTGAGTGGAACATAACAGAATTCACGTCAGAAAGGAGGGTATGAATTGGGAGAGGTTGAGATAGTCAGCCCTGATCTTGGTCTGCAAAGAAATGAAACAAGAGGGGCTACTTTAGCAAAGCAAATATGATCATTGCTGAGCAAAGGGAAGGGAAGAACGGTTAGAGCATAGTGGTGAGAATAAGAACAGCAAGAAGAAGAAAAAAAAAGCAGAGATCACCTAGGGAGATCTGTGGGATCATCAGGAACCGTGGAAGTTCAATTTCTGAATGGCCTCCCAAAAAATGTCTCACAAGGGTCTAGAGCTTAAACATGAGCGCTGATTTGTGATTGAACTAAGTCACTCCCTAGAAGGGAGAGGGGCTTTTCCCCTATAATAATATCTAAGTGTGGTCTGAGAAGTACCTGAAATAGAATCAGGAGGGTCTTGTGATGCTGCAACTCTGAGTCCTGAATCAGTTGGAGGGTGAGGCACAGGAAGCTGCATTTACACACACTCCTAAGGTTCTCTTCTGTGCACTAAAGTTCTTAGACTTTGCTCTGTGGGAGCATGTACATTTAAGCAGCTGGGACCACAACTTTCCAAAGCCCATCAAGGGGAGCTCTAAAGAAAACATCAGCAATTGCATTATTTACTTTATCTTCATTTGGCTGTCTTCAGCTAATCTCATATGACCTGAACACTGCAGTAAGAATCTGCCATCTCTGAGATGAGGCCTGCAGATACCCTGGATCCCCAGAAAGGCCCAGATCCTCAGACTTCTCAACCCCTTGGACTACACAGAGGAACAAAGCTCCAGACAGTGGAATGGAGAAAAGGAAAGCAGTGATGGCCAGATCTGTGGTGACTCCCATCACAAATGAGTCCCCAAAGGAAAAGAAACTTGCCCCATATAAACGGGAAGGAATAGGAACAGAATTTAAAAGCTTTCTTGAACCCTGAAGGGCAGGTAATCTTTTCATCCTGCTCAGCGACCTCTGCAAACTCCCTCCAAAAAATAATTTGTAAAGTTGAGCAAGATGAACAGTAGCCCCCAAGCCTGAGGAAACACTGAGTAGAAGCCAGTAAGAATCCAGGATTGTGCAACCATTAATCAATTACCAAGTATGTCAGAGAGCTCAGCAAGTGTCTAGACCTTTGGGTTTTTTTTTTTTTTTTTTTTTTTAAGCCTCTTGTATTCCTATACAGGAAGTCCCAGATATAGGGGGTAGGTCTTCAGTAGTTAGAAGCGATCACATCGAGCTTGCTGGTAGCCTACTTTCAAAAGCTCCCACTGGGTAACAGACAATTTACTTGCTTTATATAATCCCCGAAAGGGTCATTATGAAGATGGAGGCCTTTAATGATGACACAATATTCTCGTTCCTCACTTTCACCAAGGCAAATAATTAGCAACATCAATTTTGGCCCCTCACCCCAAAGCATATTCCATATCATCGAGCAATAAGAAAGTAACAGTGGAAGAATCTTATACAGTGATCTTTCATCTCAAAACAGTTTTCCTCCACCTATGTTGAAGGAACTTCTTTAGCATTTTTATTAGGATTTTCTCTGGCTTTGAAGGGCTCTGTATGGGGACTCTGAGCTACAGTTTTCCTCATAAGAAAATCAGATCTCTGAAGAGTCAGAATACACAGGTTCTACATTTGATTCCTTAACAGTCACCACAACCTAAATTAAGTGTCCTTACAAAAAATACCAAACCACACCCAAGTGCAAACTCTTAGAATGGCTGAAGAATTTCTAAATCTTGGTTTAATGAGAAAAACACAGATCTTTCATTTTTTCATTAACTGTCCCAGACAGTTTTGATACAAAAAAATTTTTTTAAGAGAGGAAACAAAACGCTACTGTCAGGCACCAGTAGAAACCACAGGGCAAATGAGTTTAACTCATCAGAACTTGTAGACTCTGACCGCCAAAACCCGGTTACTCTTCCTAATTAGGACTGCCAGGAGGAGCCAATTGCTGAAATAATCAAATTAGGATTCAAGGATGCAAGCCACGTGTGTCTATGAAAGATAATGTGGCTATATGATAAAGAGACATACAAACATTTAACCCTGAAAGAAATTACAGTCAAATCACACTCTTTTCTAGCCTGGGAATAGAAACAAGTAAGGCCTTTTTGTTGATCACTTATTTCTCTTTGTGGATACAAATTTAAGGTTGGTTTTATGTCTACACACATAAACATTAATTAGGAGAAAAAAATAAGTAAAAAACATGAAAGTGGCTGCCAGTTTGTAACTCTAATTGCCCTCACAAAAGGACATACAAATAGAAAAAATATATTTAGGTACAACAGGGTGTACGAAATAACTTCTGATTAGAACTTTCCATTCTTTTAAATAACCATGGGAGAAAATCCTTTTCTCCAATAATTCATACATGCATACACATTTTCTTCCAAAATAAGAAAATAGTTTTATTATATCTCAGACCTCAAATATAAGTTAGCGAAAGTTATTTTTCTATTTGAATTTATCTTGCTGGTAGATGACGAATTTAAGAGTCTAGTAGAACTTGGTGTGTGGTTGGGAGTGGGATGAGGGGGCAGTAGTTTTATGCTGCAATTTGCTCCTATTAAAAAAAAATCAATGGGGTTTCAACTTGTTCTTTCCTTCTGCTCAGAATCCTCTCAAGCCCACGGTCAGCAAAACCATGAAATGCCAATGATTCTTTCTATTAATTTCACAACAACGCTTCATAGGAGATGGCTATAATCACAAATGCTTCTTTGAAAAGAACTGTGATATTAACTGTGAAATAGATATGAAAAGAAAATATCCTATAATGCAGTTTCAATAATACAACATCACAGTTAATATCAATTACCTGAAAGACCTCTAATATATTTAAAATATAAAAGCCATTATACATTTTAAGTAGCATCATATTATTTTCTTCACTTCATTCAATAAGACTATAAACTCCTAAAGGACAGGGCTCAATCCATCTACTAATCTTAATTACATTCCAGCCCTGGGGTAGACACAGTCTATATTCAAGAAATGCTTTCTGAGTTAATGAATGAACTTGACCAAGAAGCTAAGAAAAACAGCTTGCTGATTAGATCAAGGGTTGAGAAATCTGATTAGGATGATTTGAATTATATCCCATGCCTTACATTTCAGTGATATTCTTGCCTGAGAGAGTCAGAAATCCTTCATAGCAGCTCTTTAAAAATAAATGCAAATAAGGTAGAATCCAGTGTTAAGAAGCCTAAGAAACATCAAAACGGCTTTGTGTGGTCAACATTAAAATGGAATCCCTTTGCCACATTCGTAAAGGGCATATGATAGTGTTAATATTTTTACAATGTGTTTAATGAAACATGTGGCATATACTCTTCATAAATAGAAATTTAAAAATTTATGGAAGGCCGGGCACGGTGGCTCACGCCTGTAATCCCAGCACTTTGGGAGGCCGAGGCGGGCAGATCACAAGGTCAGGAGATTGAGACCATCCTGGCTAACACGGTGAAACCCCATCTCTACTAAAAATACAAAAAATTAGCCGGGCGAGGTGGCGGGCGCCTGTAGTCCCAGCTACTTAGGAGGCTGAGGAAAGAGAATGGCATGAACCCCAGGGGGCGGAGCCTGCAGTGAGCGGAGATCGTGCCACTGCACTCCAGCCTGGGCGACAGCGAGACTCCGTCTCAAAAAAAAAAAAAAAAAATTTATGGAAAACATGCAAATAAGCCAGAGATACCCTTTTCTAATTACCCACTTTGCAAATTTCTCTCAATTTCCTCTGGTTCCAGTTTCAGTCTGATTGTAGGTTTATGTGGCTCCCGTTTTCTATCTATCCTCATCTTGCCAGCTCCCTCTCTGGGTGATGCTGCACGTGAGAACAGAATCAGGATTCTTCTTGCAGAGCAGAAAAGCACCAGAGAATCAGGAAGTCTCTTACCCAGAACACCTCCTAAAGATTGACACATTAGAGACTGGTGAACTCATCCTGTTGTTCTAGAAAAGGAACCAGCTGTCTAAGAAGTTACTCAGTGTCTTGGTTTGATTCCCCAAGAGAGTTCTTAATCACCTAGTGTGTTGTTGTCTTTTTTCTTATACCATATGGGCACTAACTTTGCTTGTCTTCAAAGCAGCTCACAGTGCTTTTTGGCTGACTTAGACAAGCTGCCTACAATGTAAAGGATAGTCCACGCAATAAAAAAATTGTCCCAAGCCCCGCACAAACTTCACCTCTGATTTATGTCAGGGAACAAACTGTGCGTAATTATTTGAGCCTAAATCCTACTTCATATTATATATGAACTCAAAGTACTTTTTGATTATTTTAATGTACATTGAAATGTTGAAAGATGTAATTACTATTGAACCAAAGGTTGTGTTTTGTTTCCTAAGAAACTCATCCCATTGAGTCACTCAAAAAATCACTTTTGGTATTGAATCTTCAACATAATATACAACTATTATTCTACGTTTGTTACCTTCACAGTGATTCTCCAACATTGGTACTCAACCTTTGCCTACCATGGGGTTTAAGAATGAGTCCATTCAAAGCCCTCCAGGTATTTCTAATGTGTATCCTGGCTAGGAACCACTGTTCCACACAGATGTGCAAACATCTGACTACTTCATTGTCTGTAATGTGACTAAGCCCAGGCCTTTACATATTGAAATATATCCATTCAACAATGTATTTACCGAATGTCTATTTTATGCCAAGCACTGTTCTAAATGTGTAGGTTACAAGAACAAATAAAACAGACCCCAATCACTGCTGCCTTTGAGAAGCTTACATTTGAACAGAAAATACATTTTGCCAGGCACTGAATCTTTTTACATATTTTACGTATCCCTCACAATAATAAGGTATGATCCCTATTTCATAATAAATTTCCCATTTTTTTATAATAGATGTTCTCCATGGAGCTTATGGAGAACACGTAAGCTCCATGTCTAACAACACACAGGTAAGAAGAGGTCCGAGTAAGATTTGAATGGAGGCATCTAACTCCAGAAGGTATATACTTAACCATTTCACAACCTGACACTTTTATAAAATGCTGACAGTACACATATACATAGCAAACCAGACGTACTATAAAATTCACCTTTTCTATACTACTTCTCTAATTGCCTTAATTATAAATTTCCTGTCTCTAGAACAAGAATGCAAACTTCTACCAGCAAGAGGACATGTTTACTAGGCACTGGAGTGCAGAAGTTAAGCACACACCTTACCTTACCAATTAATGGTTATGTAGTCAGATAGCTTGATGTCTTTTAGCCTCAGTTTCCTTATACGTAAAATAAAAATAGCGCCTAACTCAGAGAATAGTGGAAAAAAATTGGGCAGGATGCTTGGCACAGAGTAAGCACAATCGATAGTTGCTGCTATTATTGTTCGTACACACATCAGCGGGCCCCCACAGCACCAGCCAAAGCTAGGTACATGGTAAATCTCTGAATAAATATGTGCTTTTTGATTGCTCTCAAAACAGTCTAAGTTCCCTGGACACTTCTGTTCATTCAACAAACATTTGACAAACTTCCACCACGTGTCAGGCAGTTCAAAGGGGTTATTCAAACAGAAGATTTCCTCTTCTAGTCAGTAAATAATTCCACGGTTGCCAAAGGAATCATTCTTCTTCCCTGCCTAACCCATCTTCCTAATACAAAATCAGAAAGCACCGCACACTTTCCTCAGACAGATTTACCATCATATTAAACACATGCAAATGTGCAATCCAAATGCCATTGGAAGTATTTATTATATTCATGTAAATAAATGCAATGCCCAAAAGACTTTTTTTTTTTTTTTTTTTTTTTTTTTTTTTTGCTTAATGTGTAAAAATGGCCTGGCAGCTGAATGCCCCTGAGAACTTGTGAACTCATTTCTCAGACAGGATTTAATTCCCAAGTGTAACTTTCCTAACCACATCCATAAGGCAACACTGGTACGGGCTTGGCGTGGGATGTGGCAACAAACCTCATTTTAAAACATGGTAAGATGACTTCACTGAGATTCTCTCCAGAGTTAATGACATTCTTCTCCTTATGGTATCACTTGAGGGAAAAAGTAATCCTTGAGAATGGAGAAAAAATAATCATGCTGTTATGGGCTGAACTGTGTCACCCCAAAGTTCCCATGTTGAAGTCCCAATTCCTAGTACCTCAGAAGGTAACCGTATTTTAAGATAGGGTCTTTACAGAGGTCATCAAGTTAAGCTGAGGTCATTAGGACAGGCCCCTAACCTAATATGACTGTGTCTTTATAAAAAGGGGAGATTTGGACCCAGACACACACATAGGGAGAAAGCCATGTGAAGATGAAGGCAGAGATCTGGGTGATGGTTCTATGAGCCAAGGAACACTGAAGATTGCCAGCAACCACCAGCAGCTAGGGGAGAGATTCTCCCTCACAGCCCTCAGAGAGAACCAACCCTGCCGACATTTTGATCATAGACTTTCAGCCTCCAGAACTGTGAGACAATACATTTTGGTTGTTTAAACCACTCAATGTGTGGTACTTTGTTATGGCAACCCTAGCAAATACACATACTTCAAAACCACACCCAAAGTTTGAATTTAGCATGATAGGGTTTGGCTAACTTCAAAATGCTGACTTCTCTTTTCCAGTTGCCCCCATGAAACCTTGGATGCCTTCCCATAATAATGCTACCCTTTATAAACTAATAATACTTAAACAGAAACACATTCCCATGAAAAACATCATTCTCTTATACATAGTAGTGAGCATCTGACCAAGTTTTATTTAACTCACTAGTAAAGTAACAAGTAGAGAAGACAAATGCAAAGTCAAAGTATAAATAAGAAATTGAGATTGATAAAAGTCGGGAAAGAAATGCCTAAAAAGACTGCTAAATTAGATATAAGAGTAGTTTACACTCTATCAGTGAATAAGATCTTAACCTCTGTGGCATTAACTTCTCTTTCGGTCTATAAAATCATAAAACATCAGCTTTTCACAGGTTATCTTCTAGCCTTCCAGAAATATAAACTATCAGCACCTCTATCAGTTTTGGATTATTGATAATACTCAAATATACAGAAACAACAAAATTATAGTACCCAAGAGTATCAGATGAGAGTCAATTACTAAATAAAAAGATTCTGCTTTTATTGGAGGAGACTAATTAGAATATGCTCCAGTAAAATAACATCTTAAAAAATAAAACAATAACAATTTCCCTTGTCAAAATTTAGAATAATTTTATTCTCACTACTCATGGTTCAAACTATTAATTAGAATTCCTTATGTAGCTTTATATATCTATATCTATATGTATATATAGCTATCTATCTATCTATCTGGAGATAGCTATATATATATAGATATCTCTCCAGATCTCCAGATAGATAGCTATAGATAGATAAACAGACAGATAGATAGATACAGATATATATAGATATCTATATATATCTCCAGACAGATATCTATATAGAGAGATATATATAACTCCAGATATATATAGATATAGATATAGATATAACTCCAAATATATATATATATATATCTCCAGATAGATAGATATATAGATAGATCCATATCCTGGAAAATACCTTGAAATAAATTATCTTACCTTCAAAGCAATAATAATAATTTCTTGGGTACCCAGTATGCATTGGAAATTCTTTTACCCACTTTCTTTCTGATTGGAAACAGACTCTCAGACAGAAGTTTTCAAGAGGTTTACTGAAGAATGCTTGTCAGGGATTAAAGGAGGCAGGATTAGCAGAGTGAGAAGCTGGACTATGAGATAGTTGTAACGGAAGCCTCAGTTGGCCTCACAAGAAGTTCTGGAGCTGGATTGCCCCAATTTAAGGTAAAAGAACAAGACTCTCAAACTTTACATCAACCAGTCTTTGAGTACAGGCAGCCCCTGGGGAGAGTATAACCATGGCAGAGATCTTCTTGTGTCAGAGACAATACCTCGGAAGGGGCTCAGATGTGGACCAGCAGCAGCCAACACTCCCAGCAGCGGTGAAATGAGTACCTTGGTTCTGAGAAGCCCTGTGGGCAGCAAACCACAGCACACCTCAAATATGCATAGCAAGTTTATGAAATGGATCGTTTTGCTATGCCCATTTTATGAATGGGACGATTGATATTAGAAAGTTTAAGTAATTTAGGTAAGCCATACAGTGAATCAGTGATAAAACCAAGACTGGAGCCCAGATGTCTGGCTCCAAAGGCTCTCTCACTCTGTATTCGCTCTGAAAGGAAGGGAGAGAGAAGGGCCACACAATAGAAAGGAAGGGAAGGATCCACAAGATGGTATAATACCAGGGCATGCAATGGACTAAATGCTGTCCATGAAATGCTATCTTAGTCTGTTTGGGCTGCTCTAACAAAGCACCATAAACTGGGAGGCTTATGAACAACAGACATTTATTTCTCACAGTTCTGGAGGTTGGAGAACCCAAGATCAAGGTGCCAGCAGATTCAATGTCCGGTGAGGGTCTACTTCCTGGTCATAGAAGGTGTCATTTCACTGGATCTTCACATGGAGGAAGAGGCAAATGTGCTTGCTTAGGTCTCTTTTAAAGGGACACTAATCCCACTCATGCAGACTCCACCCTCATGACCTATTCACCTCTCAAAAGGCCCCACTTCCTGATACCATCACCTTGGGGGTTAGGATTTTAGGATTGAGAGGGGGCATAAACATACAGGCAAATGCCCTGGTATGGGGTAAATAAAGAGCATGTTAAGAACACAGTCTAATGCTCAATTGGAAGTTGTTGCACACTGTCATGGAAATGCCTCCTTTGTCTCCTCCATATTTCCCACCTGGACTTGTACCTTCAGGGAAGTCTACTTTTTGCCTTAAAGGCAGTGAGGTCTAATGAATATGGAAATTGGAGAAGGGGCTGAATTTTATATCCAGGTCAATGAATACAGAATAGATTTTGCCTACTGAGATAAAAAGATAATCCAGAATTGAACAAATTTAGGAAAAGCATTAGCCTGGGAACAGAAATAACCTTAAGAACATAAGCCTTTTGGGACTTCAAAGAAATTTTAGGGGAAAGGATTTAAATTTCCACAGGGCTGTTCCCAGTAAAACTGACAACAAGAAAAGTGTATCATTAGCATCCCACTCCCCATTTCGATGCTAGCACACTTGGTCCCTTCCCCCTTCAATTTCACCTGGACGCCTATACTGTCACAACCACAGTCTTGCAAAACTGATGGTATCGCTGACTAGACAACCCCCACACAAGGCTGTCAACTGAAGGCAACTGTCCCTCATAAGGCTATCTGTGTTCTCAGAAGGGACTCATAAAAATGAAAAAATCCTGCATGACCCTAAGGAATGGAGTCAAATGACATTCAAAGTAGTTAAAATTATTTTCCTAAGCTGTAATTCAGAGTGCCATAGATATAATGGGATGTCTGTGGTGACAGGCAAAGACCTAACTACCTACTTCGATGTCAGGCCTAGGCACAATGGTTAAGCCTACAAAGACCCCAGAGCACACCTATGTGTTGAGGAGACACACTGCCAGGGTGTATCAGTGCCAGTTGTATCAGTGAGGTGAAGGTCCTGGAAGGAAACAGAAGTCATCCCAGATGATTCAGGTGAAGATACTTTAGCAAAATAATTACTTAAAAGTAGAGCTGGGGAACACAGCATTACCTGATCTCAAGACCTGCAATATAGCTAAAGAAACCAAGGGCGTGTGGTTTTGGAGAAAAGGGATGTGAAGGTACCCAGAGACAGATGAATGGTTGTCTTGGTGCAGTGAACTGAAAGTAGTATCAAAAAATTTAAATCTCAGCCTTTTTCATAGCAGATAAAGGAAGTCTAGCCTTATCAATCTCTTCTCACATTTCTTATTTTTCAAATTTTAAAATCACTTTTGCAACTCTACCAAATTCTTTCTGATACCAACCTGGCTCTCAGCTATATCTTTTAGTGCTAGGTAAAAAATAAAGTGCCATGGCAGAGCGCAGTGGCTTATGCCTGTAATCCCAGCACTTTGGGAGGCCAAGGCAGGTGGATCACCTGAGTTCAGGAGTTTGAGACCAGCCTGGCCAACATGGTGAAACCTCTTCTCTACTAAAAATACAAAAACTAGCCAGGCATGGTGGCGGGAGCCTATAATCCCAGCTACTTGGGAGGCTGAGGCAGGAGAATTGCTTGAACCTGGGAGGCAGAAGTTGGAGTGAGCTGAGATGGCGCCACTGCACTCCAGCCTGGGCGACAAGAGCGAAGCTCCGTCTCAAATAAATAAATAAATAAATAAATAAATAAATAAATAAATAAATAAAATAAAGTGCCTTCTTTAAGGTTTAATAGGAAGTTGGTGGCAGAGCCACAAAGAGAAGTCAGGTTTCTTCATCCAGCCCAGCTTGTCTATATTCCTATCATATGGCCTTTGTTCATCCTATCCAGTTCGGCCTGCAGATATACTTGTTCTTTTAATTTCCCCTACCTCACTAGCAACTAACTCATCATTAACTAGACTCTAATACTTCACATGTATCCTGCAGGCCTACTTGCAGAAAAAAAAAATTGATGAGGAAAAAAAAAGTCCTCAGTCTGATAAAGAATACATATGAAAAATCTATAAGTAACATCATACATAATGGTACAGAACTGAGTATCATCTCCCTAACATTCAAACAAATCTGGGAGTCTGCCCTCACCACTTTTATTCAACATTGTAATGGAAGTTCTAGCCAGTGTAAAAAGAGAGGGAAAATAAAGTTAATAATAATAATAAAGGCATACATATTGGGAAGGAAAAAGTAAAATTATCTTCATTTGCAAATGTCATGATTACTTGAAATTCCAACTAATCTGCAAAAATCAACTCATTCTACAGAATGAGTAAGTTTGGAGTCATAGTGTACAGACACTATATACAAAAGTCAACTGTATTTCTGTATATATGCAACCACAAATTAAAAAATAAAAATTTAAAAATACTGTTAACAATAGCACTAAAAAACATGCATTATTAAAGGACAGATACAATAAAATATTTGTAAGACCTTACACTGAAAACTATAAAACATCACTGATAAAAATTAAAGATGTAAATAAACATACCATATTTGTGTATTGAAAGATCAGTACTACTAACATTAAGATATCAAAACTTCCCAAACTGATACTTAAAATCAACACAATCTCTATCCAAATCCAGGTGATTTAAAAAATGTATATAGCAATAAAAAAAACATAAAATAGCCAAATAACCTCGATAAAAAAGAAAAAGTTGGAGGGAAGACTTTCACTACCCAATTTCTAGACGTATTATAAAGCTATAGAAATCCAGAACATGTGCTATTAAAGAAAGAATTGACATTTGATCAATTGAAAAGAACAGAGATTCAAATATAACCCCCACATGTACAGCTTCAACAGAGGTATTGAAACAATCCAATGGAGAGAAGGTCTTTTCAAGACAAGATGCTAGGAAAAAAAGGTTATTCACATGGGAAAAAATAATATTGACCCTATCTCACATTATACAGATAATACATCAAGAAGGATCACAGATAGAAACCTAAAAGTTAAAACTATAAAGCTTCTAAAAGAAAGCATTTTAAAAAACTGAATGACCTTGGAGTTGGCAATGATTTTTTTCAAGATAGGATGCAGAAACTTCTAACCATAAAAGAAGAAATTCATGAATTCAACTACATCAAAATTAACATCTACTTATCAAAAGAAGTAAAAGACATGTCAAGCAATACTTCTACTTACTCAGCACCTCCTTCCTATTTCTGTGCTTCTAGCAGGAATAGCAGAGCCATACCCCTGGAAAGCTGCTCCTCCACAAAAGCAGTAAAAACAACGGCAATAATGGGCAAAATCATTTTCCTCAGAACTCTTGAGATTATTTTTCAAGAAATCCTGCAACAATCTGAGAAGCATTTGGTCACGAAAAATAACTAAACCTCAATAAGAACAGTGATTTTTGTGGCATTTTAAGTTGCCCTATCCCCATCCTTATCTCTCAGCTCCATAGTAGCACTGAAAACCAACAGCTCCTTGATCCCAGTAAAAACCAGCAGCCTAGCAGCCACTGGAAAGGGCAAAATACATTTGGAGCTTCCCAAAAAACTATGCTCAGACAACTGTCGTAATGTGCCATGTCTGACATTCTCTGAAAACCCCCATTCCATGGCTTGTTTTTCTTCAACCTGGCTCAGACTCCACTCAGCACTTTCACCAGCGGCATTTGTTGAAAACAATCAGTTATGAATTTTTAACACCATAGTGGCCTAAGATGATGATAACAACTGGGGCAAATAAGAAACTAAGCAAAAATCTTAAAAGGAAAAACTGGAATTAAGCTGTACACATATGTTGTTTCAGAAAGCTTCAACGTATTCCTAAAAATTTAGAAGACCATGCACAGGTGGAAGACTGTTCTCACACTGCTATAAAGAACTACCTGAGAGTGGGTAATTTATGAAAAAAAAGAGGTTTAATTGACTCACAGTTCTGCAGGTTTAACAGGAAGCATGACTGGAAGGTCTCCGGAAACTTACGATCACGGCGGAAGGGAAAACAAGCACTTTCTTCACATAGCAGCAGGAGAGAGAGGGAGAAGGGGGAAGTGCCATACACTTTTAAACCATCAGATCTCATGAGAACTCACTCACTATCACGAGAACAGCAAAGAGGAAATCCACCCACGTGATCCAATCACCTTCCACCAGGCCCCTCCTCCAATGTGACATGAGATTTGGGTGGGGACACAAATCCAAACCATGTATAAGACTGTACACATGCTCAGGAAAAATCTGAGAAGGCCCTAATGTCCCACTTCTGGCTAAAAGGGAGGCATTACACAAACAGGAAGTGATGGCCAATGCAAAGTTGTAAACCATCTTACACATTCCTGAGTGTTGAAGACATGCCCCACAATTCATACAGAGCCACTTGAAAAAATTGGGGACACTTACTGTACTCAGGTATTTAAGAAAGTATCTGTCCAATAATTAGATCATTAGATGGCCACTAAGCTAACCAGAGACTTCAGTAGTCATACACAACATAGAAAATAGACTTTACAGAATTAGTCAACAAACAAGCAGCAATGACAATACTACAATCAGCAACATAAACAAACACTGGAGAGAAGTGAGAGAAGATCTGATTTCCAGAGTTGTCACATTGTATTATTTAAAAGGTCCTGTTTTAAATAAAATTTTATGAGATATGCAAAGAAACAAGAAAGTATCACGCATACACAGGAAATGAGCAAGTCAATAAAAATTTTTTTGGAGAAGATCAGACATTTTTTAAAAATTGCAGGCCAGGCACAGTCGCTCACACCTGTAACCCCAGCACTTTGGGAGGCTAAGGCAGGCAGATCATTTGAGGTCAGGAGTTTGTGACCAGCCTGGCCAACATGTTGAAACCCCGTCTCTACTAAAAGTACAAAAATTAGCTGAGTGTGGCAGCACATACCTGCAGTTCCAGCTACTCAGGAGGCTGAGGCAGGAGAATCACTTGAACCCAGCAGGCGGAGGTTGCAGTGAGCCAAGATTGTGCCACTGCACTCCAGCCTGGGGAAATAAATAAATAACAGCACCTATATTAAAAATATTTAAATAATTAAAATAAACCATGTCTAAGGAGCTAAAGGATACTATGAGAGCAATGTCTTATCAAATAGAGAATATCAATAAAGAGACAGACAATATTGAAAAGGAGCCAAATAGAAATTCTGAAGTTAAAAATATCAAAACTGAAGTAAAAATTCACTACAGGTGCTGGACAGCAGATTGAAGCTGATAGTTGAAGGAATCAGTGAGCTTGAAGATAGGTGAATTGTAATTGTTCAATTAGAGAGACAGGAAAAAAAAGGGGATGAAGAAAAAAACAGATCTTCAGAGACCTGTGGCAGACCGTCAAGCATACCAGCATATTCATAATAGATATTCCAGAAGAAAAAGGAAGAGAAAAGGGGGCAAAAAGAATATTTAAAGAAATGACAGAAAATTCCCAATCTTGAGGGGGAAGAAAAATATTAATCTATACATTCAACAGGCTCAATAAACTCTAAGATAAACTCAAAGACCTTCACATCTAGAAACATCATAGTCAAAATGTCAAAAGTAAAAGATAAAGAGAGTATCTTGAAAGCAGCTAGAGGAAAATAAATCATCACATGCAAGGCATCCTTCATACTAATGGATGGTTTCTTCAGAAAATATGGAGACCAGAAAGAAGGCAGTGAGACGATATGTTATATGTGCTGAAAGGAAATAAAAACAGTAACTGTCAACCAAGAATTTTATATCCAGCATGACTATCAATCAAAAATGAAGAAAGAAATTCTATGTGGATGCTTCACAAAAGAAAGATAAATATGCCCAATAAGCCCAGAAAAAAATGCTCAATACTTTAGCTATCTGGGTAATGTAAAGTAAATCCAAAATGAAATGTGATTTCATTTCACTAAAATAAAAAGACAGAGAACACTAAATGTTGGCAAGAATGTGGAACAACAAGAACTCTCATATATTGTTGCTGGAAGAATAAAATAGTAAATCACTTTGACAACTATTAGACAGTTTTTAATGCACTTAAACATAAATATGCAATATGACCCAGAAATTTCACTCCTAGATATAAAAAATTATATATAAATATTCATAGCAGCTTTATTCATATTAGTAAAGAAAAAGAAAACAATTCAACTGTCCAGCAATAGGAGAATGGATTAAAGAAACTATGGTATATTTATAAAGTGAAATACTACTCAGGAATAAAAAAGAATGAACTACAGATACTTCCAACAACATGAATGAATCTCAGAAACGTTATTCTGAGTGAAAAAAAATGGGACACAGAAAGAACATATTGTATATGTATTATACATAAAGTTATAGAACAGGAAAAACTAACCTATTGCAGTAGAAATCAGAACAGTGGTTGCTGAGTGGAGGGGAGATGGCTGATTGGGAAGGCACACAAGTTAACTCTCTGGAGTGATGCAAATGTTTGATATCTTAATAAATATATAGATTATACAACTGTACACATTTGCAAAACTCATAACTTGCATTTAAATATACCTTAATAAAAATTACAAAAAAGAAAAAGGCATGTAAATTAATAGACAAATAATAAATATTTATTGAAATGATAGCTATTATTATTAAACAATGGAGGTCAGTATCCATGAACATAACTTGTTTCTTATTTCTCTGATATTCAATGTGATCATGAAATTAAATATGGAACATGCAGTAAAGATATAACCCTGAGAGAGGGTCAGGAGGAAAACAATAAAACACTTAAAAGCATCTTTATTTATGAGCCCACAAAACAATCATTTGGAAACTCATCTTTTTAAGCTAATTTTTATTGCATTCCTACTAGGCACCAAGCATGCTAGTCTATTAAAACTCAGGTCTATGCTAATTTTAATAGTGGAATCACCACCCAGATTAGCAAATATTCAGAAATATTTATCTTTTTTAAAGATAATTTAAAGGATAATTTAAAGATAAATATTTAAATATTTATCTTTTTTAAAGATCCTGGCTACTATATTGCCAGGATCAAGGTTTGTTTATACCACAATTTATCAATGCCCCCTTACAGGGCCTTTTTACCCAAAGATACAAACCACTGGGGTCTCCTCTTTTCTGTAACTTTTGATGTATTTCCTTTTCCTTGTTCTCTAGGTACATTAAAATAGCTACACAGATGAAATATGCAGACCACCAAGGGAAAATATGAAGTTTGGCCTTTAGTTCCAGTTAAAACAAAATGTTAGGTCTTATACCACAGTGTTTACCTTGAAGAGGAAATCAAAGACTGGGTGGTATACTGAAGTACCAAAACATCCTTATTTTATTTTATTTTATTTTATTTTATTTTATTTCATTTTATTTTATTTCATTTTATTTCATTTTATTTATCTATTTTTTATTTTTTATTTTTATTTTTATTTTTTTTTTTGAGACACAGTCTCGCTGTGTAGCCTAGGCTGGAGTGCAATGGTGCAATTTTGGATCACTGCAACCTCCGCCTCCCGGGTTCAAGCGATTCTTCTGCCTCAGCCTCCTGAGGAGCTGGGACTACAGGCGCATGCCACCATACCTGGCTACTTTTTTGTATTTTTAGTAGAGACGGGGTTTCACCATGTTAGCCAGAATGGTCTCGATCTCCTGACCTCGTGATCCACCCACCTCGGCCTCCCATAGTGCTGGGATTACAGGCGTGAGCCACCACACCCCGCCGAAACACCCTTATTTTAAATAATTCTCTCCTAAGAACCAGTCCTAGGTTATTGACCTTCCAGAGGGAACTATTTCAATAGTTTAATGTGGACTCTCAACTTCACTGATTATGAATGAGAAAGAGCTTTATTTTCCAACAGCTATTTCCCCAGTCGTGACATGTTAAATCTATCCTTCCTAACAGTCTCCCCTAACAGTCTCATTTGATTTCCGCTGGTCAATCTTGTTCATTTTGATCTTGTTCATTTCATTTTTCATTTCTAATTCTAAATGCCACCACTCCTCCCTTAGACCTGTGGTACAAATGGCTTTGAATTAGGGAGTGGGGTGGTCTGCTTATCGTAAGTACCTCTATTCACCTATGCGGATTCCTCTAGCATTTTGGAAGAAGGAAGGAGAAGGAAAAGGCAGTGTCCTCAACTGATTGGATAACGTTGGTAGCATCGCTGGCCTTGGCAAGCCATCAGGGCACATTGAGCTTATTGTCTTGGACTGATGGTAGCTTTAGTGCGCTCCATTGACCCACACAGCTCTCCCAGCACTGACCATTGATATGTCTGGATCTGTGTTCATATCCAAATCTCATGTTCAACTGTAATTCCCAATGTTGGAGGTGGGGCCTGGTGGGAGGTGACTGGATCACAGGGGTGGTTTCTCATGGGTTAATACTATCCCTCTTGGAGCTGTCATCATGACAGTGAGTTCTTGTGAGAACTGGTTGTTTAAAAGTGCATAGCACCTCTCCACCCTCTTTTTCTTCCTCCTGCTCTGGTCATATAAGATGTGCCTGTTTCCCCTTCACCTTCTGCTATGATTATAAGTTTCCTGAGGCCTCCTCAGAAGCAGAAGCCACTTTACTTCCTGTACAGCCTGCAGAACCATGAATCAATTGAGCCTCTTTTCTTTATAAATTACCCAGTCTCAGGTATTTTTTTATAGCAAAGTGAGAACAGACTAATACAACCATCCTGACCAAGATCTTGTTAGATCTTCCAGTTAATACCAGGATGGTAGCGTCATGATCCATTCTTCTAATACACAGGGAATTATTTTGTTTTGTTTTGTTTTTTGCCTCCAAATCTCCCCAAATTGTGAGGATACTAACAAGACTAGACCCCTATCCCTAAGGTTTCAATTATCTGAGCCTGACAGCAGATATGGCATCAGTCTTCCAAACTTTCTGCGAACCAGAACTTGAAGTAAACCCCAACTTGTGGCCTATTCCTGCCTGGCAGTACCCCACTAAGATGTCTCTTTACAGATTCTTCTCTTCTGCCAGATAGCCAGGTCGCCAAGCCTGGCTAAGCATATGTTCTAATGGAGATTAAAATACCTGTAGTGTCTTCTTTGAGACAACCATAACTTGGATTAATATTCTCTTTGAGCCTCTCGCCCTACTCTTAGTGGCAGATTTAGAGTAAAGGAAGCAATTAAACTTGCTTTATTAACATTGTACTCCAAAAAAGCAATATCTTCTCTCCCATTCTCGCTTTATATTAATTTACAGGAGTGGAAGTGACAGCTTTGGAGGAATAATTTTCTGATCTCAGTCCTCCCAGTAGATGTCTGGCCTTAACCACTGGCAGCTCTCAAAACTTAGAATGTAGGATACTTAGTTCAGCTTTGGAACTTGGTTGTAATTCTAAGATAACAGGAAACATCCGATTCAATAAATATATTTAGCAAAAAGAAATGGGTTTTAGAATCAGACTTTTAGACATTCAATATTTTTATTCAGCTTCTACTATGTTCTAGGCTCAAAGTAATTGCTGTTTGTATGGAAGTAAACAAAATACACATGGTCCCTCTTCTTGCTTAGCTTATGATCTCAGGGGAAAAACCAGACAATACATAAGTAAGCAAATGCATGAATTATTGCTAATAGATATAGATCTGCTATGAATGGAATGATGGGAATAAGTGGTAGAAAATGGGAATGATGTTGATAGGGAAAGGCTACTAAGAGGAGGTGACAGAAACAGGATTTGAAGTGACCTCGAGTAGAAGCCATGAAGATGCAATTCAGTAAGCATATTAAAGGTACCTTTTTCCTAAAACACAGTAAAGGTTTTGAAAAAGGCATCTATTATAACTAAATAGAGAACTACTGGCATTGTAAAGTGGAAAGTGGACTGGACAGAAAACCAGATTCAACGCATTAACTTTATGACTCTGGGCAGGTCACTTCGCTGCTCCAACCCTTCTTTTCCTCAACTGTAAAAGAGAAGACTACATTTTACAGGAAATATGAGACTATAAACTACTTTATATAATAAAAATATTTGTTTTTAAAGCTTCAGTGTACTTGATATGATAAAATAATGAACATCTACTCTTAAGCAGAGATGGATTTATTATGAAACTAAGGAAGCTTAAATTTCAGGGCCTCTTTCTCTTATGGGCCACTGGGTACTGGGAGTCACAGAGTTTCGTGTGTAGGGAGAGGAGAGAGGATACAGTCAGCATACAGTCAACAGTATACATACATTTATATGTAAACACTTCTGGCATATTGTCTAAAGTGATGTCAGCAAAAATGAAAGACTAAATCTGAAAGATTCCACTCATCTTAAAGACTACAAGAAAAATGTTCGTCTTGAATACTGGCACTAAGTGATGGAAGGAAAAACATCTTTCCAACATATCTGACCACACACTAGCCCTTACATGCCTTCGTTCTCTAGGTTATCCAACAGACTGCAATCCAAATACTTAGTATAAAGTACTTATGGCTTCATAAATTTCCCTGCATGTCCAAGAAGCAAATCAAATCCTCTCTGAAGACCCAAGTCTCAAAGAATTCCAAAAAAGTACCAAGACACATGAAATCCTCATCAAAAATCACAAACACAGGAGAATGAAAAAGAATCAATGAGTATAAGCCAGCAAAAACTCCAGAAAACTGAAATTATCATAAATAGAATATAAAATAATTATGATTAATGCTAAAAAATAAAAGATGGGGTTAAAACTAAGACTAAAGAAGAGACCATAAACAAATGAATAAATACTTTAAAAAGAACAAAAATAAATTTTAATAAGGACAATCATGATTAAAATTAATAAATGGGTTATAATAGCAGACAGAAACAGAAAAAATAGTAAATTAAAATGTAGATCTAAATAAATTATTAAAGCATTAAGAGACATAGAGAAGAGAAAAAAGGTAAATCTAACATGTTTATTAGAGATTCAAAAAAAGAACAGAGAGAATTGAAGAGAGAATTGGGTACAGACAATATTTAAAGACATATTAGAAAGTCATTAAAACCCAAACAAAAGGAAAGCTGTGTTCATACCATGGAAGACTCAATATTTTGAAGATGTCAATTCTCCCTGAATGATTTATGGATCCATACAATTTCAATCAAAAGTCCCACAGGCTTTTGAGGGAACTTGACAAGCTAATTCTAAAATTTATAAGGAAGAACAAAGAACAAAAGGAGTTAAGACTCCCTAGGAAAAAGATTTGGAAGTAGGGAAGGCATTAGCAGATATCAAGACCTGTTATAATCCATTAACAATTAATACAGTGTGGTATTAAGACAGAAATAAACAAACTGACCAATGAAACAAAGACAGTCAGAAACAGACCAAAAAATACATAGAAACTTGATTTATGACAGAACTGGCATTACAGAATAATGAGAAAAGATACACTTTACAACAAATGTTCCCACAATAATTGCTTATCCTTATAGAAAAATTAAATAAAATTGTATTTATACCTCGAAGCATATATACATTTGATCCCAGGTAGATTAAAAATGGAAATGTGAAATACAAAACTATGTAAGTTTTAGAAGATAATACAGGAAAGTATCTTTTTAAAATCAAAGTGAACAGAAGTATTTAATAAATAGAACACACACACACAAAAATCTAGAAATCCTAGAAGGAAAATATTTATAAATTCAATTGAATTAAATAATTCTGTTCATCAAAAACACCATGAAGAAGGTAAAAAGATTAGCCACAAAATAAAAGATGTTTTCTACAACTAATAGATACTAATAAGAAAAAGATAAACATCCTCCCCCAAAAAGTGAACCAAAGATTTGAACAGGTAGTTTACAAAAGGAGAAACCAAATATTAACAGTAAAAAAAGAAAAACATGTTCAGATCCATCAGATAACTGGAAATTCATCCCCGTCCTCCTCCTCCCCCTTTTCTTCTTTCCTCCTCATCATTCCTCTACCACTTTAAACTAAACAGACTGACAAAAATTTTAAAGTGTGACAATATTACCTCTTGGCAAGATATAGAGCTTACATACTGTCACAAGGAGGACAACATGGTTCATCACTATGGAAAACAGCTTGCTGTTCTATAGGAATATTGAAGGTGCACATAAACACAGGAATTATACTCCAGGATATGCACCCTAGATAATCTCTGGTATATACACACAAGATGATAGTTAAAATATCATATCAGCACTATTTATTACAGAAAAATATAAAGGCAACTCAAATGTCAGATGAAAGCAGAACAGATAAATACATTGCAATATAGTCATACAATGAAATAATACTCTTTACAAATGAAAATAAATGAACTACAGTTGCATAGAACAAAACATATGAAACTCAAGAACACAGTGGTGACTAAAAGTGTTAATTGCAGATTGCACACAGTAGTATTTCATTTACATAACATTTTAAATGCAAATAGAGCTATACTATGTATTCTTGACAGGGGGCATGGAACAGAGGGGAAGAGCACAGAATTTGCAGTCAGACTGCCTGAACTGGAATTCGGGTTAATCTCTATATATCTTGATTTCCTCATCCGTAAAATGGGGATACCAACTTTTTTTTTTTTTTTTTTTTTTTTTTTTAAGACGGAGTCTCGCTCTGTCACCTGGCTGGAGTGCAGTGGTGCAATCTCGGCTCACTGCAACCTACGCCTCCTGGGTTTAAGCGATTCTCCTGCCTCAGCCTCCCGAGTAGCTGGGATTACAGGCGCCCACCAACACACCCAGCTAGTTTTTGTATTTTTAGTAGAGACGGGGTTTCACCACGTTGGCCAGGATGGTCTCAATCTCTTGATCTCGTGATCCGCCCACCTCTGCCTCCCAAAGTGCTGGGGATTACAGGCGTGAGCCACCATGCCTGGCTGGGGATACCTGCTTCTGAGGATTGCTTTTGAGTTAAATGAATGTATGGCATTTAAGTGCTTGGCACATAGAAATCACTATATGAAAGTTTTATGCTGCTATCATTAGTAAAGATACAAATATTTGGTTAAATGTTAATAAAAAGCAAGGGAACAATAAGTGAAAAATTTAAGCTTATTGGGGATGCTCAGGAATAGATTAAGGAAAATAAGCAACAGACTTCAGAGGTTATTACGATGGTACCCTTTGTTATTAAAATGGGTAGGGAATACTCAGATATTTGTTGGGTTATTACCCTTTATAATTTCCAAATATTTTGTTGTATCCTACTATATATTCTCTTCTCAATAAAAATATTTTAACCAAGCATCAGATTTATTCTAATTATACATTTAGAACATTTCATGTTTTGTGTTCTAATCAAAATTGAAAGTGTGCCATATTAACAACAAATTCTAGTAATGATCTCAAGAATGTGCAATAATAAAAATATTTTAAGCATTATAAAATTAGGAATAGAAAGATATGTAAGCCTTTACACAGTCAAATTGCTGCTGTCCAAAGCTGTCACCCTAGAAAATACACACTACATCTCTCCCAATAGCAAATGGTATTTAACTGAGATTCCAGTATCTTGTTTAAAGCATTGAAGATTCCTCTTTTGGAAATGCCTCCTGAACCTGCAGGCACTCTTTGGAAGATTCTGAATGTTAATAGTCGTCATATTTTGAGGATAGATTTCATTTTATTCCAACAGCAACAAGTTATTTGAAACTAAGTTTGATGGATGAGATAGGTGAGTTAGCTGTATGATAGACAATTGAGATGATGATATGTTTCATAAAACAGTTTCTCCAAGTAATTCCAAAGAATAATAGACTTTCAGGGTTAGCAAATAATCAAATTCAAGCTTCCTCGCCACTTAGCAACTTGTTCTGCGAAGAATCCTGAAAAATGGTCAGCCAGCTTCAGCTTGGAATTTCTAAGTAACAAAGATCTAGACAAAACACCCTAGAGCACAAGTGGTGAAAGGCTAATTGCCACAGTTTCTAAACTTATAATCTTTATATTAGTTGATATGGGACCATCGTTCCAGTCTATGGATATCTAAATCTGATTTCTATCACCATGTGTCTCAGCTGTCTTTCCCAGAGGAGAATAAGAGCAAGTTGATAAGTTGATAAGCATTCATGTATGATTCACCTGTCATTGATAAACATAGCAACCAGCACAGAACCAACTGCAGGACCCCTGCTCAAATAGATACCTGGCTCCAGCTTGGAATTAATTTATAATATTCACATAGGGTGGAGTAGGGTGGGATGTAACATTTGTGATTTGGCCTAATTTTAGCCTATCTATATGTTTCTACCTTAACCACAGGGAAATCACAAAATATTATCAGATACATTGCTGAAATTTAGACACAAGTTGTCTATGGAATTTTCCAAAGCTATCACTATAATAACCCCATCCAATAAATGAAATGAGACACATAATACACATTTATTTTTAAGGAACTCATGCTAGCTCTTTATGACCACTATTTTCTTTTCTAATTCTACATAAAACATCTGTTTAATTACTGTTAGGATAATTTTGTAGAGGTTGCCATTAACTTATTAAGCTGTAAGTTAACCTACCCAATTTTTTTTAATTTTTATTTTAGAGACAGGGTCTCTTTTTGTCACTCAAGCTGGAGTGCAGTGGTGCAATCATAGCTCACTGCAGCCTCAAATTCCTAGGCTCAAGCAATGCTCCCACCTCGGTGCCTCAAGTAGCTAGGACTACAGGCATACATCACCATCTCTGACTTATCTATTTATTTGTAGATATGGGATCTCACTATGTTGCCCAGGTTGGTCTCAAACTCCTGGCCTCAACTTATCCTCCCACCTCAGCCTCCCAAAGCACTGAGATTATAAGGCATGAGCCACTGTGCCTGGCCACTTGCCCAATTTTGAATGGGGATATTTTCTTACCACCAATTTTTCAGAAACTCTCCCATTTCTACTATTTCTCAGACATTATTGACCCATAGTCCTATGACCAAATTTATAGGATCTCTTACTATCTGTGGTATAATTTATTTGAATGTAGAAAACTTCACTCTTCAAAGAAAGTAGTTTTTTTAATAGATTCTTTCTGATTTTGGATTATTTGCTATTATCAATATTGATTCCTTTTTCCAGTTTTAAAATAATTATCCTAATTGAATTAAAACAATATTGGGCATAAATTCATATCCTTTATAGATCTAAAATTTTAACATTATTTTCTTTTCCTTTCAAGGTTAAAAAAAATGTTTAAAAACATCTAACACATATCTGCTTTTAAATACATACTTTAAACAATTCTGTCTTCCCTAAAACAATTTACATCTTTTATAATGTGAGTGCCCATCATTGCTACTTTTTTATTTTTCTTCTATTTCTTTATACCTATTTTTAGATGTTTACCCTAAATAGAGGACAATGGCATATTTAGCAGAGAAAGAGATATGGAAGTGGAGAAGGGCAAGAGAAGCAGGAGTAGAGAGAGGGCAGGAAGCTATGGATTGCCCAAATCCCATGGTAGATCTTGGTTTATCAAATTGGACATGCAGAACAGAAAGCAGCCACCTTGTCACACCTATCACACAAGTTGGCCCTGAACAAAACCCTGCTGTGTTACCATTTATTTCAGTTCACCCTAACCATAGCAATAAGACATCTTACTGAAACTCAATATTATCTCTAAAATTACTCCTTGCTTAGAAACAAAGTAACTACCTATTCTCTCCAACATGAAATCCATTATCTTCAACCTAGATGTTGGGTTTCCCTACTCACCACCTCCCTGTCGTCCTTCATGCAAGGGTGTCCCTCATGAATCCACATATGTGGTCTTTCCACCAGGAAAAGTAATCGCTCATTTCTATGCCTTCGTAAGTATGAATCCTTCCACCTGAAATGGCTTTGTCCTTAGCTTCTAGGCATTCATATTGTTATCCTCCATCCCTCCTTCCTAATCAGAAAACAGAAACAAAAATAACCGCCATAAAAAGGACTACACTGAATCTTCTCTGTGGTTTCCCATAATATAATCACCCCTCTCTGTTTACTGCTCTTTTCTACATCTTGCTTTTTGGTGAAAAGCAGAGAGAAGCCTAAGACCAGTGGTCTGGTTTTTGAGAATCTGATCTAAATGGTACGGGTAGAAACTAGGCTTCAATATTTGGAAAACCTCCCTCGGTGATTCAAATGTGCAGCCAGGGCTAAAGCCACAGTGAGATCAACTCTTCTCAGTCCACTGTATAAGTCACCAGCCAAGCTTGGGAAATACCTTAATTATCATCCCCAGACCTACAAAATTAGAAGCTCTGAAGCCTAGACATTTGTATTGTGAAAATCTAGGTTCCTGGCAAACCCAGATTGAGAAATGCTGGCCAAAACAATGTGTCAGTCTGATGGTGGAGCAGGGTGGAAAGTTATGAGACCCACTGCCCTCTCCCCTCCTATTTTGAAAGTCTCTTAAAGTCCAGAAACGTTGTTCCTTTTAGCCTCATCCAGACCACCAATTGGGTATTAAATGGAGTCTTGTAGAATCACTATTAAAGTCCCAGCTTCACTTAGGGCAATACTATGGCATATGCCTAAAAGAATAAGCAAGTATGAGCACACACAGCAGTGCCCTGTAGCATGCAAATGAACAAAGGGTGTGCAAAGCAACAGGGAAAAGCATGTATAACTCAGAAATACTCTGTGCTCCCTGATGACTAACCAGACAACCTTGATAGAAGCCCAAACCTATTATATTAGTGGTATTGTCTCAGAAAGGGAGTGAATTCTGCTTGTAAGAGAGAAGTAGGGAAGTCTTCACAGAGGAGGAGTTCAGCCTGAGAAGAACTTTACCAGATAAACAATCAGGTTCAAAGTGTGCTGTCAAGAGGGGAAAGCAGAGCGAAGCCCCAGGGCTGTGACGGTGAATGCCTTGTGCTGGTTACAAAAAGTCACCCACTAGGGCCAGAATGTAAGGAGTAGGAAGGAAAGAAACAAGGCATGAAGGTGGATGGCTGAGAGCAAGAGTTTGAAGCTCTGAATGACCTAGGAAGGAGGTCACAGACAAAAGGGAATCACCCAATGCTTTTGTGTAAGAGATTGCATTCACAATCTGGTCTCTGCAAAATCTTTCTTATTCACGACTTTAATAGGAAATTCAATGTTATAGTTCTCTGGGAATCACGGAACATTCTTACAACTGTCTTATTGTAATTTTGCGACATCTTCAGACAATCTGAACGTTCATGAAAAGACTCATTGTCAGAATAAAAACTGCAAGAAAGGCCTTTAAATGACTGTAAAAATTTCCTAAGAAAGAGCTTGCTAACTATTCGAGCTCATGACCAATTCCCACAGGTATCTCCAACTGCTATCAAATTCTATTGCTGTAACAACCTGCCACTCACTTCTACTTTATACCAGTGACCAGAAGACAGCCGGATCCAGAATAGGTTAACTCAAACATAAAGCCAGAGATGCCAGTGAAGGAAAACTCAGCAGGGAGGTAATGAAAAATGAAATCACTATTCTCTCAACGATCTTTAAAAGTAAACAATAATGTAGACTGCTGAACACATGCAGGGTGTGTTGAAAGACTGAAAGATAAACCAAGAGCAAACATGTCATCACTGACCAAGAAAGGTTCTCTCCTCAAGTCCCAAATTTCATCTCCACTCCCACCTTCTGTGCAAAATACCTTCTGTCCGAATTCCCCAAGATCAAGGTAGGCACCTCCTTTACCTCTCTCTGCTCCTATTTAAACATTTCACAGTACGATAGCTAGCCTATTCCTTTGCCTCTCCTTCTGTGAAAAACAAATAACAACCAGCTCTACCTTCTGGCCTAAGAAAATTTTTCCACCCGTGTTTTTTACTCCATTCCTACCTGACTCTTACAGAACTTGATATCAACATCCTTTTACTCACCAGTAACCTTACTCTCTCCTTCCAGATGGGCTTTTATCTTTTCTTATGGAACTCATCCTATTCTACTTGTACTATATGGTAAACTTGCTTTTCTGACCCTTCTGATTGGATTACAGAAGACAGAGACTCTGTCTTACTTTGGGCCACGAAGTGACCAGCACATAGAAGGTGGCCAATAGTACTGGTTAATGTGAATAAAACTGCATAAAGAAATGTTGCCCTGTACACAGGAAAATGTCAAAAGAGTGGCTTTCTTCAGTGTACTGGTTCAGAGCTGGTGGGATGTGGGAGGGCCCATTATTTAGTCGTGAGAAGAAATGGCACAGACACGCCTTTTTTGGCTCTCAAGAAGGAAAAGGAAGAGGAAAAATTGCATATTTTTTTTCTTTGTGACTTACAAGAAATTAGAACTCTATTTAAAGTGAGTAATTGGCATTTTGGCTACAAGGAACAGTTCTCAGGAAAATGAAAAAAGAAATAAAATCTAAGAGTAAGTAAGCACATTGTAAGTGATATTAACATTTTAGAAGATGCTATGGAGCTTCTTGCAGGGCATAAACATATGTCTGTCTGTCCGTTTACAACTGAAAGCAGGTAGCACTCAGTAATGCCTACACTATATATTTTTATGTGTGTGTGTACATACTCATATAGAAATATTTTTATGTTGATTTTTATTTCTAATATTTGCATATTTGGAAATATTAAGTTGAATTGCCATAAAAATTAATGAAAAGAGGAATATTATGTGGGGGCGGGGAAGTGAGGCATGGAGAAGAAAAAGATTAAGTTCTAACAAGGGGTTGGAACAAGAGCATGCTTTACCTTCTCACAAAGGCTTCTTACGTAAAAAGCCAGTGCCTAATGGCTATTCCTGGGTAGAAAAACATCTCAGCACATGAATCGCACTGTTTCCACATACACAGCCTCTGATTGATTTAAACTTCCTTTTAGAATCCTTGTTGCAAATTACACAACCCACCCAGCGGAAGGAGCTATCATGAGACCTATTCTTTTCTACCAGGACAAGAGGAGTACTGCTCGGAGGTTGCTTTCTCAGAATGTGCTTAGAGTGCCGTCCCACCTAGAATGAGGAGTGATGACTCACCCAAATGGTGCTGCCCACTCACAGCATCTCAAGAGGATTAAAACAAAAACCAGCCGGGTGGGCTGGATGGCTTGTGAGCCTCCTGAGAACAACAGCAGTGAGCAACGGGGCATCCACTTTGTCGGACAGCATGTGGGAGGTTTCTTAAAAGCAAACCCTAGGCAGTAATATTATTGTTGTGGTTGTTATTGTTATTGGACCAGCTTTACGGATGAGGAGAATGACACCCAGGGAGGTTATGTAACTTGTCCCAAATTGTAAGTAAATAACAATGGGGCTGGGATTTGAACCCAAAGGTGGCCCCTTAGAGGAGAGATGCCCACCCTGCCAGGGGTGTAATGGGCATGCCAAACAGGGGAGGCTGAGAAGGGAACCGCAGCCAGGGAGAAAGAGGCACTATTACAAAAAAGGGAGAGGCAACGCCAAAGGCTTTTTCTGACTCAGGGCCACTCAAGCGCTTTCTCCTTGGATACGCAAGGCTCCAGACACACAGCTCCAGGCTCAGTGGCACTGCCTCAAAAGAACAAGAGACTTGCTGTGGGCAGTCATTTGCTGGCACATGTGAAAAAGAAGCCTCTGAAATGTGGACAACATAAGAAAAGTCACAGTTCTGAGGGACTTGTCATCCTTGAGGTGAGCACAACAGTTGCCAGGATACACTAGCAGGTCTCTCAGTCCTGGGCAACAAAGGAGAAGACGGCCTCCTCTCCAAGGCCCAGGTGACTCCTTAAGGGCAGAATCAGACTATGTGATGTAAGATTAAAGGCTGCCTGCCATTAGCAAAACTCTTCCTGTTGGGGGACTTGTGGCCAATGTGATCACTGCAAAAAAGGAACAAACTTTTCAGTATGATGGACTTCTGTGTAAAATATACAAGGGGCACGGTCTTTCACGCCATCGATATTTTGGTCAGCAGAAGGATCTAGGTCTTGGCACATAATATTTTAATGTCTTGGAGAACTAGATTTTCTGTATCCACTGATTATCTCATACCCACCTTTAATAGATGACTCTGAAATGTAAACAGGGTATAAAGCTGGAGTTCATGTCGAACGTGTCCTAAAATGTTTCACAGTCTACCTAGGAGTCTCTGAAGTCAAACATTCTCTGTGTCTGAGGTGTATGCTGCCAGAATCCCTTGATGGAATTACAGCCACAAAGGGCAGTGAGGGGCATGTTCTGCTTCAAGTCCCCTCCACAGCAGGAATCTTTGCAGCAGCCAAGAATTAGTTGCAACTGTCTCAACTTTTTTAGGAATATCTTTTAAAACCAGATGATTTTCTCGGTTAGCCTTGCCGCATTTGGTCAACAGATCAGAGAATTTAGAAGTAATATATCTCCACGTCCCCCTGGAACACAAACCTATCATTTTCTAGGCAGAATCATCAGAGTTTTCCAGCAGAGTTTTGCTCCTCCATAGGCCCCCAAGCAGAATGATATTGAAGAAGGGATTCACAAATGAAGTACTCGACGGGATTCATCTGAGGCTGGTTGGGAAGGCAGTGTCACTCTTCAGCACCACGCTGCCCAAACTTTATTGCTATCAGAATCACCTGGGTGCTTGCAAATCACAAAGATATATACGTATTATACTTTCAATAGTTTGAGTTACTGGTTTACTACAGATGGGACAGGAGTAAGGAGAAATAAGTACTCTCTAGCTGGAATTTACCTTTACTTTGTCATTTCTGTTACTCAGGCCTTTTTTTTTAAGGTTTTCTGCCATCCACGTAATGCCAATAGTAAATTTTACCACTGCAACTATAAACTAATTCCAATTCTAAATTCACCTAAAATCCAAGGAAGTTCTGAATAAAAAAAGACAGTAACCTGGTCCTGAAACATTTTCATGGCTGCACAGATAAGTGAGGGCTGGTGAAGCCTGACCCCTCTCAAAACAGCATGATTACGTGCAGGATAAGAATCTAAAGAAGGCTAGAATGGCAAACTTGATCTAATATTCTGGTCCCGCCTCACTGTATTCTTCTTGCTTATAGTGTGCATTCATTTTGCAGACGATTCTCACATGCCCTGGTGAACACAGCAGATCCTTTAAGTTACACTAGAGCTGTAATACTTGCCTGCCAGACACTGAGGTCCCCATACTTCATGAGCAACTAATATTATAACTAGAAGTGCAATCTAAAATTCATCAACTTTAAGGTTTTTCACACTTGAAAAAATCTTTTTTTTTTTTTTTTTTTTTTTTTGAGACAGAGTCTCGCTCTTTCGCCCAGGCTGGACTGCAGTGGTGCGATCTCGGCTCACTGCAAGCTCCACCTCCCGGGTTCACACCATTCTCCTGCCTCAGCCCCCCGA
This sequence comes from Homo sapiens, assembly GCF_000001405.40. Taxonomy (NCBI): domain Eukaryota; kingdom Metazoa; phylum Chordata; class Mammalia; order Primates; family Hominidae; genus Homo; species Homo sapiens. The sequence goes on from NC_000007.14 coordinate 137,720,385, forward strand.
GTGGCTGGGACCACAGGCGCCTGCCATCGCGCCTGGCTAATTTTTTTGTATTTTTAGTAGAGACCGGGTTTCACCGTGTTAGCCAGGATGGTCTCGATCTCCTGACCTTGTGATCTGCCCGCCTCGGCCTCCCAAAGTGCTGGGATTACAGGTGTGAGCCACCGCGCCCGGCCGAAAAAGTCTTGAGTCCTTATAATAATTTGCCAGGTGGGATTTTTGGTAATATCCCCCATACACTATTTCAAAGCCCCATATTTATTACCTTCATATTTAATTTTGCCCTGGGATTTATTATTATGGCTTAAATTTTTATTGTTTCAGAAGTGTTTCAATGGAAAGGTAATTATAAATTAGTATCACGCTTCCTTTATTCCTATTTGGTTAATCACTTAATTGTCACTGCATTATCAAGTCTCCATGATGTATTTTTAACATATTATTATTTTAACAGGTAATGCATACAAATTTAAAAATGAGACAAGACAAAAAAGCTTTTTTACTATCGTCTCCTAATCCTCTACCCTAGAGGCAGCCCTGTTACAAAATTTTATGTATCTTTCCAGAACTATGTTACGTGTTTACAAGTGTAAATATGTGTGTGTATGAATAGACTTACATAAAACAAATCATAGGATACCTTTTTGCATAACAACCTATCTTGGCAACCATTACCAGTCCATAAAGACTCACATCCTACTTTTTAACTGCTGTATTATATCCCATGGTTTGGACATCCTGTAATTCGGGAATTAATTTATCAGTTGTGCAAATTCAGGGAGGCCTCCACATTGTATTCTGTGTGAATGGCAGATCCTGGAGTTGTGCAAGGCCCTACACCACATTGTTTCTAATCCTACTACAAACAATCCTACAATGAATGTCTTTCTGTATAAAGGCTTGTGTGTCTGTACTAGTAACTAGTCTATCTGTAGAATAAAATCCTAGAAGAGAATTGATCAACTAATTGGTCCCTATAAATAACATCTTCTACCTGCCATCCTAAGCCAGAGATCTGGGAGTCATCCTCAATTTCTGTACACCTCCCACTTCTTCACCCCAAGTCACAAGGCCTGTTGATTTTACCTCAAACCTATACTATCTCTCCACTGCCTCTACCAATACCCTAGACCAGGTCATCATTACCCCTTTCTTGGACTATTGTGAGACCTTCCTAACGGTCTCCCTGCCCTCCACCTGCTTGCTTTCCAGCCCATCCTCTCATCCTCTACAGGGTCACCAATGTGACTGCTTAAAAAAGTAAATCTGTACACCTAACATTTTTGCTTAAAACCATTTAATGTTTCCCTTTGCCTAAGGTAAGTCCAAACTCAGCACAGCCTACCAGGCCTATACAATCTGGCCATTGCTTAATAACCAGGTTCAGCTCTTACCCTCTTATATGCCCAGTCTGTGCCCTGGTTACACTAAACCTGTCATGTCTTTCATGGAACTGGCAATGATCTGGCCCTTGGCACACATGGTTCCATTTGCCCAGAATGCTAACTTCTGCCTAATTCCAATCCTCCATCAAGCCAGCTAATACTCCATCCTCAGTCCTCAGCTTAGAAGTATAGCATAGTGAGCTCTTTCCCATCTTGCAAGATGGCGGGTGAAAAAGTTGAGAAGCCAGATACTAAAGAGAAGAAACCTGAAGCCAAGAAGGCTGATGCTGGTGGCAAGGTGAAAAAGGGTAACCTCAAGGCTAAAAAGCCCAAGAAGGGGAAGCCCCATTGCAGCCGCAACCCTGTCATTGTCAGAGGAATTGGCAGGTATTCCCGATCTGCTATGTATTCCAGAAAGGCCATGTACAAGAGGAAGTACTCAGCCGCTAAATCCAAGGTTGAAAAGAAAAAGAAGGAGAAGGTTCTTGCAACTGTTACAAAACCAGTTGGTGGTGACAAGAACGGCAGTACCCGGGTGGTTAAACTTCGCAAAATGCCTAGATATTATCCTACTGAAGATGTGCCTCGAAAGCTGTTGAGCCACAGCAAAAAACCCTTCAGTCAGCACGTGAGAAAACTGCGAGCCAGCATTACCCCCGGGACCATTCTGATCATCCTCACTGGACGCCACAGGGGCAAGAGGGTGGTTTTCCTGAAGCAGCTGGCTAGTGGCTTGTTACTTGTGACTGGACCTCTGGTCCTCAATCGAGTTCCTCTACGAAGAACACACCAGAAATTTGTCATTGCCACCTCAACCAAAATCGATATCAGCAATGTAAAAATCCCAAAACATCTTACTGATGCTTACTTCAAGAAGAAGAAGCTGCGGAAGCCCAGACACCAGGAAGGTGAGATCTTCGACACAGAAAAAGAGAAATATGAGATTACGGAGCAGTGCAAGATTGAGCAGAAAGCTGTGGACTCACAAATTTTACCAAAAATCAAAGCTATTCCTCAGCTCCAGGGCTACCTGTGATCTGTGGTTGCCCTGACGAATGGAATTTATCCTCACAAATTGGTGTTCTAAATGTCTTAAGAACTTAATTAAATAGTTGACTACGTTAAAAAAAAAAAAAAGTATAGCATAGTGAGTGGTGAAGTGCACAGGCTCTGGAAACAGACTACCATTTATTAGTTACCTATCCTGAGATAAATGAATCTACTTCTCTGTGCCTTATTTTCCCCATCTGTAAAATGGGACTAATTATATTATCAACCTCATAGATTTGTTGTGAGGATTAAATCAGTTAGAGTTCATAAAGCAGTAGATGGCTCATAGTAAGTGCTCAGAACCTGTTAGGTATGATGATGATGATGAAGTACCCTCCTCAGGGAGGCCTTCATGGAACCCTTAGACAAGGTTAGGTTCCTTTGCCATAGTAACTCTGTGTAATGAATGGGTCTAAAGGGTAGCTGAAGATGTACTGGTGATTAAAGCACTAAAGTGACTTTATTCATTCATTTGGTCATTCACTAATTTACCCAACACATTTATATGTGCAAACTCTGCTCCAGGCGCCATGCTAGACACTTGTGAGAACTGGGCAGACTCACTGTTGTTTCCAAGGCTGTCAAAATAAAAAGCCACGCAAATCAAAAACCAATTCCCTTGGTTACTGACGTTGCTATTCAGTCAGCTAGTATTTATGGAGCTAATAGTTACGCCTCATGTGCAGGAAGTCTTCTGGATGGTGGGCATAAAACAAAAAAGCCCAACAATGCCCCCGCTTGAGATAGCTTACTGCCTGGGAGACGAGTCAAACAACAAACAAATACACTCTTAGTATACAGTGAAATCATGACAGCAGTGATGAAGAACAAGATCAAGAGTAGGGCAAGGGATGCTGATTTTGATAAGGTATCATGATATCCCTTTTTTTTTTTTTTTTTTTTTTTTTTTTGAGACAGAGTCTTTCTCTGTCACCCAGGCTGGAGTACAATGGTGCAATCTTGGCTCACTGCAAACTCCGCCTCCTGGGCTCAAGTGATTCCCCTGCCTCAGCCTCCTGAGTAGCTGGGATTACAGGCACATATCACCATATCCAGCTAATTTTTTGTGTTTTAGTAGAGACGGGGTTTCACCATGTTGGCCAGGATAGTCTCGATCTCCTGACCTTGTGATCCGCCCACCTCGGCCTCCCAAAGTGCTGGGATTATAGGGGTGAGCCACTGCACCTGGCCCATGATTTCCTTTTGATAAGGTATCATGACATCCTCTGAGCAGACCCCTACATTAGGTAAGAGAGAGAGAGAGAGAGACAGTCAATTGAATATTTGGTAGAAGAACATTCCAGACAAAGGTAACTTGAAATGCAAAGTCCCTTAGATTTTTAGCTTGTTCAGGTAACAGCCAGAAAGTGGGTGAGGTTGGACCTCAGCAAGCGAGGGAGGAGGTGACAGGAGATAAGGCTGGAGAGGCATCTGGGGCCAGAGGCATTTATAGGCCATGGTGAGGACCTTGGATTTTCTAAGGGCAAAAAGAAACCAACATAAGTTTTTGAGCCAGGAAATGATATGAACATCTTTATGTTTTCAAGGGTCACATTCGCTGGTATGTGGAGAACATATCTGAATTAGTTTGAAAGGGGAGGGGTATAACTAGAGAAATCATTTAACAAGCTACTACAACAGTCCAGAAAGTGATGGCTTGGATTGGAGTGGTAACTGTGCTGGTGGTAAGAAGTGGTAAGATTCGAGGTATATCTTGAAAGCAGAGCCACTTGCTAATGGATTACTATTAATGAACTAATGATGAATTGTTGGTAAAAAAGAAAAGCCAAGGATGACTCAAGGTCCCAGGACAAATGGTGGTACATTTACTGAGATGGGGACATTGACAGAGGACCAAGTGTTTGGGATGTGATTGGAATTAGGCAGATGTGGTTTTGAACAAATTGAGTTTAAGATGCCTACAAGACTTCTAAGCAGAGATGTCAAGTAGGAGGTGTGGAGTGCAGGGGAGGCAAGCACTAGAGATGTACATTTGAACATCTGCAGCATATAAATGGTATATAAAGTTACAGGAACAGATGAAAGCCAAGTAGGGAGTAGCTGGGAATAAAGAAGAAAAGAAATGCTATACTCATACTGCACCCAGGGGCTCTCCAACAATTAGAAGTTGAGAAGGTAAGATCGTTTCTAGCAAAAAGACTAAAAAGAAGCAGCCAGTGATGGAGGAGGAAAAGCAGAGGAGAAAAGGGCAAAGCTCTTTATACAGAGGTGAGAAGGGGATGAGGTGGGGAGGGCGAGAAGGTTTGAAAAGGATTCCCTGAGGAACTCATCCCAGGTATTCTGTGGGTATTATCCCCCTTCTGCTCTTTAATACCACTCCCTCCCAAAGCCTGTGATTTCTCTTTCATACCTACTTCTTATGCTTCTTTCCTCCCTGCATTTTGAGTATCAAAATGTTGTCAACCTACGGGAGAAGTGATAAATCAGTGGAATCATCTGTAGCTTCAGAAGTCTACAGCTGAAGACATTTGAAATATATTCTTCTGGGCAGAGATACACCTGGGACCGCCTTGACAAAGGGTCAAAATAACCAGATTTTGCCTGGTCCAATCAACCTTCCCCCAATTCATTACATTTTTATGCCTCTACCATTCTCCCTTTGGTTTTCCTTATTATACCACTATGTCCCTGAGGTGACCTGGAGACATCACAAGACGATAAAGCCTTGGGGCTTGCTGGGAAATGTCCTCTCAGCATGAAAAAGAGAAGCTAGCAGAGGCATTTCTATTTCAAATCACTTTAAAAAAAGGTAGCTTGTTTTCTTTAAAAAAAAAAAAGGTTGTGATATTTTTCTCATTATAAAATGCAAATAGATTTAATTAACCTTAGAAAACTACAAGTGGTGGGAAACCCAGGTGACTTTCCATTCTTTTCCTGTACCTTTGTTTTCTGACTTCTAATAGTCGTCTGTATTTCCCTTTCAAGCATAGATTTCCATGTAAATGAAACCGAAAGAGACCAAATTGGGAGTTTTACATTTCTCTCCTAGCCTAACTCTCTTCTTCTCTTTAAATCTACTGACTGATTTTTATTAGACCCAACGTGATTTCTTTCGTTTTCTTTTTGGATATTTTCAGATACATCAGCTCCTATTTTTATAGCTGTCATATAGTACAGTATCTAAAATTAGTTATTAAATAGAATACTCAAAGCTCATCAAATGTCAGCTATTTTAACATGCCTTGTCTGGGGACCAAGAGACTCTTTTAAACCCCAACTCCTATCTCCCACTGCCTGCTCTATATCTCACCCTGAAGATCCTTTATAACTACCATGCACCAAACTGAACTTTTGGTCCTTCTCCCCTCTCAGGCAATGGTCCTTTTCTCACTTCAGTTGCTAGGGATCTTCCTTTCAGACTTCATCACTCTCAACCTCCACAATCAATGATGAATGAATGCAGTCAATTCTCTCTCTCCCATATGTCTTGAAGCTCTCCATTCACTGCATCCCCTCTGCCCCACAGGCCAATCTGAGCCATGTCCACATAGATTGCTGCAAATGCTTCTGATCGATTTCTCCTGTCCTCCACTTTTCCCTTCCAATCCAAGTCCAATTCCAAAATATTTTTCTCATGGTCACTATTCTGAGAAAATCAGGTAAGATAATTCCGTAGTTACCAAAAACAACTCTGTTAGACCGAAATTATTAACCAAAATATAATGGTACTGGATCATGATGTTTGTTGTTAAAAAGATCTGAGAATTTCAAAATTTGAGCAAAATGCAGATTCTAATTTAATAAATCACACATTCTATGATCATGAGCTTTCTTCTTCTGGAACTACAAGTTCTTCCACGGAGTGATCAAGGATTCTCCTATGAAGCAAAATCACAAACAACCCTGGTTTCATGGAGACGTCAGCCAAGAATGAGCTAAGAATTCCTAAAACGTTGTCCCTTCAAAAAATATCTTTAGGGTTCAAAGATTTTTAGCTATATTACTATTGATCTCTGCTATTGATTATACAGATTTGTGAAAGATTATGATATATCACTTCTTCTGTTTTAATTTCCTCAAGAGAATCTTCTCTTAAGCATACTGGTAAAACTTTTATGACTTTATGGCTTCCTAGTATCAACTCACTACTATGTTATTGCAGGTCTAATGTAAACTCAGATAAAATAGTTCTTATATGGATCTATTTTCTTTATCAAAACATCTATTTGTGTATATTGTATGTTAAGGATGCCGTTGTTTTCAAGATCTGCAAAAGAAAAAAAAATGTTTTCTCATGAAAAGAAGATTTTTAGCTCCCAAAGCCACTTCCTAATGTTATTTCCATGGAAATAAGTATTTTTTTCCTTAACAGAGATGGTATGAATAATCAGATATCTAAAGTAATACAAAAGGGAGGAAAGGGGACAGGAATTACCAGCCAATCTTTCCTAAATAAACAGGGAACTTGGAGACTGTGACCCCATCTAGGAGAAAAGCAGATGTTCAATAAGTAAATATTTCATCTTATTTTCATTTCTAAATATGTAATATGACAACAACACAAGAAAGTTATCATCAAAAAGAAAAAGATTTTTGAGCAAAGCCACTCAATTAGGCAATACTCACAGAGCCCCAGCTTACTCCTTTTGCCCTTCTGCAAAGCTTCTCCTTGCCCATAATTTTATCACCCATCGTCAAGAACAGAGAACATTCTGATCAAATGCAAAAGAGAGGAATATTTGGACAAAAACTAATTTTTCTCCATCCCCTCTGTAGGGCTCTATTTACATAATGACAAGAGCAGATGAAAGAAGTAGGGGAAGAACCCGAATGACTAAAATCAGAATGTTTACAAATTTGTGAACTTCTCAAACTGTTCATCAAACATTCAAATGACTACATTTTTTCTTAAGTTTTTCTCCCAGATGTTCACCATCACATCAAGAGCCTTGAGCCTTAGGAATAAAATAATTTGAAACCATGAGAAAAACTCCATGTAATTTTTCATAGCAGAAGCTTAAAACAGACCATTTTGCTTGTGGTCCGAATTAAGAATCTAAGAAATTTTGCTATGATTAAGCTCTTCTTTATCAACTTCTTTCAAGATCTTCAAGACAAATAATCCATCGGAGCAGAATTAAAAACAAAGAAAGTGGAACCAGCTTGGAGACAATCATCACAAGACTACCTATAATTGTGTGAACAAAATTTAGTGAATAAAAAATTTACAGAAGTTTGGAGTGAGAAACAAAGAAAAAAATGTTGAAATGACAAAATTCTAAAAATTGTCTAGTGAAAAATGGCAAAAGTTATTCTTGAACATGGTTTTCTGCAGAATGTCTGGTCAATAAATATGTTTTTAATTTGGTGTTTCTTTTAAAATGGTAATTTTGGAGGAAACTTTAAAAGAAAAATTACAGCAAGTCACAATGTGGTCCAACACAGTGGTAACGTCAAAGTCTGCTCCCATCTAAGGAAAGCCAGGGTCCTCCTGGCTGAAGGCACAAGAGGCTCAATCAGACCTCAGCACCACAAGCTCAGAAACCAGACTTTGTCAGCACATTAAAGAATTTTTCTACCAGAGCTGAGACTGAGGGATAAATCCAGAATGCTGGTTTAAAAAATTCTATCGAGAAATGATCCACACAGGGACTTAAACTTTCAGTCTGTATGAGAAGCAATAGTTTAGCCCCAGCACTACTGCATTCTCCTCCTACTTGGGAAGTCAAATGCAAAGAGTAGGCATGGGAAAAGATGAAGGAAAGCTGGATGCATTGAGGGTAAGGGGTGACATCAGGCTCACATAGCCGGGCCTCTCCAATCCAGTGGGTCCATCTGGTCTCTGCCAGTGAAACCTAACTATCCTCAGGCCTCCATCTGCCATCATTTCCTCTTGTCTAACCAGTGCTCAGACAGATATCACCAGCTTTTCCCCCCATGGTTTCCCATGTTCTCATAGCCAATCAACCTCTTTGTTCATTAACACATTCTTTCCTTAGACATAGTAATATTTTTAATCACATGAAAGTTAAATCTGGCTGGCAGGGGAGCTATTCTATATCTTCAAGGTGACTTTACACACTTATCTACTATGATTGATTTTGAGCTCTAATTTTAGGAAGAATAATCTCCTTATCAGGATAATCTCATGTACTATATTTTGGAGTTCTTGGGTGATAGGCCATCTGCCTGTAGCTCCTGAGGACTAACAATATCATTGTTCTAGTTAGTTCTCGTTCTCCAAATTAATTCTGGCCTAGAGAAGATAAAAACTTAAAACACACAAAAAAGATGGCTGTTCATAAGGAATTAAGGAATTAGAATCATTGAGAAAAAACAGAGTAACTCAGAGAGGTGCCAAATTTTTATTTTGCTAGGTGGGGTATTTAAAAGAAAAAAATACTGCCTACTAATACAAAGACATTTCAACCCAAATATAAGAAAAAAAGATAATCTCAGGATAAAGCAGTGCTCTTTATAGAAAACTCAGTTTTCTCACTTTTCTTTGCACCATGTGCAACTTCTCTTACTCTGAGATGGCAAAGGCTGGTAGACCAGCAGCTGGGAAACCATCCCAGATGGCTCTAAGGCTCAGGTAGTCTTGTCCCACACTTCAGGTCAGGAAACTACCCAGAAATAAGGGCATCTGCTTTGTGCCCAAAAGTCTCCTAGCAAAGAGACTCCAAGGATATTCCTATATTTAAGAAATAAATGTGACAATCTATAAAAACTAAATAACTCTTTGATTTGTAAAGAAATTTATAAAAAGAACACAGACTTTTTCAATAAAATTCCTACTTCTTCACTTCCAAGTTGTGCTTCCGGGGAGCACAGTCCTCACTTTCATCCCTGGATCCACTATAATTTGACCTTTACCCTCTCATGCCATAGAAACCACACTCCACAAAGTCATTATTAACCTTCTAATGGCCAAAAACAATGGATATGTTTCAGTTCTTATAAGAGTGAGGTCTGTATCTTACTCTGTCTTTTTCTTGAAATTTTCTTGGCCTTCAAGACATGATTATCTCCTGGGCCTCTACTAACTTTTTCAAACACTCCTTCATCTCCTTAATGGTTCCATGTTCACTACTAAAATCAGGGGTGGAAAAGAGGATTCATCTTGCTCGTTGACACTGATCAAACGTAGTGGTTTCTACCAACACTGTGTTGACAGACGCCTGAAGGAAAGAGTGTTGTGACTGACAATCAGTGTTTCCTGTGAGTTTGAAATGAGATACAGGGCACAATGCAGACCAAGTTTTTCTCTATGTCTCATTTTAAATACTGGTGCTCCCCAGAGCTTTCGAGCTTTCTCCTCCACCCCTTCTTATCTCTGGCATGGCATTCATGCCTATAGCTCTAATAGGCCGCCTACACACCAACTCCACATCTCTAGTTCTCAACCAGAAGTCTCCCTAAGTTAAACTACCTCCTGTCCTGGATATCCCACAACAACCAGATCACAGTCTGTCTACACCTGTCATCACCTTTCCCAGGACCTGATGCCTTTCTGGGATTTTACGTTTTGGTTAATGGTACCGTGGTTCACCTCTGAACACAGCCGACTTGGTAACTATGCTCAATTCCTTCTTTCTCTCATGCCTCATTCTCATCACCTTTCAAGTCTTGTCATCTTTACAGTCAAAGTCCTCTCTTGTTCCTCTCTACACTACCTTGGTTCAGTTCCTTACTGGTTTATTCCTGGATCTTTGTAATGGCTTTCTAATTGATCTCTAATCCATCCTTCCCAAAATATGAATGCCATTTCTCTGCTTTAAACTCCATCAAGGCCTCTCCCTCATTTTTGAAACGTATTTTATGAGTTTACTCAGGTATCAGTGACATACAATAAATGACACATATTTAAAGCACACTGTTTTACATACATATGCATGCATGAAACCAGCCAGACAAGATAATGAACACATCCATCACCCCGCAAAATGTCCTTGTGTCCCTTTGCCATCCTTTCTGTGCAACCTAAAATCACTCCCCACGTTAAAAATCCTCATTCCAAAGCTTTAGAGCTGGTTTTGGGCAAATCACTTAAACTCTCTCCATGTCTCAGCTTTTTCATTAATGTAAAAGGTACAATAATAATTTTACCTATCTCACACAAGTATCTGGAGGATAATACAGCCTAAGTTTCAGGATGCTCAGAGAAGCTTCCAAGGGCTTCTCATTTCACTAGGTTCAAAGGCAAAGCTGGTAAGATGGCCACAAGCAAAAGCTCTAAAGAATCCTACTATTCCGCCTCAGCCACAATGGCCCTCCTGCTATTCCTTTTACTTGTCAAGCAATTCCCTACCACGGGGCCTTCACACCTGATCTCACTCTGTTCAAAGTCTTCCCCAAACTTGCTTGGCTTGTCTCCATACTAGTATTATATCTCTGTTCAAATTTCCAGACCTTTCCTAAGCATCGTACATGAAACATTTACCCTCTTCCAAACCGTCTTCATTCACTCTGCTTCTTCTGTGTTTTCCAAAGGGCTTATAATTCTCTAGATTATTGTATTTTTGCCTACAGATTTATTATTTGTCTCCTTCCACGTAAACATAAGCTTCATGAGAACAAGAATTTTATCTGTTTTGCTTATTGTTCTTTCCCCAGTATGTAGGCACATACTAGGTACTAAAAATATTTGTTGAACTAACAGTGCTTGCCACATAGCACAGATCTAACAAATGGCAGCTTTTATCATTACGGCATCATCGTCATCTTCTTCTTCATCATCATTATGTGCCTTAGCACCACCATACGTAGTAAACCTCTCACTCTGAAAGAAACCCTAGAACAAACCCTTTCCTCTTCAAATCAGGCCCATATGTGTATTCTGACAGCAATGACACTATCTTGACTCACATTTCTCCTTGCATTCTTGCCCTTGCCTGACCTTGATTTCTGGAACTAGTTGTTCCTCATAATGTTTGATTTCTCGGCTTCCTAAATCTGGCCTCGCCACTGAATAGACATAACCACAGGTCTTCTGTTTGAAGCTTGGCCCACTTGACCTTCAGGAACCTGCTGAAATTAATCCCAGAATTGCCAAGCCCCCACATAGAAATCCCACACAAGCTCTCTGTCCTACACCATGCTTGATCAGGACCTCTAGACTAACTGCCCATGCTCTAGTAGGACCATGTACCTTTAAATAAATTACTGCATGTTTATGCAGCAATCTTTACTTCAGTACAACACTTTTGTGTCTGAACAAAAGTTTCCACCTTCCAATAATACTTTAAAATCCACTAGAAGTTCTTGAGAAAACCTGCAATTCTGTCATCTGTAACATGGATCTCTTTGCCTATGTGGCAATAGCTATGCTAATACCATCTATATAAATATTAGCTAGTAGACCAAATAGTGATCTAGTTTCACAATAGTATATATAATCACTTTACAATATATATAGTAAATACACATTTTGTATGCCTTTCATACCACGGAGGCTTATAGGTAGGTATTCAATGAAAATGTATTAAATTGAGTTTCCCCATGTTGCAGAATCTGTGTGGTAGAGCTCTAATAATACTGGGGTGTTTTCAACTTTGCCTGATTTGCAATGCCTGAGTACTTTGCATACAACATACTTGCTATAATAAAATATTCAAATTCAGAGTCTATTACAATACAATATGCTGTAAGAATGTTCAACAGTTAATGTCTTATCACAGCCTTTCATGATGATAACTGCCCTAGAACCTGCAGCCCTAACTGCCCTAAACCATCGACCCCTTTCCACAGTTTGGCACAGCTTAGTCTTATAGGCTGTTCCTGGGTTCTGATAGACACTGTCTGAATGGTGCAGACTGTGATAATTAACCCAAGCTATTATAATGTTTGCTCCAAACCTCCTCATGTGCCACAACTTTGGCTATTTGGAAAATTTCAGACATTACTCCTCCATACAAGTAGACAGGAAAGGTTCCTTCGGTTTCCTTCCTCCCTTCCCCCAGCCCGCCTTTTGTATTGTTGTTCACTTATTTAATAGCTGTATCTCCAAGTGGCCTCCCCGCCCCACATAGTCTCCACAACACACATACATACACACACATGCACCCCACTACCACTTCTCCCAGCCTGAAACATTCTGAGATCCCCCCCATTCTTTATAAAGAAGCCTCCTCTAGCTCGTATCCCCCTCACTTCTCAATCACTCATCAGTATCATCTCAGCTCCCAGTGTCCCACTGAACCAGCTCTCACTGAGGTCTCTGTTTTAGCAAATCCAATAGGCATTCTTCAGTCCTTATCTTAATTACTACGTCCACAACCTTTGAAATTTTTTTTTTTTGGTAAAATACATATAACATAAAATGTATCATTTAAACCATTTTAATTGCTCTGTTCTGTGGCATTAACTACATTCACATTGTTGTGGAACCATCTACCACCAACCATCTCCAGAACTTTTCATCTTCCCCAAATGAAACTCTGCAGTCACTAAACAATAACTCCTCATTCCTTCCTCCATTCAGCACCTGGTAACCACCATTCTACTTTCTGTCTCTATGTATTTGATGACTGTTAAGTACCTTATTTAAGTGAAATCATACTGTATTTGTCCTTTTGTGAGTGGCTCATTTCACTTAGCATAATGTCCTCAAGGCTCACTCATGTTGTAACATGTGGCAGAATCCTCTTACTTTTTAAGGCCAAATAGTATTCCATTGTATGTATGTACCACATCTGGTTTATCTATCCATCCATCAATGAATACTTGGATTATTTCCACCTTTGGCTTAGATGTACTACTTTTACAAAGTTTTATCCTTCTTTGCATAACTATTGCGTATCAGCTATACATCAGGTACTCTACTAAGCACTAAGTGTACATCAGTGTATAAAACAAAGAACTCTGCTTTAATCGAGCTCACATTCTGGTGGAAGAAACAGACAATGAACAATAAGTAAATCATGGGCGTGACAGAAGATGGTAAGTGCTATGCATAACTCAAAAGGTGGAGATGGGATATTAGAGTGAAAAAAGAGTTAAAATTTTAAGAGATTGGTGAAGACAGACCTCATCGAAAGGGTGGCCTCTGAGCAATGATTTGTAAGGAGGTAAGGTAGTGGTCACTTGTATGGTTTCACATGCTACCTATAAAACGATGACCACCCTCCAATCTACTTCTCCATTACTAATGCTGCTGCACAGATCCATTTGAATAGGCAACAGTTTCTATCTGAAACAAGTCTCTTCATTAACCCCCTAAAATCTCTTTCAACTGCATTCCTAATCTTCATTAATGCACTGCCATCTACTCAGTCATACAGGTGTGGTAGGCAGTCTCTCAAAGGGCCCCTGCAGATCCCTGTCTCCTGGCATTTATGCCATTGTGTAATTCCCTCCTCTAACTGTGAGCTGGACTTTGGGACTCCCTTCTAATAAACAGAATACAACAGAAGTATTGGGGAGTCTAATTTTAGCATAAAAGATGGATTTGGGGGCCAGTAGCTAGAGTGGGAGCAGGGAGATCAGGGAAGAGATGATAAAAATCTAAAAATCTACAGAATGACTGCAAGATCTCTCCTTGTGAATTCTTTCTCAATTGCTGCATTAGAAATTGCCCCAAAGCTTAGTGACTAAAAATAACATTTATTATCTCACAGATTTGCGGGTCAGGAATCTAGGAGTGGCTGGTGACGTCATTTCCAAGATGAAGATTTTAAAAGACTTCAGTTTCTGACGTGTGTGCTCTTCGTCATATCTTTTAGAGTGCTTCCACTGGGGAGAACCAGCTGCCTTCTTGTTAAGTGGCTCTGCAGAGAGGCCCCTGTGACTAGGGACCTATATCCACCTTCGAAGCAGATTCTTCAAACCCAGGTAAGTTTTGAGATGATGGCAGCCCAGCCAACAAATTGACTGCTACCTCAAGAGAAACCTTGAGCCAGAGACCCTGAGCTCAGCTACTCCTATATTCCTGACCCACAAATCTGTGAGATAATAAATATTATTTCTAGCCACTAAGCTTTAGGGCAATTTCCAATGCAGCAACAGAGAATGAATTCACAATGAGAGACCTTGCAGTCATTCTGTAGATTTTTAGAAATCCAGACTTCTGTGACTCATGACCTTTAAAGTGCCTGGCACAGAGTGCGTGATCAATAAATATTTGTCAACTACTCCCTCTCCTTTACACATCACCGCTGATCATGATGGCTTGTCAATTTGCCCTTCTATATAATTGAAAAATCTTCTGCATCCCTATTACCATTACCCTGGGTGGCTCCTTTCTCATTTCACATTGGTACCATGTTAACATCTCTTCACTGATTTCCCTGTTTCCACTCTAGCTACTGGCCCTGAAATCCATCTTTTATGCTGAAATTAGACTCATCTGTGTGAAAAACACGTCTGTCCCATTTAACACCCTTTAGGGGTGCCCTGTAACCTAAAATAAATTCCAGTCTCCTTGGCATTGCATTTTAGGGCTTCTACCTATATGTTCAAACTTATCTTTTGCTACCCTCTGCCTCATACTTTTGTTTTAGCAACGCTAATCTATTTTGCTTTTGCTTTACTAATCATCAATTCATTGCTTCCTTCTTTTGTTCATCCTGTGCTTTTGCTTGAATACTCTTTCCACCTTTCTCTATCTGGTTAGATTTTACTTATCCCCCAAGAGTCAAATCAGGAATCATCTGTCATATTTGGCCAAGTAGCCCTTTTTGTGCTCCCCAGGACCCTGAAGATACTGGTGTACAAGCATTTACCACAGTTTAGTTGTATATCTGATGCATATGATGAGGTAGACGGGTTTTTTCTTTTATAAAATAAATTATATTTTCTTGGTTGCAAGGGTACCATCTTAGATTTTGAAATGTCAATTGAATAGCAAGTCATTTTCTTGGGATTCAGAAGTGCCAGTATATAAACTTGGTCACTACAAAGAAAGCAGAGCAAACTGCATAAGGATTCCAAAGCAATTCTGGGAAGAAAGGAAGCAAAACCTCAACTCTTAGTACTCCAAATGTAAAGTTAAGCACACCGATTAGGATAGACCAGAGCAGACCCTACCAAGACCCAGCAACAGGGAAGAACAACAATTCCTGAGAAATGAAATTATAGGAGCAAGAGCTGAGGCTCATGGCCACACTAAACGCCTGTGCTAGCTACCGTCCGCTATGTCAGTGACATTGCATGCTTTTGTGGACTCTACTACCCTGAACAGTGAGTGTACATCAATGAACAGTGGCTGAAAATGACAGTAGGACCATAACCTGAGCACTGGACACAGGGCCCCACACACAGATCACACATGTTGTGTAGAAAGCCACTCAACATTGGTAAACACAGTGTTTAATTTTTCACATAGCTCTTTCCTATCCTTCCCTGCTTCAGTTCATTCTAATTTCTCCTAAGATAAGCCAAGAGAAATTTCAGAGAAGATGTCATTAATTTGGTTCCAATCTCTTAATAAATGTCCAAACAGATTTTGCAACCTGATCATTATGAATGCTGGAAACATCAGTAAACCATTTCCAGTATTAAAATATATTTAGCATGCAATCTCCATCAAGCTAGGTTGCACGAGGCATCTTATTGTAAGGCTAATGTAGGGGTTCTGGAGCCAAATAAACCTGAATTTCAGACATGGCTCAACCTCTTACCGTGTGACAGTGGGCAAATTATTTAGCTCCTCTATGGCTTATTTTGCAAAGGCAAAATGGGATTAATAGCAGACCTTACCTCTTCACGTTGCTGTGAAGAATAAATGAGAGAATGCACTAAAGTGCTCAGCAATCAATAAATTTAACTTCTAAAATGGGCAGCTGAAAGAGACAACACTTACAACCTTTTAATACGAGAAGGTCAAACAACCACCCCACAAATTGCATCCTGTTTGTCCTAAGTGAAATAACATCTAGGAAAAATACTGAAAGTAACGGGAACTTGAAATTGACCATATGGGATCTTCTGTGGGTTACAAAAATAGCATAATTTAATCAGAAACCCCTAGCTTCCAAGAAGCCTGAATGAGTATGAAGAGAAAATAGATTTTGTCAATCAAGACCTTGTTGCAGGCCCTCAACATTAGATACAGAACCATGATTAAATTAATCAGAGGTCATACAGATCACAGTAAGAGATAAGCAGTCTATTCAGTTTTTCTTTTTCATATCTACCCTCATATCACTAATGACTGTGGCTTTAAATAATAATCTTTGTTATCTCTTATAAGCCAGATTGAATCAAAGTTTGGGCAATCTTTGAACTAACTCTTAAAAATCAAGTCTGGTGGGTTCCGAAAAATTGGACGGAAAACTATTAAAGCTAAACGTGATTGGACAGCACGAAATATGACAGTGTTTTAAAATCATAAACATTGAAATACTTAGTTCCCTATGCTGGGTCTGTGCATACTCACTAAATGGTATTAGTTTTACTTCAAAGCATTCAAATATGCCTCATTTCACCAAAAAAAAAAAAAAAAAAAAAATACATACAAATTTTCAAAGCAGAAACATGAGATAACTATTTGTATTAGAAAAGATTCTTGATTTACAAGAAATACTCATGGAAGGAGAACTTTCAACAGCAAGTTTCCCTGGAATACAAAGAAACATTATTTGCAGAAATTGAATCTGCATTCTATTCATAATATAAAGGCAAATCTGTTCCATGCATTTAAGGAATTAATAAAAGTAACTAACATCTTACTGTCATAAAATACAAACACAAGCAAAAACCTTGATGATAATGGACTTTAGTCCCTTCGTTTTATTAAAAAAAAAAAAAGTTAAGTTTAAGCAGGTGACATGAAAGCTCATCTCTGATAGACTTCGGAATGGAACCCAGAACCTCTTACTTGAGCCCAAGGCATTTCCTATCAACCCAAATTACATCTCCTGTTTCCCTACATATTATTTAGATACTGTATTTTGAAATGCCTCTAAACATTAGCTGTCAGTTTTTAAGAAGCTAAGAATCAATGCCTCCCATATATTACTATCTTCATATAAAAGCAAATCAATCTGGAATTAAGCAAAGTGTGGCAGAATAAATACACTAAACTGAACAAGAGCCCTGGCCACATGGAACCTATCTGCACACAACCACATCCTTGGGAATCTGAGACTTCACCACAGTGGAGCTAGGAAAAAAATGGGACCATTAATTTATTCAATAATTTCTATGATTAATCTGCGTGCCACAAGTTCTGTGCAAAGAACTGGGGATAACACAAGGGATAAGACAGAAACAGTCTTTACCGTTTAGCAAGACTAATAGCCAAGCTTTATTAAGAGTTTTCATGTTCTAGGCACAGTGCTAAGCAATACTCAAGGATTTTCTCATTTAATACATTCAATATATAGCCCTATAAAATATGTCCTATGTTTATTACCATTTTGTAGATGCGGAATGAAATACAGACAAATTAATGCAGTTAGCAGGACCACATGACACTGATTAAGTTAATCGGTGTAATGTAGATACTAAGTGACAAAAGTAGAATTTGAAAGCAGATCTCGAGGGCTGGACCCTTAGCTGCTGTGCTATACTGACTCCAAGCTACTAGGAGAGACACATATTAAATACATACCTCTACACAATTATATGTATAATCTAATTATAATGGGTTATACAAAGGAGAACTTTGGGCTACCTGAAGAGCATTTATAAGAAGGATCTAGTCACTGTAAGATAGGGCTATTTTCACTACCAAAGAATTATTCACAATGGTATGGTGATATTTACCTTTCAATATAAAATGCCATATTAATAAACTGCATTTGTAGGATGTGCTAAAAACAAAAAGATGTGTTTATAAACTTTAAGCATTAACCACTGAGACCAACCTGACTTTGTCCATTCAAATTCCAGCTCCCAGAGAAAACTTCCTCTTGTACAGTTTTGGGCTTGGAAAATATCCTTCAAACTATCTAGCCCTGTCTTATGTGAACACTTTTTTAGAAATTCACAGAGAAGATGAGGTTCCCCCCCCCCCTTTCCTTTTCATATCCGATTTACTAGATACTCATTGTAAAGTCTGCCAGACTTCCATTGTCTATTTTCTTTGATACAATTTTGAAAGTATCCATCATCAGCCAAACCAGAACACGCAGGTCTGGTTTCATCCTAACTGTTCATGCCCATAACCATAAAAAAGAAGACACAGATTCATCCCTCATCCCTCAGGTCTCGTTGATTTGTGCCAAATGAGGGCAATTACTAGACATATGGACACCTCCTCTACCTAATGAAAAGCTGACTCCCTCATTCAGTCATGTTTTTTATCCAAATATGTTTTAAGTGAACCAGCAAAACCATGCAGAGCCACTTCACAGAGTATGCAGTTTGTGGACTGAAAATAGAGGGATCAGGAGCTGAAATCCAGCCCATGCTCAGCACTCTGAGCCACGTGTCTCAGCATGGATCTACATCCACCTGAAAGAAGGGCATCTCTTCCTTTGCACCAAGTAACCTCAGCTTGCCAAGTCAAGTGCCTAAAGGGCTGTTTTCTCCTACGGCACATTTTTCAACATTCACATCAGGTATCCTATTGTCTACCCAGTGTCATAGGACTATTTGACCTGTGAAATCACATCTCCCTGGGTCTCATTTTCCTCATCTCTAAAATGAAAAGACGGGCAAAATAAATTCTAAACCTCCTTCCATGTTAAAAACTCTAAAGAACAAACAACCTAGGCTTCCCTGGCTCTTTCAGAGTTACGGTGTAATCTGCCAAAGAGGAAAAATAACGACTAGACCTCGAGATCCTAGCGGCTTCCTATGGGACCTCATGCAGGGCCTCTCTGGGAACTCCAGCCCTGGCTTACTTGCTAATTTCCCATGGGTCTTCCTTAGATAGCCTTTCTCCAATGGGAAGAACAAAACTCATTTGCCCTGCACACAACATAGTCAGAATGGCCAATGACAGAGTAACTATAAAAGGGTTTAGCGAATGTAAAAAGTGCTACACGCATGTGTACACTAGATCCTCCCAGCAGCTTTTATTCCCCAGACTGCCCAGAGAAAGTTGTTTTTGGTCCCTGTTTTTCTTATTTGTCAATAGAGCATATGAGAGTGATCATCCACTTTCCAGTTTATTTTTGCCACTTGCAGAATCGAAATGGCAGTCAAGAAAAGGTTGAACCTGAGGTCTGTCTCTGCTAAGTGAGAACTACTGTTGGTTGAACTATTCCCACTGGTGTTGCCCAGTGATTCCGCTCCACCATGTCTTTGAAGGTTGGTAGGGGAAAAGGTGAAGCATCTCATGGCAACAAAGACTATCAACCTCACTCTGTTGGAATAAAGCTAGTCAACCTACCACTGTATTTCACAACAATTCAAATCCAGGTATCTCTCCTACTTAAATCCTTACATCAGGATTTGGAAATTCAGGATTCTGACAAATTGAAGCACAAATTCCATTTATGCAACCTTGAAGAGATACATACATGCAGAAATCCACATTCTTGGGAATAAGTTTAAAGTATCTTGGTTTATCAATTCTGGAGGAAAGACCAGCTTCCTCTGTCTGTCAATTTTGATTTTATTCCCATCATTCTGGGCAAAAAGTGAGGTTAAAACAGTACTGCCTGACATGAGTTCAGATGTTTGGTGTGAGGAATCTCTACAGGGAGGACCCCTGAGGTCAGATTCATAAGCTCCCTGGGGCCTACAGCCTGACTGCTTTGCATCTCCACTTCAGTCCCCTCCAAAGTATGTCAGCAATGGCAGGTGTATGGTGTAAAGCTATCAAGCTGTTTCTTGGGATTCACCACAGTCACACTTCCCTACTTCAAAACCAGAGAATCAGAGGTCGTCTGCAAGAAATGGAGACTAGAAATTAGCCAGACCAGCCCAATACTTTTAATCCCCTCCCCTACCCGATATCCCCGCACAAAAACAACCATAACAACTAAGCAACATGCTTGGCTGTTCAGTATGTTCAAATGTCATGTGAATATTTAACCAGGGAAATATCTCTGGAAAACGGCTATGATTTGCTGGTGACATAATGCTCAGCACATGACTATAATTTAAAATAACCATCCAATATAAACTAAATTCATGAACAATGAGGCTTTTCTCATGCAAAAGCTGGTCTATACAGCCACACCCTATTTTTAAGGTAATTATAAGATTGGAAGTAGAACAAGCTTCAGAAGTGACTCTGGGTCCAAATCCTAATCCTGTCACACGCTGAGTAACTAGGTAAATGAGCTCACCTCTCTGAGCCTGAATTTCCTCACTGATAAAAAGGGTGGCTAAGTCTTAATTTTTTTTTTATTATTTTGAGAACTAGAAAAATAAATTTAAATAGGCTAAGGAGTGCTTGTCCGAGAGTGATGGGACATCACCACTGTTCCTTGCTCCAAGTCATTCAGCTCACCTTTCTTGCCTTTCCACCAAACCAGAAACACCAAAAGGAGAAAAGCAATCCAGCAGGTGCTATGCACAGGCAATGTCTAGCTGAAACATCTTCTTGATTTTAATTAGTAAAAGATAATAAGAGTGCTAAAGTCAGGTGCGCTCTTCCGTACATAAACATCAGAGTCATTATTCATGCCAGCAGTTTTACAGATGCCTCTTCACACAAACCTGACATTTACAATACTTGGAGAAAATGCAGATGGACAAGTGAAGTGCTGAGGTTTGAAAAGAGGGCATGCGAAAAACATTACCCACACTTAAAGAAGAAAATTAATCCCACAAGGTTCCTTCTGGCTTATCCCAACTTCTGATTTTGAATATGTCATGTCCCTCTGTACACTGACTCCTTCCTTTTAGGATCACAGAGGTTATGGTTTCAGTGGAAAGATTTCATTGGAATGCATGGTGTGGTGCTCTAAGAGCATCTGTGTCTGAACGATAAGATGAAACAAACCACAGGTGCTGAATCTGCACAGAAACCAGCTCGCCAAACATGACCACCTGTACCCAAATATCTATTTGAATCACTGAGAATGACAGTACCTCATGGGCACAGAGGTTGAATCTAGTTAAGATAATTCTCTCAACAAATTTGTATGCTCACTCCAATTTCATGAATGTGCAACAGTGGGTGATCTGGAAAAGCATGGTCAACAGTCAACAAGAATATCATCTCTTGATTCTAGCAATGCTGAAAACCATAGGGGCTGCTTTCTAGTAATGAAGCTCTCAGTGCTTTTACATCTATAAATACAATGTAAAAAAAAATTCTTACTTAAAAAAATTCCTGTCAAAAATGTATATTAGCCTTATGGATAGCTGGAGAAAAGTTATGAGTACACAGCACGTCCTTAGTGCCTGACTCCTAGTTTCTCCAAACCAATGGAAAAATCAAATATCTATTCTTTAATAACGATCTCCCATAAACAGTTCCTGGGTAGAGTCGGATTTATAGTGTACCTTCTTCCAAACAGGAAAAGAGATAAACTCACACTGTTCTCATATGCCAAAGGCATTTCTTTGGCTCAGAGGTTGTTCCCAAACTGATGACTGCCATCCCTCCTTCCACCCCCAACCCCCACCCACCTACTTCCATTCCAATTCTGTCAGCTCTGGCAGTGGTTGGTGCGCTGTTACATCCAAAAGGATAAAAAAAAAATAAAGGAAGAAACAGAACTTCAAAATCCTTCCTAGGTAGGGCCCCTTCTGCAATAGGAAAAGAAGCAGAGAACCTCAAATTTGCTCTGGGCAGAAACAGAGCCTTAATTAAAGAAGTGCCAGTGATCTAGCCTGGGACCCACTGCTATGGCCAGATGTACACAAGAATGCCCACAGTAGCTCCCGTCACTCCCACTCACTCCCACAGCCACAAGAGACCTTAATATGCAGACCCATGTGCACCCGTAAGTCATTTCCAAGTCAGAGACAGGTTTGGACCCACATAATGAAATTAATACCCATGCTTAAAACACACACTTATGAGAATGAAAGCCTAGATGTATAAATAGCCAATGTTTTACTCAATGTTACATCAAGAAAGGTACTCAGCTACCGGGGGAAAAAAAATAAAGTCAGAAAGGAAAATTTAATTGTGTGAGTGGGTTAACAGGCTTGATCCCAGAAGTAACCACTAAAATTTTATGCATAATGGAATTTATTACAAAAGATAATGAATAAAAAGATAAAAATGGAAAAATCGAAGGCTGTTTTATTACAGTCAAAGCATCTAACAAAACGAAGTTCTAGTGGGAACTGGGCTTTAAAATTATAGTGAAGTCACAAATAGAAAACAAAAAAGAGCAGGAGTCGCTAATCTTGAGTCACATAAAATAGACTTTAAACCAACAAGAGTAAAAAAGGACAAAGAAGGACACTACATAATGATAAAGAATTCAATTCAACAAGAAGACTTAAATATCCTAAATATATACGTACCCAACATTGGAGGACCCAGATTTATACAACAATTACTTTTAGACCTAAGAAAAGACTTTGACAGACACACGATAACAGTAGGGGACCTCTAACACATTGACAGTATTAGACAGATCACTGAGGCAGAAAACTGGCACAGAAATTCTGGACTTAAATTGGACACTGAACCAACTGGATCTAATTGACATCTACAGGATACTTCATCCAGCAGCCAAAGAAAATACATTCTTCTCATCTGCACATGGAGCATACTGTAAAAAGTACCACATGCTTGATCATAAAACAAGTCTCAATCAATTTTTAAAAAGTAGAAATTATACAAAGCATCTTCTTGGACCATAGAGGGATTAAAAATAGAAATCAACACTAAGAGGAACCTTCAAAACCATAAAAATATATGTAAACTAAACAACTTGCACATGAATGACTTTTGGGTAAACAACAAAAAATTAAGGCAAAAATCAAAAAATTATTTGAAACAAATGAAAACAGAAACACAACATACCAAAACGTCTACATCAAGAAGATAGAAAAGTCCTAAATTAACAATCTAAACTTCACACATAAAGGAACTAGAAAAACAAGAACAAACTAATCTTGGCCGGGCGCGGTGGCTGACACCTGTAATCCCAGCACTTTGGGAGGCCGAGGCAGGTGGATCATGAGGTCAGGAGATCAAGACCATCCTGGCTAACACAGTGAAACCCCGTCTCTGCTAAAAATACAAAAAATTAGCTGGGCGTGGTGGCAGGCGCCTGTAGTCCCAGCTACTCGGGAGGCTGAGGCAGGAGAATGGTGTGAACTCGGGAGGCAGAGGTTGCAGTGAGCCGAGATAGCACCACTGCACTCCAGCCTGGGTGACAGAGTGAGACTCCATCTCAAAAAAGAAAAAAAAAAAAAACTAATCCCAAAGCTAGTAGAAGAAGAGAAATAACTAAAAGCAGAGTAGAACTAAATGATATTGAGACCCAAAAACCATACAAAGGGTCAAAAAAACAGATAATTGGTTCTTTGAAAGGATAAATAAGATTAATGGACTGCTACCTAGATTAACAAAGAAAAAGAGAAGATCCAAATAAGCACAATCAGAAATGACAAAGATATCACAACCGATCCCACAGAAATACAAAAGATTATCAGAAATTACTGTGAATATCTCTATGCACACAGACTAGAGAATCTTGAGAGAATGAATAAATTCCTAAAAGCACACAACCTCTGAAGATTGAACCAGGCAGAAGCAGAGATCCTGAACAGACCAATAACATGTAAAGAAACTGAATCAGTAATTAAAAAAATATAGACATATACCATCCAAAAAAACCTGGGACCACATGGATTTACAACCAAATTCTACCAGATATACAAAGGAGAGCTGCTACCAATCCTACTGATACTCTTCCAAAAAAATCAAGGAGGGTCTCCTCCTAACTCATTCTACAAAACCAGTATCATCCTGATACCAAAATCTGATAAAGACACACCAAGAAAATAAAACTATAGGCCAATATCCCTGATGAACATAGAAGCAAATATCCTCAATAAAACACTAGCAAACTGAATCCAGCAGCATATCAAAAAGTGAATTCACCATGATAAAGTCAGCTTTAATCCTGGGATGCAAGGATGGTTCAATATATGAAAATTAATAAGCGTGATTTACCACATAAATAGAATTAAAAACAAAACCATGTGATCATCTCAGTAGATGCAGAAAAAGCATTCAATAAAATCCAACATCCGTTTATGATATAAACCCTCAACAAATTAGGTATCAAGAAAAATATCTGAAAATAATAAGAGCCCTATATGACAAACTCACAGCCAACATCATGCTGAATGTGCAAAAGTTGGAAGCATTCCCCCTAATAACTGGAACAAGATAAGGGTACTATGTTCACTACTTGGATGACAGGATCATTAGAAGCCCAAATCTCAGCATCACGCAATATACCCATGTAACAAATCTATACACGTGCCCCCTGAATCTAAAATAATATTTTAAAAATAAAAATAAAAAAAATGTAGTGCAGCTGTAAAAACATCCGTTTGTGGGTTTCTGCCTTATAAAGTGAAGAATGTATTTGTTTTGTTGTTAGATACAAACTAGCCGGTGTTATGGAAAGGATTACTTTGATGACCCCTTTGTTTATGTAGATGGAAGGCAGTGAGTACCTCTCTCTCCTCCTTGGGGAAGACTACGTCCAAAGAAATCACCCAGTATAAAACCTTCAGACAAACACATTAAATGCAGTAGTCCCCCCTTATTCAGACATGTTTTCCAAGGTTTTAGTTACTACACCCAGTCAACTGCAGTCCAAAAATATTAAATGGAAAATTCCAGAAATAAACAGCAAGTTTTCAATTATGCATCACTATGACTAGCATGATAAAATTTCACACTGTCCTGCTCCATTCTGCTCAGGCAGTGAATCCTCCCTTTGTCCACGGTATCCATGCTGTCAGTGCTACCTGTCCCTCAGTCACTCAGTAGTGGGCTCAATTATCAGATCAACTACCACAATATCCCAGTGCTTGTGTTCAAGTAACCCTTGTTTTACTTAATAATGGTTCCAAAATGCAAGAGTAGTGATGGTGGCAACTCAGATATGCCAAAGAGAAGCCATAAAGTGCTTTCTTTCAGTGAATAGATGAGAGTTCTCAGCTTAAAAAGGATAGAAAAAAAAACATATGCTGAGGTTACTAAGATCTACAGTAAGACCAATTTCATTGGTGAAAACGTGAAGAAGGAAAAATAAATTCGTTCTAGATTTACTGTTGCACCTCAAATTGCAAAAATTATGGCCACAGTCTATGACAAGTGCTTAGTTAAGATGGAAAAGGCATTAAATTTGTCGGTGGAAGAGACAAACAGAAATGTGCTACAATTGATGGGAATCAAGTTTGGTTCAATTCACAGTTTCAGGCATCTACTGGGGGGCTTTCCAAGGGGGGATACTGTATCTATTTAACGATGGAATTGGCTGCACTAACAGAACTGTATGTGCAGAGATAGGGGTGTTTCTTGTTTTTGTTTTGGAGGTTTTTTTGGTTTGGTTTGGTTCCCAAAGCTTAAATTAAAATTGATCAATGCTTGACATTCTGGATTGTTCTGGAGAGACTGTGCTTAAGTTGTCCAGGCATCTGCTTTTGGGTGATGGAGCTGGACCTAGAATATCAAGAGAGAGGTAAAGCCCTATTTTCCCTCATCAACTGCTGGAAGAAAAGTCACATGAAGGTGATACAAACTTGACAAAGCACAATCTGGATAGGCTATTGGTCCCCATGGTGGCATGATTTGCGCATGAATAATCTAGATTTAGAGTAAAGTGCTGTCAAGCGTCGCATTACATATTCAGAGACAGGGAGCCAAGCCACACTGTGAAATCTCTTCTGGAGGAAAATGAATTTCCCACTGGCAGCCATCCTGGGAGGAAGTAATCCAGAGATGTTGTTTGTTTGTTTGTTTGTTTGTTTGTTTTTTAAGCCTAGAAATAGGGCAAACCATTTGGGTCTAGGTGCTCAAGCATGCACAGGCTTGATTTATTCCCTATGGCAGGGAAAAGATGGAACCGAGCTAAGAACTAGCAGAAAAGGAGACTCTGAAGTTTAGGTGTAGATCTGAGGTTGTGAGTCCAAACCCACCTGGTATCAGGTGTAAGCTGTTCCTTGGGTTTGGCTGGCTTTATCCTCAAGACTTTAATATGTTCTCATCAACTCAGCCTTATCGTGTCCTGAAAAGAACTAGGGAGAGCATTGGCCACCAATGGGGGACAGATAGGCACAACAAAGAAGTCCTCTCAAAACATCAGAGTTAGCCTGGGGCAAGATGAAGGGACTAGAATGGGGAAACCTAAAAGATCTCTTTGAAAATACCCAGGAGTCAGGACCCTGGGAATTCCTCAAAATCATTAAAAGCCATTTTGAGGAGAATTTATTTCTAGCGATTTGCTAGTGGGAAGCTCCTTGGCCTAATAATTTAGGTTTTTTTAAAAAAAGTGTAATCCTATTTTTTTTAATCACAAGCGGGTAGGGGATTAGATCACACCAATTTTGATTGAAGTTACTATTATTCACCTCTGTTGTAAAAACTACTAGTGCTTACCTATTTCTGGGTCTCCTCTTCTTCCTAAGCACCTAAAAAGTTTACTTTCAGCCCTTGTACTCAAGTGTGGCCATATGACTAGATCTGCACAACAAAATGTGAGCAGAAGTAATATGTAATGTGTAACTTCATTGTCAAGGCAGCAAGAGCTAGTGTGCCATTGAGGCAGGAAAATAGGGTCTGGAGGCAGGGAACATAAGGCCGATTCACACTTCAGCTATAACAGAAAATACCCTCTCCATAGGGCATAATCCGTAAATGACTTTGTAACTTTACCTCATCCTCTCCATTTACACAAGGCATAACCGAAGTAACCAGTGGAATCCTCTAGGGGGTATGTAAACTCCCAAAAATTCTGTAACGGGGTCTTTGAGCCCCTATACTCAGGCCGGCTCCCACATTGTGGAATGTACTTTTATTTTCAATAAAACCCTTCATTCCTTCCTTGCTTTGTACGTGTGTTTTGTCCAATTATTTGTTCAAGACACCAAGAACCTGGAGACCTTCTACTGGTAACACCATCACCAAGCTTCCTTTTCCTTTGCTGCAGAGACATTAAAGATCTGTTTAGATGGGATGGCAGCACAACAAAGAGTAGGCAACCTAAACCCCTACTGCCACTCACTATCCAGGCTCTACTCAGACTTTGTGTGAGCAAGAAACATTCTTTTGTTTTGCTAAATTGATCAGATTCCAGGACTTGTTATGGCAACACACTCTAGCTAGCCAATCCTAACAAATGCAAACACATTTTACGACAAGGAAATAAGATTTATAAAGGTTGACACTTGTCCAAGGTCACTTGCCCAAGGTCACATAATCTAATACTATGAGAGGGAAAAGATTCAAATTCAGGCTCTTCTGACTCTAGTAAATAAGCTCTCAATCCTATCTATATAACATCATTTTATCATTATCATCCCTGAACATTGGCTCTCTGTACCTAAGTGCTAATTCTACAAACACAGTTTTGTAGCTGAGAAACTAAGGCAAAGGAGGAAGGCTGACTTCAAATTTCTTAGTCACTAACTATTAAAATATAAACAAAACATTTTAAATCACTCCACATATAATACTATTTGTATTATACTTTCTTCTGATCCCCCGAAAAACTTATGTATATAAACACATCTATTGTGGTTAAAGAAAAAAAAAAAAGAATGGGGGCGGAATATAAAACTGAAATACAGAATATTATTTAAAGATATAAAAGTAATCATTATTACATAGTATTCATACATATATCTATAGAAAAAAGGTTTGAAGGAAACGCACAAAATATTCATTTGGTCATCCTACAACTATTTATTGAGTCCCTTCTATTTGCCAAGCACTTTTTGACACAGGCACAGAGCATAAAACAGACAATGTATCTGCCCCTCACAGTCCTCTTACAGTCTAGTATTAGTTCTTGGAAAAGAGGAAGCCATGGGGAACTTTTATTTTCTTCTGTATATTTTTCTGCCTTCAATTTTTTCAAAGATATATACCCTTCATATACTATCAGAAATCCATTTTAAATCCACCATTCCCAAACATATCCCATCACACAGATCATGATGCAGCTCTCTAAAAACCATTAGAAAAAAATTAGTCAGAATTGAGAACTTAAGTCAGATTGTCTTAAAGACATCTGTTAAGGAAAAGAATTTATAACTGGGATTATTCATCTTTTTATGATTTACAAGTTACTGGTTTCTTTCAATAAAATTACCAAGAGATAATGATAAAAACTGAGTTAGATGACAAGATAATTTAGTATCGTGCCTTATAGACAATAACAGCAACTGGTGATTATATTTTCTGAACCAAATATTGACATGCAGGTGATGTCTACAGGATTATTTCTGAAGACAACAGAATATACTATTCACAAGAGTGATCAGCAACTATTTATAAATTAAATTACTTTTTCCTTCAAGCTCTGACCATTTTATTTCAATAAACAGTAAAACCAGATTCTTAAGATAACTCAGACAGCTCCTCTGTCCTCCACCTTTCCATGCTCAAAACCCCAAATAGCTGCTGTTTCTGTTTCTTTAATTGAAAAAGGCAAGGGCAGCACCCTAAAACAAGGTGAGGACCAGGAGCCCCCCAGACCTCCCTCCCGGCTCTTCTTAGCTGCTCCTGGTAGACATCCCCTTTCATTTCTGTGGACCCTGCTGATTTTTCCCAAGCAAGCTCCCCACTCAAACCACTGGTCTCAGGCATCAAAAAGCTTGTACTTCCCACCTTGCTCCCCTAGCTGGCCCACCTGATCCAGGATCTATGGCATTCTTGGCTTTTTCTCTCCTCTTCGCTCTCTGACTTCTTTTTGGCTGCCTAAGAAACCCTGGTTGCTTTTATAACCTTAGCTGAATATATTAGTCAATCAGCTTGTAGACAGAGGATTTAAGGGCTAGGGAGAAATGTCTGAAATAGAGAAATTTTGTGGACTGAGTGCTTGAGCTTAAAGGGTTGTTGAAGTTTACTCCAAATTTATCATTTTTTTTGAGGAATCAGGGTCCCTGAGTTTAATCAAAATTCAATTCTGATTCCTCATTGGTTCACATGAGGTCTATGAGCACCGAGACTAGATCTTCTTCCAATCACATCCCTAAATGGTGCTCAATAAATACTGCTGAATGAGTGAATCAACATGCAGCAAGTCCTGATTCCAGACATAGCCAGGGGTGGAACTCTCCCTGGTGTGGATAAGCCTATGGGTGGGATCCAGGATATGGAGCTAGACCTGCTCAGTGGGGTTGGGTAGGAGCAGAAGTGCAAAGACTGAGAAAGTGCAAACAGGCAGAACATATTGTCACAGTAGAGCAGAGACCTGCACAGGGACACACAACTGGCATCAGGGAGACCCAGTAAGAGGCAACTGGACAAAAGAACATATCAGCAGAAACTAAGGGCAAGAAGAAGTGGGGAAACCAGATAAGGAGGCAAGCACCAGAATAAAGAAGAAAGATACCCTTGTCGTAGAGGAGCCAGGGTGAAGGTTCTAACAAGAAAGGACTCGGCTGCAGAGAAATGAGATGCACAGGGCTATAGAGCTGGTGAGTAGGTAGTGCTGAGGCCTAGATGCAGGTCTTCCTACTCCTGGTTCAGTGCTTCAACCTGGCAGATTCCAAATGGCTTCACCATGAAAAACACACTCCTCCACCATGAAGCACACCAAAATGCAAAGCCCTCAAGGGGAGGATCCTGTGTAGATCGCTGTTGTATCACAAGTGCCTAGAACAAAGCCTGGCACATAGTAGGTGCTTAATAAATACTTGAATAAATGAACAAAGAATTACTGATTGGCAGTTAAAAGGAAACTTAAGGTTCCCTCCCTCCATTACCTGTGGGCTGTTTTCCCAATTGCCCACACTCACCTTCCTCTCTCAAAAAAATTCCTGCTGTGGGTATTCAGGGCAGCAATCAGCATCTGTATAAAGATATTGGGCACTCTAGTGGAATGCCCTAGCCCAGCCCCTGAACATCACCCCCATAAGCAGTTCAACAAGGCAACGGGGAGAAGACAGAGTCCTGAATGGCTTTTCAATACTTTACTCCTACATCTGTGACCTTGGGGACTCAGGAAGATAAAGGAAAGGAATAGCATGCTAATGAAGATCTTTAAGGCAGTGCAAGACTTCATGTTGATATTCTCCACATCCACAGAGAATCTGGCTTGAAAATTTTAAAAATTACACTGGAATTTAGTAAAGACCTGGAAGTCAGAAGTCCTAGGTTTCAGAGACAATTTTATACAACTAGATCTCTCGGCCCCCGTCTTTTCAGCTGCAAAATGAGCAGGATATTAGTAGATGATCTGTAAAGGCCACTTCTAGTTCTAGGCTAATTTTGGTTTCAATCATATTTTTGTTCCTATCTAAGGCTTGAAATGAAGCATCTTTGTGTCTATTATAACTTTGGGCTTCATGTCAAATAACTTACTAAGGTTCTACTTCAGTAAACATCTGGAAGATACACATAAATATTTCCTTTACTGTTAGAAGCAGCAGTCATCACTACAGTTTCTTAATTTCCATTCCAAATTTTCTACACATAGACTTGGCTACAAAAGCCATTCTACCTCCTTTCAGTTTTATAAAAATGTATATTGTCTATAGCCACTATCAGACATCTCTGTTATGTTAGCAGATTCCTCCTATTGGGCAGTTAACTCTCTGAGAATAAGATGGTATTCCATTCACCGAGTACCTCTCATAGCACCTGAAAAGCTACCTTGTACTTGGTGGCATCTGACAAACATCTGCTGAGTATCTTTTCATATATTTTTATCATATGTGTTCCTACACACGTTTCAGACGTGTCTCTCAAGCTCTTCTGATTGGTTTAGAATATGCTTGAGTATAGATAATGACTCATTCTTCCATTAAAGACACTAGCACTTTCTAAAGCATTGTTCTAGCACTTTTGAAAGTATGTAAAGGAAAAGACTAAATTAAACCTGAGGGTGGAAACCTGTATCGAAAGGCCAAATACTAAATATTTTAAGCTTTGTTGGCCAGGTAATCTGTGTCACAACTACTTTCCTGTGCTATTGTAACACAAAAGCAACTATAGACAATATATAAACAAGTGAGCCAGCCTGCATTCCAATAAAACTTTATTTACAAAAATTGACCTGTACGCTGTCATTTTCTAACCCTTGCAATCAACCTCAGAACCAAAAAGCAAGCATAAGATGATATAAAATAATAATAACATGATAATAACAAAAGAAACAAAGCAGCATCACTTTATTAATTATGTCTAGGCATTATCCAATTATTTAAATGTATTTAACGCAATGTACATAAGGCTGTGTACCCAAATACATAACTACATACAATCACTACATTTCAGAATCATAAATCCTACTACAATGTCCTTCAGACTAAAAATTTGCCTATTTCCAAAACTTATCCCCAGAAACCTCTTCTATCCTATTCCAAAAGATTTCTCCCTGGATAATAAAAGTTGTGGGGGGAGCAAAGAGGAAGAGGTGGTCAAATAGTAACAGCACAAAAGTGTGGGTGGTGAACTCCCATCCCTGAGAAATAGCAAAATCAACAATACAAAAAAAAAAAGTCAGATCTCACAATCCCTAAAAAGGTATCGATAGGGGGTCCTGGTTCACAAACTTTAGTCTACAAAGAGGGAAAAGGAAGGCCTCATATTTATAAACTTCAGTTTTTTGGTTATAACTTAGAACAAAATGTACGGAATTCCGCTAAGGGAGGAGACCACCCCTCATATTGTCTTATGCCCAATTTCTGCCTCCAAAGAAAGAAGAAGTAAAAACTAAAAGGCAGAAATGAAATCCACAGGCAGATAGCCCAGCGCCGCACCTTGGGCCTGGTTACAGATTGACCCCTGACCTAACGGGTTATGTTATCTGTAGATTCCAGACATTGTATGGAAAAGCATTGTGAAAATCCCTGTCCTGTTCTGTTCCATTCTGATTACCAGTGCTTGCAGCCCCCAGTCACATAACCCCTGCTTGCTCAATCGATCACGACCCTCTCACATGGACCCCCTTAGAGTTGTAAGCCCTTAAAAGGAACAGGAATCGCTCACTTGGGGAGCTTGGTTTTTGGAGATGTGAGTCTTGCCGAAGCTCCCGGCCGAATAAAGCCCTTCCTTCTTTAACTCAGTGTCTGAGGGGTTTTGTCTGCGGCTTGTCCTGCTACACCTCCACTCACCAGCCATCTGAGGACTCTGACACGGGTATTTTGCACCTGTTTTGGTTCCTGCAAAAGAGATTCATCCAAACCCTACTCATCCTTCCTAGACAGCCAGTATCACTCACAAACATACACGTGTTACTAGTGCATGCTAGTACATACGAATGTACATACACACACACACACACACACGCACACCCACAATACCCACTTGGAAGTTGGCTATTCTGTACTCAGGATAATCATCTCAACTTCTCCCCATGAGGTCCCTAAATAATAAACAAAGTTACACTTGAGTGGTCTGACTACAGAGAAGATGAGAAAGGAAAAGCAAGGTGGCTCTGCCAAAAGATAACAAAGGCTGCAAACTGATCCCCAGGAACCTGGAGTCATTTAAATGGCCAGGATACTTCCAGACAGAGAGTCTCTGGTGCTAGACACTGCCCCGGAAAGTGGATTAGCCTGGCAGACAGTATTAAACTCAGCCGGGATCCCTGGGAGAGTCTGCCAGCAACTGCTGGAGTGCCCACCACATGTATTTAGGAATTTTGCGAGGGTTCCAAGGCCTTTCAGGGCACAGCCGCTCTATCCCTAAGGAATCAACACACACATTTATCACAGAGGTAGTTTAGTACCTCATTGCCCAAAGGAACGGAACAGAGTGGGAGCAGGAGGAGGGGAGTTGAGCAAACTTAGAGAGGAACGGGTTGTAAAGTCTGAGTCAGTTTATATCTGAAGGCAAGGCTGATAGAGGTTTAATTAATTTGCTTTCCACTCTCTTTGACCATAATTCAATCTTTCTCTCTCTCTTCACATTCAAAATCCAAGGTGGACAGAGGACATAGACAGGAGGGGTGATCTATGAGGCTACAGACAAAGCAGAAGTCGCCTCTATTGCCATGAGCAATTCAATTCCTGGAGCTAAAACAATAACATCAGCATCATCGTTAGAGCAGCTTTGAGAGTAAATGCCACCAGCTCCTACAGAGCAGCCCCAAATTAATGGCATATAAATAAAAAAAGGACACCAGGGTAGCCAGTCCCACTGAAATGGGCAATCAATGTTTCTATTACAACATTAAAAAAGAGGAGGAGGAGGAGGAGCGTGGAGGGGGAGGAGAAGAAGAAGTAGTAGTTCCCCTAACTGGGAACTATGTTGTCAGTGAGGAGGAGCAAAAACAGGGTAGTCTAGAATCCAAGAGGGGTCATGGGGGGTTATGTAAAGAAGGTGGGAGGCACTGTGGGCCAGGGGCAGGTGCACTGCTGCTGCCAGGAATAGCCTCCCTGCTGGTTCAAAGGCAGTGAGGAATGGGGCACCCTGTTTTCATCCCCCGGTGGCTGCTTCACTCCCACCAGAAATGCTCCTACGTGGAGGAAGAGTATCAGCCTCTGCCACATCCACCCCCTGTCCCCAGGAGGTCCTTGTGTCCTCCCCTCCTGTGGCTTAAGAGAATAACAAAAATGACCTCCACTGGAGGGAGATCACATCTTCAGGTCCTGCCCCTTGTCTGTTTCAAATGGGCTTTTCAAACATCAGCAGGCACAGGGAAGAAGGGCAGTGGGAGACTGCTGCGTGACCAGCTCAGGGTTTCCCACCAACCTGTCTGCAATCATTCACCAGCCAGATGCAGCAAGGGACGTTTGTTTTACCCTTTTCATTCGGAGCTGTCACTGTGCGACCTCTGCCACCCCCTCATCTCTCACCTCAGGGCACCTGCCTCAAATAACTTCCCTTGTGTTGTCATTCACCTCATGGATAATTGATAGCATGTCAAGTTGATGCTAAGAAAAGAACAAGGTGGGTAGACGTGTGCCTACTATAAATAGATCCACGACATGACCAGCATTTGCCAACTTTTGAGCAAAGAAAGGCAGAGGCAGAAACGGCAGCGATGGCAGCTTCCCCTGGGTCCTTGGAAGAGCTGGCTTCACACTGACAGCCACAGCCCTGCTTGAGTGGTTTGACTCACAGCAGAGGGGTGGGAAGATGCCTTTCTCCATTTGGGAGCAAAATTTAAAATATCACACGTGATGGAACTTTCAGGGTTGTTTGACAGACGCATAAAAGCTCAAACAACGCATACTTTAAAACGTCTGCTTTCTTTCTCCTACATTATCTTTTTCTCTGTATGTTTTAGGAACTTTATTCTTTATTTTGCTCTCAGGGGCATATCTGCTTCTAAGTTTTTATATACATATGCTCACACAATTACATATGTAATTGGCACCTACACAGATTATAAATTAGGTATATATTAGACCCTGCAGCTACAGAGAGGAAGAATAAAATAAGACTCCAAACACAGGAGGCATTCATCAGGAATCCTTTTGTTACAAGTGGCAAAAACCAATTCAATATGGTAAGAAACATGAATTAAAAAATGATAAAGATGTGAGGTCTTTTTCAACATGTCCCATGAAGAGTTCCCCACCAAACGAGGGGGCCAATCCATGGCAAAGATTAGATTAAGGGTGCACCTTTCCATCCAAGCCTATTTTTTCACATGGCCTCAAGATGGTTGACTTTAGTTTAAGGGCAGAGGGAGGAGGGAGAAACAGAGAATCGAGACAAGTGAGCTTTTCAGGCTTAAAAATTGCTTCTAGGTCTAGATTGAGATCTTTGCCTTGGTCACTCACACGTGGAACAAAGTGGAAACAAATCGACCTGAATGCTCTTAAGTCTCTTAGGGCATTGAATTGCCAAATAAACCACAGTCCTCATCTGAAAAATCTTGTAACTGCCAATCCCCCAAGGGAACCCCAACTTCTCCAAAAGCCCCACCAACAGGAAAGGGGCTGTGAACATTGTGCAGGTCATGGGAAGGGCACTCCTCCTATGCCCACTTCAGATACAGCCTGGAGGATAATGGATGAGGAAGAGGCTAAACAAACTGTAGGAGGAGAAACAACCAACTGCAATTGCAAAAAAAAATACATCTCAGGATCGCAGAAACTGACTATATAAACTCTAAGTGTTGGCATCCACAAGCCAAAGAGCAAACTGCAAAACTCTGAAAATTGAAAGAAAAAGACTTGGGTTCCTGGTCCAGTTCCTAATGGGTAACCAAGCATGTCCTTCAGCCTTGCAAAAGGTCAGTCATGGAAGTTCTTAGGAGAGGTATATTTTGAGCCAGACATTCAACAAACACGTCAGTTGAACAAAATAAGTTCTTCCTTATGCAGTCATCAACAGTAACAGACACAGAAGAATCTGAGCTGAGAATGCAACAGAAGCCCCAGTGTACATACATCACCAATAAACCTGTTTCCTGCAGAGGCTTTAATAACCAAGCAGATAGGAGATCTCTCTCCTGTTTCCAAGCAGTGGATCTCATCAATAATCCAGACAGGAGATAATATGCCAAGACCTGCTGTGCCCTCCCAGCCAAGCGTGACCTCACAGGTTCCTTGTTATCAGGCTCCAAGTTCACACCTAGAAAATAATGGAAATATACCCTCAGCTGCACAGCCCTTTTCTGATTCATTTGTAAGCTACACTAATAATCCCATGATGCAAACACAGAAGAAAAAAAGTCATTCGGGAACCGTCAGAAAGGTTATTTTTGTAAGACATGAGGGAATGATTATAATGATTTATTAAAATCTTACAATGTGAGAAAGTAAGATCGGCAAACAAAATCCAATTAAGGAATTCACCAAATAAAAAGGAATTGAACTCCTCCAGCCTGGGGTTGACAAAGAAGCCATTCAGTAAAGAGCTTTATATGCTAAACTTAGCTAGTAAACCTAGTTATTTTCCATGCAGTGCTGTTCTTAAAGAGCTATTTAACTTCATCCATATCTACGATCTAAAAGACTAAGTATTTTGACTTGTGGGTTTAAAAAAAAAATTAGTTCCAATTTTAAAATGAACTTGCCTCAGAGACTACATTGTGTAGATTTAAGAGTTGATTAGTACTGGGTTCCTAAGACTAACTGCCCAACACATTTCCCTTGCCCTTCCATTCCAAAGCCCTCTCCTAACCACACAAGGACCACTAATACCTACCCACAATTTAATTTTCAATTTCTCATCCAGATATATTTATCTGCCTTCTTCTCTCAACCATGTGGGTTCCATATATTTTGGATGTGTTTGGGGTATATAACTGTTTGGTTATATTTTTTAATATTTCCTTTTTGTATTTGTTTCTTCTCTGGAATTTCTCAGTAAACATTCTCCAGGATTTTTTTTTTAATCCTCTCCAAAATAAAGGCATGAAAGCCGCCCCTGACTTTTCAAAGCACCACTGGTGCCCTGGGTACCAACACTATGTTCTGCTCCACTTAACGCTGCATCCACTTCTTAAACCTG
Organism: Homo sapiens; assembly: GCF_000001405.40. NCBI lineage: Eukaryota > Metazoa > Chordata > Mammalia > Primates > Hominidae > Homo > Homo sapiens. The sequence goes on from NC_000007.14 coordinate 137,757,189, forward strand.
GGTCATCGGGCTTCCCCCACCCCACTTCAGGAAAAATCTCTCCCCAGAGTCAGCAATACCATCCCCATGGAGACAGAACCCCTTAGTATTTCTCAGTCCTGCTCTTCAGCCACAGACACTGGTAACCACTTCCTTCTCTTTACCACTCTTTCTTAATCTAACTTTTGTGTATGATTCATTCCCAGTTTTCCTACACCCTCTCCTTCCCAGGCTTCTCATCTTCCCATTTCTTAACCGTTGGTGTCAGCTGGGATTCTGTGTTCAGCCCCTCTTCCTCTCCATGTGATTTCCCTAGAAGTCATCCACTTTCATGCCCCAGCTAGTCCCATACGGTAAGGAGTCCCAACATTCTCTCCCTGTCAGAGACCATTCTCCTGACCCGCTGGAAGGGAATGGCTCATATTCAAAATGTCTAAAACCGTACCCATTATCTGACCCTCAACACCTGTCCCTCCACCTCTACTTCCTATTAGAAAAAAAAATTACTCAAGCCAGAACCTGGCAAACAGCTCAATATTGGTTCAGGAAATCTCTCTCTTAACCAATAAAATCTCAATGCCAAGCCGGTTCCCCAAGGCACTGGGCACTTGACATCACTGCTGGCCAAATCTATGTGTTCATGAATTAGAACGTAGCTGAGAAGAACAAGATAACTATATCCACCTGGCAGAAGTAGATATTTCTCTAAAAAGTAGTTTAAGACATATAGCGAAATTGGAGAATCGTAACACTCTTTCCAACTTTGAGAGAGCTTGTTCCCCTCTGCACCCTGGGGAAATCAGTCTTCTTAATGTTTTCTCTTTTCACAGCTATTTATGACAGTTTAGAACAAAGCTCAAGTCCTGTATCTCCTGGTTTAAGTTTCCTTTGTGCAAAAGAACCTTCTTTTTCCAATATCTTGGGCTATACATGCTTATTTGGAAGGAAAGAGATTTGGAAATGGAAATGAATCCACTTTACTACCTCCTCCTCAATCAAAACGGAGAAGTCTCAGCAATGATATCTGAAACACCCACACTTATGGAACCAGTGGGGTTCTATGAGCCCCTGGGTGAGCTATGGGCTCATTCTGGGACTCAGGTCCTGGCCCAAGTGGTAGCTCCAGCATCCATTTCTGTAGGCAACGAAGTAGTAGTCTGGTAGAAAAGGAAGGGAGTGGACTCTCCTCTCAAAGCCATGCTTGTGATACACTTTATATTAAAAACATATCTCAGAGGCCATGTGCGGTGGCTTACACCTGTAATCCCAGCATTTTGGGAAGCCAAGGTGGATGGATCACTTGAGGTCAGGAGTTTGAGACTAGCCTGGCCAACACGATGAAACCCCATCTCTACTAAAAATATAAAAATTAGCCGGGCATGATGGTGAGTGCCTGTAATCCCAGCTACTCGGGAGGCTGAGGTAGGAGAACCACTTGAACCTGGGAAGCAGAGGTTGCAGTGAGCCAAGGTTGCACCACTGCACTCAAGTCTAAGTGACAGAGCAAGACTCCGTCTCAAAAATAATAATAAATAAATAAAATTATATATATATATATCTCAGTCTGACGTATCAGACTAAGGAAGAGTGTGATATGTCCTTCCCCAACAGTGCTGGTGCTTTTTTGGGCAAGATCACACTGGGTGTTATCAGGAGATAGATACTCAAACCTAAAGCACCATTTGTTTGTAATCATACCATTTTTTTACTTTTCCCATATAGGCGCTTTGGGCTTACTCACAAAGGAACAACTATATTCACAGATGTTAAAAGTATGTATATTCTTCTTAAATTTTTTAAATTTTATTTTAGATGCAGGGGATACATGCGCATGCTTGTTACATGGGTACATGGCATACTGGTGGGGATTGGGCTTCAAGTATACTCATTACCCAAACAGTGAACATTGTACCCAACAGGTAATTTTTCAACCCCCTCCCTCTCCTACTCCCTCAGCTTTTGGAGCTCTCAGTGTCTATTACTTTCATGTTTATGTCCATGTGTATCCACTGTTTAGCGCCTACTTATAAGTGACAACACACAATATTTGATTTTCTATTTCTTAGTTCACTTAGTTATCTTAGTTCACTGAGACAATGGCCTCCAGCTCCATCCATTTTGCTGCAAATGACATAATTTCATTATTTTCTATGGCTGCTCTACATTCTTTTTTTTTTTTCTTTATTTTTTTGAGATGAAGTCTCACTCTTGTCCCCCAGGCTGGAGTGCGATGGCGCGATCTCAGCTCACTGCAACCTCCGCCTCCCAGGTTCAAACGATTCTCTTGCCTCAGCCTCCCGAGTAGCTGGGATTACAGGCGCCTGCCACCACGCCTGGCTAATTTTTGTATTTTTAGTAGAGACGGGGTTTCACCATGTTGGCCAGGCTCGTCTCGAACTCCTGACCTCAGGTGATCTGCCCGCCTCAGCCTCCCAAAGTGCTAGGATTACAGGCGTAAGCCACCATGCCCAGCCCTTCTACATTCTTATTGATAGAGATTCTCAAGCAGCTATAGAAGTGGGTGGCAATAGAACAAGGGAAAAAGATTTCCAAGAAATTCTTAACTAATTACAGGCCTAGGCTGGGTGAAGAGTTTACACCAAGATGAACTCATTCTCCCTTTCTTTCTCTGTTTCTCTCTCCTCCTTTTCGTCCCTCCCTCCCTCACACACATTTTGAGCATCCTCAGAAAAAAAAACAGAGTCTTGATATTCTCATGCCTCATTCTCCAGAAGTAAAAAATGTGGTATCCTGAAAAACTAGAAACAAAAAGGCATACTAGTTGTGGCGCCTTTGCTACCATAGCGTGAGTGAGAAAATAGAGCTAAACAGAAAAATATATGTACCCTGAGACACACAGATAGACTGAGGCAATTGAGGCAATCGACAGGGAATCCTCCTAATCCTCTTCTGTGCCTCCAGTCACAGAGGAGTCACTCCCTCTTTCTTTGAATCAGCAGAGCCCACCTCACCTACTAATCTTTCCTGCGGGCCCTCTCCTTTCTTTCCCTTGCACTCACTGTTGGTGACTATGGTGATTTCTCTAACAACCAAGAGCCCTGCGGGAAGAAACGGCATTTTCCAAAACTCTGGGCTTATACCCAGCCAAGCCATTCCACCTCCCTCTCTCCTCCCCAAATGCTGAGCGCCTTTGCCAGTAGCCTGTTGTCATGGTTACTCTAATCTTTATCTGCTTTGCTTGCTAAACAAGCTGGCTCTGCTCCAGCCCACCTCCTGGTTCTTCCTACCTCTGTGGCCTTCACTACTTCCCTCCCGCCCCATCTTCGTCCCCTTCTTTCCCTGAGGGATAAAAGGAAAGAACAGCAATCACTGTTCCTTCCCCCTACCCCACTCTAGTCTACTGGATTTTATCGGGAGGGTTTCTTTTCTGTTCCCGAATGGAAAAGCACCACTCATGACAGCAACAAGCAGTGATTGAAAATGAAGGTTCTACACAGGCTCCAGAAATGGAGGAGAAAGGGAGAGAGGAGAGCCAGAAGGGGGAAGTCCAATAGGAACCATTTCGGTTGGCAAAAAGAAGCTGATGGCTAAAGTTATTAGATGGGTCTGCTGAGGTCCACTAATACCACTTCACCCAACAAGCCACCCCTCAGAATAAGACCTTACATCCTGCTTCAAAGAGGTAATCCTTCCCCTCCTCTTGCATCCTTATGTCATATCCCTCCTTCCTTCCAGTCCAGAGGGACGACATTTCCATCTCTAGTCCAGGCAATTCCCTTTAGGCTGTTCTGCACTCTGTTCTCCCATGCCTCCTTAGAGATCTTAATTCAACCAAAATTTCCTCTCTTGAATCTTAAACCAATTTCTCTCTACCTACTCTTTCCTCTCAGCATCGAAACACAATTTCCCATCTTAAAACGACATCCCTAGTTGGCCCGTATTACCCTTTGATAACCAGCAACTCACCTTTTTGGAAAGTCATCTCCCCTTTCTGTCTGTTTCTTTGTTTTGCCTTCAAGCCACTGCACGGTGGTTTGCTTCAGGACCATGCCAGAGCCAAGGTTATGAAGAACTTCCCTGTTGTTAAATTCTGCAAGCCCTTTGTAGCCTTTTTGCCACTGTGTTTCCTAACAAGTGATTGTGGTGGTCAACACACAGGACTTCGGCATCCTTTCATTTATGTTCAAATCTTGGCCCTGGCATTTATCAACTTTGTGCCTTTGGTCAAGTTATTTACCCTTTCTGCTGCCTCAGTTTCCCCATGTTTCCTTGACGTAAATAGCAGGGGCTACCTCACCTGGTTATTGTGGTGATTAAATAAGACAACATTTGTAAAACAACCACAGCAGTGCTCACTCAAAGAAAGTACACAGAAATCATTAATGACTATTTTCTTACCTGAATCCCTCAGCAGCACTCAGCGATCTCTTCCTCTTGATACTCTTCACCATGTTCTCCTCTTTCTTCTTCTTTCCCTGTATTTTCCCCCTTGGGCTCCCATTTGAAAGCCTCATTAGCTTTCTTTCATAGAATGGTCCACAGATTCCTGTTCTGGACCATCTGTTCCTCTCAACTAAACATTCTCACTAAGCAATCTGAGTTATACCCAAGGCTTTAACTACCACAGTAGATGGTGGGCCCACAAATCTCTATGTTCCTCCAGACTTCTCTCCTAGACTCCAGACCCATACATCTGCCTACTGTATATCTCCACCTCAATGTCTCACAGGCAGCCTAAACTCAACTTGACCGAAGCAAGATTCTATCCCAATAAATGGCACCACCTAAAAGCCCAAGCCTGAAAACTGGTGCCGTCAATCACCTCGTCCTCATCCCTCATTTTCTAAGTCCAGGTAGTAATTAAACCCACTTGGTTCCACTTCAGTCTCTCTCAAGCCAACAGCTGTCTACTATTACTGATTTTCTTAATTATTTCTCATTATTTCTGGCCTAGAGTGTCAAATGTATTTACCCCTCTCAAATCATTCCGTATACGGTAGCCAGAACAGCCCACTTTAATGCCAATGTGACCAGTTCATTCCCGATATTAAATCTCCAATAGTTCCCCATGTCTATAACAGTATATCCCAAACTTAACTAGCGATCTTCTTAATAGATTCCTGGGAAACACTCTGACACACCTGAAATCAGATTTGCCAAGAAAGTGGCCTGAGAACATTTGTAACAAGGACCAAGTGATTCTAATGATCAGGTAAGTTTGGAAAATGCTGGCCTCTAAGATAAAAGAGCATGCCCTTTATGTTACAACTGCTCCTTTTTAGAGTATCCCTAGAGTCTTTCTCACATTCTATACTCCAGCAGCAGGGAACGCTAAAGTGAGAAAAATATGTAACACCTCTCTCTCTTCCAGTTCTCTGCCATTGATGAGCATTGCAAATTGGTTTTCCATGTTGTCTCACACCCAGGTCCTGGTTATGACATCATTATAGTTGCTGCCTGAATGTGGAACACCCTCACCCCAGCATGGATCACAGCTAACTCCTTTTTTTCAAAACCATTCAAGTATCACCTTCTCCAGATATCTGATCTCCTTGCTCGGTTCAATAGCTCTCCCCAAGCCCTTACCCACCTCAAGCTTTCATGAGATCTGGTTCATTGTGTGCTCCTATAGCATCCGGGGCTGACCTCCACCAAAGTATTACAGGATACGTCTGCCTCCTGCTCTCCTTGCTATGGCGTGCACATCTCCTGATCTCAGCACCTAGCCTGTTCCAGACAAATAGGGAATTTAATATTGTGGACTGAGTGACAAAGAATGATTCCAGTAGGCTTTAGCTCCATTGTCCAGCTATTCATATCTGTTCAAAACCTTATGGCCTCATCCAAAGTATTCATTTTCCCTCCCAATTTCATATCACTTAGCATTTTGATTTCCATGTTCTCTTTATTCTCATCTAAATTGCTGATGAAAAGTTTCAAATCAGGGGCCAAGGTACAGAGTCCACATGAGAATTCTCTCTGGTTAGGTACTCATTCACTCAAGTGGTATGGTAAGGACTGCAAAGGACTGGACACTTTTATATTTTTATAGGCAACAGAATGACTACCGTCAAATGTCTGCCTGCCTGTGAAATACTGGAGAGGCCATTCAAACAAGAATGATGCTATCTGACTATCTGACTGTCCTATTATACAGTTTATATGCACCAGCCTTGTCCAGGAAGCTACGGGTGTGAACTGACACACACCTCAAATGTCTCGCAGGATCCTAGATATGCCACATCTGCTGTATTTGCTCTATTTAAGGCTTTGCAACTTTAATTTTCCTAAAAAGAAATCATGCTGCTTTGGCTTAACATTCTCAGTGGGCCAGTGTTTGCATTTAGGGATCACTCATCTCCTGTCCAACGACTCCCAAACTGCTTGTTTCATAACCTGTTCAAGAATGTTTTATGGAAATTATGTCAGATTCTCTCATCTACAGTGTGTGAAATCCAAAGTATCCTCATTTTTGAAAACTTAGAAAATGTTTGCCTATCTCAGCTTTCCAGCTCCTGTCCCATTTATTATCCACGATTCTCCAAAGATTCTAAACAGTAATTCTATAGCTTCTCTCTGTATCTAGAATGTAATTCATCTGGGCTAAAAAGTTTTGACTCATGTAGCTCAGGCCAGTGTTTCCTTACACCTTCCTCATCCAGAGAGAATTTCAGGCCATGCCTGTCTGCTCCAAGTCTCCAATAAGGTCTCAACCTCCACATAGAGCAATTTTCAGTCTCTTGTAATAATTAGCAAAGCATGCTGTAATACTTCTAACCAGTAAGGATAGGGTAGTCTAGGCCTGAAAAACAGACCGCTAAATAAGGGACAGGTCGTCTACCTGCTTTGGCATTTGTTCAGTGTTTGCATATTGTCACAACATTTATTTTAAGCCCCTAAAAGTGTCAAGTGATGGCTCCCACATGGACTTTGATCAGACACTATCACAGATCTAGGCCCAGAGCCCACGAATATTTACTAAATATGCAGTAGGTGGATGCTCACCCTAGATGTGAACGGTGTTGCCCTAGGACAGATCATATTCCTTAAAGTGCCCCTCCCCTCCTCTGACTCTTTGTCCAGGGTGGCACCCTGGGAAGCTGTGTTTTTAAAAAGCTTCCTGAGCACACCAGAATTATTGTTCCAGGTGAACAGATTCTGAACCTTTAAGTTAATTTCATCCTTCAGAAGGAACTTTTACATTGAGAAAGGGTCAGAGTTCCTTTTTCTGCCCTCTTTTTGCCAAATATACACATCTAAAAGAATTTGCAGAGAGCCAGGATGGCTCCTGTTTAATTTGTTTCATATATTCTCTAACATAGCATCCCTTGTAGCAGTACTCAATAAGGATCTGAAAGTTCATTTCGTTCATTTCCACCCGACTTCTCTTGTGCTGGTCCACAAGAGAAGTTCATTCAAGCCCTGCTTAGATGCCTCCAAAGGCAGACCACTCACCACCCCAAAAGGCAGATGTCCTCTACTGACAGTGCTCTTCGGCAGTATGGCCTTTCCTCCTGGTTTGTCTAGGGTACCTGCAACAGCCCTAGTTGGTACCTTTTGTCCTGTTTTATTGAATAAGCCTGGCTTTCACTCTGAATGTCCTGGTTTGAAAGATAATACAGTGCCCATATTATTTTCCTGCAGCTCAGGATAAACTGTGAATGCCTTACCCTGAGCTATGAATATGTTCTCAATCCCATCCCCACCTCCTACCTCTCCAATCTCTTCCTCCAGTACTTCCTTCTTTCTGCCCCCTACCTATACCACAGAGAAATGGTCTCCTTCCACATTTTACCCAAGAGGCTACAGGGGCTTCCAGGGTAACTTGCCTAAAGTTTCACAGCTAATAAGGAGAAGACAGTTTTCTTTTCCATCTGAATATACTCAGTTCCTTCCATGGTTTCTCCTGAGACATGCTTCCAGACCCTCAGGCACCTGCTAATTGCCCTTCTCTGGGCAAACATGAGGCGCCAGGTGCAGTCCAACCATTGAAGAGGGGTGTTACTTCCTGAGTTCAATACATTAACGTTCCATTAATGCAGCTTTTTAGTTGCCTCAGTCAGATTTAGTGGCTTATACTGAGCTTTTAGTCAAATAAAACTTCAGTGTCTTTCTCTACCAGAACTACTGCCAGTAGATTTTTTTCTCCCACCATTATGTATCGTTGATTTTTTTATTCCAAAATAAGATTTTACATTTATCCCTTTGAAATGTCATTGTGTTATTTTTAACCCAGCATTCCAGCATATCTATATCATTTTGAGACATATTTTTGTTTTTGTCATCGATTACATTGGCCATCCTTTCCAGTTTTGTGTCTGCCACAAATTTGATGAGCACACTTCTTGTGCCCTCTTCCAACTTGCTGGCAAAGTCACTGCCCAGAGCAAGTCCAAGATCTGAGAATTTTAAAATGACCTCACTAATGATATTCCTTGTCTTGTCTGTGATGTCACAGTCTTCCAAAGAGCCTTCCTGCAGAAACCGTTCACTTGTCAAGGTTTAGAACCACTGCCACCATCAGCCCTTTGTAATGATAAGTCAACATGAGAGTCTTCATAGAGATGATGCAGCTGAATCCCACGTCGTTTACTAAACAATTCAGCTAAGTAGCCCTCAGGTCTGGATGGACTCTAAGGACAGGCAGCATACGATACGGAGGCCTCCCGGAATCCTGCAGCCCCAAGTCACCCAACCTTCCCACTGGCTAAAGAGAGAAAGGAGACACACTCTATTGTCAATTTCACCCCCAAAGCTTTATCTATGTTCCTAGGAGAAGTCACATCTATACCTTACACTGGTATCAGGCATTTAAATCAGTATGGCAAGTCAGGTTTTCAGAAAATATCACTGAAAGGAAAAGGCCAAGAGAAGCTACCTGAACAGGAGATTTCCTAAATGTCAGATCTAGTTCCTGCCTGAAACCAGCTCTCAGCCCCTTTCATTTACAGATGAAGATAAGAGGAGAAAAGAGCTAGAACAAGATTGTTCAGGACTTACGATCCTAAGAGGAAAGGAAGAAAGGTATACACCAGGAAAGCTCAAACAGAATGAAAAGTGAACCCTCCCGTTATTCTGAGACAAATATCATGGGATCCTCCAGCCTAACAGGAAAATGAAGCAAACTCTAAGAAACAAATATTTCCAATGGTGATCTAATCGGACTTCCATCAAATATGGTTGTGTCAACGTGATGTTCATCTCTACTCCCTTCCCAACCTCCAACATAATGAAAGTAATTAAGTTTTTTTAAAAAGTAAAGTTCCACAAGGACACAGAGAAATGGAGAGGTAGAAATAAATGTTAACAGTCTTCTGGAAGATGGAAAGTGAATTGACAAGTTATTACTAACCTATTAGCACAAAGAAAGTTACAAATCTCAAAGAGCAAAACCAAGAAAAAGCAAGCCAATTTGCACGGAGCCCCTCAGAAAAGCTGAGGAATTGGAGGAGGAATTGGAAGTGTCATGGACTTCCTCCAGGGCAAAGAGAATCTTCCTTATTCCCTCCTTCCCACTCAGCACACCCAGGGCAGGACAGGAGGAATTTCTTTTTCTAGAGAAACTGAAAGAGGGATCCTCAGGAACTAGGGACTCAAATAGGGAGGGCTTGCAGGGTGGTGAGGGTGGTGCATGGGTAAACGTGAGTCTGAAAAGAGAGAATTGAGTGAAAGTCAACACCCACAATGAGATCTTTCTGTTTCCCACTCCAAACTTGGCTCCCACAACACCTGCAGCAGGTGCACAGCCCCAGGAACAAGTCTGGGTGGTTCTATTATGGAGATTCTGGCCAGCCCAAGGGAAAAGCTTCCAGATGCTGACATCTGAGGATCCTCCAAGTGAACAGATCTGTGATCCTAGGCCACTCTGCAGTGGGGGGCCACTACCAGACGAGCCGGGGCCACCCACAGAAGGTGTCCTGTCAGCTCTTCAGAGCCTTATTCATGTCTGTGACCTGATGGGGGGGCCACTACCAGATGAGCCTGGGCCACCCACGGAAGTTATCCTGTCAGCTCTTCAGAGCCTTGTTCATGTATGTGACCTGATGGCTGCAGATCTCCTGCCATTGCAGGAAAGCCACCAGTATGAAAGACAGGGCCAAAGTACTCAATTAGGAAGAAAGAACTGAAAAATAAAAGAACAGAACAAAAATAAGAAACAGCTACTGGGCTTTTAAAGTGTCACAGGGGAAAAAAAACTCTTTGGTAAGAGTTACAAGATAAAGTTAAAGCAATCTCCCAGAATGTAGGTCAAAGGTAATGAAGAGATAAAGGTAAGAAAATTAGAGGATAAATTCAGGACATACAACTTCCATCTAATAAGAGTTCCAAAAGAGAAGAGAAGGGAAGAGAAGAGAAGAGAAGAGAAGAGAAGAGAAGAGAAGAGAAGAGAAGAGAAGAGAAGAGTAGAGTAGGAGGAAGAGGAAGAGAAGAGAAGAGAAGAGAAGGAGAAGGAGAAGAGAAGAGAAGAGAAGGAGAAGAGATAATAATATACATGTGGCTCCACTATAAATAGTATTTGTAAAATCTTAATCATTTAAAAAGTGTAGTGGTTAAAAGTAGACTCTGGAGCCTCGTTTACTTTGGTTTGAAGTCTGGCTCCACCAGCTACTACCTACATGACTTTGGAAAGTTAGTTAACCCAGGTCTCAATGTCCGTATCTGCAAAATGGAAAGAATAACAGTATCTGCTTTACATGGTTGCTATAAAGATTAGTTAATACATGTCTAAAGCTCTTCGACAGTGTCTTGCACCCAGAAAATACATAATAAAGGTGAGCTATTTTTAAAAATATTATATAATATTCCAGTATGAGAGGCAGAAGGATCACCTGAAGCCAGGACTCCAAGACCAGACTGGGCAACACAGCAAGACCCTGTCCCTACAAAACAAACACAAACAAACAAAAAACAAATAATCTGATCATGAGTCTAACCAAGAACTTTGATCTACATATATGAGGAAGCTACAGAAAGTGGGAGGATGTTAAGTGGACACAAGATGTTCATCTAAAATGGTACCATCTCATAGAAAGATGATGGTATTAGGTCGGTACCTAATACTATCATCTTGGCAAAACCAAAATTACTTTTGCACCAACCTAACAGATAATGTCTACAATTGGCAAACCAAATGATCATAGTATAAACATAGTATTTAGAAACACAGATATAAATAAATACCAGAAGGATAAGCTAGAGAAATGGAAAGTTGCTGTCAGGGGAGCAGGACTCAATAGTGGGGAGGGAGTGAGGCATAACAATGTGAATACTTCATTTTTAGAATCATTTAAAAACACACATATTTTAAATAGCTTCGTCACACTGAGCTAAAACCCAGAGGGATGACAAGAGACGACTCTCAAGAAGCAGCTTCTGCAAAAGCTAAGCACCAATTCTGAGCAAAAAATATCCTTTCCAGCTGCTTTAAAACCAAACAAAAAGTAAGCAAAGGGCACATTTCCAGGGGAAAGGGAGGCAACCCGACTGCATGCACGTACAGGCCCCGGGCAGAATCACGCTGTGCCTCATTACATAAGGTGCCCTGAATCTTTGCCCCATCCTGCCCTTCTCTGGCCCCTGTTTCCCCATATCCTTGCCTTCCTCCTCCAGAGCCAACATTCTTTGGGCTGCCTCCTTCACACTCAGGGACAAAATAAATTGCAGCCGCTTGGCTGAACGGCTATCAAATTGTGTTCCGGAGTCTTCTGCAGTTCCTATTCAATGGTCTATATGGCGGCTTCATCAGAGAAAACACTTTTACAGAGGAAGCATTTCTTTTAGAAGATGAGGTGTTAGCACTCTGTATTCTGAGGCACGTTGTAATAGTCATTGTCAGAGGTGCCAGCAGATGAAAATACCAGTCACTATAAGAGATTTCTGAAGAAGTCAGAAAAAAAAGTCAATTTTGTCTTCTCAAAAAATAGAAAGTGGGTCAGGAAATTCTGAGAAAAGACAGCATTTATGCATAGGGATTTCGCATTCTGATTACGGAGCCCTACTACATGATAATAATCTCTTGCTGCTTCTGCGACACCCAAGGGAGACACGGGAGAAAATGCAAAAGAAGCCGAGACGTGTTAGACCCGGTAGATGAACTCTGACTGTGGCAGATCCAGCAATGGTGGTCGAGGGTAAAGTTCTGTAAGAAGAGTTTGGTACCAAATGTCCCTGAAAATTTGGAACTAAAGTGAAAGCTATCTGAGTCAAAGAAATGGGTTTCAAGTGAACTGGAAAGAACTGGATTAATCAGCAAGGGAAGATCAAACTAGTACCATTCACTGAGTGATAACAATTAAGAATTAGTTTTATCACCAAAAGCAATTGCAACAAAAGCCAAAATTGACAAATGAGATCCAATTAAACTAAACAGCTTCTGCACAGCAAAAGAAACTACCATCAGAGTGAACAGGCAACCTATGAATGGGAGAAAATTTTTGCAATCTACTCATTTGACAAAGGTCTAATATGCAGAATCTACAAGGAACTTAAACAAATTTACAAGAAAAAAAAACAACCCCATCAAAAAGTGGGCAAAGGATATGAACAGACACTTCTCAAAAGAAGACATTTATGCGGCCAACAAACATGAAAAATAGCTCATCATCACTGATCACTAGAGAAATGCAAATCAAAACCACAATGAGATACTATCACATGCCAGTCAGAACGGCAATTGTTAAAAAGTCAGGAAACAATAGATGCTGGCAAGGCTGTGGAGAAATGGGAACGCTTTTACACTGTTGGTGGGAGTATAAATTAGTTCAACCATTGTGGAAGCCAGTGTGGCGATTCCTCAAGGATCTAGAACCAGAAATACCATTGGACCCAGCAATCCCATTACTGGGTATATACCCAAAGGATTATAAATCATTGTTCTATAAAGACACATGCGTATGTATGTTTACCGCAGCACTATTTACAATAGCAAAGACTTAGAACCTACCCAAATGCCCATCAGTGATAGACTGGATAAAGAAAATGTGGCACATATACACCATGGAATACTATGCAGCCATAAAAATGAAATGTCCTTTGCAGGGACATGGATGAAGCTGGAAGCCATCATTCTCAGCAAACTAACACAGGAACAGAAAACCAAACACTGCATGTTCTCTCTCATAAGCGGGAGTGAAACAATGAGAACACATGGACACAGGGAGGGGAACAACACACATCAGGGCCTGTCTGGGGGTGGGAGGCAGGGGAGGGAGAGCATTAGGACAAATACCTAATGCATGAGGGGCTTAAAACCTAGATGACGGGTTGATAGGTGCAGCAAACCACCATGGCACATGTATACCTATGTAACAAACCTACGCATTCTACACACATATCCCAAAACTTATAAGTAAAACAGAAAAAAAAAGAATTAGTTTTATAAAAATCAATAAATTATACTCAGTGGGTTTTTTTTTTTTTTTTTGAGACGGAGTCTCGCTCTGTCGCCCAGGCTGGAGTGCAGTGGCGGGATCTCGGCTCACTGCAAGCTCCGCCTCCCGGGTTCACGCCATTCTCCTGCCTCAGCCTCCCAAGTAGCTGGGACTACAGGCGCCCGCCACTACGCCCGGCTAATTTTTTGTATTTTTAGTAGAGACGGGGTTTCACCGTTTTAGCCGGGATGGTCTCGATCTCCTGACCTCGTGATCCGCCCGCCTCGGCCTCCCAAAGTGCTGGGATTACAGGCGTGAGCCACCGCGCCCGGCCCTCAGTGGGTTTTAATAAAATATTTTAGGGCCTTTTTAGCTTATTTATTTAAAATTTCAAGATCATATAGTCTTGAAGTGAACCAAAAAAATCAGAAAGAGTTACCCACTTTACCTATGGTATGTGAGGCAAGCTTTGAATGAGTAAATAAGGAGTGAATCTGTGTAATCGTCAGCTTCCATTTTGGTATAATTCTGCTTCTTATTCCCAATCTGGGTTTACGTTTTATCTTTGCAATTATATTCATTCTTTATTTATTTTTATTTATTTTTTTTGAGATGGCATCTCACCTCTGTCACTTAAGCTGGAGTGCAGTGGTGCAATCTCAGTTCACTGCAACCTCCACCTCCCGGGTTCAAGCGATTCTCCTGCCTCAGCCTCCTGAGTAGCTAGGATCACAGGTGCGTGCCACCATGCCCAGCTAATTTTTGTATTTTTAGTAGAGATGGGGTTTCGCCATGTTGGCCAGGCTGGTCTCAAACTCCGGACCTCAGGTGATCCACCCGCTTCAGCCTCCCAAAGTGCTGGGACTACAGGTGTGAGCCACCGTGCCAGGCCAACTTTCTTAAATCTCGAACAAAGCATTTACTTACTAGTTAGTGGAAACAAGATTCACATTGCATCATAGGTATTCCAGATACTTTCAGTGATGTGGAAATCAGAAACCCATAAAATTAAGTATGCCAGAAAGCAGTTTTGTACACATCTAAGTAAATTCTCTCTTAAACAAGAGAAAGGAATAAATAGATACCAATAAACATGCATCTTTATCTCAATAATATTTTAATGATTATTTCAATGATATTTAAAAAATCATCATGACTTGATACAATTGTTGGTACACAAAATGACGCCACTATGGTCTTCATGGAAAGTGTGACCTCATTAACGACTGAACAATCTGACAGATTCATTCAAATATGTCTAACAGACCCTGGGTGAGTCTGGAAGCTTTGGCAGTGAAACCAGAAGGACTCAGCCTGTGAGGGAAGGTTGGTTTGTCTCCAACTCGAACTGGGAAATACCTTCTAATAAGATGACACTGTTCTTGGGAATTCCAGAATCATGAAAAGGCAGTGGAAATCACTGGGTGTAGGAATCAGCAGCTGTGGGCTTCTGGAAATAACGTCCTGGCACTTACACGACCTTGTTCCAATTCAGAGTTAAGGCTGCTCTACACTGTGTGCATTCGTGTCCGTAAAGAAAGTAGCAAAATAAAAATCATGACTGGTTTCCATTTTAGGCCTCACTCTTTGCAGTGTCCTTCTTCATTCCCAAATCTTCCATGTTGGGAAAATTAAGGTAACAAGAAAATCTCCTCTGTTCTTTTTCCACTAAATCCAAAATCATGACACAGAACTCTGTTGAAATACATCATAAAGGTAGAATTTTAAAACAAAAGGCTGAATAAAATGGAGAGGAAGATACTTAACTCCATGGCTACCTCTCTCTTAGCCAGCATCATGTTATTTAAATATTATCTGCTTTTGGTCTGTTCTGTCTCCCCAACTAGACTGTGAATTCACATGTGAGAGCTATTCGTGATTCACCCTGGAGCCCTGGGTGACCGGCACAGTGTCTGACACAAGGCACTCAAGAGATTGCACTTAAACTGGACTGGGCCTACTTAAGGGAGGTATCAAAAAAACATTAAAGTAATACACACATCTGGTTAGAAAAAAGAAAGCTTGCAGAATGGTTTATAATGAATGACCTAAGCCCCCAGATCTGTTCCCCATCCTGCTCACTAAAGGCAACCATTCGTAACTATGAGAATTTGTTTTTAAGGTTTCATCACATGTATTGCTAATTCAAAAAAAAAGAAGAAGAAAAAGAATGCCAGTTTCAAATTATTCATGTCTCTTTACTTAAATAGACCCAAAATATTTGGAAACACTGTCAGCAGTTATTCCAAGTTGTTGTATTCATACATTCAACAAACATATATTGTTTGCATTAAAAGTTATGGCATTTCTATTTTCATACTTTCATCAACACAGACAAGCTTTCTTCTCCACTTAGGATGATGAAGGCATAAGTCAGTGTGACCCTAGAATTAGTGGGGACAGAACACATCAGCACTAGACAATGGGGGTGGAGAGAGGAAGGGTGAGTCAGTGTCACAATGGAATAAGCTGCTGCTCTATGAGTTACTCTTGCAGGATGGGGGTGAATTGCCAGATGCAGGAATGCACTCCCTTTTTTGCTTACTTCTCAGCAAGTGACACTCTGTACAAGAAGGGACCCATGGGTCAATTACATTATACCACATTTTACTTCTACAAACTGTGTACCAAAGCAGCTCCATGATTCACGGAACACTCCTCTTATTCTGAACAGTACAATCATCTGCAAAATCCCTTGGAATTATTTATAATGGGATTTATTTCATATTAGCAAAAACAAATGCATAAAATGGTACCACACGTATAGCACGGAAGGGTAGGAAAAACTCTGCAAAGACATGACACTTTGGGAAAACCCTCACACCAGTAAAGGGGAATAAATAATGAACTTGCCAAGAAGATACTATCAGGCGTTTGGCCAGAGAAACACATTACTGCCTTAGAGTGTTGGCCTCTGAAGGGGTATTCTGATCCCCAGGAAAAGCTGGAGCCCTGAAACCTGGTGACTCTGAGGGACCCTCTTCTCAGGATGCTTTAATAGATCTGTGAGGGCACACAGGAATTGAGAGACAAGATGTTGATCAGGCAGCTGAACTGAATAGGCAGCTATTGGTAAAGAAAAGACAAGAAGCCAATTCAGAAAAATTCTGTTGGCAGGACTCACATCTATCTACTACAAGAAGATCATATTCTACATAAAGTGAAGGAGAATCCAAGGCCTAGAAAGAAAACCAAGCCAATAATGATAACCAAAATACAAAAAAAAAATAGAAACTCATGTTTTCCAAATGCTTAATAGCAGAAAGCTTTTCCAAAGTTAATCTGAGTGATCCCTTGTTACAATACTAACCTGTAGACATTATTTTCATTTTATGGATGAGGAAACTGAGGCTCACAGAAGCTATATAGCCTGCTAAGGGCCACAGAAGTAGTAAAGTGATTCAGATCCAAGGCTGCCTGACTCTAAATCCATGCTCCTTCTATCACAACAAGGTGGATGTCTAGAAGGTGAGAAAAATCATGTATCTAAATCCATAGACAGTATGTATGGTAATACTTCTGAGGTTAACAAACAAATAAGCAAGTCTGCCTCAATGAGAAGGCACCAAACTTTTTCAGTCACTTACACTTACTTTCTTAACTGGGTCCCTTATACTATTTCCTGGGTGACTAATTTTGGCCAGTGTTTTATAATTTTATATAATTTTAAAATATAACAGATTCAGGATTGAATAAAAAAGAAGTTATGGTCATAATTAGAGCAACATGAAAAGGTACATTACAAACATTTTCACTGTTGGAAAAGGGGCAATTCATGTTAGCTCCTATTTTCCCAACTGTTTTAAAAAAAAAAATCAAACTTTGAAATAGGTCAAAGAGAGATTTTCTTAGAAGGTTACATGTTTGTGAAAACAGAGGAAGCTAAACATTTCCATGCAATTTCCACTATACCAAATCAACTCAGAAGGTTCTTTTTCCCTACTGTAAAAAAAAATTTAAATGTCCACCTTTACGTGAATGAGGATAATAAAGTCGCATCCGCTATTCTCCTTATGTTAATGTGTCTGCAAAACACACATTTCCCATTACCCTCCCCCTACACACACACAGAGTAAAAAATAAAATTGAACTCAACCTTCGCCCCATCCAGGGGTGTTTTTCCTTCCAGCGGTCCCACATTCTGAGTTGCTAGTAGTATTCGAGTGCTCAGGAAGCCTCCCTTACCAAGTGGCATCTCCTCCAAAGAGACCACCTGATTTGTAGCGACACATGGCCCACCAGGTAAAGTAACAGCTACCCCTTGCCTTCTTTCCTCCTGTGAGCAACCCTTCTCTTCTCTTCCTGACCCTCTTGTGTTAAGGTCCTATATGAAAAGGAGGAGGGAAGGGCTTAAAGGAGAACGAGAAAGACAAGCAGGAGTCAAGATTTCTGTGACGTCACAGGACTGTTATGAGTGGCTGCTAACCATTTCTGAAAAGACATGAAAATTCTTCATCTGCCGTCAATATCTATAAGCTGTTCTCAAGTCTTTCCATTCAGCAGTTTTTCCAGGCAGGTCTCCTCACACGGTTTTTTTTTTCTTTTCTTTTTTTATTATTATTTTTTTTAACACACTAAGCTGACTCAGACTCACAGGCAGAAGTTCTGACTCATTTTTCTTTTCTTTTTTTTAGACTCCTTGAGTCCTGAAAAGGTGTGCTCCATGTGGCATTATTAGTTCTTCTCATATAAGTGGGGAAATCCAGTCCAAAGATTAAGTCACGAAGCTATGATCTTTAAAGCTTAGAAAAAAGCAAAATATTCCTGGGAGGACCGTAATGAAACAAGGATGACAATCAAGAAGTTTTATCAAAATTCGATAGGCAGGCACTCATTCCAGGCAAGGAAATACTGACTTCTCTGGACCACCAACCTTTCTTCTTCTCCTTCACTTTCTACCAAGGTACCTCTGCCATTCCCCTGTCTTGTCTACCTGAGGGTATGTGGCTATGCAACTTCATGGTGCCAAATCCTCAAATGAATTTTAGAATTAATTTAGTGCTCACCTGTGTTTGCATCTGGGTTTATATTTTCAGGTGATAATATGTATGTCGGTGCATGTGCACACAAGATGTGTGTAGTTACTTATAAGTGGGCAAATTCTTGATTGGCACATCTACTTTGAACCAACAATTCCTCGTCTATAAGTCTATCTTACAAAAGTATGCACCGAAGCAGACAAAGATGTAAGAGAATGTTTTAGCAACATTACGTGTAATAGCAAAACACTGGAAACATTTAAACAGTAGGGAACTCGATAGATAAACTTATATCCATATTATGGGATACTATCCTATCATTAGATACAATAAAGTAGATTTATTATAGTCTCACAGGGAAAGATGTCAAAAGTATATTCTTTTTTTTTTCTTTTTTTGGCAGAGTTTTTCGCCCTTTTTGCCCAGGCTGGAGTGCAATGGTGTGATCTCGGCTCACTGCAACCTCCGCCTCCTGGGTTCAAGCGATTCTCCTGCTTCAGCCTCCCGAGTAGCTGGGATTATAAGCATGTGCCACCATGCTTAGCTAATTTTGTATTTTTAGTAGGGATGGGGTTTCTCCATGTTGGTCAGGCTGGTCTCAAACTCCTGACCTTAGGTGATCCACCTGCCTTGGCCTCCCAAAGTGCTAAGATTACAGGCGTGAGCCACCACGCCCAGCTAAAAGTATATTCTTAAATGAAAGAAGCAAGTGGCAGTATTATGCAATGAGTGAATCATTGGAATAGATTGATGTGTTTCCCTGTTTCAAATCATGGTTGATACAGGGACATCACTTAACTACCGACAGCTGCATCAAACAAAAGATTATACCCATTAAAAATCAATAAATGCTTTGAAAATTATTGGAATAGTTTGATGAATGATTTAACCTCTAACATAGATCACCTGGTAGGCAATTATATATAGTTTGGTCTGCCTAGAGAATAGAACATATTTTTAAGTGCTAAGTTTTATATTACCATGCAGTGGTTAAACATTTTGACCATCATCTTACTTTACGTGTGTGTGTTTATTCATAGATGCTTAGAAAAAATATAGAAGGATTACACAACACAGAAAATGGTTAAGTGTGGTTACCTCTGAGGGTAGGGGAAGAGGTGTATCTGAGGAAGGTGTACTTAAAGAAGAAACGTTCATTTTTCATTTTGTATTATCTATTTCATATAACCACGCAATCGATCATCTATGATTGGTACAGGGCAACTTAATGGAAGAAGTGGATTATCAGTGTCTTAAAGCATGACAGTATGAGAAAGCCTTTGTGATAAATGACAGATATTTGAGGGGGCAGGTGTATGTGGGAGAGGCTCAAAGCAAAAATGGACTGGAGAAGAGACGAAAAATACATGAGAAAAGGAGGAGTAATGAGATAATAATCAATTGTAAGAAAAGGCCTTTTAAAAAGACCAGGCAGGATAGCTGATGCCTATAATCCCAGCAGTTTGGGAGGCTGAGGCAAAAGAAATGCTTGAGGCCAAGAGTTCAAGACCAGCCTGGGAAACACAGCAAGACCCTGTTTCTACCAAAAAAAAAAATTTTTTTTAATTAGCTGGGCATGGTGGCACATGCCTGTAGTCCTAGCTAACCAGGAGGCTAGAGCAGATGATTGCTTAAGCCCAGGAGTTTGAGGCTGCAGTGAATTATGATCATGCCACTGAGCTTCAGCCCAGGCGACAGAGTGAGACCCCCACCAATCTGTTAAAAAAAGGATGAGGCGGGAGAAACTTTAGTATATATGCATGGTAGTAATATGGAATTCTATGGCATTATTTTAAAAAGTGGAAAAGGCATTGTCTGCTCACCAACAATAACTTACATGGAAACAGTAATTAAAACTGGGATTCCACCAAGAAAGAATCTCCATAAAAAGTATGCAATGCCTATATGATTATGTAGCAGTCAAAAAAGAAACAAAGAAAGGTTGACATGTCCAGGAAAATGTGAAAGGATTCTGGCTCCCTGTGTCTCACAGCAGCGACGGCTATGGTCTAGCTCCCTCAGTGTTCCTCTGTGTCATACTGTAGCCACGCCAATTAAAGCTTCAAGAGCTGCTTAATTTTTGAAATCAGAATCAGCCTTTTCCTTTGTGTTCATAAAACTTTAAGTCATATCTCAACAGATGAAATATTGGCATCATTGGCTCTTTAGTTATTTACTATGTCACTGCTTTCGACTCATCAATGTCTTTTATTCTCTTTAAAGAATTCTTCTATTTATATACATAGATTTTTAAGTCTTCATCTGGTTCATTTTCTGAGGCTCCTGGAAAGCTTTCCTCTGGATAACTGAGGCATTTCTGTGGTTCTAACTTTACCTTGTTAATCGCATATTGGTATTTAAATATTCAGTGCCATGAGTGAGAAGACAAAGGGAAAATATTTGGGAATGACCAGATACCTAAAATTTCGTCATAAATACACCTAAAATGCAACCATCATGTGGCTATTCAGTCCGTTCACCTTCCCTTATTTCCTCAACAAGAATACTAGGCGATTGGCAATCACAGGTAAGACATGGACCCTACCAAGGCGTACACAGCTCACAGTGTAATAAGTGATTAAACAATTAAATATAAGTTGATGAGTTTTGTGATACTAAAACATAACAAAAACATTAGGAAAATATGAAAGTATGAGTAGCCCACTTTCAATAACGCCCAGAAGTTTTCACCAATGAGTTGGTACTTCGAGCTGACTTTTGAAGAACTAGGAGTTAGCCCGGCTACAAAGAACATAGAGGCATTTTAGTCAGGATCATGATATAAGCCCAAGAAGGGGAGACTTTTAAGGGAAGGGTGTGTCTAGGAAATGCCAAATGGTTCAATAAAGCCAGAGAGTGCATAGGATAAGTGAGGAGGAATCTAAAAAAGGAAGATAAGAAAGCAGAGAGAAAGCAATGAAGAGTCATTGATGGGCTTTCAACCAGAAAATGGTTTGCTTGGGTTTGCTTTTTTGAAAGATTACTTAGGGGACAATGGGCAGGTGTGTTACAGGGAGATGAAAGAGGAGGCAAGAAGGAGGTGCTCTGTCTTCTGTTAATAGCAAAGTAGCTAGGTCAGAACAATTGTTCCACAGATAACAATTTTTAGATCTGGACAATTAAAAAAAAAAACTACTCAAAGGCACTACAAAGTGAACATGGTTAGGCAAAATCTGGAGCAGAGACCCCCATTAAAAGACAAACTGCAATGAATGAAATTTGCAAGTTTGCAAATATTTGACTGTTAGCACTCCCAATTTGCACATAGCTGGGGTTGCAGAAAGCCTCAGTTTCCTTACTTGATCAAAGTATCAGATAACTTAGGGGAAGGCAAAACTGCAGAAAGTTAGGGGGAATATGTTAAATAGAGAGAAGTCACAAAGGCAGTGATCCCTAAAATCTGCAAATAAATCTCTCTCCCAAATCACTGGCTAAAAAATAAACTATACATACAGGTTAATCTTCTAAGTCAATGAAATCCCAATCATAACTCCAGCAGGTCTTCTGAAAATAAAAATTGACATGTTAATTCTAAAATTTATTTGGAAATGTAAAGGATCCAGAATACATTAATCTTGAAAACAGAAAAAAGATAGAGAATTCATACCACATGACTTGAAATTTACTTTAAACCTACAGGGTGTTATTGGCATAAAGATAGAAAAATAGATTAACAGAACAGAATAGAGAGTCCAGAAATAGTACAAGTCTATAGTCAATTGATTTTTGAAAAAGCCACCAAAGAAATTCAATAAAGCAAGCAATAATTTCAACAAATTATGCTGGAACAGCTAGATGTTCATATGGAAAAAAAAAGAATGAACCTCAACCTCTATCTTATAGCAAGCATAAAAATTAATTCAAGATGAATCATACATAGACCTAAGTGTGAAAGCTAACACATAAAATTTTTAGAAGAAAACAGAAGAAGATCTTCATGACTTGCAGATAAGTAAAGATTTCTCAGAAGGACATAGAACATAATATCATTTTTAAAAATTAAAAGTTTTTGCTTATAAAAATTACATTAAGAAAATTAATAAGTATGCTTCAGATTGGAAAAACATATTTACCAACCATGAATCTGATAATCGATTTGTATCCAGATTTTTTTAACTCCTGCAACTACTAATAAACATTTTTAAACAATTAAAAATAGTCAAAAATAAAAACTTGAACAGACGTTTGACAAAAGAATTACCCAGTCTGTGGTATTCTGTTACAGCTGCACAAAACAGACTAAGACAGTTTATAAGTTTTACTTAAAATAAAGTCTATAAATTCGTCATTATAATAGAGTGGGGAGTGGGAATGTAAAACTAGGTAACAGCAACATGGGGTACATTATATTATTTTGTGTCCTTTGTCTATATTTGAAATTTATCAGTATAAGTTGTTTTTTAAATGAAACTTCAGTCATTCAGTGAGAGATGATGAAGGAGTGAAGTAAGAAAGCATCAGTGAAGATAGAGAAAATAAAATGAGTCTGACTGCTATTCAGGAGATGATCTGTGAATGATATACTGAATCAATGTGAGAGATGAGAAGGAAAACAATTCATGAATTCCAAGTCATTCATAACAGAACTGTGTTTCCATATCATTGGTTTCCATAGTAGTCCTGTATTCTTACAAACACTGTTTTGAAAGGCGGTCAGAGACATCACCAGATTGCTAAAGTGGCATGGTTGACAAGAACTTAAGAATCTGTTGATGACTCCCAACTTTCTGATTTAAACAACTAAGGGTTTCTAAGTACCATTTCTTAAGACTAAAGATAAATTACATGAAGGCAAATAGATATTCAGAATGAGGAATGGTATTTAGAGTAATGATGATGTGAGCTAAACTTGTAATACTTTGATCAGAGAAGTAGAGTAAGCTATCAGATATATGGATCTGCATCTCAGAAAGAGGTCTGGGCTACAAAGACAAATTTGGCAGTCATGAGCTTAGGGGAAATCTATCATTGTAAGCAATTCCTGTAAGATGCACAGCTGTTTATCTAAGGGCACCCTGGAAAAGGAAGGGTGTCTACAAGGAAGGTGAAAATACAACCTTCATAAAGAAAGCGTGGTTTCACTTTGTCATCCATTCAATCTATCCCTAGATGCAGCCAATTCTATATCCATGTAACAAAATTCCTTCTGCAACTAGTCAGAAATGCTTTTTTCTAAATGGGGGTAGAAAAATGATGCTCACATAACATGATGTTTCAGTGAATATTTTCTTTCAAGCATCAAGAAATAATTTTTTTAAAAGAGCTAGACGTTTTGCAAAATTTACCAAAAAAGGTGCTATAAACTGTTTATAAAACTCATAATTCCTTAAAAGGATCAAGAATTGGACAGTTTTGGAGGGATTGTTCAAGGAAGCTATTGATGTGTTGAGAGTCCACAACCCTTCAATCAAGGAGAGCCAGTGGTTAGTGGGGCTTGCCGCTTCACCTCATGTCAAGAAAGAGGGACTTTAAAAAGGCAGACAGAGGGCTTCACATCTGTCCTCAGCAGTCTGTGCAGTTTGGGGAACAAATAGATTTGTGTCTGAACCACATCTGACATCAGACATGATAGCATCTAGGCTTGCTGGCTGTTTTGTTGGTGGATCTAGGAGAGGTGGTTGCACTCCCAGAGTTTGCAGAAGCAAAGGGTATTTGAGTGTCTTCCATGAACAAGGTGTGGGCTGTGCATCTGAGACAGCCATATCAGGACTGTTCAGGTACTACTCAAAAGGCATAGCAGAAATTAGCTGGAGGTGTGGCCAGGAGCCTAAGGGTCGGGAAAGGTGTAGCCCAGTAGCAACGCATTGTTTTTGTCTCAGAGAACTACAGATATGAGACCCTTAGCAATGGGGGGAGGGTATGTTCTTTTTGGGCAAAGAATACACAAAAGAACTCCACAGAGAAGTAAACTTACATATCTGCTAGATTCAGAAAGCACTGAAACTAGACTAACAATTCATCAGCAGTTAAGTAAGCACTTTACTGTTTCCCTTATATTTCCTTCCTCCTCCTCTCTCTCAACCCAATTTAATGGGGTCTGAGACTGAGGCTAGCCTAGAGAAGAAAAGGGGTGAAGGAATACTGAGGAGAAAGAGGGAAGCTGACCACTCTCCTTCCATGACTGCAGGGCTGGGGCAGGCCCCTGTTGGAGGAGGGAAGAAAGCTCAATTCTAAATCAACTCCAGTGTTTTTGCTAGTACATAATGCTGGACGTTTCAGGTACTGAATTATCTGGTGTTTTTAACCTGAATGTTTTGTTTTGTTTTGTTTTTTAATTGCCTAAGAGTGACCGGAATTGCCAGGGAAGGACATGTCCCACTGTGCAGGTTTAAAGAATAAATGGAGGGAGAAGGCAAAGCTGTTTGATGATGGCATCCTACGAGTTGAGCATGGTCATCTCAAGTGCTACATTTTAATCATAGCAGTGATTCCTCAATCTGTCAAAATGGCTCTAAACATTTTGGTTACCACTGTCAATTAAGATGGTGGATAGGAGGCAGGAATAGCTTGCAGCTCCTGCTCAGACAGACAGAGCAGCATGTGGAGACTCACACCATGAACTTTTGCTCCAAGAACTACTGTAGGAACATACCAGAAAAGCTGAGAAAATCCACAGACCCTTTCAAGTAACGAACTAGATCACCTCTGCAGACTCCTTGAGACACCAAAAAACTGTGAGTCTGCTTGCTTTCTCAATGGGAAGGCTCATGGTCTGGGACAAGTTCTCAGCCCTGGTCACTGGCTGCCTGGAAATAGACTCGGTGCTGTCGTGGGGGCATGATGAGAGTGAGACCGGCCATTAGGACTGCAGGCTGTGTGGACGATGGGTGAGGCCTGTGACTCCCCGCTTTCCCCCACATCCCTGACAACCTGTATGACTCAGCAGAGGCAGCCAAAATCCCCCTGGGAACATAACTCCATTGGCCTGGGAACCACACCCCCATCCCCCACAGCAGCCACAGGGAGCCCTGCCCAAGGAGAGGCTGAGCTAAGACACGCCTAGCCCTGCCCTCACCTAGTGGTCTTTCTCTACCTAGCCTGGTAGCCAAAGACAAAGGTCATAATCTCTTGGGAGCTCTATGGCCCCGTCCACCACCTGAGAAACCTGAATACTAACCAGGTATCCCTGGGGAAGGTTTGCATCCTCCCTATAGGACCGCAGCTGATGCACTCTTGAAAGCACCACCTCCTGGCTGGAGGCCAACCAACACAAAACCAGTGCACTAAACAAAAACAACCAAGGACCCTCACAGAGTCCACTTTACTCCCCTGTCACTTCCACCGGAGCAGGTGCTGGTAACCACAGCTGAAAGACCTGAAGATGGATCACATCACAGGACTCATTGCAGACACTCTCCAGTACCAGCTCAGAGCTCTGTAGCTCCACTGGGTGGCTAGCAAAACAATCACTATAGTTCGGCTCTCAGGAAGTCCCATTCCTAGGCGAAAGGGGAGAACACCACATCAAGGGAGCACCCCGTGGGACAAATGAATCTAAACAGCAGCGCTTGAAGCCCAGATCTTTCCTCTGACATAGTCTACCCAAATGAGAAGAAACCAGAAAAACAATTCTGGTAATATGACAAAACAAGATTATTAACACCCTGAAAAATCATACCAGCTCATGAGCAATGGATCCAAACCAAGATGAAATCTCTGAATTGACAAAAAAAGAATTCAGAAGGCCGACTATTAAGCTAATCAAGGAGGCACCAGAGAAAGGTGTAGTCCAACTTAAACAAATCAAAAACGTGATACAGGATATGAAAGGAAAGTTCTTCAGTGAAATAGACTGCATAAATAAGAAACCATCACAACTTCTGGAAATCAAGGACACACAGAAATGCAAAATGCACTAGAAAGTCTCAGCAATAGAATCAAACAAACAGAAGGAAGAATTTCAAAGCTCAAAGACAAGGCTTTCAAATTAACCCAATCTGTCAAAGACAAAGAAAAAAGAATTTTAAAAAATGAACAAAGCCTCCAAGAAGTTTGAGACTATGTTAAATGTCCAAAACCAAGAATAATTGGTGTTCCTGAAGAAGAAGAGAAATCTAAAAGTTTGGAAAACATATCTGAGGGAATAATGGAGGAAAACTTCCTGGCCTTGCTAGAGATCTAGACATCCAAATAAAAGCAGCTCAAAGAACACCTGGGAAATTCATTGTGAAAAGATCATTGCCTAGGCACATAGTTGTCAGGTTATCCAAAGTCCAGACAAAGGAAAGAGTCTTAAGAGCTGTGAGGCAAAAGCAGCAGGTAACCTATACAGAAAAACCTATCAGATTAACAGCAGATTTCTTAGCAGAAACCATATAAACTAGAAGGGACTGGGATTCTATTTTTAGCCTCCTTAAGCAAAACAGTTACCAGCCAAGAATTTTGTATCCAGTGAAACTAAGCTTCATAAATGAGGGATAGATACAGTCTTTTCCAGACAAACAAATGCTGAGAGAATTTGCCACTCCCAAGTCAGCATTACAAGAACTGCTAAAAGAAGCTCTAAATCTTGAAACAAATCCTCAAAATAGAACCTTCTTAAATCATAAACCTCACAGTACCTATATAACAATAACACAGTGTAAAAAACACAAGGTATTCAGGCAACAAATAGCATGATGAATAGAATAGTATTTCACATCTCAATACTGACATTGAATGTAAATGGCCTAAATGTTCCACTTAAAAGATACAGAATGGCAGAATGGATAAAGAATTCACCAACCAAGTTTCTGCTGTCTTCAGGAAACTCACCTGACACATAAGGACTCAGATAAATTTAAGGCAAAGGGGTAGAAAAAGATATTCCATGCAACTGGACACTAAAATCCAGCAGTAGTAGCAATTCTTATATCAGGCAAAACAAACTTTAAAGCAACAGCAGCTAAAAAAGACAAAGAGGGACATTATAGAATGATAAAAAGACAAGTCCAACAGGAAAATATCACAATTTTAAATACGTATGCACCTAACACTGGAGCTCCCAAATTTATAAAACAATTACTACTAGACCTAAGAAATGAGATAGATGGCAATATAATAATAGTGGGGGACTTTAATACTCCACTGACAGCACTAGACAGGTCATCAAGATCGAAAATGAACAAAGAAACAATGGACTTAAACTATACCCTATAACAAATGAACTTAACAGATATTTATAGAACATTCTACCCAACAACTATAGACTTTACATTCTATTCATCAGCACATGGTACATTCTCCAAGATAGACCATATGATAGGCCACAAAACAAGTCTCAGTAAATTTAAGAAAATAGAAATTATATCAAGTACCCTCCCAGACCACAGTGGAATAAAACTGTAAATCAACTCCAAAAGAACCCCTCAAAACCATATAAGCACATGGAAATTAAATAACTTGTTCCTGAATGATCACTGGGTAAACAAATCACGATGGAAATTAAAAAATTATTTGAACTGAATGATAATAGTGACACAACCTATCAAAACCTCTGGGATACAGCAAAAGCAGTGCTAAGAGGAAAGTTCATAGCATTAAATGCCTGTATCAAAAAGTCTGAAAGAGCACAAATAGACGATCTAAGGTCACACCTCATGGAACTGGAGAAACAAGAACAATCTAAACTCAAACCAAGCAGAAGAAAAGAAATAACAAAGATCAGAGCAGAACTAAATGAAACTGAAACAACAACAAAAAAACAATACAAAAGATAGATTAAACAAAAAGCTGGTTCTTTGAAAATATAAATAAAATTGATAGACCATTAGTGAGATTAACCAAGAAAAGAAGAAAGAAGATCCAAATAAGCTCAATTAGAAACAAAATGGGAGATATTACAACTAATACCACAGAAATACAAGGCTACTATGAACACCTTCACGTGCATAAACCAGAAAACCTGGAGGAGATAAATTTCAGGATAAATTCCTGAAAATATACAACCCTCCTAGATTAAACCAGGAAGATAGAGAATCTCTGAACAGACCAATAACAAGCAGCGTGATTGAAATAGTAATGTAAAAATTGCCAACAAAAAAAAAAGTCCAGGACCAGACAAATTCACAGCTGAATTCTATCAGACATGTAAAGAAAATTAGTACCAATCCTATTGACACTATTCCGCAAGATAGACAAAGAAGGAATCCTCCCTAAATCATTTTATGAAGCCAGTATCACCCTAATACCAAAACCAGGGAAGGACATTAAAAAAACAGAAAACTACAGACCAATACCCTTGATCAACACAGATGCAAAAATCCCCAACAAAATACTAGTGAACTGAAGCCAAGAGCATATCAAAAAGATAATCCACATGATCAAGTGTGTTTCATACCAGGGATGCAGGGATGGTTTAACATATATGAGTCAGTAAGTGTGATACACCACTAACAGAATTGAAAACAAAAATCACATGATCATCTCAATAGATGCAGAAAAAGCATTTGACAAAATCCAGCATCACTTTATGATTAAAACCCTCAGCAAAATCGGCATAGAAGGGACATAACTTAAGGGAATAAAAGCCATCCAAGACAAACCCACCACCTACATTATGCTGAATGGGGAAAAGTTGAAAGCATTCCCCCTGAGAACTGGAACAAAACAAGAATGCCCACTTTCACCACTTGTATTAAACACAGTACTAGAAGTCCTGGCTAGAGCAATCAGGCAAGAGAAAGAAATAAAGGGCATCCAAATTGGTAAAGAGGAAGTCAAACTGTTGCTGTGTGCTGATGATATCATTGTATACCTAGAAAACCCTAGAGTTATCCAGAAAGCTCCTAGAACTGGTAAATGAATTCAGCAATGTTTCAGGATACAAAATTAATGTACACAAATCAGTAGCTCTGCTATACACCAACAGTGACCAAGTTGAGAATCAAATCAAGAACTCAATCCCTTTCGTAATAGCTGCAAAAAAATGAAATGCTTAGGAATATACCTAACCAAGGAGGTGAAAGACCTCTACAAGGAAAACTACAAAACACTGCTGAAAGAAATCATAGATGCCACAGCAAATGGAAACACATCCCATGCTCATGAGTGGGTAGAATCAATATTGTGAAAATGACCACACTGCCAAAAAAAATCCACAAATTTAATGCAATTCCCATCAAAATACCACCATCATTCTTCACAGAACTAGAAAAAACAATCCTAAAATTCATATGGAACCAAAAAAGAGCCTGCATAGCCAAAGCAAGACTAAGCAAAGAAAAAAAAAAAAAATCTGGAGGCATCACATTACTCAACTCTAAACTATACTATAAGGCCACAGTTAGGAAAACAGCGTGGTACTGGTATAAAAATCAGCACATAGACCAGTGGAGCAGAATAGAGAACCCAGAAATAAAGCCAAATACTTACAGCCAACTGATCTTCAACAAAACAAACAACAACATAAAGAGGGGAGAGGACACCCTATTCAACAAATGGTGCTGGGATAATTGGCAAGTCACATGTAGCAGAATGAAACTTGATCCTCATCTCTCACCTTATACAAAAATCAACTCAAGATAGGTCAAATACTTAAATCTAAGACCTGAAACCATAAAGATTATAGAAGACAACATTGGAAAAACCCTTCTAGACATTGGCTTAGCCAAAGACTTCATGACCAAGAACCCAAAAGCAAATGCAACTAAAACAAAGATAAATAGATAGCACTTAAACTAAAAACCTTCTGCACAGCAAAAGAAATAATTAGCAGAATTAACAGACAACCCACAGAGTGGTAAAAAATATTCACAATCTATACATCTGACAAATGACTAATATCCAGAATCTACAAAGAACGCAAACAAATCAGCAAGAAAAAAAAATCCCATCAAAAAGTGGGCTAAGGACAGGCATAGACAATTCTCAAGAAAAGATATACAAATGACCAACAAGCACAGGAAAAATGCTCAGCATCACTAATTATCAGGGAAATGCAAATCAAAATTGCATTTTGATACGACCTTACTCCTGCAAGAATGCCCATAAGCAAAAAACCATAAAGTAATAGATGTTGGCATGGATGCAATGAAAACATTTTTACACTGTTGGTGGAATGTAAACTAGTACATAGTTCCACTATGGAAAACAGTGTGGAGATTCCTTAAAGAACTAAAAATAGATCTACCATTTGATCCAGCAATCCCACTACTAGGTATCTACTCAGAGGAAGTCATTATATGAAAAAGATACTTGCACACACATGTTTAAGCGGCACAACTTGCAATAGCAAAAATATGGAACCAGCCCAAATGCCCATCAATCAATGAGTGGATAAAGAAAATTTGGTGTATATACAGACGGAATACTACTCAGCCATGAAAAGGAATGAAATAATGGCATTTGCAGCAACCTGGATGAAACTGGACACTATTATGCTATGAGGACACAAAAGCATAAGAATGACACATTGGACTCTGGGAACTCAGGGGAAACTGTCAGGGGTAGCAAGGGAAAAAAGACTACACATTGGGTACAGTGTACACTGCTCAAGTGATGGTGCACCAAAATCTCAGAAATCACCCCTAAAGAACTTATTCATGTAACCAAACACCACCTGTTCCCTAAAAACCTATTGAAATAAAAAATAAAAAATTATAAAAATATTTTGGTCACATCAACACTTAAAAATCTTTTTAGAAATACTTAATATTTTACTAAAAGTGAGACAGCATATTAGGGATACGATAATGTGTAATTTCTCTTGAGGTTCCTGTTCCTCCTTCAAAGCCTTCTCTGATCATATCCAGATCTCTGGGTCCCATCCACACTTCTTGTCAGTTCTGGAGCCACATTTCCAGCTGCCTACTGGACGGTCCAACTTGATGGGGTTCATTTAAAACTCATCATGTCCCAAGGTGAATCTTGCCATTTTTACAAGTCTCCATATCTCTTCCCAATCCCATCTTCCCCCTTCCCTTCCCTTCACTGTCTTCCACTTCTAAACTGGAACACTCAATTGCTCCTCCTTCTGAACTTTTCAATGGTTCCCAATGTCGAAATCCAACCTCCCAGACATGACTTCTCTTGATGGCTACGTCTCCAGACTGTTCTTCTACCAATCATCCATGTGTTTTCTAAATTCTCCTGCTCATGGCCAAGGACTCCTCGCCTGTATATCTCTATTCTTGTTGGTCTAGATTGGTTGGAATGCCCTGCATACCCAAACCCATAAATACACACACACACACACACACACACACACATACACACACACACACACCTCCATCCCCCTGCCATACACACACACATCTAGGCCCTAACCAGAAAATGCCTATCTGGTAACCCAAATGTCACCTCCCTGCAGTCATTTCTATGCTTTCTAGGCTGGGGAGTTAAGTGGATTAAGTGCCCCTGTGTAAGCATTTATCAAATTTTATTTCAATCATCTCTGTGCTTCACTATGTGCCCTTCCCTGTGCTGCCCAACAAAACAAAATGTTAATCTTCAACAGAATCCCTTTTTTCTTTTTTGTCTTCTTATGCAAGTATGATTCTTGATACAAAGCAAATTGCTCAATAAGTATTTGTTTAAATGAATTACAGTGAAGTGAATTAATGGCTTCAAAGAATTTATAATTTAAAAGGAGAAACAAGAACAAGGATTCTCTTATTCACCCATAACACAGGTCTCAATGAAAGTTTGGGGAATAACTGAAAGCATAAATGAATAAAAGAGTAGGTAGAAAACTGGGTATCCCCACAAAGGGAGCTGATAAAGGACTACAGAAATTTAATGGAGAGAGACATGACACTCTTTTTTACTTTTTGTTTCTCATTTTAGTACCCTAAGCTGCAAAGCTTAAAATAAATGAATGCAAAAGATTTGGAAGTGGGAGAGGTTTTTTTAAAAAAAATAAAATAAAAATAAAAAGACTACCACCCACTCCCCATGCTACCCTCCCACTGAAATGACTATAGTTTTAGCATCCGTAATGGGATTGTTGCAGTTTTGAGAATGTTGCCATAGTAACCAACCTCAGCCCTTCCCCTAATATAAGATAAGATTTAGCAAAAGAAATAAATAACAGACTCCCATAGAAACATTATCAAACCTTTCCATATAAATAACCTGGGTAATTAAATGTTTCAAAACAGAATATTTAGGGAGCCGTGAAAAAGAAAACATTCTACAAAGTGTATTTTTAAATGAAGGAGGAAAAAAAAACACACAAAACATCAGCTGGAACACTTGGCTGCCTGAATGGTTTCAAGGAGTCACAATTTCCAAACTTGCCTGGACAAGAACCACAGTCAGAACGGAGAAGCGCAATTCTGTATTTTGATACACAAGCAACATTCCTATCAGAAATTCTCCAACCTTATTCTAAGGAGTTATTTCAACATACAAGTAAGAGAACCTCCTCTTTGTATTCCCCCAAACACAACAAGGGGCACTTGGAAAATATTATCTGTAGTAGATCCTCATAGTACTATTACCTAGGTAACACCATAGTTTTGCTATATTCATGCTCTGTTCTTTTCAAGAATTCTCTAGTTGATATGTTAATCTATAGCAAGGATTGCACACTTCTTCAGAAAAGAACAAGAAAATAAATATTTTAGCCTTTGAAGACCACACAATCTCAGTCACAACTACTCCACTCTGTCACTGTAGCACAAAAGTAGCCACAGATAATACATAAATGAATAAGCATGGCTGTATTCCAGTAAAACTTTATTTACAAAAACAGCCAGCGAGATCTGGTCCATGGGCCATAGTTTGCCGACTCTTTATTTCTTCTTTGACTATGTTACAGATTGTGTATTACCAACACACACACACACACACACACACACACACACACACACACTGGAACCACTCTTTCGCCCAGGCCTATGACAGTATGCTGCATTCAAAGCCAGAGAAAAGGGATCAATGTATTCATGATCCGAAGACTGACTCTGGATATGACTGCAATAAGCTACTGTGAGAAACTGTGAAATTCTTTCTTATGGAATTTCAAAAGCCAAATAGAAAGCCATCTGTCAAAGAAGGGTAGGTACAATACTTCCAACCAACTGGCTGCTGCTCTACTTTAAATAGATAAAAAGCTCAGATGCCTGGCATGGGGCCCAATGACGCACTAATCAATAAAGCAAATTATTATCAGTCTGAGGCGTGGAGCAATTTCTACCAATTTGCAAACTTGGATGATTTTCTGAAATTTCTTTAAGCTCTAGAAAGAGACGTGGATGCGGCTGGTGAAACAGAAAGAGCAGGACTCAGAAGATGGCTGGTGCATGAATCCCATTCTCTCCCTGCTAACTGGTGGTGTTACCTGACAAAGCACTTAATGACTGTATTATCACCTGGAAAATGGGTATAACAGTGCCTGTTGTTAGATTTGTTGAAGATTAAATTAGATAACCTCTATAAAGCACTTCCTACAGAATAAGAATTCAATTAATGTTAGTTGCATTCCCCTCAAAGGATTAGGCAACCTTCAGCACTTGGCTTAATTTTCTCTGTTCTCTCAGAGAGGCACCACTGGGGTCAGTGTTGCTACAGTCCAAAGGATAATTTTTTTCACCTGAAAAACTGCTGTAGAAGGAGCTGTGAGCAAGGCTTAAGCAACTCATTAGCAAGGAAACCAGCCCAAGTGAGCAATGGCATGTGACAAGCACCACATCTCAGTAACTCTCACCTCAGTACTCACAAACCTCCTCCTCTCTATCCCTCTTGATTTCTGTGTGTATGTGTCTACCTCTCCTGTTTTTCTCTCTTTCCTTCTTATCCACTCTATTTCTCCTCCTATATCTCTTCTCTCATCTTCCTCAGCTGGCCATAATATGAACTAGAAGAATACTTATTTAATGGGTTTGCATTCTTTTGCAAGTGACCTAAAGGTTGTCCTTTCTTAAATGTGCCTGATTATTTTGGTGGGTCAGTGGTCCTGACATAGGAAGATTCTCTACCCCTGCTCAAAATCTTTCTAGCATATCTTCTCCAAAAGATTCATTGGTATTAAACACTAAAGAAAAGGCTTGTTTCATTACAAAAGGCAAGCCAACTTTAAATAAAAGGACCCAAGGCAATCAGAAGAGCTGGACCTCAGGTTTCTACAGACTTTTTCAGGTAGAGCTATGTCCCTTAAAATTTATAAGATCCTATAAGATTTCTTAAGTGTGAAACTCAGCTGCAGCTGTATATGGGAAGGTCTCTATTCTGTTGGAGAGATGCTCTGGTAATGAACAAAAAAACCTTTTAGCTCTTTGGAAAGAGACGCTAGATAACGAATTTAATTCCATTCCCTAACTCATTGTCACATGGTGACAGTGGTGGAAGAAGTTCCTGACATTTGCTTCAGAGAATATTTTATTTTAGGGGTGGGTGAAGAAATGTAAGTGAAACAAACCACTCAATCCTTTCCCCCTCACTTCAATTATGCTGTCAAATTATCATGAAATGTCTAGAGATTAAGTCTTATGTACACATGCGCAGTTGAATACATTTCAGCCACATAAAATAAAGCAGTTTAGCCACAACTCATTAAGTTGGCTGTATCAAACATCTCAGTGGCCATTCAGAAAGGATAAACTATTGAAAAGGACTGAATTAAATACAGCAGAGAAAAGAGAGTGTCTTTTTCCCTGAGAGCACTGCTCTGAGGCATGAGCCATAGGTCTAGAATATATTGGTTTAGCAATGAACACAAATGTCGACTGAGCACCTGTGCTATGAAACACAGACAGGGGGAGCCGGCTTCCAAGAATCACAAGCATAGAGATGGAAATCCCTTAGGATGGGTGTGGACAAAGAGAGAAAGAGAATGAGATAGAGATAAAGTTAGTTTGGAGAACAGAATATGAGAAATCAATAACTACTTTCCCCCAATCCTCCATTGGGGGATTATATGTATAATAGAAATCAACAGCAAAATGTGACCCTATAATCAACATATTTCATTCCTACATTGAGAGATATTTTATTTCCCCTTCATCCATTCATTAAGCATCTATTAAGCATCTATTACAAATAAGCACTGTGTTGGGTGCTGATTTTGAGAAACAGAAGTGCTACTCGATAGCACCAGGAGGTTCTTTCTTCCAGTTAACAATAGCTTATCACTAACATTTATGAGTGCTTGCCATGTGCCAGGCATTTTTCTAGGCAACTAGTATGGTTTGGATATTTGTTCCTTCCAAATCTCATGTTGAAATGTGATCCACATTGTTGGAGATGGGGCCTGGCAGGAGGTGTTTGGGTCATGGTGCTGGATCCCTCATGAATGGCTTGGTGCCATCCCCTTGGTGATGAGTTACTTCTCACTCTATTAGTTCACATGGGAGCTGGTTGTTTAAAGGAACTTGGCATCTCCCTCTTTCACCATGTGACATGTCTGATCTCCCTTTGCTTCTGCCATGAGTAAAAGCTCCCTGAGGGCCTCACCAGAAGCCTAGCAGAGGCTGGTGCCATGCTTGCATGGCCTGCAGAACCGTGAACCAAATAAACTTCTTTTCATTTTAAATTACCCAGTCTCAGGTATTCCTACAGCAATGTAAAACAGATTAATACAGCAACTTACAAGCATTCACTCATTTAATTCTCACCATTGTCTTATGAGGATGGTAAAGAATAGTTGCTATTATTGCTATTGCATCAGATAGTTTATCTCTTTCCTCTTTTCTTTTTTCTTTTTGTGTAAAAGCTAAACTGCTTAATTAGATGTCTCTACTTTGTAATACTAGGGACTTCAAGGAGCAACGTTCGTTCCTCTGTCCTGACATTACCTTGGTCTCTGTCCATCTGCCTTCATCTCTAGATAACGAAAAAAAGCCCTAGTTAGTCTACCTGACCCATTCTCTTCCCCTTCCAATCCATCTAGCATTTTGCTGCCTTTTTTTTGTTTTTTTTTTTGAGACGGAGTCTCACTCTGTCGCCCAGGCTGGAGTGCAGTGGTATGATCTCAGCTCACTGCAACCTCCACCTCCCGGGTTCAAGCGAGTCTCCTGCCTCAGCCTCCTGAGTAGCTGGGATCACAGGCACACACCACCATGCCCGGCTAATTTTTGTATTTTTAGTAGAAACAGGGTTTCACCATGTTGGCCAGGCTGGTCTTGAACTCCTGACCTCAGGTGATCCACCCGCCTTGGCCTCACCTGGCCAAGGTGCTGGGATTACAGGCTTGAGCCACTGCACCCGGCCTACATTTTAATCTCTTACAAACACCATTTTCACATGTCATTCCCCTGCTTAAGAACTTATATAAAACATTAAAATGGGCTACTAATGTTTACCATATTTCTTCAACTTTTTTTCTCCTTAATGTGATTCCTACAATATGTTCTCATTCAAAGATCCACATATCTGGAAGAGCCAAGAAGATTTTGAAGGACTTTATTTTCTGGAGTTTGAATAAAGTTATTTAATCTGTTAATAATTTTCTAATAATCACAAATTAGTCCCCTTCCATTCCCACGTAACTTACTGAAGATTACCCAACAAATTTAAATACAAACTCCTACCAAGTTTTCAAAGTCACCATCATCTAGCCATATGCTAATAAATTTGCATCAATTCCCATAATTCTTATATAAACCCTCACCTTGAGTTAAACTAATCTTCCTACTATTCAGTTTGAAAATAATTTATAGAGCATCTATGAAATCCAGTCACTGAGGATACATATATAAGCAAGACATAATGCATGTCCCCAAAAATGTTACAGTTTAGACCTCTACTGCACATAATAAATAATTCCCACCTCTGTAGGTTGGCCCATGTTCTTTCATCTGCATGACACGCATTCACTTTCTCCCCATCCTTTCCTCAAAGCCTAACTCAAATAATGCCTTTTGGACCATTCCAGCCTGCACAGATTTTCTCCCTCTCTGATATTCTTGAAGCTCAACTATTTATTCTTACCATAAAGAGTTACAAGAAGGACAAGACTGTACAAAGATTAATATTCTCCAAGACTTTAGGAGCAGATACTTCTGAAATTTAAGTTGATACAAATGAACATTAAATAGATGAAGCTAGCAAATTGCAGGAATCCTCCCAGGACAACCACATGAAGATGTAAACATGCTACAGGCATGTATTTATCAAACTTTAATGTGTGCATAAATCACCTTGTTGAAATGAAGATTCTAACTTACTAAAGTCTGGAGTGGGACCTGAAATTCTACATTTCTGACAAGTTCTCAGGTGATGCTGATGCTGCACTCTTTGAACCATACTTCAAGTAGCAAGTGGATAGCAAGTGTATCTCAAGAGTCCCCAGTCAATCCCAAAGCTTTACTGCCTCAGTTGTGTTCTGCTGGCTTTATCAGGTTTCTAAGTTGAGACAGATATCTACTCAGGTTTTATCAGCAGCAAATACCACCAACATCCTCATTTCATGATCTCAAGACTTAAGATAAATATTTAGTGGTGGTTATTGTTCACAGAAATATTAGATATACCATTCCCCTTGGAGACACAGATATCAATCTTCCTAAAGAGGAGACAAGCATCAGACTTCATCGTCCAGCTACGTCCTTTTTAACACATCTATTTCCCTTTTTCTGATTCTGTACTCACAAAACAACTTCCTAGTCTGATATTTGTGTCTCAAAAGAAGTCAGTCCTGATATGAAAACCACCTAGGAAAAAGAAGCACTCCAGACAGAATGATGCTCCCTGAAAGTATGAGAGCAGTTGCAAAAATTGTCAAAATCAACATTTTCAGAATTCTAAAAATTAACCAAAAGGTTGAAATAAAAATGGCTTATTCTACAGAACAGTGAGCTCTGTGATACTTAAACCTACCCTATTCCTATTCCCATCTCCCTTTCCCTATCTCTGCAGTACCCTTGAAAACCAGCAGCTTTAGAAAGATGGTAGCTGTGAAAACCAGTGGCCTAGTAGCTATTGGAGAGAGCAGAATAGGTTTGGATCCGCCACAAAAGGCCCATCCTCAGAGAATTATCACTATTGTACTTGTTTGGAAGCTCCCTGGGAAATTCTCATTCACATGGAATTATCCTCATTTGACCTAAGTCAGCTATTACTCAGTGAGGAAATCCCTGTACCCAGGGGATTTTTCCAAAAGAATCAGGAATTGTTTAATATCATAGCTGCCTGAGGTGGCCCTATCTGTTGCGGCAAATTAAGAAGCTGATCGAAAAACTTAAAAATCAAAATATGGGAAATGAGAAGTCCACGGGAGCTTTGGAAAGTTCTGACATATTCTTGGGAATCTGGAAAGCCATGCATATGCGCAAGCTGTGAGTATTCCCAGGAAGGATCTGAGAAGACCCCAATCTCTCACTTTTGGCTGACAAAGCAGGAAGTAAAGGCTAAGGTAGAGTTATCAAGTTACCAAAGTATTTATTGCATACTCTAACTCACACATATAGATCACAAAAAAGTAGTGGGAAAGTTATTGGTTGAATAAATTTGAGGAAATGTCTGTCCAATTATTAGCTGACCACTAAGCTAACCAAGCAGAGATTTTAGATGCTGCACACAACAAAGAACACAGACTTTACAGAATTTTAAAAGTCACTAAAAAACATACAAACACACAGCATCAACAACTACTACTACTACTAGTAATGGCAACAAAAACAAAAAGTAAGGATATGATTTCCAAGGATGCTCTATTATATTACTTTAACAGTCCAGTTTTCAACAACAACAAAAAATAAGATACATAGTAAAATAGGAAAGCATGGTCCATACACATGAAGGAAAAACAGCCAACAGAAACTGCCTCTGAGAAAGCCTAGATATTGGGGTTACACAAAGTTTTAAATAAAAAGCTTTAAGGCCAGGCATGGTGGCTCACGCCTGTAATCCCAGCACTTTGGGAGGCCAAGGCGGGTGGGTCACCTGAGGTCAAGAGTTCAAGACCAGCCTGATCAACATGGCAAAACCCCATCTCTACTAAAAGATACAAAAAATTAGCTGGGCATGGTGGTGGATGCCTGTAATCCCAGCTACTCAGGAGGCTGAGGCAGGAGAATCACTTGAACCCAGGAGATGGAGATTGCAGTGAGCCAAGATTGCACCACTGCACTCCAGCCTGGGTGACAGAGCAAAACTCCATTTAAAAAAAAAAAAGCTTTACGTATGTTCAAAGAACTAAAGTACATCTTGCCTAGAGAGTTAAAGGAAAATATGAGAATGATGTCTCACCAAATAGACAATTTCAACAGAAATAGAAATCATTTAAAAAAGAGCCAAATAGAAATTCTAGAGTTCGAAAGTGCAATAACGTAAATGAAAAATTCACTGAAGGAGGTCAACAGCACAACTATGCGGACAGAAGAA
Organism: Homo sapiens; assembly: GCF_000001405.40. Classification (NCBI taxonomy): domain Eukaryota; kingdom Metazoa; phylum Chordata; class Mammalia; order Primates; family Hominidae; genus Homo; species Homo sapiens. The sequence goes on from NC_000007.14 coordinate 137,796,721, forward strand.
AGAATTAACAAACTTGGAAATAAGGCAATTGAGATCATCCAGTTTGAGAAACAGAAAAGAATGAAGGAAAATAAACAAAGCCTCAGAGACTTGTGGGACATGAGCCAGCATACCAACATACATGCAAGGAGAGTTCCAGAAGGAGAGAAAAGAAAGAAAGGGACAGAGAGTGTATTTGACAAAATAAAGTCTGAAAATATCCTAAATAATAAAAAGTATTAGTCTATACATCTAAGAAGCACAATGAATTCCAAGTAGGATAAACTCAGAAATTCATACCTATACATTTAATATAGTTAAACTGTCAAAAACCGAATCAGACAGAATCTTGAGATCAGCAAGAGAAAAATAATATGCCAGCAATCTTCAATAACACTAACAGCTGACTTATCCTAAAACATGGAAGCCAGAGTCAGAAGGAATGACATATTTAAAAGGCTGGTAGAAAGGGACTGTCAGCAAGAAGACCAAATCTAGCAAAACTATTCTTCAAATTTTATGAGAAATTAAGACATTCCCAGATAATCAAACACTGAGAGAACCCATCATAAGAAGATCCATCCTACAAGAAATACTAAAAAGAACCCTTCTGCTAAAATGAAGGAACACTTTACAGTAACTTGAGTATCCATGGAGAAATAAAGACCACCAATAAAGGTAACCACATAGGTAAATATGAAGGACAGTATTAATAAGTTTTGTTTATAATTCTTCTATCAGATTTAAATGGAAACAGCATAAACCAATAATTATAAGATAATGTTGATATAGTTATAATGTGTAAAGAGGTCATTGATATGACAATAATTACACAAAAGAGAAGGAAACAGAGCTGTATATGAACTAAGTTTTTGAAAACTATTAAAATTAAGTTGATATTAACCTGAACTACATTGTTTTAGGATTTCAAATGTAATCCTCAGAAAAAAGCAGTAATAAAGTAACTCAAAAATAGGTGGAAGAGATAATTAAAATGATACATTAGGAAATAGATGTTTAACACAAAAGAAGACAGTAATGAAAGAATGGAGAAAAAATATAAAGAAAGATTTCAAGCAAATAATATATCCTCACACCTTAAGAAACTAGAAGAAGAAAAACTAAACCAAAAGCAAACAGAAGGAAGAAAATAATAAAACTTAGAGCCTAAATAAATGAAATAGAGAGGACTTAAACAATAGAGAAAATCAGCAAAATCAAAAGTTGATTCTTTGAAAAGTGTAATAAATAAAATTGAAAAACTCAGCTAAGCTGACCAAGAAAAAAAGAAGGAAGACTCAAATTACTAAATGGGGGAACATCAGTACTGATCTTACTGAAATATAAGGGAATACTATAAACAACTATATGCCAACTAATTAGATGACCTAGATTAAATTTAAAAATTCCTATAAAGACATAAACTACTGAGACTGACTAAAGAAAAAAACAGAAAATGTGAAGAGACCTATAATAACCAAAGAGACTGAATTAGTAATTTTAAAAGTTCTCACAATGGAAAGCCCAGACCCAGAGGGCTCCACTGGGGAATTCTACCAATCATTTAAAGAATTCATACCAATCATTCATAAAATCTTGTGAGAACTGAAAGAGGAAGGAAAACCTTTCAACCTACTCTACGTGGCCAGTATTATCATGATCTTAAAACCCAACCAAAGCATCGCAAAAAAGAAAAGAGCAGGCCGATATCTGCTTTTTTTATTTTTATTTTTTATTTTTGAGTTAGGATCTCAGTCCATCACCCAGGCTGGAGTGCAGTGGCACAATCATGGCTCACTACAGCCTCAACTTCCTGGGCTCCTGTGATCTTCCCACCTCAGCCTCCTGAGTAGCTGGCCACAGGTGTGCACCATCACGCCTAGCTAATTTTTGTATTTTTTGTAGAGAGGGTATTTTATCATGTTGCTCAGGCTAGTCTTGAACTCCTGAGCTCAAGCAATCCACCCACTTCAGCCTCCCAAAGTGCTGTGATTACAGGCATGAGCCACTGTGTCCAGACTCTTTTAAATACATCAATGCAAAAATCCTCAACAAAATATTATCAAACCCAACCCAGCAACATATAAAAAGGATTATACCTATGATCAAGGAGATTTTACCCTAGGAGTGCAAGGTTAGTTTAGCACAGTAAAATCAATCAATATAATATACCATATTAATAGACTAAGTGACCAAACCCACATGATCATCTCAATAGACATAGAAATAGCATTTTTGTAAAAACCCAACATCTGTCCATGATTAAAAACCACTCAACAAAACTAGGAATATAAGGGAACGTCCTCAACCTAATAAAGGACATCTATTTTTTTAAAAAAACTCACTGCCAACATCACACTTAATAGTAAAAGACTGAATGTTTTCTCTCTTAGATAAGGCAAAAAAGATGTCTTCTTTCATCACTTCTATTCAACACAGTACTGGTATATTCATACAATTGAATAATATCCAGCAATTACAAGGAAGGAAGGCCTGATACATCCGATAACATAGATGAACCTTGAAATTATTATGTTAAATGAAAGAAGACAGTCACAAAAACTTACATTTGCATAATTCCACTTATTTGAAATGCCCAGAATAGGCCAATATACAGATAGAAAGTAGATTAGTGTTTGCCAGGGACTGTGGGGAACGGGGAAGTGACTATTAATGGGTACACAATTTCTTCTGAGGATGATTAAAAGATTGCCAAGAAAGTAGTGATGATAGTCAAACTCTGTGAACACACTAAAATATACAAAAGTGTACACTTTAAAAGGATGAATTTTATGGTATATAAATTGTATCTCATAATGTCATTATTAACAAAACCAGTCCAACTCCTCATAAGAACATACTGAGAACAGTTATTCTGCCTAGAATTTACTCTTTTAAAAGTGATTATTTTGATATTATGGTTCATCCATTTTGGGCTGGATTGGTTAAGAAGTCAATCACATGCTTTCCTAAGGAAAACTGATCAAAATCTGCTTCTGATGTAAGCCAGCCAGCCTCATCTACCAATCAAAGGAATGCTTGAATGAAAGGATGATTAAATGAGAGATTAATTACAACATCTCCCATACAACTTAGATATTGTTTGCTGTCCCATTAGGTGCGTCCATTTTGAATCTTTAGCCAGCTTTTTAATTCAATGAGATTATGAACCATGTATTTGAAGCTTTTGAAATCTTCTTCTATAATGATTAGTTCTATGCTAACTTTAAGTATTTAATGGCATTAGAAATCACCTGATTCAGTTTTTCAGTACGGTTCTCTCTAGACAACTGTTAGAAATAAAACAGGAAGCAAATACCAGGGGTGGCAGGGATAGGAGGCATGGTTGCTTTAGGACAACCAGGACCTTTTAAGGAGAATGAGAAATCTCAGGTACCCAAGAGATTTGGGGATTCCAATTTCCCCCCTATAGAATATGGCAAGGTTGGAGTTGAGATTGTTGCTCAACAGAATTGGCAAATACCTACTACATCCTTAGAACAAACTGGAGTGATATACCAGCCAAATGGGTTCTCACTGGTTACAGGCAAGGAGTGTAATATGGTTTGGATGTTTGTCCCCACCCAAATATCCTGTTGAAATGTAATCCCCAGTGTTGGAGGTGGGGCCTGGTGGGAGGCGTTTGGGTCATGGGGGCAGATCCCTCATGGCTTGGTGCTGTCCTCAGGATAGTGAGTGAGTTCTCAAGAGATCTGGTTGTTTAAAACTGTGTGCTACCTCCCCCCAACTCTCAGTTTTGCTCCTTCTCCTGCCATGTGAGACACCTGCTCCCTCTTCGATTTCCGCCATGATTGGAAGCTTCCTCAGGCCTCACCAGAAGCAGATGCCAGGGCTATGCTTTCTGTACAGGCTACAGAACCATGAGCCCATTAAACATCTTTTTTTACAAATTACCTAGTCTCAGGTTTTCTTTACAGCAATGCAAGAACTGACTAACACAGAGTGAAATGTTTTAATGTTCATGTTTAACAGGTATAAAACTAGACCTAGAAAAGACTGGCAAAACAGAGATTCAGCTGAGTCAAATCTTGTTGATATTGAAGTCTATTCCTAGGTTGTGCACTTTGATATTTCAAGTATGACCTTAACATTTTCTGCCCCCACCCAATGCTCCATCCAATGCTCATGATGCCCAATTATGCATCTCCCAGTTGATCCTCAATAACTATATACTCAGTAAAGTTTGGTAGCTAAATAATCCACCATTCTGTAGAATAAGAATTTTGTAGAATTTGAAGCAAAGAATTTCAGCCTCACCTTAGACAATATTCATCCCAAAATGAATGTTGTTCAACAGTGATCTAAGTGCTGATGCCCTTTCTGTAGAACAAGTGTCAGCACTCTGCAATTTTTCATTCTGCAAAGTGTTTTGTTCTATACTGTCTAATACAATCTTGTACTTCTCTTCCTATCACTCTTATGCACTGATTTGTCATTTTCACTTCAGGAGCCTGGGAAACTTTTGATGAAGCATGACTCATGGCTCAGGAAGAGAAAAGAAGGAAGTACCAGCTGATGCTAAGAGGCTGGAAGGTCAAATATTATACTTTCTTGCTCCCTGGAGTTGGAAATGGGATCGGCTTTCCTGAATCTCATTAGCTACTAGAAAGAGAAAAAAAAGATCAAGGTTTCAAAAGGAAGGAGCAAGGGGAAATGGATTTCATAAAACAACTGTGTCCTTTACATCATTACATAGCTATAAAGTATAGTGCAAAAATAAACAACAAAAGCATTAGTTCATTAGATGTAGGACCAGAAAGCTTGGGACCCTCCAGTTTCTAACCATGTGATTTTGAAAAATTAAACATCAGGTTTCAGTCCTCAGTCTCACTCTCCACAGAATAAATAATAATTCGGAGTGACCTGATAGTAAGTGGCATTATCACTCTCTCTGCCATCTGCTGACAGTCCTATGAATCAGGATGGAGATCAGTCTCTTTTATGATGTATAAGATTCCATATCCTGAATGGGAAACAAGGGAGTGTGTTTATATGCACAGGCTTGCACCCACTGGGGGTGAGAGCTGGGGAGAGAGGATTAGTAAATGTTCTGGAAGAAATCAATATGGGTTTGTGGCTGGGAAAAGCATCCTCCAAAAGAATTGCAGCCCTCAGCTCTCTCTCCTTGGCAAAAGCTTCAACTTTAGCATGTGCCCCCCTGCCCCATCACTCAGTGGAAAACTTTATGCAAAAAAATGCATTTTTGGAAGACACGAGCACACACGTGTTCATAGCAGCACAATTGGCAATTGCAAAAATATAAAATGGGCCTAAATGCCCATCAACCAATGAGTGGATAAAGAAAATGTGGTATAATTACAGCATGGAATACTACTCAGCCACAAAAAGGAATGAAACAATGGCATTTGCAGCAACCCGGATGGAGCTGGAGGCCATTATTCTATGTGAAGTAACTCAGGATTGGAAAACCAAATACTGTATGTTCTCTAAGTGGAAGCTAAGCTATGAGGAGGCAAAGACATAAGGATAATATATGAACTTTGGGGACTCAGAGGGAAGGGTGGGAGGTGGATGAGGGATAAAAGACTACACATTGTGTACAGTGTACACTGCTTGGGTGACAGGTGCACCAAAATCTCAGAAATCGCTACTCAAGAATGTATCCATGTAACCTAAAACCACCTGTTCCCCAAAAACTATTAAAATGATTTTTAATATCTTTCTGGGAATTATTCTTTTCCAGCTGCAAATTTACTACATCATGTCCACTTATTGCTGACTTTCTTTGTTACAGCTGTTTTGCACCTCAAATCATAATAATCCTCTATTTGTGACATTATAATTATCACTAAGTAACCAATTGTAATGTCATAAATAGGGTTATGGCTTTATGAGGACATGAGACTTGCCCATTAATTTGCAGAAGGTCCTGACTAATAAAGGGATATTCTCCATCATGAGAAAAGTGAAAGATGGTTTGTGAAAAACTGAGATTTTCCAGAGTAAATTTCTTATTAGTGCCAAATTATAGAAGTGGCTTCCTCTCCTACCGGCCTCTCTCCTCGAACTTCTTCCCTTGCTGGGAAGCTGTTCATCTCTGAGTCAGAGAAAATCTAACACCTGGCTGTTCCAACTGCACATCTTACTCTGGCCTTTATTTAATTGAATTTTATTTAACTAATACCTACTGATGTTCATTAATACAATTCATGAAGCACTATGCCAAATGCTACAAAGACAAAAAAATTAGATGAGAAAAACTCTCAAGAAAATTATAGTTTAGGAGGTAAAATAAGACAAGCACTAAAAATAATGAATACAAAGCAAAGCAAAATAAGAATCACTATGCAAATATTAACACTACAAAAGGGAATCCAGAGGAAAGGCCAGGGCAGGTCGCTTGCATTAAGGAAAGATCCATAAATGCATCCTGGAGAAGCAAGTGAGCGATTAAAGGTTTCTACATTTGGAGAGAAGGGATGGAGGGGTGCAAGCTGAGAGAAAACGCAGGTGAGACAAAACAAGGAAATTCAGGACACAGTGAGGAGACCAGTTTTGCTGGGTTGTAGAGAAGATGGAGGTAAGTTTGAAAAAGGGGGCTGTGATCACTCTTCAGAGGCCTTACATTCCAGTATACAGTTTAGACAAATTACAGGTCAGTAACAAAGAGCCAAAAAATGTTTTCAAACAAGAAAGTAATGTGACTGGAACTGTATTTTTGATTCTGATATAGGAAACATGTTAAAAAGATCCTCATATGAATCCTATCCACTGATTTCACATTTTCTAAGTTATGTATATTATTTAGATCACCTGTTTAGCTGTATGATATTTTCTTTCTTTTTGATGCTATTTTTCTTTATGATGTCTACTAAGACAATGCACCTTTCACATTTATATACAGGCATCTTGACTGGACACGGCCTTAACATTTCATGTCATTTTGAAGTCTCTGGAAAACTTTTCCTGAGCACAATGTTTTCCTCCACTTACTTAAGAATTTCTTACAAAAGCGCAGTTTCACTTCCAGGAGCTTCAATTAAAATACAACCATTTCTGCAAATGAAACATATTAAGTAAGTGTGTATCAAATATCCTGGAGAATTTAACAAGCTTTAAACGGACATTGGAACACAGCAAGGATTTGAAGGCTAAATGCATAACCTATTTGGATTTGGCCCAGGTCCCATCCCTAACACCCGCTCACTATATCATCTTAGATTCGTGAGGTAAATAGTCCGGGCATGCGTTTTTCATTTTCTGAAAATATAAGCTAACAAGCATGCCCACTTTGCACAATTATCTTCTCTGAGGCTAGACTGAGGGAGCTCCTTTGTGAGAGTAAGTGACAACCAGCAAACACTGAGCACATGCTTTGGGAAGCACTCAACAGTAAGCGCTTAGACCATTCTCTCTTCACATCTCCAGTACCCAGCAAATGCCTGGCATAGAGCAGGAGCTTGATGCCTGAGTTTGATATTGTTAAATAGGAAGCAGTGTGGCATTGACTTTGGACTTCCATCTCTTCCCCCTCTCTACTGGATATGTGAGCTTGTGCAGTTATTTAGCCTCTCTGAGCATCAGTTTTCTCTTCAGGAAAATGAAGAAAATTACCACTTTACAATTATTGAAAAGAGATCCTACAAGAAAGCACTCAGAACATTCTAGGCATATAAATATAGGCTAGTTTTCTCTGCTTCAATAAGATTTAATTATTGGCTCGATGCCCTGTTCATTCGTCAGAAGAGAAGTCCTTCACTCATTCCGTCCTTTTAATAAGTCTCTTTGACCCCTGTGCCCCCATTTAACATAAATACAACTAGACCAGCTATTAAAAATTATCTGTAAGAACAAAGGCAAGGCAGTTTTGAAGTCTTTGAAGAAAAATAAAAAGATGTAAACGTTTTTGGTGTTTGTGTGCTCAGTGTTTAACATTGATTCTAGCTGACAGAGGGTACAGAGGCACTCCTCTCGATAACAAGCTTGGATGGGCACAGGAAAGGAAAGGAAATGGATATATTTCTTTTTCTGTAAAGAAGTCTGCATTAAAACCATGATTCACGGCAGAGCTTTGCCTGTCTACAAAAAGAAATGGAAAATGATGTTTATCCTTTGGGAGTAGAATAAAATTTCTATCTATTTAGTCTAATCTTACTTTGTAGGCTTACGGAGTTGAATGGATCTTCTCTCTAAATCCTCATCCAGGTCTCCTTTTTTATGTTCAACTCAAATGACTCATTCATTTTCTGAGTCTGTGTTTTCAGCTGTATTTCCACCAACTCATTTTCAAAGAAAGTAAGTTAAGAGAAACCCCAGAAGCAGCTGGGCTGCTTATTACCTACTTGTTTATACATCCCTGTCATTAAGAACTACAGGTTGACACACATGGATGACTCCACTATTGTACTGATGTGTATTGAGTGCTATTTTGCCAAGATGTTTTTAAAAGATAATTTCTCTCTGTATGCCTTCTCCCTCGTTTTATTTATGTTTTTTAACATAATAGGCACTAGTTTGTGCACATCTCCAGTAAATCTGTTTCTTTGTCTTCCAGCTGTGCTTGAGGGAAGCTAGAGCTGACTCACATTAGTCTGACATCTCCATTGAGCATGACAGTGTTCTCCTTACCTGCCTGACAATCACCAGTGCTGATTCTGGCGAGGGAGCGAATGGAGAAAGAATGCCTACCATCCCTTACGCTGTCTGCAGGGAAGGCATAACAAGGTCCTGGCCAGAGAGGAGCTACCCCTGAATGGTTGAGGCAAACTACTACTGGCTTGAGAGCTTCCCAGACAAGGATCCAAAGATCAGCAGCCGTGGTTGGTTTCCCAAGCAGACGTGACATAGTCATTGTGATTATCTCCACCAGAAACAATGGAAAAAACCATGTTCTTCAAGGCCAAACAAGGGCAGTGCATAAGCATGCAACCAGGCAGATGAATATAAAACCCTGCCATATGAAAGCTTTCCCGAGCTCAAAAACAGGCATGATTTGCATCTATTCTTGCTCCCATCTCAAGCATTTCTCCTTTGAAGGCACCCTTCATAACATTAATTCCACTTGTTCTCAGATGGGCATAATCTCTTAGAACTGAATAATTGGAAATACCTTAGAGATCACAAAGGTTCATGCTCTCATTTTCAAGATAAAGAAACTGAGGTTAAGAAAGGTGAAGGAACTTATTTGACTTCATACAGGTCAGCCAAGGCTAAGCCAGTGTCAGAACTGTGGCCATGAGTTGGAGTGGTCTGAACAAAGCATGAGAAGATAATTTCTTTGACGCTAAATAATACAGGCTGTATTTGAGCCAGATAAGAGCAAGGGGACAGGGTATTTTATTTTCTCTTCTTAACCTCATTCATTATGAAACACTTGGGAGCAAAAACAACTCTTCAACCTCCTTTTTCCACTCACCGTGCCCATCCTTCTTTAGCGTCTGTTTGGTAGATGAAGGTCCCCACCTGATGGCTTTAGAAGGCAGGGGAAACGAGAAAAACGGAGATATCAGTGACTCTCACTGATCATGAGTAAATGCTGAATGACTTGCAACTTGCGTTGCATCTAAATCAGGTGTTGTTATTCCCCACTTTGCAAATGAAGAAACTGAGAGAGGTCTGAGAGAGGTTAGTGAGGTAACCAGCCCAAAGTTACACAACAGCTTAAGTGATGGAGTCAGGATTTGAATGCAGGTCTAGCTGATTCCAGTGTCAATGCCACATGATTGGAAACAAAATATCAGAAACTGAACCTTTGCTTCTTTTTTTTTTCTGAGACAGAGTCTTGCTCTGTCACCCAGGCTGAAGTGCAGTGGTGCGATCTTGGCTCACTGCAAGCTCCGCCTCCTGGGTTCACGCCATTCTCCTGCCTCATCCTCCTGAGTACCTGGGAGTACAGGCACCTGCCAACACGCCCGGCTAATTTTTTGTATTTTTAATAGAGATGGGGTTTCACCGTGTTAGCCAGGATGGTCTCGATCTCCTGACTTCGTGATCTGCCCGCCTCGGCCTCCCAAAGTGCTGGGATTACAGGCATGAGCCACCGCACCCGGCCTGAACCTCTGCATCTATGCTCAGGACTAAGATTGGCAATAGAGCTGGGCTTCTCATCTGCCCACCTCCCCACCATGCATGACAGCAACCAGGCCAGTGACCCACCAAAAAGTGGAATAAGAACTGTATAAAATCCATAAAGGACACTTTTGCCACCCCCATTTCCCAACCATCACCACCAACCTACGTGGCAGAAGACCAGGGAAAGGGCAAGAAACAGGGCCATCCAGGTAATTGCTTCATCCACTATGAGCCCTCGAAATAAGGAGCTGATGCAGTATGAGGCACACATTTAAGAACTATGCTAAACTTTTAATCCTGGGTCACTGCAACAGCTTGCCATATATGTCAGTGATCTGTTCTGTGTGATTACGAGATAGTTTATTTTATTTTTGCGTCACAAGTCTATCTGTGAAGACCCAAAATATTCTGCATATGCAGTACTGAAAGAACGCATAATGGTTCCCAAATACTTCTTTACTGGTTTTCAAATACAAGGACTTTTTAATATAAGGCATTTCAAAAACCTTCACCCAAGATCCATGTTATTTTAGGTTTGGATGCCTGGAAAATGTCTAATGGCAAAAAGCTGCTAGGAATCAGTAACAGTTCCAAATGGATTTTATGTTTTGTCATAATGACATCTAGGTACATTTGGAACAAAGAATTATTACATTTATGCACGAGCTACCTCGTTTCTGCAGTTTTAAGCCTACAGTGGAAGTGCATATGCTTTTAAGTACCCTCTATTTTGTTCCAGCAGCTCACAGGAGAGCGCTAAATAGGGCCCATCCAAGTCACTGCACATCCCTGGGCCAGCACTTCTCAAACTTTCACGTGCTCACAAATCATCTGGGGACCCTGTTAAAATGCAGATTATAGTCCATCCGTGTTCTCTGTGCTGCTCTTTCAGAGAAGCCACTGCAGCTATTGATAGGCCAAGGCTGTCTCCCATCAGGCAAGCCCTGAAACTAGAAACTGGAAAAAATAATGGGGCCAGCCTGAGAGTCTGCATTTCCAGCAGGCTCCCAGGTGCCGCTGCTGCTGCTACTGTCCATAAACACACTTTGAGTGGCATGGCCCTAACACTAGGACCAACCCAGAGTCAGCCCAGACTCTCACCTGCCTGCCTGTCCCCTTGACCATGTCTCCCCCACTCATCAAGTCATACACCCTCTTGCCACCATTTTTCCTCCAGAGCGAATATAGGTGTGTGTATGACTGTGTCCCCCAAAAAGGCAACTCTCGTCTCTTGGGATTTATTGATTCTCCTTTCATTCCCATTGGCTTACAGACCACACTTTGTTATGAAGCCAATTAAGATCTCTGCTGTGATTGGCTCATTGCTATTTCCCAGTTGTTCATGTTGATATTGGTGTGTTTTAACTGTAATCTCTTTGAGAGTAAGGACAACGTAGTAGATAATCTCCACAGCAACCAATATTTTTCCAGTAAAAAAGTCAGGTGTTGTTATTTCCCATTTTGCTGGTATATAAACTATCTGGATGAAAAATCTATGCATCCTGGAAATTAGTATATAAATGAGAGACTTATTAATCTTATAAATACAGACTTAATCATAAAATATTTATTTCAAAAAAATGGTAGGTGCCATTTATTGTGCATTTATTAAGAGCCAGACACTAGGCTAAGTGCCTTGTTTACAGTATTTCATTTACTTGTCACAAGGTCCCCAAGAGGGAAGACTCCAAAGCCCAGACTCAACCATCACACAGTGCTGCCTCATAAAGTGTGCTTCTCATTAAGTGCCTGCTATGCACCAAACTCGGTTCAAATCTGGCAGAAGATTACAGAACCAGGCACCTGCCTCCCCTAGCCCCCACTGTCCAGGCAGTAGCAGGCACAAATAATGAGGCTGCAATATAACAAGGATAATAATGTAGGTCAATGCAACATGCCATGAGAGGAGACAGACAGTCATCTGGGAATATCAGGAAAGGCCTAAGAACTAACATTTAAATGAAATATTAAAAAACCATGGGAGAGACCCGAGCAGAAAAAGGAAGAAGAACATAAAGAGTGATGAGAATACACCTGCAAACCATGAGGATGTCAAAGATCATGGTGAGACTAAGGAACTCCAGAAGCCTGGCGTGGCTGGAACCAACATTACACATGGCAACATTAGAGGTTCTAGCTGTGGACGTGGGGATGGCTAAGTAAGGAAGAAGTGGCCTCAGAATCACTGGGGGAGCTTTCTCAAACTCCACACCCCCCCAGGAATGTGTCATATCTCCCTTCCCTATCACCCAAAAGCTTCCCAGAATCTCTTGGAGAAAAGAATTGGGGCACAGAGAGTTTGACAAGCTTCCTTGATGATTCAGATACAGCTAACATGAGTGAGAACATGGCTGAAGAGGTACAATGAGCTCAGACTTTAGGGCTTTATCCTCTAGGCAGTGGAGGCAAGAGAGCTTTATAAACAGGGAAATGACAGAATCTGATCTATTTTTAAAAGATACACAGTATGGATTGAAATGAAGAAAAACTGGAGACGGGAACAGGAGGCTACAGAATAGCAATAATAAAGATAATAATAGCTCATACTCATTGATGTCTCGGGCACAGTTCTAATTTAATAGTGTAATCAACAGATTTGAAAGCCTGATCTGAAGCAATGACAGGAGGAATGGAGAGAAGGAATTGATTCCAGGGAGATCTCTAATTGGGCAGGATATGTGCCTAGTGTTTAAGAGACTAGTATTTTGCCACCAGGTATCAGCCTGCAGTCTCGGGCTGTCCTAACCCTTGTCTCTTTCCTTCTCATCACTTTATCATAAAATAGACACTTTAGGCATGTCCTGATATGCGTAAGTTTAGAGAAAGGGAAATTCTCCAGGGCCAGAGAAGTTTTAGTTTAGTTAAAACTACAAGCCAGGTGCTGTGGCTCATGCCTGTAATCCCAGCATTCTTGGACGCCAAGGAAGGCAGATTGCTTAAGCTCAGTTCAAGACCAGCCTGGGCAACATGGCAAAACCCTGTCTCTATAAAAAATACAAAAATTAGCCAGGCATGAGGATGTGTGCCTGTGGTTCCAGCTACTCAAGAGGCTGAGGTGAGAGGATAACTTGAGCTGAGGAGGTCGAGGCTGCAGTGAGCCATGATCGCACCACTGCACTCTAGCCTGAGCAACAGCGCAAAACCCAGTTGGAAAAAAAAAAATCCACATAAGTTAAAAAAAAAGGTGAAAAAATTCTCTGGAGTCAGCAGTTTGCTACGGCCTTGGCCATAAAATGGTGCAGGAGTAAGAGGTTCTTCTGCTTTCACAGCCAAGAGCCTCATATATTTCTGTTTGCTGAGTGTAGGCAGTAGAAGGCTGAGGTCCCCTGTGCTGCTGTCTCAGAGAGGCCAATGCACCTATTGATAGGCCAAAGCTACCTCTCATCAGGGCAGCCCTGGAAATAGAAAATAGTATGACTTAGGGTTGAATTGAGTAAAAGAGTAATTGACAACAATAAGTTCAGGGAGAATCAAAACACTTCTATAATGCTAATGCTAATTGTTCCCTACCAATCAATGGATTTCTGTACAAATTCATTCATCACTCACTTATTGAGTGGCTGCTATGTGACAGGCAAAACATTAATGGCTGGTACAAGGAAATACAGAAAAAAAAATTAAGGAAAAGAAAACGAAACTATGAAAGGTACTAAGTTTCATTGCCCCAAGACATCTATTATTAGGGTCTTAAATTTTCTCAGACTGCTAGACAGACTTCACAGTAAAGGCAAAGCAGAGAAAACAAGGGACATCAAGGCCACACCTTGACTGCTCACCAAAAAGCACATGTCCCTGACTATGGATCATTGTGTTAGTCGAGATGAAGTAGGTTATACTGTAGGAACACAAGACATATCTCACTTGTTAAAATAACAGCAGTTTATGTCTATCTAGCACTGCCTGTCTATAAAGAATTGGCTGGGGCTTTCTGGACCCAGGCTGACAATTAAGAAGATGTAACTGTGGCAGAAGGAAAAGAGATCCCTGGAGAAGTTTTTTTTTTAGTTATTTATTTGTGGCAAATAAACATTCCATCCCACAAGTGATACACATCACTTCCAATCACAACATATTGTCCAGAACTGGTTAGGTGGCCCCACTCAAATATACAAAGCCAGGAAGTACACCTACCATGCGCCAGAATATTTGATGAAGCATACCTATGACAACCACAGACAGTTGGCAGAACTGGCTCTATCTTATGTAGTACATTCTACGTATGTACTCAGATGTAGAATGGAAATAATCCCAAAGATCAAGCTCATGCATCAGCCTTGATCAGTCAGGCTAACATATTTATTGTCAACAGAAAAACTAAAATTGTTGCTGAATTCTGGTCCTGGAGCAATGGTGTGCTATTGGAAGATGCAGTGATAAAGAAGAGGGATGGTTCTGTAATAACACACGAAAATGGGCTTAAAGTGATTAAAAAGTAACACCCCAGAGCTACTCCTTACCTACTGCTGTCAGGAGGCTCTTTAATGATATTACACAGGAAGAGTTATGGGGTTTTCACAAATGGGAAGATCCATTAAGCTCTATTCTAACCAAGAACTAACAATACAGATTTAATTCTCTCTGTCTGTCTCTCTTTCTCTCTCTCTCTCTCTCCCTCTCTCTCTCTCTCTCTCTCACACACACACACACACACACACACACACACACACACCATACTCACAGCTCACAAAAGTCAACTTCCCCAAAGTAATTTTCTGACCTCAGGAGACAACAAACACAAAATACTCCATTAGAAAGACAGAGAATTACTAGCATTTTTCAAAGCCATCAGAAAGAACTGAAATCTGTTACAGAAGTCTCTTGACATTGAGAAACACTAAAACGTAGTATAAGGGTTGTGGTGCAGCATCCCCTGATTGATCAGACTTCTGAAGACAAAGGCATCATGTACACCCAATTAGGACCAAAACTATTCCCCAAATCACAATGGTTAAAGATAATTGAGCTCTGATTCCATACTGAAGAAGAACTACAGCCTAATCTCAGAATGAATTGCCCATCCTTTATCATCTGTGCTAAATACTTATGTACATATATTTAGAATTTCTAATTGCCCCAGCCTAGGTAGGTAGTGACTCTTGAAGTATATAACTTTGCTAAATACTTATGTACATATATTTAGAATTTCTAATTGCCCCAGCCTAGGTAGGTAGTGACTCTTGAAGTATACATCTTTGCCTGCTTTGTTATATATTTTAGCTTGTTTTGTCTCCCTCACAACAACCTGTGAAATAGCTGTTATCTTAGTTTACAGATTAAAATTCTGAACTTTGGGGAAGTTGCGTAGCTTGCTCAAAGTCCAACATCTCAAAGGACTAGATCCCAGGGAGATGCCCTTCACTTTCCATTCCCTCGGGCTTCCTGTTTTGAGGAGAACCAGTCTAGTGTAAAGGAGAAAGTTCATAATGATTATTCATAGTTAGACCTGGGTGTAAATCTAGCTCCAAGTCTTTGAGTTGCAGTTTCCTCAACTAAAAAACAGAGATAAGCTTCTCATCATATGGTTTTTATGAGGAATAAATATGATTACATATTTGGCTTAGGACAGGCCTGGTACATGGTAATTGCTCAATAAATGTTGACTATCATCATCATCATCATCTAGGTTCTATATCCTATAAAGACGGGAGGCATTTAACTGTAGCAAAGCTTACACTCAACCTCTTAATTAGTTTTGTTTTATATTTCCCTAGAGTCTTAGAGGACAGTAAGGTGCCAAGGCAGGATGACTGATAAAGAAACCCTGCCCTTTCAGGCGCAATTTTGAGGTCCTTATGCTGAGCCCCTAGCATCATCACTGTAACTAAAATTTGATATCTTAATGCATAAATGGCAGTATTCCAAGCCCTTTCCATATATTAATTCATTTAATCATCACTCACAATAACCCTATGTGACAGACTATACTAATATCTCTATTTTACAAAGAAGGATATTGAGGCCAAGAGATTTTAAATCACTTGCCTGACTCCACAGACCTGGAAAGTGGTAAATATTTAGTCCCAAGAAGGTTGACTTTTAAAGCCTGTGTTCTACTCACTAAGCTATGTTGCGCCTTTGTGTGATACTAATTAGGTATATAGTCATATTTGAGGCAATAACAATACAGGATGTCTTATATGTGTAAGAGAGAAGACTGAACCTCTCAAATCATTGCTGCACAATGCACCGAAGTACAGAAAGCATCAGTTGCGAGAACAGCAGAAATGGTCAAGAAGTCAACAGAGCAGAGCCCCAAACAATGACCCTGAGAAAGTATGCCAGAGACACAAGTTGATATGCAACCAGAAGGAAGGGAGTTCCTCTGTTTAAAGAAAGTAAATAGACCAGGAACAACCCTAAGAGGCAGGGTCCACCCACACAGGAACAGACTTAGGGGGACCAGGTACAGTTCTCACTGGTGATGGTGCTAGTGCTCACTGGTCTCATCAGCACTGCTAAGACAAAGTGCAGACAGTCACTCTCGGGAGCATCACTTCTCCTGGGTCACATCAGTGAAGAGGCTGAAAACCAACTCCTGACTTGGCCTCTGATTTCTTGTTTGGGTTTGGCAAGCTGACAGCCTTCTTTGTATGTATTAGAGTAGGTCAGTAAGGATGAACCCAATGTTCATATTCCCAGGCAGATTCAGGTCAGGAAGAAAGAATGAAAGTGACCATGATCATCACTTTCAGTCATGTCACACTGGGCGTGGCAGGGCTATGGATGCACTTTGTGAACCACCCCCTTGGGTGTTGAGTGTGCTGGTGCTGACTTCACAGCATTTGATACTGAGGATGTCCACCATTCAATAAACTTAAAACAGAAAGAAACTGATGTCAACTCCTTCCTCCACCTCAGAGGAATGCTCCCAAGTACCTCCAGTCTTATCATATTCTCTAGTTCCAGACCACTTTGCAAAGATGACTGGAAGTCCTTAGCTATAAATTTCAAATCTTAAAAGAGCTTTTGCCATGAGACAGATGGAAAAATGCATTTTTGGCAAGATTTTAACCCACTCAAATGTAGTGATTTTTCTCCAAATTGAATCTTTGAATTTCAAGCTGCATTTAGTGCTGGCAAAATGCAGCTTCCTGGTTCAGGATATCTAATAACGCTAATAGTTATTGAGTGAGATGTGGGCAAATGAGACTAATATATAGACATAATTTCCCTTGAAATAATCTCAGAAGTGAAAGCCCAAGGGAAAACAGGCTCATAATGAGGCAAAATGGATTTTTGCTAAACACAAAAATAGTACAGGACATATTGTGAAACCCCAAAGGACAGCTTTACTGCCTCTATCGATCAATGGTTTGTCCTTTCTATTCTCCCTTTCCAAAGGATCTCCAGAGCAGAATGAAAGGATGGATGTGCAAGTACAGTGATGGATGAAGGTGAGGAATGGGAGGAGGAAGCCACCCGGAGAGTAGGATGACCCCACACACAGGAGCCTTCACGAAGCCTTTTCTCTAACAGCAGGGCTCTCCATTTAAGAGTTAAGAACAGCTCCTCTGCACTGGAATGGAACACCGTCATGTGTTCTTATAAAGTAAAGAAATGCCAAAAAACGATTCAAATTCCATCATCAACTCCTCTTCTCTTCGAAGGGTTGAATCTCTCATACTCTTGAATATTTTAAGAGCTTCTAGCTTCTCTGAGGCTAATAATGGACTAAATGACCAACATTTAGTTCATTATTTTTCCCACCCATCTATGTTTTGGGGTGCATTGTTTGAAACCCCTCAAATCCAATTCCCAAGGCCCCTAATCCCCCACTCCCCATAGCATTCTCAGACTAGTAGCCACAAAGGGCATGTGTGAATAAATACACAAGATCACCTTGGGTATTATACCTCTTGAACACTGCCCCTTGCTAGATATACATCTTGGGAAAATAACCTCAGAGACTTGAGCTGCTCCAAACAACCTGGCACAAACATTGAGGTTTGAAATGAGACTAAGAAACAGACTCTGTAAGTATTATTAAATGTTATAAGCACCCCCGCTAGAGAACAAGTATAGAAAGGAATATGAGCCTATAAATATTCCAGAGGTAGACAAACCATGTATGTATATCACGTATATTTTAAAACAAAAAAATGGTACGCTGGTTTTAGGTCAAAAAGGCAGATGAACTAAAAGAAAATACACTCCTTCAGCAGCAATTCCTGCCACTGGATTACTCAAGACATCTCCAGTTTGGATAATGAAAGATTATGCTTCTCCTTGGCTAACTTGAATCCTGCTGAAAACATGGAAATATCAATAATTACCCAAAAGATCAGCTCTCTTTTTTCTTCCCAGGAAAAAATAAAAAAAAAAACTAAATAATATTGACCTTTGGCTCATAAAAGTAGAATTACTGGTTTTATTATTACTTTTCTTGGATATTTCTAGAACCTGAATTCCTTCCCCTGAATCTTTTAAAAATTCATCCCCCCTCCTTCGTCCTGGAGCAGCTAGAAAGAGAAGACACCATGTGCCACCCGAGAGGAGGGAGAATTCAGAAACTCGTCTTCCATATGTGAAGCCAACATGGCTGGTCATTCTCAGAAAATCATCTTATTTGAGTTGCTGGCCCAGCTTCTGCACAGGCTTTGGTGCTGGATTAGCTGCTCCCTTTCAGAAATTAGCTAAATGGCTTGCCTAAGAAGTCGGGGGTTGAGTGTATTTTGAAATAGAAAAAACAACAGAAAAGTTCACTGATCTACACATTTCTTCTTCTTCTTTTGATGTGGGTTACAAACAAATTTTCTAATGAAATGATACATTTATTCTCCCAATAAACATTTTCTAATTCACATATTCAACATCATCTATTTATTAATATTGAAAGACTACTAGATGTCAGCTATGGATGTTCACGCTAGGGACATGGATATGAACAAAGATGAAGATGTAGGCCTGTGGAAGTTTACGGGCTTAGGTGACACTCGTAGTACTAGCTATTATCTAACACCTCTCTTATGTCACTTAATACATTGAAAATATAAAATACTGTAGGTAGAACAGAGAGAGAAAAGATTAGTTCTACAAGGGAGAAAAGAGACTTTAGATAGAAGCTTGTGCCCAAAGCAGAACTTGAAATGTGACTCTACTGCTCTTTCTATTTTCATTATGGGTACCCTTTTATATTATATTATAGGCCCTTATATATTTGTGATGTCAGGGTGTTCCCTGGGTCTGTTCCCATCATCAACCTGTCCCTAAATAATCAAGTCTGCTCTCCTGATTTCAGTTCCCATTACAAATTCCACACTTCATCTGAAACCATTCTCTTGAATGAGAGAATCCTTTTCATGTTAGCCTTCACCTTGATGGCTCACAGGTCCCTTGAGTGCGATATGACCAACATTTAGTTCATTATATTTCCCGTCCATCTATGTTTTGGATGCATTGTTTGAAACCCCTCAAATCCAATTCCCAAGTCACTTAACCCCCAACTCCCCATAGCATTCTCAGACTAATAGCCACAAAAAGCATGTGTGAATAAACACACAAGATCACCTTGGGCAATTTACCTCTTGAACACTGCCCCTTGCTAGATGTACATCTTGGGAAAATAACTCTCTTTCTCAGTTGGTTCATATGTAGAATGGAAATAATCAGATACCTACCCCCTGAGGTTGTTTTGGGGATTGAGTTAATACATGCAAAATGCTTGGAACAGGGCCTAGTATCAATGGTAAAAATGAATGTTAACTACTGTGATTATTCCAGGAACTCAGAGTCTATGTCCAACTTACCACATTCTTCCACTCAGAACACCCATATATTGAACTTTTCCATGCATTTTCCAATGTGCCTCACACTATTCTAAGCTCTAGAGATACAGCAGTGAACCAATCAAAGACCTTGTGGTGCTTATATTTTAAAAGAGGAGAGACAGATAATAAAAATAAACAAATGCATAATATAACATTAGATGGTATCAAAAGGTATAAAGACAAAAAACATTGTTTTGTAATAGAGAGTGACAGAGAAGGAGAGGCAAATTTTTATATGACAATAGGGGGTGAGTAAGGAAGCTGCTAAAGAAGGAACTTTTGAGTTAAGACCTGAATGATGCAATCCAAATGTAAAAAGATCCGAAGAAGGGAGTCTCGACCTTGGCACTAATGACACTTTGGACCAGAGAGTTCTTTGTTGTGAGGGGCCATCCTGTGCATTGCAGGATGTTTATCAGCAGCCTGACCTCTAACCACTAGATGCCAGTAGCATCCCAGGAGTTATGACAAAATCTCCCTCACTGAATAGCAACACTAAAATGACAATTTAAGTGATAAACACTGTTATCATTCTCGTCTCACTTCTTGACCCAACTGATCATGTTATATTTCTCGGTTACCAACTTGCTTTTTATTTCCTAATCAGCCAAGTCATTTCCCATGGCCATACCTGTGCTTATGCTGACCTCTTGACCTTTGTAGAAGACCCTTCCCACCCCTCTTCAGCTGAACAATTCCCCATCATCCTTTCATCAATTCGATTCAAAGTGTCATCAGTTCAAAGTGTCTCATTGTCTAATTCATTTGTATTCAGTGTCTATAACACACAGTAGGTGCTTGACACATACTCGGTGCTTAATAAATATTTATTGAATGAATTAACTACTTTGCCCTCAGGATTTTACAATTATTTAGAGGCCACAAGATATATATACCTATAACTCTCAAATAATACTAAAGGTGATAAGTGACGTACATTCAATAATAACAAAGTGTTTATTTGAGTTCAGAATGAGGAAAACATACTCTTCAATGAGTACTTTTCTTATGTGTATAGAACAAGTAAAGACTGTTGCTGTCGAATTGTGACTCACCTTCCCCCAATACAGTCCTATAGTCACAGACCATGGTCATAATTTCACTAGTGATTAATAAAGCCCTTGCAGACCAGATGTGAGGATATTTGGTAGGTCACACTGACCATCACTCCTACTGGAAAATCAATCTGCAGATACCAGTGGATTATTTCAATGATAAGAGTCCTATGAATGTAGAGAATGCAAACTGTATCTGAGTGAGGCCAATGCTAAAAGGTACCTTCCCATGCCTTTCTTACCCGTTCTTACCCAGTCTTTAATATGCCACATCTGTTTTATTCCTATGCATATGTGTCCCAGGCCTTCTTAGCCACAGCAGGGGCTAACATCAGACACTATGTACTAGTACGAACTTATCAGTCATCCACAACCAGTACCAGTTGCTCCATATTTTGAATATTCTTATTGGCTTCACCATTACTTGGCTACACACTATCAATGACATTGTCTTACAGCATGAGAATCATATAGAAACCGTTTATTCCATTTGGTTACAAAGATGAGCTAACTGGGAATATTTTGAGAAGATGGCAGGCTACCAAGCTAAAAACCTTCTAAGACAAAATTGAAGGAAATACACCCAACCCGAAAGCAAACAAGCAACTCAGAGATTTAGAATTGCTCTGAAGTTGGTCCAAACTGCTCATCATGTGATTCCATTCCATAATAATCCTCTAGGTCAAAAGTTCAATAAGCATAAACTAATATTTAGGAGTCCAGAAATGTGTCATCAACCACACAAGTGCACTCCTCAGATGGCTCAAGTGGACCATTAAGCTTTGTGTATCTGTACATTCATGAACTGAGCTCCTGTCACACCATTTTGGCACATATTCCCATCTCCCACAATTTTTTTGTTTGTTTCTTGAGACGGAGTTTTGCTATTTTTGCCCAGGCTGGAGTGCATGGCGCAATCTCAGCTCACTGCAACCTCCGACTCCCAGGTTCAAGCCTCCCAAGTAGCTGGGATTCTCCTACCTCAGCCTCCCAAGTAGCTGGGATTATAGGCATGCGCCACCATGCCCGGCTAATTTTTTGTATTTTTGGTAGTGACGGGGTTTCACCATGTTGGTCAGCTGGTCTTGAACTCCAGACCTCAGGTGATCCACCTGCCTCAGCCTCCCAAAGTGCTGGGATTACAGGCGTGAGCCACCGCACCTGGCCCTCCCACCATTTTTTGCCCATATTTCCAACTCCCACCAGATTCCTATCTATCTATGGATCAAAAACTCAGGAAAAACTCAGCATAAGTGTATTACACACAAATCAATACACAGATAATTTCTATTTCCATGTATGTTGATAGTTCCTAAGACAATTAGAAATAACGTTAAACTTTAAAATAATGTTTTTCCCCTCAAATGACCTAAGCAACAGAAAAATCATTGTCAAATAAAGCTTCTACAAAAAGCCCTCCCAACTGCACAGAAGTGGAAATTTCCATTTTACAGGTGATGATCCTAAGGCTCTTCGACAGATTAAGTGCTTTAGCCATGGTCAAAAGCACGATCAAAGGCTGAAACAAGACTTGCATATTTAAACTCCAGCTTAACTGGGAACCTGGTGCTCCACTCCCTGCTTGATGCTACCTCTTAATATAGCTATTGAGTACAGCCCACATTTAAACACCTACTCACAGACGTTACACCAGATAACACTCCTCAACGAAGCTGTGTTCCCAGACCCACAGCTTTGTACCCACACAGAAAATCCAAGAACTTCAGACTACAAGGGAATTTTTTTTTTTTTTTTGAGACAGAGTCTCGCTCTGTCGCCCAGGCTGGAGTGCAGTGGCGCCATCTCGGCTCACCGCAAGCTCCACCTCCCAGGTTCATGCCATTTCCTGCCTCATCCTCCTGAGTAGCTGGGAATACAGGCGCCCGCCACCACGCCCAGCTAATTTTTTGTATTTTTAGTAGAGACGGGGTTTCACCGTGTTAGCCAGGATGGTCTTGATCTCCTGACCTTGTGATCTGCCCGTCTCAGCCTCCCAAAGTGCTGGGATTACAGGCGTGAGCCACCGCGCCCAGCCAGACTACAAGGGATCTTAAATGATCATATGGCCCAGCCTACTCATTTAGCAAATATTTGATCATGGTTCTCTGCACAGCCCAGCACAACTCCCCATCCCCAAGAAGGTGAGATCCAAACTCATTGTATGGCAAGCACTCTACATCATCTGACCTAGTCCACTGCCAGCCCCACAGCCTGCCAGTTCATCCTGCACATGCATGCTAGTGTCAACAAACAACTTGTCTTTTCTAGAATACACCATGTTTTTTCAAACCTCCATTACTATTCCTTGTCCCCCTACAGAATCAGTCTTCAACAACTAGTTCAAATGTCACTACCGCTGTAGGGCATTCTCTGACCCTCTCAGAGAGCATCGTTGCCCCTTCCTTCATCATCCCATGACACTTCTTGCATGCCTTCGACATAGTGCATTTCTCATCATGTGTAAGTCTATGTTATTCATATGTCCACCTTCTTCCACCAGAAGGTGAGTTCTGTGAGGACAGGGACTGCATTTTATTCATTTCACTCATCCTTGCATCTAGGCTAGCACTCAGTGTGCTCCTTAAAAAGTTAGAAAAAATGAGATACAGAGAAAAAAGATGAAGGATGCTAAAGTCAGAGAAATTAAGAGATTTGCTCAAGATCACCCAAATGAATCTCACAGCAGGAGGCCCCAATCAGCACACTTTGTCAGACAGACCAGGAGACAAAAAGCCACTTAACTACCTACTGACATTCCACATCCACCCACTGCCCTCCATTTTCTCTTCATCAGAACATAGTTTCTGATTCATCCCACAGAAAACTCTGCCACAGCTCTGGCAGAGACCCTTGCAGATGAAAATGGCTGTGAGAGCCCTGCACCTTGCAGAAGCAGAGAAGCGCAGCTGGTGGGAGCACTCAGGTGAACAGTTTAATGCATAAGAGGCTCTTCCATGTAAAACAGGCGGGCAAATGCTGGGGGGAGATGGATGGGCTCTCTTGTTTCAACAGTTGCTACAGTAACCCCTCTTCCACCACCAAACCCCAACCTCATAACCTTCTAGAACACCAATCCCAAGGACAGTGTCTCTGGGGGCTGTGGGTCTTCTTAGCTGTCTCTCCAATGTCTGGGAAAACCCCGTGTCTGATCATGGCCTCTCCTGCTTGCAAGTAAAGCCAGCCAGAAAAGGCAGCCAAGAAATTAGCCAGCTGGCAGCAACTCTGGAGGTGGGGCTGTGTGAGACCAGACCAGCCTCTCAGCAAGACGCAAGGGCCTCCCCCAGCCGGCATCAGGCCTTGCTAAAGGGTGAGGAGTCTCTAGTTTCGGCCCCTCACCAACCTCCTCTGAAAATGTCAGAGCAACCCTCCCCTCCTCCCCTGGGGCCCAGCCCTAGAGGGGGAGAGCAGCTCCTCCCCAGCTGCTGCCAATTTGCACCTCATTAGCAACAGCCTCTCCCCAGTGACAGTCCCTCAGAAATCCCAGACTGAGCACCTCGTTGGTGCTAAATGAAATCTGGGTGTTTGAGGAGAATGACATCTGAGCTGCTAGGAGAATGACAAGTCTCAGGGCTTCCCAGAAAACTGGGAGAACACAGGCTACAGAGAAGAGCATTGTTCCTGGAAGAAACCCACAGCTTCACGTCCGTAGTTACTGACAATCAAAGGGATATTTTGAAAGGAGTTGATGGCTGCAAGGTAAATGATGAGCTGAATGAATGCGACTTAATTGCTGCAGAATGCCACTGGAAGTCACAGGGGGTGCCTCCTCTACTTGGAATGCTTGAAAAAAAGATGTAAAATTACCAATTCACCCCTGGTCACAGACAGAGAATTGGGAAAGATGAAATACCTAAAAAAACTCTTAAAAGTCCTTTAGAAGTAAGAGGAACTAAGAACAACATTGTTTAAAAATTCTGAAGAAATACACGAATATGTTAACTTTTCTATTGTTGTAAAGCAAAACAGAATAAGCAACTTCCAGGTCACTATGGTGAGCTGGACACATACTTTTAGCCCAGCTCTCTCCAGAAACTCCCAGTAAGATGAAAGTCAAGGAAATAAAAGACATACATCAGAAAAAAAAAAAAGAAAGAAAGAAAAGAAAGAAAACAGGAGATGACAATAAAAGAGACAGATGACAACCTTTTTGGAAGCTGCGAAGTGAGCTGAATGCAGGCAGAGTAGACAAATCCAGAAATTAAATGTGTTAAGAAGGAAGCAGCAAACAAAAAGAGGTGGGGTCACCCCACAGAGTTCCAGAAAAGCTCAGAAACTAGAGGCATCAGGTAGTGCTGAAGGTGAGGGTGTGAGGAGGAGCCAAAAACAGGAAGAATCCTTTCTAGAGAGTAATTAGACCCCCATTCTGAGGACCTCTGACTACTCCCATGTGCCACACACAGCTATGAGACTGGAGATTTAGTTTCTAAAAAAGCTACACCAGAGAGAACTAGAAAATACAACCGCAGCTGGGTTTGAGTGTGAGACCCTCTACTAAAAGCAGAGAGAGCAAATGAAAGCCTATCCACTGAATAATAATAATTCAGCCTCAGGGCACAGAGCGGTGGCTGACACCTGTAATCCCAGCACTTTGGGAGGCTGAGGCGGTTGGATCACCTGAGGTCAGGAGTTCGAGACCAGCCTGGCCAACATGGCGAAACCCTGTCTCTACTAAAAATACAAAAATTAGTCAGGCGTGGTGGCACATGCCTGTAATCCCAGCTACTCAGGAGGCTGAGGCAGGAGAATCACTTGAACCCAGGAGGTGAAGGTTGCAGTGAGCCGAGATCACTCCCCTGCACTCCAGCCTGGGGGACAGAGCAAGACTCTGTCTCCAAAATAATAATAATTATTATTATTATTCAGCCTCAGAAAAAAGATAGATGTAGAACTCTTAAGGAAAGTGGAGGATTCTTCTCTGAGAAAACTAAACAGAAAATGCTAAAGTTTAGGGTTTTTTCAATAAAACAAACCAGGACCCCACGGTGAAGCATAAGTCACAGACATGCACACCGAGCTTCCATTCAGCCTTTTGGGGCCTCTCTCTTAAATATTACTGGATCATCAGACATTTGAACAGCCTCCAATGTAAAGAGAAGCTATCAGCATGAAGAGAAGAAAATTTTTGAAGAAAACAGAATTAATGTAGGGTGAATACAACATCCAAAAATTATTATTAATACCCTCAATGAATAAAAGAAGATATTAAAGCTATGTAACAAAAATAAAATAAAACAAAAAGGAACCTCAGAAAACAAGAAAGAGCTCATAGAAATAAAAAGTATGATCACAAAAAATTTAAAAATCCAGTGAAAGGATGGCAAACAAATGAGGAAATCTCCCAGAAAGAAGAATAAAAGGTAAAGGAGAACTTTAATAGAAAAAAAAAATCAGAGGAATAGTTCAGTAGATACATTGGCTATTTAATATAAATTCCAGGAAAAAAGCAACTGGTAAATTGGGGAGGAGGAAAATATTCTCCCCCAACCCAAAAAAAAAAAATACCAGACAATTTCTTGGCATTAAAAGTTTTTAGAGCGAAGAGATCTAAAAAGGTCCCAAAACCCATGAATATATGTACCTATACAAAGTACACCAGTTTTGAAATTCCTAAACAATGTATATAAAGGGAAAAATGTTAAAAATAAACCAGAAAGAAAGAAAAAGATGTAAAGTTATTGAGAATTAGAATGGAATTTTTCTCAGCTGTGACTCTGTAAGCACAGCAGCAACAGAGATATGCCTTCACATTTCTGAGGTAAAATTATTTCCCATCTAGAACTCCATAACCTGAAAAGCTCTCAGTCAAGTGTGAAGGTAAAATGTATATATATTCTCAGACATAAAAGGACTCTAAATATCTGACTCCCATGTACCCTCTGCAAAGAAGCTCCTGCGGATGTTTCACATCCTGAAAAACTTTTTCAACTTGGTCATCTAAAAATAGGAAGAGAGTTCCTGGGGAAAAAACCTCATTGAGGAGGCTGGTGTTGTTCTTCTCCTTCTTAAAATTGTTTGTTCCATCAGACAAGGCATAAGTCAGAAAAGGAGGTGTGACGCTTAGGAAATCTGGAAGTCAGAGGATCCGCCTGAGGAAAATGGCAGAAGGATGTCAAAGTATTGGAGAAGAACGGAAGCTATGTAAAAACCAGTTCAGACAGGGCAAGATGATGGAAGGAACCAGAAGGGCTGTCTACAAGAAAAACCATGAAACTGACTCATTATTTGATACAATTAAATGCAATAAAACATTTATTGTCTTGTTAAGAACTTTGTGGAAGAATCATGAGTAAGTCCATATGAGAATAAGTTTTAAAATAAGACCAATAATACAAGAAAGAAAAGGTTTTCATAGCACACTGGGTGACTCGGCTATGGATAAGATTTACAAAGTCATGATAATATAAGCATTTATTAATGATTTAAATAAAATTGTAATATGTATTGGAAGGATGGAAGAAGAAACACATAAGGGTGGGATAAAAAGAGAACTACTAAATCCTCACCTCAGAAGGGACAGTTAAAAAAAATTACCAAACAGCACTTAGTGGTTAGTAGCATGTGATGTATAAATACAAATGCAGAATCAGAAAAAACAGTTAATATATCATAACAACGCTGAAGAAATGAAAGTATGGGAGAGACTTTGAAAATGGAACTATTGGCCAGGTGCAGCGGCTCACGCCTATAATCCCAGCACTTTGGGAAGCCGAGGCGGGTGGATAACCTGAGGTCAGGAGTTCGAGACCAGCCTGAGCAACATGGAGAAACCCCGTCTCTACTAAAAATACAAAATTAGCTGGGCATGGTGGCACATGTCTGTAATCCCAACTACTCGGGAGGCTGAGGCAGGAGAATCACTTGAACCTTGGAAATAGAGATTGCAGTGAGCCAAGATTGTGCCACTGCACTCCAGCCTGGGGGACAGAGTGAGACTCCATCTCAAAAAAAAAAAAAAGAAAAAGAAAAGAAAATGGAATTATTGGGTTTTATTTAAAGCCCTGTCATTCTTTTTCACTTTTAAGTTCAGGGGTGCATGTGCAGGTTTGTTACACAAGCGGTTGGTTGTACAGATTATTTTCTCACCCAGGTATTAAGCCTAGTGCCCACTATTTTTCCTGATCCTCTCCCTCCTCCCCGCCTCCACCCTCCAAAAGGCCCCAGTGTGTGTTACTTCCCTCTGTATGTCCATGTGTTTTCATCATTTAGCTCCCAGTTATAAGTGAGAGCATGCAGTATTTGGTTTTCTGTTCCTGTGTTAGTTTGCTAAGGATAATGGCCTCCAGCTTCATCCATATGCCTGCAAAGAACACGATCTCATCCCTTTTTATGGCTGCATAGTACTCCATGGTGTATATGCACCACATGTTCTTTATCCAGTCTATCATTTATGGGGATTTAGGTTGATTCCATGTCTTTGCTATTGTGAACAGTGCTTCAGTGAACATATGTATGCATGTGTCTTCATAATAGAATGATTTATATTTCTCTGAGTATATGCCCAGTAATGGGATTGCTGGATTGCATGGTATTTCTTTGAGGAATTGCCACACTGTCTTCCACAATAAAGCTCTGTAGTTCTAACTATGAGCTATGCCTTAAGTCTTGCTTATATATTACTTTGGTTAAATAAATATTATATTTAACAACGAAACCCAAAAGCTGGCCAACCCTCACATAACTGCATTTGCACGTCTCCAAAACAATCTGTACCATTTATAAACCTAGGCTCCAGAGCTGGTGTTAAGAAATTTCATTACCCTAAGAAGTTTGTAATGTCTTCACGTTATCCCATGGCAGACGGCATACATGTGATGAAGCATGGTGGTGGTGACAGCAATATCTTGCATGGCTGTAGGGCTATAAAATTTACAATGTGCACACATTATTCCATTCAGCACCAACAGCCATGATGGGAAATAGGTATCATTAGCCTCATTTTTCAGATGAGGACATTGGGGCTCAGAGAATGAGACCTATCTGAGGATTAGCAAGTGACATGAAAAACGCCCATTTACACAGGCATGCACCCCCCAACACACAGACACACACACACTCTCACACACACACATTCACACGCACTCACACACATACACACACTCACACACACACATACACACACACATACACATACACTCACACACATACACACACACACACTCAGTGGTAGGCAGTAGTATTTTCTAACATGGATGGACGGTGACACAGTAACAGACTTGTTTTCTGAATTTGTTTATGTCTTTGTCAATCTAGGGCAGTGAAAAGTAAACCTTTTTGAATGAAGGCTATCAAGAAAGAAAATTGTGGGACACACTTTTTTTCATTTAAAATAAAACTGCCTCTATTAAGTAACAAGAAAAAAATATGAAGTTTTACATCTTTGAATTTAGTATTGTTGACTAGAATTATGAACTTGCTTAGTAGTCTCCACATTATTAACAATTGGATTTAGTTGAAAAATCAAGTTTTTAACTTCTTAATCATGAAATCAGTTTGTAGGTTGCATCTCCAAGTCAGGCAGGTCATGTGGGCCTGTGGGTCCAAGACTGTTCATCACTCTGGGTGGCCTTAAACCAAGACTCTATTTTTTCCTGCCTGTTAATAATACTTTGATCTCAAAGTTGCTCTCTTTTCTATGTTTCTCTATTTTCCATTATATGAGAAGAAAGGTGATTTCTCCAAAATGCAGAGCGTGAGCCAGCTCTCAGGCATTGCAATGCATGTACATAATGCAGAGAATAAGCCGGCCATCGTCCTAATCCTTCTGGAACAGGCCTGAAAGCCAGCAGTCAGAATTGGTCACACTGACTTTCCTCCACAATGTTGCACTCCATTTACTGAAGATTATGTCTGAAAAGAGTGTGTGGTTTGCAGCTAAAGGCAAATCTTTCTTAGCTGCAAAATTATCTGTATTTCTATTAACTGGTCCAGCCAATCTCTATTCATGTAACAGTGTTAGACAGTAACACAGCCCTCTGACAGTGAACAATGTTTAAGCTGCTTGACTACTGTTTTCTAATAAATTCAGAACACACATTTCTCCTATTAATTTGTTCAATGATTTCTAGGTATTGGAATCTGGGGGAAAAAATCTATCCACTTCATTTTTGTTTTTTAAAGTCCAGTGATGTGATCTGGCAGGGGGAAGGGGGCGGCGGGGGCAGGCGAGTTTATCCAAACAGTTTAGAGGGAAAGTGCCTAGCTCAGAGGCAAGCCACGTTCCAGAATTTTCTGTGTATTTACCTGTATAGAACTTAGGACAATGTTATTTTGCTAAAGTAATAATGAATGGCATCAAATCTAAACACCATCCGTTATATTCCTTTATGTAAAAATGAGTTTCACGTTCAAACTCTGTGGACATCTCAAATTCTCCTTACTCAATCTTTCCCAAAGCTTGAGACTAGAAACTCACCCTACTTCCTATTATTCCTAAGGCATGAGAAAAGCCTGGTTCTCAGCCACCATGGCCCCTGCAGACAGAACAGGGGTCCCCCTTCCTTCTTCATGTGCTAGAGGAGAAAGAAAAGTTATTGTCCATACTGGAGTGTCTGGAGGCATGGCAGGGTGGAGGTGTCACTTGCACAGGAATGACTTGCAGCTATAACAGTGACTCTGGATGCAGGGTAACCAGCAATGGCTTCAGAGAGAACAAGGACCTCCCCACAGCTGAGTATGGAGCATCACTTATAGGCTCAAAAACCTCCAATGGCTCCCTATTAACTATAAAATCCAAATTCTTCTGATGGCATTCAAAGTCCTCCATAATGAGCATTTAACTAACCTTCCCTGCCTTATCTTCCACTCTATCCTTATGCTCAACCCAAACTACTTCATCACCATTCACACTGCTGCACAAATACGTCATACATTTCTACCACTGTATCCTTTCTCATGCAATTCCTGCTGCCTGGAACGCTTTCCATACTCTCCCTCCTTGTGTCCCCATCTCCTCCTATTGAAATCCTACCAACTCTTTAAAGTCAGTGCTCCAAGAAAACTTCTCCCAAACAGAACTAACCTCTCCCACTTTTGTGTTCCTATCACCCAGATCCAGATACAATCATGTGCATCATGCTATGCCCGCTGCTTTACCTTTGTTCAAGCTGCTGATGTCTAAGAAGCACGGAATAGATACAACTTCTAGTAAAGCTCACTTATGTGTGGAATTCTAGGTTAGTGGAACCTGTTAAAGCCTTTCATTCCTTCAAATATTCAAATGATCTACTTTGAGAGCTTTTCAGGAGAGATTAGAAGCAAATGGACTGTGTTCTAAAATTCTGTTTCTAGTTTGCCATTTAGAACCCTGAGTATGTTTTCTCCATTCAATCAATGACATGAACAAGTCCTTTAATTCCTCTCTCCACCTGGTTATCTTCTCTTCCTCCTTCAAGGCACATTTAACCATCACTTGCTGCAGATCCTCCACTCTCCACTCAGACATAAGTGCCCTCTCTCAGGGCTCCCCTATCCTGCCCGCTGACCGCCCGCTCTCTTTGTATTTATCAGCCTGTAGACAGGTCAATGTCTTGCTTCTCTCTATCACCAAGCCATAAATTCTTGATAACAGAGACTCTTATTTCTCTTTTATTTCTAGCACTTCACATAGTATTTGGCACATAGTGGCTATTTTTTTTATTTCTTTCTCCAATAAGTTATAAGCAACTTGAAACAACTTTAAGGTAAAAATCATTTATTATTCAATTTTGGATTCTTCACCAAGTGCTTGAAATAGTGTTTTGCACATATAACAAATTAGTATTCCATATCTATTCTTACAACTTAGGTAAGTTTTTATCGAGAGGATTCCTCATGCTATAAAACAGGTGAGAAAACCCCAATGTTCTCCCAGTGATGCTTTTTTTTAAGTACTTTTTCCCAGCTTTCAATACCAAGACTTGAAAGAAAGCACTCAGTGCGTGGAAGAGCCTCAGAGACCATTGAGATGCATGTATTTCATTTCTCATCTTCTAAAGCTTCTCTCCTTTTCCTTTTTCATTTCTCATCATCCTCATGAATTATCTCACTCCCTTCAGCAGAGAATGCACATTACTTGAGTTATTTTTAGAACACCCTTGTGTGCAATATTGGCACTTCAAAGCACCAGATAGAATCCACACAAACACACACAGATCCTCCTGGGGCTTTTGCTCTGTCCTTGAAGCTCTTTTCACAGCTTCCTAAGGTCTCTCCCCTAGGAATCAGGGGAGCCACAGTAAAAGTATAAGTCCATGCATTTACTTCTATGCCTCCCAAGTGAATTTACAATAAATATTTATTTAACATGATGGGAACTGATGTTAAGAATAATATAAGAATAAGAGCATAAGAAACAATTTCTGTGACACAGACATAACCTGAAGCTACACATCCACATTCTAAGTTCATATCCTTCATCTTGAATGATCCTCTTACCCAAATTTTAGGAATTAATTGCTGGAGAAGCAATAATGCTCTTCCCATAACCTTTATTCTACCTCCAAGTGCAGCCACCACAAGCTGAACTATTTTAGATGGCAAAACAGCTAGGCCACCCAAAAGCTATAGAACACATTCTCTTACATCTAATGCTCAATATGTCTGGCAAAGCAGAGGAAGATGCAGTTTGCAAAGGAAAGAGAAGACAAACTCTCTGTCTTTAACCTTATCCTCAGTCACCACTGTGGTGAGGAGAGGAACATAGGACAGTAAGGATGATGCGGAACACCAAAGAGGACTCTCCCCACATTTCCTGTCTACAGTTCTCTCTCCTTCCTAGTTACACCCTGAAAGTACAACTTCTTAACTTGGGAAACTAGACTTCGTAATTCAAGAACTTCATCATTCAAGGTTATCATTCAAGGATGGCTATCTAGAGGCTTCTGTAATTTTGATAAATTAGTATCTTGACCCTAATCCCACAACGCTGTGCTGTTTAATAGAACTTTCCACAATGATGAAAACGTTCTGTAACTGTGCTGTCCAGCAGGACAGCTACTAGCTACATAAGGCCCTTATTTACTCAATGTGTGATTAGTGTAAAGAAGGAACCGGATTTCAAATTTAGTTTACTTAATTAGTTTTGGTAGGTCCACAGGATTAGTGCCCACTGTATTGAACGGCATAGCCTTTGTACTTAAAATAGGAAAATGCTGTCCTCTGGATAAGATAAGTAATTTTCTTGGCCACCAAATATAGTTTTAGCCAAAGTCCACATGGATTTCTTCATTGGCTCTGTGTCAACTCACTGAAAGAAAGTTCGCCAAAACCTCTCAAATAGCTTAAGCCAGTTTTTGGAAGAGTTGGTCACAGGCATTTCTCCACTAGCAGCAGGGTCAAAAGGAGGACGATGCAGGCATAAGTCTGAAAAATAGAGATAATAGTAAATAGAACTTAAGAGAGAGCTTGCCCCTTCTTATCTAGGAAAAATGAGAGAGAGAGGGAAGGAGGGACAGATGGATGGACAGAGGAAGGGATGGATGTGGAACATTCTAAAAGGGCATGGCATCTGAAATAAGTAGGAAACAAGCCAAGTAAACATTTAGCCAAGCTAAAATGGCCAGTCTTAAGTGAAATGGCTGCAACCTAAGCAAAACTTTGGAAATATTATCAGCAATTTGTTAAACTGGCAGTCTGGATATTCAACTTTTGGAATGAGTTTCACAGCAATTGGTCCACACCCATACTAATCCCTATCCACAACCAACAGCCACAGCAAGCTAATGAAGTCCCCAAAGCTATGCCTATGGTATGTAGGTGTATCCTGCACCAGAGAATCCAAAGGAGGAGCAGATGGGGACAGAAACCCAGCCTCAGTGCCCCCCACCACAGGAGAGGTCCTAGCTGGAGCTGACTGTGCTCTGGAGTGCAAGAGAATTTTTGTAAATTCATGCATCCCAGACTTGAAACCTGTTTCTAATTTGAACAAAGGCACCATATGTGCTAATGGTGACCTTGGTTGGACCACATTTTTAGTTTAGTGCTGCATTTTTATGAAGAAAGCCATGGATAACCCAGTATGCTGTCAAATTAGAAAGAGCCAGAAAAGTGAAGTTGATTGAAAACCACTTTTGGATAAGGGATAGAATGAAAGTGGAGATGGTGCAGTCTAAAGAAACAAGAGCTGAAGAGGCATGTGATATTTGACTTCAAATATTCGAAGACCTGTTATACAGAAAAGGAAAGGGTATTATCCTGAATGTCCTCCAGAACTACAGTGTAATATTAAGTACGTAAAAAAATTAAGGAGTCAGTTTCAGACTCAACATGAAGACAGCAGAATGTAATGGGAAAAGATAGGGGCTTTGGGTGACTTAGAACTGAGTCTGAATCCAATTAATTGACTCCATCAATTATAGCCCTTTGACTTAAATTATTTCCCCTGTGTGAGACAGTTTTCTCATCTGTACAATAGTGATAACTACTCAGAGTTGTTGTGAGAATTAAACAAGAAAATCACAAAAAGGAGGCAAGAAAGTTCCTAACACATATTAAGTATTCACTAAATGATAATATATTCATTTTTCCTATAACAAAAACTCTCTAACAATTAGAATTGACCAACGGCGTAACTATGCCCCTAATGTATCCAAGAGCTCTCTGGCACTGAGGACATTCACAAGCAGAGGCTGCTGGGCCATTCGCCAATGATATTTTATCAGTTAGACTTTTTTTAAACCACCTAGTTAACTTAAACAAAAAGGAATTTTATCGGGAAGATGTTGGATAGTTCACAATGAATAGAAAGACTGATGATCTGTATTAGTCCGTTTTCATGCTGCTGATAAAACATACCCAGGACTGGGAAGAAAAACAGGTTTACTGGACTTACAGTTCCACGTGGTTGGGGAGGCCTCACAATCGTGGCAGACGGCAAGGAGGAACTAGTCACAACTTACATGGATGGTAGCACGCAAAGAGAGAGCTTGTGTGGAAAACTCCCCCTTATAAAACCATCATATCTCATGAGACTTATTTACTATTATGAGAACAGCATAAGAAAGACCCATCCCATAATTCAATTACCTCCCATCGGGCTCATTCCACAACATGTGGGAGTTATGGGAGTACAATTCAAGATGAGACCTGGGTGGGGACACAGAGCCAAACCATATCATTCCACCACTGGCCCCTGCCAAATCTCATGTCCTCACATTTCAAAACCAACTGTGCCTTCCCAAGAGTCCCTCCAAAGTCTGAACTCATTTCAGCATTAACTCAAAAGTCCACAGTCCAAAGTCTCACCTGAGACAAAGCAAGTCCCTTCTGCCTATGAGCCTGTAAAATCCAAAGTAAGCTAGTTACTTCCTAGGTACAATGGGGATACAAACATTGGGTAAATACAGCCATTCCAAATGGGAGAGACTGGCCAAAACAGAGGGGCAACAGGCCCCATGCAAGTCTGAAATTCAACCGGGCAGTCAAATCTTAAAGCTTAAAATGATCAACTTTGACTCCATGTCTCAAATTCAGGTCGTGCTGATACAAGAGATGGGTTCCCATGGTCTTGGGCAGCTCCACCCTTGTGGCTTCGCAGGGTATAGCCCCTCTCCTGGCTGCTTCCACAGGCTGGCATTGAGTGTCTGTGGATTTTCCAGGTGCACAGTGCAAGCTGTCGGTGGAACTACCATTCTGGGGTCTGAAGGACAGTGGCCCTCTTCTCACAGCTTCAATAGGTGGTGCCCCAGGAGGGACTCTGAGTGGGGGCTCTAACCTCACATTTCCCTTCTGCACTGCCCTAGCAGAGGTTCTCCATGAGGGCCCTGCCCCTGTAGTGAACTTCTGCCTGGGCATCCAGGCATTTCCCATACATCCTCTGAAATCAAGGTGGAGGTTCCCAAACTTTGATGCTTGACTTCCATGTACCTGCAGGCTCAACACCATGTGGAAGTTTCCAAGGATTAAGGCTTGAACCCTCTGAAGCAATAGCTCAAGCTATACCTTGGCCCCTTTTAGCTCTGGCTGGAGTGGCTGGGGCACAAGACACCAAGTCCATAGTCTGCACAGAGCAAGAGGTCCCTGGGCTCAGCCCATGAAACCATTTTTTCCTCCTAGGCCGCTGGGCCTGTGATAGGAGGGACAGCCATAAAGACCTCTGACATGCCCTGGAGACATTTTCCCCATTGTCTTGGTGATTAACATTCAGCTGTTCATTACTTATGCAAATTTCTGCAGCCAGCTTGAATAATGGGATTTTCTTTTCCATTGCATCGTCAGGCTGCAAATTTTCTGAACTTTTATGCTCAGCTTCCCTTATAAAACTGAATGCCTTTAACAGCATCCAAGTTACTTCTTGATTGCTTTGCTGCTTACAAATTTCTTTTATGAGATACCACAAATCATCTCTCTCAAGTTCTAAGTTCCACAAATCTCTAGGGCAGGGGCAAAATGCCACCAGTCTTTGCTAAAACATAGCAAGAGTCACCTTTGCTCCAGTTTCCAACAAGTTCCTTGTCTCCACCTCAGCCTGGATCTTATTGTTCATGCCACTATGAGCATTTTTGTCAAAGCCATTCAACAAGTCTCTAGGAAGTTCCAAACTTTCCCACATTTTCCTGTCTTCTCTGAGCCCTCCAAACTGTTTCAACCTCTGCCTGTTACCCAGTTCCAAAGTCGCTTCCACATTTTCAGGTATCTTTTCAGCAGCACCCTACTCCTGGTACCAATTTACTGTATTAGCCTGTTTTCATGCTGCTGGTAAAGACATACCCGAGACTGGGCAATTTACAGAAGAGGTTTATTAGACTTACAGTTCCCCATGGCTGGGGAGACCTCACAATCATGGCAAAGTCAAGGAGGAACAAATCATGTCTTACATGAATGGCAGCAGGCAAAGAGACAGCTTGTGCAGGGAAACTCACCCTGATAAAACCATCAGATCTCATGAGACTTATTCACTATCATGAGATCATCAAGGGAAAGACGCATCCTCATACTTCAATTACCTCCCACTGGGTCCCTCCCACAACACATGGGAATTATGAGAGTACAATTCAAGATGAGATTTGGGTGGGGACACAAAGCCAAACCATATCACAACCTATGCTTTGAATAAAGACAGGAACCAGAGCAGCAGGAATTGTCCTACCAGGGCACTGCCAGTGGATATGAACAAATTGGCAATCCCTTTGACAATCCTTTGAGTCCAAGTCCAAGAGAGTCTGGTCGTCCAAGCTCAAGTCATACACTTGCCCCAAGATGCTATCAGGGTGGTGAGAGGAAGCCCCCTACAACAGCTTCCAAAGGCCTCATTGGTTACCATGGTGGAGAGCCAGGCACCTTGATGTACAGCCCCTCAAGGCTACACACAAGAGGACAGAGGTCATTCCTAAAAGGAAAAACAGGGTTTTGGATGCATATAGGAATATAGCACAGAATAATGCTTAAGTGCACTAGACAGGGGGTTCTGGAATTCAAACCCTGGCTCCACCGTTGGCTGGTGGTGACACCCTGACATATTACTTCATTATCCTGTGCCTCAGTTTCCTTTTCTGTAAAGCTATGGATAGTAAAAGCATCTACCTTATAAAGTTGTGATAAGAATTAACTGAAACCACATATGTAAAGCACTTCACAGTTCTTGGCAAGTAGGACCTCATATTAATGTTGAAGGTATATCATTGAGCACCTCCCAGATATGCTTTTTCTGAGAGACACTTAGGATCTTGCATTTCTATGGGTTTTATGCCAGGCCGGGAAGTCAATGTTTTAGATCTCTCCTCCCCAGCCTTTCTTGTCTTGATTTCACCATCTATATATTGGGTTCGTATAACACAAGTGCTTTTGCTAAAGCTGTTTTGAGTCATTGTAAAAGTGCATGATGAAACATATATGAGAGGCATTAATTGTTCGAGAGATGCTAAAACCAACCATACTAATGAACCCAGCACCACAATGGGAATAACCATTCACCATTTGTGAATTCATCCATGTATTACTTCTTCTGAGTCTGACTTTTAGTTCCTGGAAGAGGTATTTTGCCTTAAATGGAAGGGCAACTTACTGGAAATTAAAGACAAGCTTCCCAGCATCCCAGCTGCTCCTGGAAAGGGGCATTTTCTCTCAAATATCTTGAGGAGGGGAATGGTGAGGAGCAGTATTATGCAGCACACTCTTAGAAAACAACAAAGTTTGCTCCCTTAACAACTCCATGAAGCAATTCTCTGAAGAAAATACATTTGTATAGATACACATAAGTTTCACAATAGTTTGGCAAATTACAACAGAGATGGCAGAAATGCCTTTTATGCCTTAAAAGGCAGGGCCAAGGGCTTCAAGGCTTCCACACACAGATCAATCCATCTTCAAAATTAATAGTGATAGTGCAATCAAAAAATATAGCACCTGACAGCTTTGTATATTGACATCGCCCCTTCACACACATACCCATTGGGACATTAAGTATACGTCCTCCTCTGCACTCAGATCCTTCTGATAAACTGAGCTCCATGAATTATGCTTGTCTTGTACCGTATTTTCTATCTTCATTTTGAAGAGCTTTCAGCTGCCAGCGAAAGCTCAATACAATGAAATCTTGGCACCATCCAACCCCTTGGCTGCAACAACAAAATTTTGTTCTATACCATGTCATTTCAATACCCTTAGCATTCTAAATTACCCAGAGTATTTCATTGAGATGGTATCGGTGAATGTCAAATACAGCCTCAAAACGTACCTGTTTGTTAGCAGTATTTTCTGGAGACTTCCAAATCCTTCAAACTGTGGGTAGCCTGAACCTGCTGCCCCTGTGAACCGTGTGCGGCTCACGGAAGTCTGGTTATTAGGTAATCAGCTATACTGAATTTTCTCCATATGTTCAACAAATATGTTGAGGTGGCTATTTCTTCCCCTAAAAATCACTGAGCTACAGAAGCATATGCTTTCTGGAGACCTGAAATGCAATTGCTATAAAAATGAAATACTATTCTTGGAATACCTATGCCATTACTTGAACTGGGTCTCCTTTACAATGAAATGGCTGCTGCTTAGCAACTAATGCAAAGAAAGAGCCTGACTCTATCTCTACCTGTTTTTTTTTCTTTTTCCCCAGTAAGAGGAGTGTTAAACATATACCATCACACTTGTAGTTTCATGTTTTCATGTGTACAGGAAGGGCAATGACAATGGCAATGAGGTCATCCTCATTGTCAATGCAATATGGATTTAGAATACCAGCTAGTGATTCCAACTTTGTCCATTGTGATAAACCAGTGAGATTAATTCAAGTAAGTAAAATTAATGAGAGGGAAATGGTGCTATTTTTCCATAGATTCATGTGTTGAAACAGCATCCTGCAGTGAAAAGAGTATGAGACTTCAGATCCGAAAACCAGCCTGAACCTGGCAATGTCCCTTATGGCACATGGCCTTGGGAAAGTCGCTTAGCTACTGTGACTGTTTCCTTAAATGTACAATGGCTATGAAAACAATACGGGGTTGCCTAAGATTGTTTTGTGAGTAGTTAGATTAATTATGTGAAAGGAGTTTATAAATGGTAAGCTGTGAAAGCACCACACACATTTTTATTATTATTAAGTACCTAAATTTAGTCAGTATAACAGTTTAAGAAATCTCCAGAAATTTGTCTTTAAAAAAAATCCCTTAGACTTTGTTATAAGTAATTCCACGCTGGCTCATAGAAAGCTTCTGTTTTAATCTTTAAATAGCTTGGGCATTTATTTTTGAAGTAGAGGTTTATTTTCCTAAGAAATTCTGAAAGTTTTCTTCAAATGAGAAAGAATGACTCAGGTTTTCAAAATGTTCCTTTGGAACTTTCTAGGTGTCTCTAACTGCACTCATGAACATACTGACGAATTCTGAAGGATGTTGTTATGGAAAAACTCATATTGCAAAGACTTGCAGCTCAAACAGGTCCTCGAGCTAAAGGTAAAAGACCAGACTCTTCTAAGAATATCTTTTGTAAAAATCAAATGGGGCTGACTATGCCATTTCAGACATGTAAAGTGCACATAAGTTAACCCTAGCTTCTTCACTGGACCCCAATCCATGGTACCATCACCTCCCTTCAAGTTCCACTGTGATTACAACAAATCACAAGGTCTTGTACTGTAGAATTTAAAAGGAGCAGTACCAGTCTATAATCCCTGCAATCATTTCTTGGCCCCAGGAAACTGGATTTATTCCCCCGTCTTGTGCAATGGAAAATTCATATAGTTTTTACAAAAAAACACCATGGAAAGCTCAATCTTGGCCTCCCTACAACTGACAGTAGCACATGATTATTCACAGAGCTAAGTTTTATGCTTAGACATAAAAAGAATGTTCATCCACTCAGCCAATCAACCTTTGTCAAGGCCTCTCTCTATGTCTTGTGTGAGGTCTGGCTGGGCCCATGAAGATGAAACACATGGGTCTCTCTCCTCAAGAGAGTTTGGTCTAATAAACCACTAGATTGTGAAAATATGGCTATTTGCACACAGAGAGGGTAATGGGAAAGGGTGAAAAGAGGACAAGAAAAGCTGCAATAGGGAAGTAATAAGCAATATGCAAATATGGGCACAGATCTTAACTCTGCCACTCAGCTATGTGACTTGCAGGCAAGCTGCTTAAACTCTAAGCCTCAATGTCCTTCTCTGTAAAATGGAAATAATAATAGTCCCTACTTAATTGACGGTCCAGTGAAATCCCAAATGTAAAATATTTAGCAGCTCTTGACACAGTGTAAGCATTTGGCAAAATCAGTAACTTATAATGATTAATATTCACAGGTAGGGAGGTAAGTTAATCGTTGCGGTCAGTATTTGAACCAAGAAAAGCTTTTTCCTTCTCTGAGCTGCACTTACAAAAAGCTTGGAAGTGCATGGATTGCCTTTGCTGCCTCTGGG
This sequence comes from Homo sapiens, assembly GCF_000001405.40. NCBI lineage: Eukaryota > Metazoa > Chordata > Mammalia > Primates > Hominidae > Homo > Homo sapiens. The sequence goes on from NC_000007.14 coordinate 137,837,394, forward strand.
AATGGCCTTCAGAGGCCACTGGGAAGGACAAGAGGAGTGATGTCTGTGGCTTCCTGGAATATTGTGAGAAAAAGCAGGGTAGGCTGGTGTTTATGTCCTCCCAAAAGTCACATGTTGAAATTATCACCCCCAATGTGATGGTTCTAGAAGGTGGGGCCACTGGGGGTGATTCAGTCACAAGGGTGGGGCGCTAATGAATGGGATGAGTGCCCCTCTAGAAAGAGACCCCCAGGAGCCTCACTACCTCCACCCTGTGAGGACACCATGAGAAGAGAGCTGTCTGCAGCCCCAAAGAGGGTCCTCCCCAGAACCTGACCATGTTGGTGCCCTGATCTCAGACTTCCAACCTCCAGAATGATGAGAAAGAAATGTCTGTTGTTTAGAAGCCGCCCAGTCTATGGGACTTTGTTACAGCAGCCCAAGCTAATGAAGACAGCCATGAAAACCAAGCAGCCCCGAGGTTGTGCGCTGTCAGGGAAGCCCATGCTTGGCAGCTTCCTGTGTAACTTCAGACACTGAGGACGGTGCTTCAATTGCATAGGAAAAGAAACATGCCACACCTTAGTCTTTGCATTGAGAGGGGGCCAATTTAAAAGGGAGAAACTTTTTTTTTTTTTTTTTTTTTTTTTAGACAGAGTCTCACTCTGTCACCAGGCTGGAGTGCAGTGGCTTGATCTCAGCTCACTGCAACCTCCGCCTCCCGGGTTCAAGCAATTCCCCTGCCTCAGCCTCCCAAGTAGCTGGGACTACAAGTGTGCACCACCACACCCAGGTAATTTTTCTTGTATTTTAGTAAAGACGGGGTTTTACCATGTTGGCCAGGATGGTCTTGATCTCCTGACCTTGTGATCTGCCTGCCTCAGCCTCCCAAAGTGCTGGGATTACAGGCTCTTCCTTCAAAACTCTTAAAGAGAATGCTTTCAGTCTGAAAGAGATTGTCTCAAACTCTGACACATCCATAAGGACAATGATGAGATCTGAGGCCTTTCAGCCTGAGGAATGTTCCAGAAGTTTGTCTCTAAATGATACACGGAACCCTTTCCGACCGCTTCCACATAAGCTTATGTAAAGCTCTTTTTATCTTTCAACAAATTGCTTTCAAGTTTTTTTTTTAAAAAAGCAAAAATGTATTTTTCCTTACAAGCCTGACATCTTTCTCATGTACAAAGGAATGACACATTTTTAAAATGTACTTTGGTCCTTTCAAGGAATCTATTTTCTGGCTATTTCCTGAAAGACTACATGATACACAAAAGCAGTCCAACTGTCTTATCTTTGCCTTTTTTAGGGGAAAAAAAATGAATTCACCTCCTCAAAATTTATTTCACAGTCCTGAGCCGTTTTATTTGTCCAACAAATATTTAATAACCATCTACATCTTTTAAAATATATTCTGCTGTTTGGCCTGGTTCAAATAACTGATGGAACATCCCAGAAGGCTGCACCTTCCATTTCTGAAATAATCCAGGGCAGGTAGCATCTGCGAAGCTTCTTTCTGTGATTGCCAGGGCATGCCAGCCGGCCATTGTCTGTATGTACAAAGCAGGCATCATCAAGACAGGCCAGAAGAGAAATAACCTCTGTCCTGGAATCACAGGGGACAATTCTATTTCTAGTACCTCGGTCTTTATCAGCTTATCCATTCCTGACACTGTGAAGCTCTGAGACCCCTCTCACCCACCCCTCCACGGCTGGCTTCCTGCTCTCAGATGACCAGCTGGGAGTTTGGATTGCTGCTACCTGATTCCTCCGCACACTGACTGTGCCTCTCTCCTCCGACCTCTGCCTTCTGTCTGCTCCAATTTCCAAAGCACTAAGAAGCAGCTTTCTCCCCTTCACATCCCCTAGTAACAATGAATTGTGTTTTAATAAGTTATGAAAGAAAAAGTACATATTCTATACCTTAAAGAATGCCAAAACCTGTCAGTTAAATTTCTCAAGTCTATGTCTATCTCATTTTCATATTACCTGAATAATTTTATCACCAGCTGCTGACATTTGATGATGTTCTGTATTTTGAAGAATAATAGACAAATCTGTTCCTTAACTGGACTTGAGTATAGATAATACCACTTTAACAAACACACATATAGCATGTACTTTGTGACTCATTTAAATGTCAAATAATTCTACAGGATGAGTACTACTATCACTACCATTTTGCAGATAGGGAAATTAAGACACAGAGAGGTTAAGTAACTTTTGCAGGCACACAGCAGGCAGAGGTGGCGCTTTGGACCCAGGTAGCAGGGCTCTTCACCAGTACTCTCCTCTACCTCTCAAGTAATTGAAAGTTAAGAAAAATGAAATTTAATTGTGGTTTAAATATTACTGTTTCGAATGTTGTTCCCAACATCTAACAAAAGCCAGGCTATAAATATTACAGCTTAAACCAGAATTGGTTCTTTTATCAGAACATTATTTATGAGTCTGGAAATCTAAAGGCAAATTTCCATTTCAGCAAAACTAGGTTGGATGCAAGAATGACAGAAGCCCCTGTTAGAAAGCTGTTGCCCTTAAAAGAAAATGCTGTTTGCTTTATTTCAAAGGCTCACAAAACTCAGGGCTGGAAGGAAAGAACATTAACATTCATATGCAAAGATCTTTCTTCCCACCTCTACCCAATCACAGCCCCCTCCTTCAGCTAATATGCACACACAAGATGATTTAATTTTCTCTAAAGTAACCCAAGCAGTGCTCATCCCTCCTCTCCCTAAACACTATGGGTGTCAGGACACTCGTGAGCCATTCTTCAAGTGCTCTGTATGGTACATGAATAAAAAGTAGCTGGTGCTTTTCTGAAGATTTTATTAAGTGGGTTAAAAACAAAGCAAAAGCTTAGAGTCACTAAGCGGACTAATGCATTCTTCCTAAAATAACTTTTTCACCAAAGTCAATCAGATGAGCTGGAAGGAAAGAGGGAGTGAAGTAATATAGAACAGAGGTGGCTGGAGTGACCTCCGGCTGGCTGGACAATGGTCAGGACTCCAGGAATGCTGGGTAGCCCTTTTTCTGCATTTTTACATTTTAATCACTGAAGGAAAAGTCAACAGAAATTTCCCTGAGGAGAAAATCAATGCTGCCCCTTGGAAAGGGATGAGACAGACAGAAAGAGAACCGGAGAGCTAATTAGTGCTACTCAGAAGGCAAATTAAGGCCTTTTCTTTGACAAGCTGCAAATAGCTGGTTAAGTAAGAGTTTCTGCCACCCCTCTCCAGCCTCACAGCTGCCTAAATGGCTGATGCAGGTACGCAAACAGGAAGCTGTAAACAGTAACGCAGTCCTGGGCTGCTGGACAAAGTGTAAATAAGAAAAAGGCAGAGGTTTCTTTAGTAGAAAAGAAACTCACAATTGAGATGAACCAAGAATGAATAACAGTAGTAATTTATTTTAAAATGCCAATGAAATGTATTTATTCAATAAATACTTATCCAACACCTACCAAGCAAGAAGAATCAGAGTCATCGATTCAAATGATCAGGTGCAAGTTCTGTCTTCAAAGGAGCTAACAACTTAGTTTGGGGAATGGTAATAAGTACACAAGTTAACTCTATGTAGGGCACTATGCCATGTCCTTTAAATAAAGTAACTCATTTAATCTTCCTAACAAACCTGTATTACTATTATCTCATTTTAGAAACACATTGGCTGGGCCTCCAAGGAGTTACATAGCTTGTCTGAGATTAGCAGAAAGATGCCAAGTTCAAACCCTAGTCTAAGTCCCAGACCAGAAAATGACACTTGTCTCAACAAAGCTATTTGAAAGAACAGGGGAGCACCAGCCACCCATCACCCCAAGTGGACGCTTTTGAGCTCATACCAATCGAGGAGTTTTCCTGGTGAACAAGCCAGCAATGAGTTGTGGAAGCATTATGGGCAAACAGACTTAGCTTGGTATTTTTATTTCTCCAATTATCTGCATTGTTTTTGTGCCTTGAAATAGGTTTCAATCAGTTCCAACAATTAGAAATCAGCCCATTTTTATAGGCATTTTGAGCAAATTAAATTTTAATGAAAAAAAGTTTTATGGCTTAGATTTCATTTTACTTCTGACCTTTCTTTCAAAGTTATCCACTGTAAGAAAAGCTCACATGCCATCATTTATTTGCAGTAACTACTGTCCCAAAACTAGTTACAGGACCTCAGGAAAAATAATTAGTCTCCACAGGATCAGTGTTACCAACACATACCCATGGAAGAAAGCAAATGTCACAGCCCAACGTGTAGGCAATAGTTCTTCCAGATGCTTCTGGTCTCACAGTGTACTCAACTTCAAGGATACCTTGGGGTTGTGTAGGGAACATGTTCTCAGATCCCAGGCCAGACGAACATACAGGGTGTAGACAGCCTGGGCTCTCACTAGGAACCCTCATTTCCTCAGACTAGAAAGTGCGGTGTTGGAAAGAGCTAGCTCTAGTCTAATTGAATTTGGCCCCATGAGGCAATGCTGTTGTTTGTTGCCACAGCAGAATTGAACACCAGCAAAGACCTCTCTTCAACTTCCCTATCCCCAGATTCCACAGGACCCAATAGTGTCAATCTCCCAGGTAAAAATCAAGCCTCTAAAAGATCACTTAGAGCAGAATAAGTACTCCGGACAGTGGTTGAATTGAAATCTTGCCCAGTGTGTATCCTAACTGAGGAAGTAACAGTCAGTATGTAAGTCATTACTGAGAAAGGAATTAAATTAGAACCAAGATCTTAATCTGATCCTACAGTCTTTAAAAATCTAACAGATGTGCAAAACACGGATAAAAACAAAATAAAATGGATTTACAAAAGAGGATACATACTGATATTCAGGAGAAAAGTTCCCCCATACACTATTGATTACAATGCAAGGAAGACCAATATCCATTTTATCCTACGTGGCTTCGAACTCCTCAAATATCTTTCTTGTAATAACACAACCTTACTTTGTGGGACAAAACACACGCAAAAAAACTACATTCTAATCATCAACCTATAAAGAATAACAGATCATTTTTTACATGGTTGCCCAAACTAAAGCGTTTAATACTCCTTGCTCCTATTTCTATCTCATACCAAAAACTTCCTTTAAGAAAGGTTTAGTATTACCAGCATGGTTTATGAGCAGAGAAACTAAATCATAGGCATCAACATCTCATAAGTAATGGTCTGCCCAGACATACTGACAAGCAAAATTGTACTTCATCACTCATTCTGTGCTGCCCAAAGAGGTACCGATGGGCCAGCTCTTCATTGGACCTAGGTTCGCCTACACAACCCTGTGTAAATTTTTTTTTAAGGCATATAAACCTCTAACGAGGATATCTTCATAGCAGGTGCATGTAGGTGGTTTTGTTCTCAGAAGCAAAACTGATATATTTGCAATCATGAATTTATATTCATTTATATTTCTGAGATAGTAGAAGAGTTCCCTAAAATTATATAGACAAAGGGCCACAAGCCAAAAAAAGGTATGCAATAATATATAATAATAATAATATGTAATGACCTGCCGTGTATTACAGATGAGGGGGAAGATAACTCACACTGCACACACGCATGCATACACATATGCACACATGGACAGAGAGCTCAAGCCTAAAATAAATGTTTAGGGAAGCAGCGTGATGCGGTCTAAAGAGACAGTCCTTTGGAGTCATCTGTGTTTTAAATTCTGCCTCCTGCCCAAGCTCTATGCCTCAAGTTCATTTTCAATAAAATGGAAATAGTCATAGTCACATCACAGGACTGTCACAAAGATTAATTAAGACAGAATATACAATAAGGCTTAGCCCAGTGCCTGTTGCATAGAAGACAATAAACATCAGCTACCTTCTCCTTCCCCTCCCTTATGTGTTTCTGAAGTCTTTTTTTTTTTATTGTACTGACTTATATGGGAATTCTTACAGCAGTTTAAAAAAAAAAACAGTTCCTACACAGTATATAGTCATTTACACATATGTATCTGTTGCAGCACCATAATTTGCAAAGAAAAACGAAGTAGTAATTTTAAAAGAAAAGTACCAGCTCACTCGCACTGCCTTTTCAAACCTTCAGCTTTACAGTCGACAGAGACTATTTGCTCTAGGGGTGCAGATTCTGAAATAAAGGAAAAAATTCTCATGGGAAAAATGGTTCTCAAAAAAAGCCAACACAGAATAGATAATGAGGGGAAATCTAGGAGTACAGAAAGCAGTTTATTTTACTTAACAAAGTAAAAGTCAAGCAAAATGAATAATCTGCCTCCAGAAATGGTTATTTAAAGGCTTTTTGTAAAGGGCTCTGGTTCCTAAAAAGACAGGAGTCACTGCATATGCCCACCCACTCCTCATTTATTTTTAAACCCTAGCTTATATGTTCCTTAGCAACAGAAGGAGCAGATGAGACCCCCCTACACACACACACACACACACACACACACACACACACACACCCTCTCTCCCAAAGCCCCCTTCTTTTTGCCTGTCAAGTTTCATTCCAAAAATACACATGTTCTTCAAAAGATATTTTTTGCCTACCTGCAAATCTCCACTCCTCCACCTCAAATGATCCCCCTCACGCAAGCAGCCATGCTCCATACCCTAACTCAGTCCTTTCACTCAGACTCCATTCTGTGAGGTCTTCCTGCCTCCTCTCCATAAGCTCCCACCAGACACTGTCCTCAGGTGCCCCCAGAAGGGAGGTGGTGTGGTCCCCACCAAGGAGCCGACCCTCAGCTCCTGACAAACCTGCTCTTTTTTTACACACCCTTCATCCATCCCACAGTAAAACAGCCAGCCCTGCTGCAGGAGTCCAGCACCAATGGCCGCCATGACGAGTGGGCAGGCCATTCACCATTACTCCAAAACAAATAAGTAACAGTGATCAAAATGGAGACAATTTCCTGTTACCCAGGCACAAACATGCTCCAGATGGAAGCACCTCCTTTTCACCATCTTTCCTCTGACTTTGAGACTGACTGGCCTGGTTTGGATGGGGAGGGTTTATGAGTTCAAAGATCAATTGTTTAGTCTTGGGGGCAAAATAGGGTGGCAATCCCCATATATTAGTCTGCATAAACATCGCCTGAGGAGCGTGTTAAAAATTCTCACCCACAGACAGTTTGATTCTGCAAGTCTAGGGTGGTGAGCACTTTTAACCAGACACCTGAGGTGACACTGATGCAGGAATTGGAGACTGTAAAGCTTTATTTAAAAGGAAATGATGTTCACGAAGTAGAATCCACCTCTATGTAAGGATTGTAAAGCAGACGCAATGTTATTATTCTTCTATAGAAACATGCTGCGTCTGTGTCCATGTCTATGCTTGTGTGTGTACACACTTACACGTGCATGTGTGAGCATGCAACTCAGAAAGCCAAAACCCCACACAACATACATTTTAAAAAAGGAGGCTCAGAGAATGACCCCTGACAAGAGGCAAGCTGAAATGATTTCCCTTGCAAACTCTGGCTTTGTCTTCCTACCCAGTGAGGACTCTGATGAATACCAATAAGCCAGGAGCAGCCTACACTGTGCTTCATGTAATCACCACCCCCTTCCAACTCACAGCTCCTAAATTAGGCTGAATGTAGTCCCTGTTCCCCCAGGGGCCAGACGGGCCATCATAACTAGGAAGTAGAACTGCCAGTGTCCTAGCATACCTCCCTAGAGCTACCCCCTCCCCACCATCTGTCTATTTTTAGAAACCAAAGTATAAAAAGAAAGATCCATTTGGACCTGATCTGTGTGAGTAACTAAGAGAACAACTCAGGTGGGGAACTCCCTCAGCGCACAGCGAACAAAATGCATGGGAGGAACGCAGAAGCAACAACCTCACCAGGAAGGCGTTTTAGGAGTCATCAGAAGTCAACACTTAGACACAGAGCACATGCCCTAGTGACTGTGGCCTCCAGGCCAGGCGATGTCTATGGGGATCCCAATTATTCACACACCTGCCCCCATAAATAAAACACACCCTCCCAAACCCACACACCTCTGTCATCTGCGTTTGCTTACATAACAGCACATGGTGTGACAGGCTTAATACTTTATATGGTTTTTGGGAAGGGAACACTAACTCAGAAAGAGTAGGGTTACAAGAATGTTTTCACTGACCCCTTTTCCAGAAACCCTCTGAGCTCCAGCAAGTGTACATCTTTGTAAACCTATGCTTGCATATCACCTCGACCTTTAACATCGATAAGCAGTAGGGTTAGTGTCAACAACTCTCCAAACCTGTCAATGTCTTTATTCTTGCCTGCGGAAGGGAGGGGTGAGAGAGACCTTAATAAATCCTAATTCCTCGTTGTTGGATTCTAATACAATGTGGGGTTATCTTTTATCCTAATTTAAAGGCCATTGATCCCACACTGTCCTTGTCTTACACATACACTCATCCTTAGGTGCAAATATGGTCCCCACTCTCACCTTCACCCCTAGCTTGCCAGCGGGCTCCCCACACCCTCCTCCAGCCAGGAGAGAGGCAAGGAGCACGCAGGCATGGAGCCCCCATAACCAGTGGCGCATCTACAGACATAAACCCACTCTTCCTTCATGGGGGATTTCGAGGCAGGTCCAACTTCCATAAGGATTTCTCTTCAGTGTAGTGCTATTCTTTTCTGCCTGTCGGAGTGATCTCAGCTGTCAAGTTAGTGCCAAAGGTTCATCCAGCGAAATCTGGAAGGTGGGGGAAGGGTGGTTGAAGATGACACCTGCTTAGGGGCAACTTTGACGACTTCTCTTAAGAAAACTAAGCATCACTGAGTCTGCAACCCTTTCTCTCTCTCTCTTTCTCTCTCTCTCTCTCTCTCTCTCTCTCACACACACACACACACACACACACACACACACACACACACAGACAAAATTTCTGTTGCTCTGACCTTAGGGACCCAGTGCTTCTCTCCTGCCACAGGGGAAAGCAGGCGTTGCTGCCCTCCAGCCTGGAATGATAGGATGGGGAGAAGACAGACATCCCCGGGAGGAGAGGGGGAAAGGGGGAAGGAGAGGCGTGGAAACAGAGAGGTGCCCAACTCCGCGGAAGCGCCCCTTGCTGGGTAGAAGAGTGGGTCTCCCGCCGCGGCGCACCTGTCTCGGCTGCCGGCTCCCCGCACCTACCTGTACGAGACCTGCTTCCGGAAAGTTAAGTTCCTCAGCTTCTCCTCCAGCGCTTCGTCCTTCTCCTTCTGGCCGGCGGCCGCGGGCTCGTCCAGGGCAGCGGCCCCCGCCGCCGCGGCTGACCCTGCGCCCCGCGGGTCCGCGCCGCCCTCGGCGCCCAGGCAGCAGCTCCCGGCGCCGCTTCCGCTGCTGCTGCTGCCGCCCGTCGCCCCTTTCTCCTCTCCCGCCGAGGAGCTGGGGTTCATGGCGCCCGCTCCGGCGGCCGCGGAGGGAGCGCAGGCGGCGCCGCTGCAGGGGCCGGGCGGGCTGGCGGCGGCGGCGGCGGCGGCTGCAGGAGCGCGGGCAGGTCCGCGCGCCGCTGGCAGGGGCAGCAAATGGCAGCCCCTTCCCGCAGCATCCATCCGCGGCTGCACCGCACCGGGGCATTGTGGGAAACTCCGCTCACTCCCCCGCCCCGGCCAATCAGAGGCCGCCGCTCCCCGCCTCCCGCGCCCTCCCGCGCCGGCCCGCACCCTCCAGCCCCGCCGGCCTCTTCCTAAATCCCGAGCGAAAGCCCAAGCTGAACATGAACTCTGCCCGGAGGCGACGGGCTGCGGCGGAGGGGGAGAGAGAGGAGGACAGGCTGCGACCCCGGGCTGGGGACGCCAGGGCAGGGACAGCGAGCATCAGGAAGGAGAGCGTCCGGGGAACTCGAGTGGCCGCGCCCTGGGTCCTGCACCGTGAGGCTGGGGGGACCAGGACCGGCGGGCGCCCACCTTGGTCCTGAGCCCAGCTGCCGACGCTGGGCCAGCACCCTCTCCACCGCCGCCCTCCAGTGAGCAGAGCTGGGCTCAGGCAGCAGCCCCTGGGCGCGGGAAGGTAGCGGGAGCTGCATTTAGGGGAGGGGGGAGGTAGCAGGAGCTCCGCCAGTGGGAACCTTGGAGTGAATTCGTCGGCGGGTGCCAAGTCGAAGCGCCGACCTCCTGTCTCTGGACTGGGGCCCGGACCCCTGCGTCCCCAAACTGCGTCCCCGCCTTGCTCGTCGCCCGGTGCCTTCCTTAGGCGCAGCAGACCCTCGGTAAACAGCGGTTAATTCGATGGAATCGGATCACAGGGCCCTCGGTGAAGCAGAAAGGCGGAGGAAATCCAGGAGGCAGAAGTGAGGACCCTGGCGCCTGGCGCCGCTGCGTTGTTCGTATAAGAAGAGGCATCCCGGAAGGGGCTTCAAACCACTTAGGACCGACTGCTGAAACGAATCCAAGCTTGTGGTGTCTGCAGAATTTAACTGTCCGCCTCAACCCCAGTTTTTGTTTCTAAGATTATCGAAAACTGTGCGGTTTGAGTGATGTGCTACAAAGTGTTTAAAACAGATTGTTTCCCAAATTAGGGGTTTCCACACAAGAAATCGCTGCTGTCGGCAAACACAGGAACTATCTATGGTTAAGACAAGGTGGTGTTCGTAACCAAACTATAAACCTACATATACGAGGTGGTAAGAGAACCAGACCAATGAACAGTTTCAGGCTGGCGTGGTGTGCCCGTGAACAAAGAATTGTAATACTGGCAAAAATCTAAATTGCTTTCTTTCCCTTTATTTTCTCATCACTAAAATTAGGAAAATGAACAGATATGTCAAATCTCTTCTAACACCCATGTTCTGTAACTCTCCTCGTATGTACCTTATAATAAGACAAAGGTAAAGACATTTCCATGTGCAGCGAGGAAAAGTAATAATAAAAATTAAAACAACTAGCAAGTATGAAGCCCTCTTTTTATACGGTATGTGCTGTATAAGCACTTCCCTCATCCACCTCTATGTTTTCACAGCACCTCTCAAGGGCTTGGACACGTGCAAATGCAAACTGGCAAAGCCAGGAGTCAAGCCAGGCTGCTCAGTGGCCTTTGTGCTTCACCCCAGTTTAATGCACCCGTCTTCAGAAGGGACATCGTGTATTAGGTGCTTCAACACAAGATCCACGAATATCTCGTACATCCCTAAAATCAAGCAAATGTCATCTGAACCCAATTACTGGGACAGCCCCCTCATTACTCCCACTTACTTTTAGCCGTATCTTCCCCAATCCAATCTCAAGTGTGAGCCCCAAAATACTTCTGATTTTTCACGCCTCCACTTAAAAATCTTTTGATTATGTCATATTGCCGTTAGGGTAAAGTTCAAACAACTCAGCTGATTTTGAGGGCTACATTGGTGGGTGGTGGAGTACTGCCCGCTTTCCCTTCATACTGTCATGACAGTGAGGTTCTGAACTGTTCTTTGTGCAAACCCCACACGCTCTCTGCTCTCTCCATTCCCATTTTTGCACGTGTGAGTCTGCTGTCTCCTCTTCTTTGCTTCTCCTTTTCCTAAGATTTGCCAAGCCAACTACTCTACACCTCCATCGGATTTTAGTTTACATGTCTCTCCCCATGTTTCTCCCCACTAGAAGCCTCCGTTGATGATCCCTTTCTAGACTGTGATGGACGTACCTCCCATAGCTCCCATTGCACCATTGTACTAAACTTGGACCACTGCAACTGTCATGTGTCTATTTATCCCACATGTATATAAACGCTATATGTTGTTTATCACTATATCTTCAGTAATAATAAACAGGTAACATAATTGCATAAGTGTGTATATCATAGACCATCATGAAGTGTTTATTGACTGAGAAAAGAAATATACATCGTTGTGAACATAATGAAAGACGTCATTTTTCAGAACAAACAGTTTGATAATAGATGGTATTGATGAGGGGGTATGAAAACAAATGCTTCCTCAAATTTTTGATATACTTTAACTAGTAAAATCTCTCTGATGGTAAATTTTACAATATCTATCCATGTTTGAAATGCATGACCTAATTAACTAAGCAATTTCACTTCTAAAAATTCGTCCTCTGATATACTTGTAGGTATACACAAGGATTTAAGATTGAAAACAACCTAAATTGTTATTCATCCAAACAATGGAATTCTCTGGAACTGTCAAGATACATAAGGCAAGTTAACATTCATTAATATAAAACAATCTCAAATATATAATGTTAACAAAAAAAGAAAAACAATGCTCAGAGTATTTAGTAGTATGCTATCATTTATGGAGAAAAGAAGATCTATAGAGATATAATATTTCTGGAAGGATACATAAGAAAATGGTCACAGTGAAGCGGAGTTGAATGGCTCTAGCTAGAGTCTTGAGGTTTTGCCTGATTCAATAAGTACATGCCAACAGAATGTCTCCCAGCCTATCAGAAAAGCCAGCTGGACCTCTCAAGTGTGTATTTATATGTTTAAATAGTGTATTAATGGGTTGCTAATCAGAGGAATATTGGGTTTTTAAAAAAACAGTCATTGAACATTAACTCTAACTTAAGACAGAGCGACATTTGGGAAGCACAAATAATTCCAGCAAAAGACAAATGAATTCTGTTGTGGGGTGATCTCCTGAGAAGTTACTTAAAATATTAGTCATTCTCTTAGACAATTTATTTTCCTTTCTATTTTTCAACGATCACCAAGTAACCTTGTAATTATTCATCCTGCTTCTTAGTTTCCTTGACACTAAAAAGTGGAATCCTTGAAAATGGGTCAAAAGCATTCTAATCACAAAAATAAATTGACATTCTGCTTTGAAACTGCATTGCATGTGATTTTGAGTAACATAAGTACATAACCAAGAAAATGAGCATCTCTGGGTATATTGAAACATCCAGTGTCTGGACCTGGAAGTATAATCTCAGACCTCAGATGGACAATATTTCCATGACTGGGCCCAAAGCCATGCCCCATTTGGTGAGCTTCCTAACTCACCTTTCTATTATTAATTACTGTTCAATCTAAAACAGGTGTCATCCTAGTCTTAAATACCAACCTTGAGTCTCCTAAATGCCGAGCTTGATAAAAGGGCTTCAATGTGAAGTTTGAAAGAAAGAAGAAAAAAAATTTAAGTCTAGATAAGACTGCAAGACCAGATAATAATGAGAACATTATATTTAACATTTTTAAATGTATGTAGTTTTCAGGAATTTCAGGAATTTTCCAGAAATAACACAGAATGTTTTTTTAAAAAGTGACACATTTAAACATGCATATGCACACATTGGAGACCTCAGTTATGTATAAAACCAGGAAAAGATAATAGAGCTTTTGAAAATGTTGTCACTGAGGAAAAAAAGAAAAAGAAGTTTCCAGGATTAAGTTTCCAGGATGTATCATGTTGTACAGAAATGATAACTGAGCTCTCTTGTCAAAGCCTACAAGGCCCCACTTGGTCTCTCCTGTGCCTCCTCCATCCCTGCAGTCCCTCACCTTCTGACTCAGCTCTCCTAACATCCCATTTCTCATACATGCTGTATTAGTCCATTTTCACACTGCTATAAAGAACTCCCCGAGACTGGGTAATTTACAAAGGAAAGAGGCTTAACTGACTCACAGTTCTGCATGGCTGGGGAACCCTTAGGAAATTTACAATCATGGCAGAAGATGAAGGGAAAGAAAAGACCTTCTTCACATGGCCGTAGGAGAGGCAGAGCAGAGAGTGAAGGGGGAAGAGCCCCTCATAAAACCATCAGATCTCGTGAGAACTCACTCACTATCTTGAAAACAGCATGGGGAACCACCTCCATGATCCAATCACCTCCCACCAGGTCCCTCCCTCGACATATGGGGATTCCAGTTCGAGATGAGATTTGGGTGGGGACACAGAGCCAAACCACATCACATGCTGAGCTTATTCCTGCCTGCCCGTAAAGCTCTACCTCAGAGGTTCCCAGACTTTCTCAGTTCACACCACCCTTTACTGAATGTCTCAGTAATTATTTTTCCTGGCACTTCTAGGCTGAGATTTATGAAGATGAACCTAACACTTATGTTTATTAAGTATTCAGATGCTAACAATTCAATAAACATTTACTTCTTGACAACATTAGTAGCTATTTGAAAAAAACATAAATTGAAAGAAAAAATGTTTGTACTTCATTTGTAAGCAGCCACAATCACTTACCAATGGGATAGTAATGGGCATGACACAACCTCTCAAATCTTAGGATCATATTAGACACCACCACCTTCATTTCCTGTTCCACACTAATTTTCATGTGGTATTGCTCCTTAATACCACATGAAATTGCAACCACCAAAACCCAGCTTTGCAAACATAATGATGTCACTGAAAGAATGTAGTGTAATCTAGTGTTGAAACTATCAACTACATTGAGTCAGTAGTATGCATGGTGTCTAACAAATGTCAAGTATCTCTGAGTTTCTTTCAAAATTTTAATATATCCTGCGGTGCCCCTGTGAATATACGGCAGAAACCTGAGCACCTCCATGAACCTGAGCACAATTCCTGAACTATGGTTCATATTTTTGTATTGTGTTTGTTTTTGTCTGAGTTTTCTAGAAAACAGATCCTGAGGCAAAACTTACAAGCCAAGACTTTATGTGAAGTTGTAATTCCAGGACTCAAGAATGAAGGAAAAAGAGAATCAAGGCTGAAAAGGAGGGGAAAGTAAATTCAAGGTGGCGAGTTATGAATGACTACAGCATCACAAAACAACATACCTGCTTTCTTGGTCACCAGCACTTCTTCCAGACAGGACCTACATCATTATATCCAGAAACATTCTGTCCACAGGAGAGAGTGGAGATTCTCTGCCAATGTCTTCTTGTCTCCTGTTGAAACTGGTTGAAGTTTGTCCCTTAGAGAACTAATTAATTCACCCTCACCTCCAGGTTCTGTTACTGGCTCTTTATGGCAACTGCTAGGGAACCCAGATCCCCCAGTGATTGGAGGAACCTCTGAGGATACAGACTGATTGCACCTGAGCACCAAACTTGTGAGTCTCCTTCTAATGCAATCTCAGTGGAATCCAGTCACTGGGAGAGGCTGAGGTCACTGGCACAGTTGGGATATGAGGCACTGGCAATGGCAATGGTGGCTTGGGCTGGCCACTGAGCAAGCAAAGACACAAAGGTGTGAGAGAATAGATGGAAGCCAGCCATTCTGGGGACATAAATTGTGTCTTATGTGCTCCAATTCTTCTTATCATTCAGGTCTTACTTCTCATGTTATCTCATCAGAGAAGCCTCTCGCTCCCTAAACTGCCCTTCTCAGCCATTAGCTAACATAGAACTGTGTCTGTGTTAAACTGTTCCCGTGTTCAACCTAGAGTTGAAGATTGTCAGACTTATATCATGGCCATAAAAAATATGAAGCTACAGTGGGAGCTTGCTGAATTAGTATGGAGAAAAATATTTTAGGTTCTATTGATAGGAATTGATTTCAACAGGCAGTGTCTAAGCTAGATTTAACTAAAAATAGAACTATTATATTGCAAGGAGGGAAGAGGTCTTTAGATTACCCAGTCCAGCCCCCTCTCATGCATGGTGCTCCCACAGCATCTCTTCATGTGATTTTTTTTTTTAGACTTAAACAATTGAAGTTACAGAGGAGTCACTACTTTCTAAGACAACCTAGTCATTTTCAACAGGCTCTGTCATAAAGTGCTTTCCATTTTTTTTTTTTATCATTATTCCTCATTCGAACTGCTGGTGTACCAAAAAAACCTATGTATAATTTACAATGACTGTACTTGAGCAGCTAGTTTGCGGGGGGCAAATTGAGGAATTAGCTTGCATTCCCACTCAATTTCCTCTTGCTGTGTTCTGACTCTCACTCTCTCAGGCAAAAGTCTTTGGGATCCAGAGTCTGACATTCATTGCATTCACTATTTTTCTTGGTTACTTATCAAGAGCAGGCCTGATCTGCAGCAAACTCAATGAAGTCACCAATAAATTTCCTCCCAAAAAGGATAAGGTTGGCCTCAGAATGTGCAATGCACTCCTGGAAACCTTAATTCATTCTGACAGTCATTTGTTTTACAGGCAGTTGGTAAATGTCTACTTGTAATTATAATGTACTGTTCAAGGTACCAGTAATTCAGTGAGGAAAAACTAAAGACCCTGCTCTTTTGGTGCTAAACATTCCAATGTTCCACTAATTAATAACTTCTGTGTATAGTTATTAAAATCCATATTAAAACATTCAGCTGGACTCTCATTCAATCTGCATTCCTGTATTTGTGTGCAAAGTTTGGTTGGTAAACTATGCCTAATATTCTTTTTATTGCATTTCCCTAAGGTATCAAACAAGAAATGCTATCAAGGAAAATGATGCTAATCTAATATGACTTTTTAATTAATCCATTTAGATTTGCAGGGAACATATATTTACTGTTTCAGCATATTACAAAGACTTTTTGAGCCTCTTCGTGTATGAACATTCTGCTAATGCTAAGGATTCAAAGATGGATACAATTAGATAACTTCCCTGGAAGAGACTACCATTTAATTGTAATAAATGAAAACCATTTCCTTTCGTCTTCACTTCTTTTTACGTAGAGTAATGAAAGTCAAGTGGCAAACACCTTGACCTTTTAACTTAAAAGCCATTCACATTCCCTTTCTCCATCTTCCTAGAATATAGAGATGTACAAGATGAAATGCTTTCTTTTCCACTGCCCTTAAGTGAAGTGTGACTATGTGACCTGGTTCTGAACAAGGAGATCAAAGCCAAAATAATCAAATGGAGCTTCTTCTGGAGATGTGTTTTATTAGTACAGAAAGATAATATGCCCTCTCAGTCCTTTGCCCTTTTCCTTCTTCATGCTTAGAGAGGAGCTCAATGCCCACAAGTATAATAACCGTCTTGCAACCATGAAAATGAAAACCATTCACTAAGCATGGAAGAGTCAGAAAATGTAATAGGCCTTAGTCCTTGATGACTTCTTTGAGCAGTTGCCAGCCGACTACAGTCCACCTACTGCTAGACTTTTTATTATGTAAGGAAATTAAACTCTGATCTGTATAAGCCACTGTTAAGTGGATTTATTTTTTTCTTTACTTGCAGCCAAATGCATTCTTATAACATGGCACAAATAAATTCAGAAAAATACTTGATATATTGATTGAAATATTCATAATAATCCATATAAAATAAGATATTTGGACTATCTTGTCCCTAAAATTATACTTTTATGGATAATTTCCAAACTTAACTATAAAATTAGCAATATTACTCTTTAATCAAATAATCTCACTTCTAGAAATGCATCTTAAGAAAAAAATCCCAAATGAAGATTCCAAGTAAAGAAAGATATTTGTTATAGAATTGTTTATAATGTTAAATTAAAGAAAGTGACTTAGCTGGTCAACAATAGGAAAATAATTAAGTAAATTTTTCAATGTCCAGTGGAGGAACCTTATGCAGACCTCCAAAATAATAGTTGTGGGTCTAAGTAGAAATAATACAAATTGCTGATGATGTGCTAAATGAAAACACTAGGATATAAAATTAAGTGATACCATCCTTGAAACTATATAGAATATGAATAAACAAAGAAAAGGAACACAAAACAGGAAATTAGTTGACTTTAAAGATAACTCTTAATTTTTAAATTATTTATAGTGTTACACTTGTAAGACATTTTAAATGATAAATATTATTTTATTAAATACTGTATTATTTTAAAATATATCTTCTCTTGTGCCTCTACCAGGGACAGAGGTATTATAAACCTATGGTTTAGAACACTGGAAAAATATAAACAGAGCTATAGATTTAAACAAACAACATAAAACATTTTAATTCAGTATATAGAGGTAAAATTGGGAATGCTCATAAAGATTAGAATGGTTCCACTCAAGAATGAACATGAAATGTAAAGTCAAATAAGGTAAAGAAATTTGGTTATGGTTTTGTTTTCCTTGAGTGTCATGCACAATGAAGTTATTTTAATAATTAAGGTTGTCTTTTGCACAAATGAAAATGGCAATAATAAGATGTCAGAGCTGTAAGGGATGTTGGAGATTATCTGTCATCATCTTTCACTCACAAATTAAGAAACAGACCTTGAGAAGATAAATGACTCACCCAAGGTCACATAAGTAGTCAGTGGAGAAGGAGCAATGAAGTTCAGGTCTTTTTCAATGTTATTCATCCCCCAGAATAAACACGCATTAAATAAGCATTCATTAAGTAGCTAGCTATTCTGTGCTAGCTGTATTTGGACACTGTGAATATACGGGACACTGTGTTTCACACTCTACACAAAGATAAGTTGTGGACATATCCTACCCTTAAAGGATCAGAGTTTTGTGGGGTGAACATTAGGGTAATAATTATAAGACATATTGATATAAGTACTTGCATTCTACTAAGTTCCATGTGCCTTGGGGCATGACCTTGAAGGACATAACATAACATTTGGTGTCTGAGAAGTCTCAGGAAAGAAATGACTTTTGCCTTATCTCTAAAGGTTTGAGTGAAATTTTACCACCCAGAAACAGCACATTGCAAAAGCACAGAAAAATGAAAAACTTGGGTGTTCTACAGAATGCAGAATACATTGATATGGCACAAATTTGGAATGGGGGTAGGTGGCAAGGAAGAAGGGGAGGCAGATGAGGCTAGAGTGGGGCAAGTTACAGACACTTGGAGAGATTCTTCTATTCTGAGGATTTTGAAATTTGTGGAATAGGAAGATAAAATACATGGATTATTCCTAGGCAGGAAAAATGGTATAATCATATAATGTAAGTTTCAGAAATGTATCAAGGTGTGGAGGACAAAGCTGGACAGGAAGAAGCAGGAAGACAAGTTATGAGGCTATTGAGGTAGTCTGTGCAAGATATACTAAGGACCTGATATGAGGAAGTGACAGTGGGCTAGGAAAGGGAATAAATACTTGAAAGATATTTCTGAGGTATAATTTTTAAAATTTTAACAAATTGGTTGTAAATAGGGAAATGGTGGAATAAGAGTTAAATCCAACCATCCTGAAGTAGTTTAATCAATAAGTAGCTCTAGAAATTTTAGGCAAATTTAAATAACACAAAAACCCTAAAAGAATTTAATTTGCTCCTATCTGTACGTCACAAAGTGATGCTCAAAACTTCCATAATTAGCACATCAAATCTCTTGGTAATCAAATGCAAGTTTTGCAAGGGAGATCTTGAATTAAGAATATATATCACACTTACCAAGACTGAATCAGGAAGACATAGAAATATGAATCAGATCTATAACTAGTAATGAGATTGAATTATTAATCAACTATCAAACAAAGGAAAGTCCAGGACCAAATGGGTGTCACTGGTGGATTCTGCTAAACGTTTAAAGAAGAATTAACACTAATTATCCTCAGACTCTTCCAGAAAATTAAAGAGTTCCAAACTCATTCTATAAGGCCAGCATTAATCTTATACCAAACCCAGACAAAAACACTTCAGGAAAACTATAGACTAATATCCCTGATGAATATTGACACAAAATCCTCAACAAAATGCTACCAAACAGAATTCAACAGCATATTTAAAAGATTCTACACAATGACTATGTGAGATTTATTTCTGGAATGTGAGGATGATTCAACAGATGAAAATCAATCAATGTAATATATCACATTAACAAATCAATCAATGTAGTATATCACATTTACAAAACGAAGGGTAAAAAAAACTCAGTCGTCTCAATTGATATAAAAAAGAACCTGACAAAATTCAACAACCTTGAATAATACAATAAAATAACTCAATAAACTAAGGATAGAGGGTAACTACCCTAACATAATAAAAGCCATATATGAAAAATTCACAGCTCACGTCATATTCAATGGTGAAAGACTGAAAGCTCTGTCTCCAATATCAGAAACAAGACAATTATGCCCACTTTTGCCATTTCTATTCAACACAGTCCTGGAAGCTTAAGCCAGCACTATTAGGCAAGAAAAATCAGTAAAAGGCTACACACTGAAAGAAAGAGGTAAAATTATCTCCGTCTGCAGACATAATCTTAAGTGTAGAATGCTTTAAAGATTTCACCAATTATTATTTTTTAAACTACTAGAACTAACAAATTCAGCAAAGTTGCAGGATACAAACTCAACACAAAAGAAGCAGGTGTGTTTCTATACACTAACAATGAGCAATCCAAAAAAATAAGAAGCAGCAGCCAATTCCATTTACAGTAGCACCAAAAATAATAAAATACTTCGGAGTAACTTAACCAAGGTGGTCAAAAAATTGTATATTGAAAACTACAAAACAATGTTTAAGCAAATAAGACACAAATAAATGGAAATATATTTTTGTTTATTAGTTAAAAGACTTAATATTGTTAACATATCAGTACTACCCAAAGCAATCTATAGATTTATGCAATTCCTGTCAAAATACCAGTAGCATTTTTTGCAGAAATAGAAAAATCCATTTTCAGATTCATATGAAATCACAGGGGACCCCAAATAGCCAAAACAATCTTCTAAAAAAAGAACAAAGATGGAGGTTTTACATTTCCTGATTTCAAAACTTATTAAAATGCTATATTAATCAAAACTATGTGGTACTGGCATAAAGACATGCATATAGACCAATGGAATAGAATAAGAGAGCTCAGAAATTAGCTCTCATACATAGGGTCAAATGATTTTTGGCAAGAGTGTCAAGACTGTTCAATGGGGAAACAGTGTCTCCTCAACAAATGATGCTGGGAAAATTGGACATCCATATGCAAAAGAATGAATTTGGACCTCTATCTTACACCATATACAAAAATTACGTCAAAATGGATCAAAGATCTAAACTGAAGACCTAAAACTATAAAATGCTTACCAGAAAATATAGAGGAAAAGCTTTATGATATTAAATTTGGCAAAGATTTCCTGGACATGACACCAAAAACACAGGCAAGAAAAGTAAAAGTAGACAAATTGAAATATATCAAAATATAAAACTTCTGTGCATCAGAGGACACAAGCAACAGAGTAAAAAGGCAAACTATGGAATTAAAGAGAATATTTGTAAATACATCTGATAAGGAATTAATATCCAGAATATATTAAGAACTCCTACAACTGAACAACAACAAAAAAATAACCTGATTTAAAAATGGAAAAAAATCTGAACAGACATTTTTCAAAAGTGATATATAAACGGATATAAATGGCCAACAAGCATATGAAAAGATATTCAACATTGTTAATCATTAGGGAAATGCAAATCAAAACCAACAATGAGATATCACTCACACCCATTAGAATGAAGAAGAAAGAAAAAAAAGATGGAAGGAAGGAAGAAAAAAAAAGAAAGAAAGAAGGAAAGAAAGACAGGGAAAGAAGAGTTGATAAAGATAAGGAGAAATTGGAACTTTAGTGCACGATTGGGAATGTAAAATGGTGCAGACACAAGGAAAAGAGTGTAGCAGTTTCTATATGATCCAACAATTCCACTGTTGCACATATATATGCAAAATAATTGAAGGCAAGATTTCAAAGAGATAGTTACATACTCATATTCATAGCAGCACTATTCACAATAGCCAAGAGGTAAAACCAACGCAAGTGTCCATTAATGGATGAACAGATAAGCAAAATGAGATCTATTCATACAATGCAATATTAATTAGCCTTCAAAAGGAAGAAAACTCTGACACAGTCAACAACTTGGATGAATTTTGAAAACATTATGCTAAGTGAAATAAGCCAGTCACAAAGAGACAAATACTGTATGATTCCACTTAATAAGAGATATCTAGAGTCGTCAGATTCTTAGAAATGGAAAGTAGAATGGTGATTGCCAGGCACCAGGGCAAGGTGAAAGAAACAGTTGTTATTTAATGGGTACAGAGTTTCTGTTTTGCAAATGAAAAAGTTCTGGAGATTGGTTGTACAGCAATGTGCATATACTTAATACTCCTGAATTATACAATTAGAAATTGTTACAATGGTAAATTTTATATATATTCTTAACCACAATCGAATTTTTGAAAAAAGAATACTAGTGGTGGAAAACCTCTGAAAGAAGGGTAAAAAACTATGTTATGGGCAACAATGAAAATAAATTTACACTGAGGCCACAAATTATTGAAATTCATCTCTGACTTTAAGTCTCAGACCATGAGCAAGGAAAATAAATTCTCTTAAGAAGATAGGCCCAAATGACTAAGAGTCAGGTAGAAGCAATTTGCAAAGCAAGGAAAGAAATAATTTCTTGATGGAGTCATCTACACTGTGATGCCAATCCCTGCACCAGTTTTCGTTGGAGCGTGCCCTCCCCTCTTCATTAATCAAAGGTAATGCAGAATTACAGAATGGAATTACTTGCCAAAGAGTTTTCCATTTTCTGTCCCTGAGATGATGCTGATTGGAGCGAGAAAAGTTTTCTGAGGACAAATGCTCACGCTCTTAGCACCAGAGTTTGCTTGTAGCAAAAACAGAATGCTTAGAGGTGTGCTTTTGTTATTATTCTCAGTGGCTCTGGTGAGCCCAGTGCAATCAGCGATACTCATCCAGGCCAATTCACCATTAGGGAGCCGCACATGAAACCATTTACATTTCCCATTTTGTTTCAAGCAAGTCAGGTCTTTAACTGGATTGTGGTAATTGAACCTTCCTGTTACAACACTGCTTTTGCTGCCCAACGGATTCAAAAGCTGCTCTCGTTACATTTATTTGAACTTTTATTTCATTCATACTTTATACCTCTGGTTCTCAATCTTCAGTCCTGTAGCGAACTCTATAAAAGGAAAAAGAAATTCTTACAGACTCTCACAGATTCATTTAAATTCTTTTTTTGTTTTATTTTATTATTATTATTATTTTTTTTTTTTTTTTTGAGACGGAGTCTGGCTCTATCACCCAGGCTGGAGTGCAGAGGCGCGATCTCGGCTCACTGCAAGCTCCGCCTCTCGGGTTCACGCCATTCTCCTGCCTCAGCCTCCCGAGTAGCTGGGACTACAGGCGCCCACCACCACGCCCGGCTAATTTTTTGTATTTTTAGTAGAGACGGGGTTTCACCGTGTTAGCCAGGATGGTCTCGATCTGCTGACCTCATGATCCACCCGCCTCGGCCTCCCAAAGTGCTGGGATTACAGGCGTGAGCCACCGCCCCCAGCCCATTTAAATTCTTTTAATGATAATTTTAATTAAGTATGTTTTACAAAAATAAGCCTAAAAGTCACAATACTAATTATACAATAATGAAAACCAAATAATATTCAAATACAATGTGAGTATATAACCCAAACACTCAAAATCCTAATATTAATGTTGTATGACAGTGTTGTTTTTCCTTGAATTGTATCACCACCTTCACCTGTTTGCTCCAGAGCAGGTTCTTTTTAGATAGGTGCTGTGAGAACACTCAGTTGTCTGGTCATATTTCTATGCTGCAATTACAGTGGAGCCTCTGCTCACACAGCCTGTCATGATGCCATTTGGCCTCTCTTAGCACAAAGGCAGCATTTACATAATAATTCCATTCCTATCCTTTACTCATTAGCCCACAGTCACAAAACAGTGCTATTTGGTGATCAGCGCAAATGGGGCCCCTGAAATCAGAGAGCAATTTTTATCGAAAGAAGAGTCTAAGTGATACAGAATACATCTCCACTGTATTAATTTTTAAATGACCATATAAATTAAAACAAAAATTTTAATTTTGAAGAGAAATAGCAGAGGTTCTTGGGATTGGTTGAGGAACACTACTCTATTACCATGCTGCCCTTACTATCTATTTAATACTTAAATACAGCATTTCATTATTTTCTATTTGTCTCTGCCAGTTAGAGTGTCAGCTCCTTGAGAGCAAGAAGCCTTATGGTTCTATTGCTTCCCCGACAGTATCCAATAATGCTCTGCCCAGGATAGTAAATTATGAGTAATCAATTGATTGCTTGCTTCAGAGGTTGCTGAATTCAATGATTGATTAAGGCTTCCTGAGTGTTAATACTTCAGAGTCTGTACCAGTCAGTTCACTGGTTTAGAGAAGACATTATTATTGTAGATTACAGAAAATGGGTTCAGACCAAATATGAGCCATTTTGAGACATGAAGGGAGGTTCTGTCGGCTTACCACAGTAGTGCTCCATTTGCCTGCCACCTGCATTCAGATCATAACCCCTGAGCACTCACACCTCCTGCTGGAGCCCTGAGCTAGAGAATGGAGATGGCCAGGTGTGGTGGTGCACACCTATAATCCCAGCTTCTGGGGAGGCTGAGGCATGAGAATCACTTGAGCCTGGGAGGCAGAGGTTGCAGTGAGCTGAGATTGCGCCCTTGCACTCCAGCCTGGGTGACAGAGTGAGACTCCATCTTAAAATAAATAAATTAAATTAAATTAAATTAAATTAAATTTTAAAAATTAAAATAAAACAAAGCAAGTACAGGAAAACCTAAACCAAACATGCCATAGTCAACAACTTGTCTCAGAAGGACTTGGTCGTGGAAAGGATGCTGATGAGAATTTGGAGCCCTGGCTGCTCTGTCTTTATCACCAAGAAGTTGTGTGGCTTCAAGCAGGTCATCTAACTTTTCTAATGTTTAGTTCTTTTATCTATAAAATGAAAGTTGAAAGAGAGGTTCTCCAAGATTCCTTCTTGCTCCAAGAATCTAATAAATATGAATGAGGTGGGAACTGGAGACTTGAGGCCGACTCCACCTTATCGTGTATTTTGTTGCCCTAAACATCCTGAAAGAGGCCCTTACTACTAAATTGCTCCATTTTTTCCTCCTGAGAAACAAACAAAAGTCTCTCTCTCTTTCTCTATGTTCTCCCTCCTTCTCTTATTCCTCCCTTTTCTCTCCAGGTTGTGACTACCAAAAAGGAAGAAAGGCAATGGTATCAGGAGCACTTTCACAGGGAGTAACAGCAGCACTTCTTAAAGATACCATTGTGTTCCCTTGCTCTCAGGAATAGATATGGATCCTTCTGATGCTTTTCCATCACAGAAAGTAAATTCACGAGTGTGCTTGCCAATCTGAACATTGAACTACTTCCAAATGATCGCTTCATCCAAGCTAATGGATAACTGTAGTCTGATAGTCAAGAGCTCATTGATGTATTTCCTGCTCCATTACTCAATAAACATTAAATAACAATAACAGAAAAGATACTATTAAAATAGCTCTGTCTGAATTCGTTGAGAGGGAAGAAAGTAGGAAGGAAGAGGAGGGAAGACATTATGCAGAAAGTTGTAACTCACATAAAAGGAGATGTGTTTGTTCTTCACAGCACTGGAGCTGCCAAAATGACTTTGCGTTTTGCTTCGTATCTGTGAATGCTGACTGAGTTTTGAATGCTACTCTGACATTTGCTGATGTGGAAGCCTCTGACCTCTTGTAGGAACATGTAATCACGTGGAACACAGTGGCTTCCCTGAGCTGCTCAAATCATTATTACTTTTTTAAAAAGGATATGGAGAGATTTAAGAGAGTTAAGAGACAAGTAATGAAGATTACTGAAAAAAATTAAAATGGGGAAAAGGAAAGGAATGAGAGATGTTTTTTGAGTTTGAAAAGGAAAAAGCTAATGGCTGACTTAATTACTATCTTATGGGAATATCAGTAGATTTGTTATGGGACAAAGCAAAAGAAAATAAACTTTCTGTATCCTCTAATAATTTTTTTAATTCAGAATCTCTTTTGATTCCAGAAACTCTAATTTGTTCTTCAAGCAAACATCTCTTGATCCCCAATTACATTTTTATTGACATTGTGTTCAGTTCTTCCATTAGTTCTGCTTCCATAGAAAGCACCTAATCTGATTGTTTCACCTGAGCTCCCCTTTTCTAATATCTCTGCCTCCTAATATAGCTTGTGATGTTTCTTTGCCTACGTGGGCCAACCAGCCTGTGATATCCTAAGCACCAGTGCAGTCAGACTGTTGGGCTTCCCAGGCAGATGCGGATAGTCAAGAAGTGAAGGTAAGGAAGGTGTCATTCCTCTCTTCAGTGGGTCTGCAGCAAGAAGTCTGGTCAAGAGGGGAGACCTTCAGATATCCCTCTGCTGCTAAGAGTTCCTGCCAGATGAAGCACAGACAAGCAGCCTCTCTTCCAGTTGGCAAAGCCCCTGCTCTGAAAAGGTCCACTAGCTCAGCTAGCTGATTGCTGAAGGCACCCACACAGATGGTGGTGTTTGTCTCAGGGCCTTGACTAAAAGGCATGCCTCCTTTGCAGCTTTCAGTACTAGGATCATCCTTTCTGGTGTGGCTATCTGGACTGTCCACCAAGTTCCTAGTCTGGGTATCATCTTATATTAACTGTCCACCAAGTTCCAAGGTTTGGCCACAGTTATTTCAGTGGTCCAGTGGCTCATGCAAAAAGTAGAAAAATTGGGGGGCCTAAAATATGTGCTCAACTTATGAGGTCCCCAAATCATTCAGGGCATTACTTGAAACTAACATCAGAAAAAAAAATCATAATCGGTTTTGAGGAATTCTTGGAACCTCTAGTGAATTCACTGGTTTCTCTCTCATTCTCCGTTCCACCCACAATTTTACTGACCCATTTTTATTTCCTGGTACTTGTCTTCTGCCACATACCGGTCTATTCAACTAACCATTTTTACATGTCAAAAAAATCCACAAATTCATTTCCCCCTTCCTACCTGCCTAATTTTTTTTTGCACATGCATGTCCATTAAGCTGGATGGAAATGCTTACATGAGTCAAAATGTGAGTGAATGTCTCAACAGAAGCATGTCATAAATACTGATGCCTGAACTTTACCCCAGAACAAATTATTTAGAATCTCTTGGAATGGGGCCCAGGCTTCAACGTTTTGATAAAAACATTCCGGATAATTCTAACATATAGCCAGATCTGAAAACCTTTGATATGAAAGCTTGTTGGTTTCTTCTGGCCCCAGCACTCTAGGCACTAGTCATGAAGTGTTGAGTACCTGATAAAATAGCACTGGGCCTGGCTCAGTGGCTCATGCCTGTAATCCCAGCACTTTGGGAGGCCAAAACAGGTGGTCACTTGAGGTCAGGAGTTCGAGATCGGCCAACGTGCTGAAACCTCACCTCTACAAAAAATGCAAACATTAGCTGAGCATGGTGGTGTGCACCTGTAGTCCTAGCTACTAGGGAGGCTGAGACGGGAGAATCACTTGAACCCAGGAGGCGGAGGTTACAGTGAGCCATGATCATGTCACTGCACTCCAGCCTTGGTGGTAGAGTGAGACTCTGTCTCAAAAATAAATAAATAATAGAACAAATAATAAAGTAGCATGGTTCCCCAAGGCCCTTGCAGTATAAATAACAGGTGTTAAAGTAGTTTCCAGAGGGGAGAGATTTCATTTGTAAAAGTTTTGTGGTATTAGTGGGATTCATATAAAGTTTTAAATTATAGGTAAATCCATGAAGAATTTCTGTCTAGAAATCTTACACACACAATAATAATTATAACTAACACTGATGTCATGAATACTATGTGCCAATTATTAATATATTACTTATATTCACTTACTCTAAACTCACAATAACCCTGTAAAGTAGGTATCATTTTTATTACTATTTTACACATGAAGGAACTAAAGCAGAGAAATGATAAGACTTTCCTAAGATCATAAAGGTAGTACATTGCAAAGTCAGAATTTTGAACTTTAGGCATCCGGCTCCAGGATCTGTGCCTTAAAAACTCTAGAATAGTAGTATGTCTCTAGGTCAGAACTCCACTGTGGAACCACTTCATTCATCTATGATTCCTTACACTGATCTAAACATTTTCTCTTTTCCATCTCTATCTATGACTTCTACTCTTGCTTTTGAAGACAAATCTGTTCCTTCTAAAGAAGGACCCTTATATATCTAGGATTTTAGAATGTTAGGGCTAGAAAAGCCTTCATAAATCAACCAGCATTGCCTCTACCTTTATAGGAGTGTTTCCAATTTACTCGGTCTCCTTACGATTGTGTCTAGTCTGCTGTGACACAGGTTGCATTCTCTGGAATAAGATGCTGAATTTGAGTCTGGGGTACAAACAGTTAATCTATGGAAGGAAAGAGAAAGAAGCAAGATTTGGCAGAGAGTCAGACTGAAATAGAGTCCTAACAAACCTGGGCCAATCCAGTAGAGACATCTGAAGTGAATATTTCCTAGCAGACACCTTGTTCTGCACAGGGAAGAAACAGTCAGGGTCTTTATATCCTCTCATTGCTCAGAAACAGGATATTAGCTTCTCCAGTGACCTTTAGAAAGGCAACTTGTGTCTTCTAAAGAAGATCCTGAAGGAACTGACAGCCTGTCAGTTGACCAACCATACTCCTTGCAGTTCAATAGATTTAAAGCAATAGCTCCCAGGGAAACAAATATGAAAGTTAAGAGATATTACTGATAGAATGAGTTCTGTAATAAGAGCAATCAGAGTTACATAAGTGTAACAGAAGGAAAGGTAAAGAGTCATATTAGAAAAGAGAATGGCAGAGGACTTCCAAAATTGATGAAATATACCAATCCCCAGATTAAGGAAATGCAATGAATCTCAAGTTTAATAGGTTAATGAACACATCATTGAGTCCATTATTAGACAAAGAAAAGATTATAAGGAAGCCAGAGAAAATGCCATATTAACTTCAGATAATCAAGAACTAGAAAAACTGACTTTTCAACAGCAAAATTGAAACCCTGAAGACAATGCAATCAAAGCACTGAGTGAGAATACCTGTCAACGTACAGTTGTATACCCAGCAAAACTATCTTTTATGAACTAGGATGAATAAAAGACAATTATAGACAAATTAAGGCTTAGAACAAGACCCTCACTTAGCCCTTTTCCTACATAACACTTGGCACATATTTTAAAAATTCTTCTGCTGCCTTCTGATCTATAAGTAGCTTATTTGCCTGCAAGTTTAATATTTTTCCTGCCTTATCACCTTTTGAAATCTGTGAGGTAGCCAGCTAGCTGAGAAGACTTTTACATTTTCCTGACCCTGGGTAATGCAACTGTACATTTTATTTTGGCTTTCAGTGTCACAACAATGTTGTCCATTATGATTTTTAAAAAAAATCAGTCTTCATCTCATGAATCCACAAATATAGCCACTTTAGAATTTTTTTTTCTGTAGTTTCATCATTCACTATAGATGTTATTCTAACACTTTCCAGAGTGGCCTCACAAATAGATTGGCATTTCCTATACCTTTTTCTGGACGTTATCATACTCTTGATTCATTAGCATTGAACTCATGGCCAGCAGCATGCTAACTCATGCCTGAGGGAAGCTTCTCTAACAGATGTATTTTCTCCATAAGGTACACTGTAGCCATTTTGCACTTAGAAACACTAGACAACACTTCAGCACTATGCCTGGGAACCATTCGAAATAACAAAATCACCAACAAAAGGCACAAAATTGGGGAAAATGTGGCAACTAAATAAACTATGAAAAGGATACTTGCTTACAATTATAAGAGCTAAAACAAAAAGCCAAGGCATCACCTTGTTCAACCTCAGCTGGGAACATGTGTGTCAGGCAATTCAATTTTTTTGCCACTCTGTTCATGCCCGTGAGTTTCAATGATGGCACTGCCAGTATTGATTTTAGGGTTATAAATAAGTTTTAATGACTACACGAGATCACAGATAAGGTATCTGTGAATAATGAGGGTCAACTGTACAACTAAAATATTGCACAGAAATTGCATGAAAATGGAAGAGCTGCTCAGTATTAAAGCATTCTAAGACCCTTAAGCTATTCAGGAGGAGGAGATATACTGATTGATTAATTTTAGACATTTAAGTAGAATATGCATTAAAATGATAAAAATCATGTGTTTCAAAAGAACAAAAAGAGTGGGTTTTACTTTAAATAAAAACGACAACCACCAGATGTCATTGTATGCCCATCAAACTGGCAAGAATTAAAATCCAACAACAAACGTTGGTGTGTGTTTTAGGAAATAGGAACCCATATTGCCGGTGGAAGTGTTAATTGATACAATTATTTTGATAAGAGTTTGTCAATACCTAAGAAAGTTCATTATATGCATTTTAAAATGTGGTACCCAGAACAGGATGAAATACCACATATGGGAATCGATTAATTCAAGGTGGGGCCACATTCTTGCTTCCAATGACTTGAGACAGATTCTAACTTTGCTGTCACTTGAGGGCAGTCACATTCCAACATGTCAACACAAACTTCCAGATACACTGCCAAGCCAGAGCTTCCTCAATCTATTATTGGGAAGGTAAGGTTTCGGACCTAAATATAGAGATTCCCCACACTCTGCGTCTATCTGCTACCACCCACTTTACCCCCAGTTTTGGCTGCATAAGCTGCTGTAATCAGGCATCCAGGAAAGGACAAGGGAATGTGAGATGTGCCAGGGATTCCTGCTGGGAGGGCTCTTTTTGCCATGTTATCATCTCTCCCTCTTACCCCAGGATATGTTCAGCTTCTCATCCATGTTTGATCCCAGCTTGAAAATTGTTTTTTAAAATTTTAACATAAGTTTTAGCTCTTAATTGTTAGTAACATTTGCTCTTTTAGACATGCAGAGCTACTTTACTCTCATTTGTGCAAATCTCAGTTACCTCTAGAGCAATGAAAACAGCATCCAAGACTACTGCTGGCTTAGTAATGTCCAAGGGAGATGGAGTTTGAGCAGGGGATACTCAATCACTGCTTGTCCTTGGTGTTCCACATTGATTACATCAACTAGGCAATGGTAAAAGCAAGTGTTGAATCATCTTGAAAATTCTTGGAGATTCTTTAATGGAGGCAATAAAAATAGAACAGAGTTTAGGCCACCAGAGACAAAAAAGAGCAAAAGTGAAGTATGGGACAAAGATAGGATTAAATAAATTACATGCTGAATGATTAGACTGACTCCCCCTGGCTCTGTTGCTCACTGTGATCCCAGAATACCTGCACCTTCCGCAGTTAGGACATGAAACAGTCTCCTCTTGAAAAACTAAATGGCTCCAGGTACTCATATACTACCCTTTGAGAACCCTAAAAAATGTTAACTTATCATCCTATCCCCTTACAGAAAGTTCAATCAGTTCATTAATACTCTTTTTTTGTGGGGGGATCTTTGAGCCTTTTTATGTGACCATCAGAAAGACATAAATTTTACATTGTGACCCAGAACAACACTCACACATACACATACAGGACTGAAATGAAAGTTACATGAAACAGTATTAACCTCTTTTAGATGCATTCTGGTATTTCTATTTATTCTGTGTAATTCCAGGCCATCCCATCCCACTCCATTCCATCTCATTTCATTTTGTTTCTCTTTTTCAAATTGTTGTTCAAAACATACTAAATTGATTTCTCAACCTTTTGACCCTCAATTTGAAAAATACTAAGCTAAAAGAATAAAAAAATCCACTTACCCTGACACAAATTTAAGACAATTAGTCATTGTGCATCATTAATGTTATTTGATGCATGTGAATGGACAGCAATATCCATCTATTCAGATCTTTGAGGAAGGCTGATAATACAAAATAAAGAGACCAAAACAAACAAATAAGCAAATAGGGAAATAAAATTAAAAGAAAGCAGGAATTGGAGGGCGCGGTGGCTCACGCCTGTAGTCTCAGCACTTTGGGAGGCTGAGGCGGGCGGATCACGAAGTCAGGAGATAGAGATCATCCTGGCTAACACGGTGAAACCCTGCCTCTACTAAAAATACAAAAAAATTAGCCAGGCATGGTGGCGGGGGCCTGTAGTCCCAGCTACTTGGGAGGCTGAGGAGGGAGAATGGCATGAACCCGGGAGGCGAAGCTTGTAGTGAGCCGAGATCACGCCACTGCACTCCAGCCCAGTTGACAGAGCGAGACTCTGTCTCAAAAAATAAAAAAACAAAATAAAAAAATAAAATAAAATAAAAAACCAAAGCAGGAATCAGAAAAGTCTTAATATATTATAATTAATACACTTAGGTAAAAGACATTGCTTCTAAAATTCAGAACAGAGGGCTAGAAACAGGAAAAACTGTAGAAAGAAAAAAAGCTTTGAAATTAAAAACAAATGAAGAACCAAATTTTAATTAAAAAACTGGAAGTTAAAGTAGAAGAAATTATAATCTAAAAAAGAAAAAGGATAGAAAATCAGGAGAAAATATAAGAAATATAAGGGCTCAATTCAGTCATTCTAAAAAAAAGGAAAGGAAATTAATCAAAGAAATCATTCGAAAATGTTCCCAGAAAAGACACGAGTCATCAGAATGAGAGATCCAATACAGCAAACGAAAAAGACCCTCCATAAGGTAGATCATCATTTTGCAACAACAGAAATAGAGAAAAAAATAGTAAGAAACAAGAATCAAAATAGCATTGTACTTCTCCATGACAGCATTGCAAGATAGAAAATTATAGGGCAATTCCTTTAAAATTCTGAAGGAAGATTTTTCTCAGCCAAATATGCTAGACCCAGCCAAACTATCAACTACGTAAGAAAGAATAAGATATTATGAGCCTTGCAAGCATCAAGTAATTTACCACCAATGAAGCTTTGTGTAGACAGCTAATACAGAATGTACTCCAGCTAAACAAGGGAAGCAACCAAGAAAAGACAAGACATGTGATCCAGGACACAGGGACTCCAACAGGGCAAAATGGGAAAGGGTTTTCCCACTACCATTGTGAAGGGGAATCCTAGAATAACAGTTGTAAAATCAGACTACAAAGCAAATGGATTAAACCAGGTGATTAGAGGCCTCTTGGAGGAGTTTCTGTCTCAAAAAGAAAAGAAAAAAAAAAGAATGTTGATAGATTATCTAATTCATTTAACTATCAAGAACATATAATAATAAGCACTAAAACTTTTGACACAGCTGGTATATATTTACTATATTATTTATATAATATAATAAATACTTATATAAGTGAGTTTTTAAAAGTAATCATTTCTATATATTAAATATGAGCCATATACACACTAACCAAATGGAAAAATGAGGCAACTATTAATCCCAGGAAAGATGCAAATCTATACAAGGGAGGCAACTTAATTCTAATAAAATAATACATTGCTCAGCAAAAAACAACATTTATGTCATTATATTAATGTAAACACACTATTGGGAAAATGAGGACAGAGAAATGTGTGTGTGTGGCGGGGGGGTCAAATTTTTATGTACCATGATAAGAAGCTAATAGTAAATGTCTAAAATTGATATATCAACTGTTAGCAGCATAAACACATTACTTAGAAATATAGAGATCAATGTGAAAAGAAATTGAAATTGGTTACTTCCAAGCAGTAGGACTTGTGGATGGAAAAGAGATAAAACAATGTACCTCTATTTTTCAATAAGAGCTTTTTAATTCTCTAATATTTTAAGCTATGTACAATATCACCATGATAATGTTTTTCATTTAGTTGTATTACAGGAAAATTTTGTCATTGGTCCCAATAGCATTGTTTCTACTCAGTATTTTCCCTGATTATTCCATAAATGGCACTCTCTAATGCTGACTATCTCTACAGCATCTGTCCTAATTCAACATACATCCCCCAGTCAAGTCTTGCCCCTGGAGTGCAGTTGCATGAAATTATTTGTGCAATAGCAAAAATACCATCTAAACTGTATTTTCTGTGTTCAGTTACTATCTCAACCCATGATAAAAAGCTGTATCAACCACTGAAAGTAACCAAAGAATGTAAACACTGTGGGGATTGAGGATCCCTTTCCTGTCCCAGAGATCTCTAAATACTGTGTGGGTTGCTTTACATTTAGAATTTTCCTTTTCAAGGAGATATTGTCTTTGAACTAGCCCAGGCATATAGAAGCTCTCATGTACCCATTAGGAAGTTGAACCTGCCATCTGTTTTGCAGTGATACTGGGGAGGACATTAGTTATGAACTGGCAGCCTCAATTCCCAAATTCTTTTCACTTAAGAAACATTAAACATTTTGAAACAGACTTCTCAGAGAACAGTACAACAGCCTCTCTGGCAGCTTTTATGGTATTCCTCAATGGATATTTTTGTCCCTCCATCTAAAAACAACAGCATAGAGGGAGGAGGAGAACACATGGGCTCCTCATGGGGCCAGAACTCGTCTTTAAAATTGCCAAACTATCTAGCAACAGCTGTGACCATTGGAACACAACATCAACTTGTGCAACCTGCTCAGCCCTGTCAAATGATGAGGGATCACATGGAATCAGACTCTCAGACAGTGATGTGGACTAGTTTGCAGGAAATGACTGAGATGAACCACTTTCCTTCTTCTTCCCTCTCTGTAGAGACAGACGCCTTCGGGTGCATCTCAAATCCGGGGTTACAACTCAGTCCTGAGGATACTAAGAAAAAAGAGCATGGCGCTGGCACCTTGCAAAGTAGGTTCACTTCATGGATAAATGAAACTCCATGGGAAGGTCATGGATGACTTGGACAGCCAGTGTTCCCTGCCCAGATGAGGCATGGCTAATGGAAATGGCACAAGGATGGAAGTCAGGACAGCCGATTCCTGATCTGCTCTGCCCTCATTCACTGTGTGACCTAATGTGGAGCCAGTCACATCTCTACGGCCTCTATTTCTCAGCTGAGCAACAGGGACAACAGTGACTGCTCCACCCTCCCCATGGAAGATCAGCCAGTCCAGCAGAGAACATGTAGACAGACTTGCTGTAAGGCACAAGGTCCTAGACAAGTGACATCATTAGGATTTTTTTAGTATACTTGTGTTTCTCTTTTCAGCATGTTTATAATAAAAAAAAGAAAGAGCAACCCTGAATTCCCAATGCTATATAATAGTTAAATTATAATAATTTACATAAAATAATATAGTATTCAGACAATACAAATGTTGCTGTAGATTAACACTGATTCCCATAGAATGATTTTATGATACACTGTTTGGTGGACAAAAATAAGTCATAAAACCAATAGGTCCAAAACGATTTTGTTTTTATGAAAAAACTAAATATGTAAATACTCATTTATATTCATATTCATGTTTTTATTGGGAGTCTGGAAATACGCACCAATGTATACACGTGAGTTATCTATGGGTGAGGGAATTGTTTTATGTGTATGCATGTAGTTTATCTATTTGATATAATTTTTGAGATTAATGAATATTCATCTTTGAGAATAGGAAGACCAGACCAGACCACAAACTTCAATTCTCCTTTCAGGTAGTGGGAAGAGAGGTCTCCAATGTGCAGATTACGCCACAGCTCATAGCCAAGCTGCCTTCCTGCTCAGGCCTCTGAGGGTGAAACTAACTGCCCTCCCCACCTCTTAGTTCCATCACTGATACAGGATCTTTGCTTTTATTCCTTCTCACTGCTCCCCAAAATTTAGCCACCACCTAAACCAGAGGCAGTGAATTCTGATGACAGAAGGACCAGGTAAGTACCATGAATGAGTGAACCAGCTTGGGTGTGGGGCAATGTGGCCACCAGAAATGACAATGCCATCCTGGGGGCCGATATCTTTCAGCTCTTGAAGTTGCTGTGTCTCTCAGTCTTTCAAGAGAAGATGGAAATCTGGAGTTTTATGAAAGTCCTTTGAATGTGGAAAAGTTAACCTATAATTTTTAAATGCCCTACAACCTTGTGGAATGTAGTTTGAAGAATGTGGACTTGGTGTCAACCCAGGACTCAACCTCTCATCTGCAGCTGATCTGTTGGATGGTCTTGAGTAAGTTTCTTACTCTTTTTGAACTCCAGTTTCCTCAACTGTAAAAGGTGGTATATGTATCCCCACGAAGATTTTGGAGGAATTAACTATCATAGATAATTCATGCAAACTGGCCTGGTGCAGTGGCTCATGCCTATAATCCCAACACTTCAGCAGGCTGAGGTGGGAAGATCACTTGAACCCAGGAGTTCGAGGTAATTCATGAGACCTTCCTGGTACATGGTAGGCACTCAATAAGTGTCTCCTTTTCCAGGCCAGCAAGTTAATGGTATAACTAGTGCAAGAACCCATACACCTCTATGTTCTGAGTCCCACTCGTTTCTTCCCCCCACTGTATCCAGGTGTTCCCTTGCCTCTATGGCACTCATTCTCAGAGATATCAAGTATGACTTTACTTGGAACCTGAGCATAGGACTAGGGTTTTAGACACTGCTTTCTCTTGCCATGAACAAGCCACACTGCTCCGTAGAGATCTCACTTTTCCTCTCCAGAACTTAAGTGGCAACCAGTGTGCAAAGAGATAATAGATCTGTATTCCCTCAAACTAAATCACAGCAGGCCCATCTGTGAAACCCCAGATGCCCATGAGTCTGGGATCAGCCTCTCATTTGATATTCATTTTAAAATGTAGGTTTTATGGTATGATTATTCGGGTATGGTGAGGCCAGCAGATTTTTATGGTATGATTATTTGGGGATGGTGAGGTCATTGAAAAGAAAAGACAGCTTGTTACTCATAGTTCCCAAGAGGAGAGGGGATGTCACGCAAGCCCATCTGGGGAAGCACCAGGGTGGCTCAAGAAGCAGGAAGAATGAAGGGAAAATGTGAGCAAGGGCTTTTATTGTGGTTTATGCAGGAAAAAACAGGCAACACAGGGTACACAGGTTTTGGATTGGCTAGTTTGAATAATTTCAGTAGGCTGCGGGGTTAGAGACTGTCTCTAGTTGTCTGGTACCTGGCCCTAGGGTACCTAGGGCAGGGGGAGAGTAGCCCAGAGTATGAAAGGCCACAGAGGAGGTGGCTGGGCTATGGGCTCCAGGTCGGTTTGTATATGAAAGGCATGCTCCTAAGCTAGGAATGGGCTAGCCCTCGCACGGGTGGTCCCTCCAGGGTCGGCAAGGCCCTAGATGTCAAAGCATTAGGAATTCAGAAAATGGAAAGGCATGATTAATACAGAACATTCTCAAATCAGTGAGTATTTGCCCTCTCCACACACCACTGAAAAGATATCAGCATATTGGGGGGTGGAGGAGCTTCAGAAATAGGCTCCCCACAAAAGAAAGAGTGGGGCATGATAATGAAAGCCTCTGAAGGGAAAGGCCCCCTTGTGTAACAACAAAAGGTCAAGGTGCTCTGAAGAGGACAAGATAGAGCAGATTAATGTACCCTCAAGGCCAGGGCAGGGTTGAGCATGCTGCTAAGGAAAAAAAAACACAAAACAAACAAACAAAAAAATCCCATGTTTTGTTTTTTTTTTCCAAGTAAGCACAGTCCCTGGCCTTAGTCTCTCACATCCCAAGTCAGTCTGAGACTAAACGAAGCCCCCACTCTCTGAGTGAAGAAAGCTACATTTGGATTCAGACATTGTAATGGAACGAAGATTACTCTGCTTGAGTGCACTGACCTTTATCAACCATTTCATCAGAATTTCTGGAGCATGAATCTGTTAGACATCCTCTGCAACTGTTCGTAGGAAGAAGGATCATTCCTTTCTGGCTCAAGTCCAAAGGATCTTTCTCAAGCAACCAGAGATGGGGAAAGCAAAATCAAATCCACAGACAGTTGAAATCTAGTTAGGGAATAGTTAGAGGAGACAATAAAAATAACAGTCATGCTGCATAAGTCTCTAGAGGATACTGTTTTTCTTCCCGTGGCTGCCTGAAAAAACAATTACATTCTCAATATTCCTCCAACTAAGGCTTGGATTCAGTCCTATATAACATACCAATTGCTGGTTTGAGGCTCTTCTTTCAGGCCAAGTAGATATCCAGGAAAGAACGGTTCGGCACACATACACAAACCCATGTTCATAAAAAAACAACATGCTTTTCAAATTAGTACCAAGATTATAAAGACTGGGCAACATCTTACTATTTAAGAAAAAATATTTATTTGCAAGAAATGGAAATACAAAAGCATAACAATTTCAATTTATTTTTTTTTCCCAAACTAAGTACAAGTGTCCTACAAAGCTTTTTTTTTTTTTTGGTATTTACTTAGCTATGATAAAGAATAAAAAGTCATTTAAAAAACGCGATAGGACAGATAACAGACTCACAACGTATTTAGATTTAAACACTGCTGGTCTACGTAACCTGTTACAAAAGAGAGCAAAACCTAACTGTCAGCATAGACATTAAAGCTCACCGTTGATTATAGCTCAGGGCCTGCTCAGCATTGTTTAAAAAGGGTCACTCACAGTTTTGTCAAAGAGTGCTGGTGTTCTCTATGAACTCATAAACTGTTTTATCTGAAAAGGTGATTTTCTAAGTAGTGTAAGCCATGGGTACATGGTGCAAAAAGTTCATGTTCTCACTCAGCTGGTGAGCGAAGGATGGGAGCAGAGAACAGAGCTAAAACCCCTGGTTTTCCTTTCCCCAGATGTAAAGCCTGCTAGCTGGAACTCACAGAAGATTGGAACAAAAAGATAGGAGATGGACACCTGGGGGACTGCTCCAGCACGAAGGGAAGCGATGAGCATCACACAGCAGGGCCATTGCAGGGGACAGGTGCTGTAATTCCTGCCCAGAGAACTTGAAAGCTTACAGTGTGCTCACAGGAAGGAATCGGCTCAGCTAGTCCAGAAATTGCTGCATTTCCCATATTACTTAGTTCTTTATTCATCCTGTGGTAAAGAGTCACCCTTGTTTTCCGTATCTATAAAACTGAAAGACTTAAAATTTACTTAGCACAGCACGCAACACCCTAGTAAATGCTCAAGAAATATTATTTCCCTTCCTTCTAGAAACCAAGGCTAAATAAAACATTCCTGAATTTTATGTTGTCCAAAATAACAAAACAAAACAACACCTAGTTTTTTCCTGTGTTAAGTGCTGACCCTTTGACCACAAAGGCATGGAACATTAATCTTCAAATGAGCCAGGTTCCTTTGCCCTGAGAAATGTTCCGCTATGAGGATTTATAATACCTTTAATCCTGGCTGGTTGTTTTTTTGATGTGATTGCACTCCTGCAAACTGGGATTTTCCTAATGGACGTAACCCTATTTCTTTTCTCCTGATGTGCAAATCTGATAGTGGCTCACTTTTAGGAAACCACTTTTGAGCCTTCAGAAAAAAATTTTTCCCCACACCCAACTCAATCTAATAATAAAAGAATATATACAAAATCTCCCAGTGACGAGGGATTCCTCAGTCATCCTGGATTTACCTATAAGGCACATTTAAGGCACAAATGAGCATGTAAGGGAGGAATGTGCACGTGTGTGTGTGTGTGTGTGTGTGTGTGTGTGTGTGTGTCAGAGAGAGAAGAAGGGAGAGAGAAGTATAAGCATTTGGGTCTTTTGAATAACTATTATTAATGTTTCCTCAATCCCTTCTATTCCCCAATATTCCCTAGGGCCTCAGGCAACACTCTTCCTTATGAAACTGAAAAGTCTTAGGAGTAACTGAATGAGTGAGTGAATGAACGAAACATCTAAGTCTTGTCTCTGGATCCTTCACAGCCCTCACGTCACCACCACCTACTCTCTCCTGTAACTGCCCTCCCAGCGGGGCCTATCCTAGCATGTGTCTATGGATAGTCTCACCTGAAGGTGGCCAAATAAAATGACTCTCAAGAGGGCACTACCTGCCCATGGCTTCACAGGTCCAGCCAGCCCAGCAAGCAGAAGTGCTGGTGTCTTTAACCCAGGTTTCTTAAAGACTGGCTTCAATAGAACCAACTGTAGTGACTTGGGGCAGAGGAAGGGGAGGATGAAGGTCTTCTAGTGCATCTCTGCCCTCTCCGTGTTGGCAAGGTTGGCATGAATGGGCCATTATTCAACTGGGGGTGGGATGTCTCCATTTCTGGACTGTGCTCAAATTCACACCTTGTATGACATGTGGGCAGAGGAGCTGGCCTGGAGAGGCCTCTAATTCTGCCTCTACGCTTTTGCTGGGTCTGAGGACATGGGAGGGAGGAGCCATAAAATGCTGGAGAACAATTTTAAAAAACACTTATGAAAAAATGCTGGACACTTGACTCACTGCCAGAACAAAGAAGAGCCAATTCAACATCCCAACTTTACGGGCACGTAAGATTCACAAGCTGAACCAAGAGATTTAGGAAGAAAAAAAAAAACATGGTAATTATAAGGGGTCTGTGAATAAGTTAAACTAAAAGCTGCTTTCACAATCTACAAATTAGGCCTCCAAATCAAAATCATTTATATTAACCAAAAGGTTATCTAATTTTGCCCATATTGGTGTCAAATCTCATCCCCACTCCCTGCCAAAAAAGAGCAACCTAGTTCAGCTGTCGGATTTTTATATAACACTCTCTTTATGTGAGCTAGACTCCAGAGTCCTCACACTTCACAGAAATTCTTTCTTAAAACTGGCACTGCAGCCTTTCATTTACAATATCCCTTTTTAAGTGCAAAGTCGAGGGCTGTGAAAAGAACCACGGTGGGGGGTCTGGGTTACTCAGGTCTTATCCAGTGAAAAATTAGTTCTCTGAATCTTTGCAAAACATCTCCTTCACTGGTGCAATCTAAGAAAGGGAAATGGGAAACTTGTTTACATGATGAAAAATATAATTAAGAGATTGACTCTTTATGGCTTATGGCCGCTCTGACAGACTCGTATTTCTCAAAACTTACATTCAGAAGACACTGTCTGCCACTATTTGAAATCTTTAGAGCTAATCATAAGTTAATGACTAGTCTAAGAGGCCACTTGGTGGGGAAAACAAATCCACTGATATTCTGGTCTTAATCCCTGAACAGAAAATGTGCACACATCCATTAACTATTTGGAACCAATCTGGTGCTATACAACTCTTCTGTGTCCTCTTGACCCCATTTTGTCCTCCTAAAGGGACAACTGTTAGTTCCTTTAACCCACTCAAGCAAGGAGTGGAGGGCAGAGGTTTATCTAAAAGAGCAGTGATGTTGGTTCTTGGAGCCCCCTTAAAAGGGCCATCTGAGCTCTCTGCCTAACGTCCCATTGTCTACATAGATTCCGTTTTGGAAGGATGGTTTCCCAGAGAAAGAGTCCTGCTGTTTGGAGGTCGAGAGAGAGTGACGTCAAGCAAGCGTAGTAAGGGAGAAAATAAAATCCTCAAAGCACTAAGGACAGGGGCTAGAAGTTTCCTTTATCTTCTCCCTCCTCATTTAGAAGAGCACGTTTCCTACTCTACGTCTGGGAGCCTTGAAAACCCAGTCTGGTTCAGTTGCAGCAGGTACATGGGTTGGCTCATTCTCTCACTTCTGCCCCTAAATTTGAAACCTTTCCTTCCTCATTGCCCAAATGCTACTTGAGTAAATCTTATCTTTTTGCCTTCTTTGGGCCCTATAGGCTGCCTATGCCTGATAATGACCTGACAGTTTAAAAGAGAGGGATGGGTCAGTGGAGGCCCATGGTTACCAGACACCAGCCAGGCCCAACAGGATCTGGGCTGCAGACAGTGGAGCAGAGAGAAGCAGAAGCAGAACCTACTAGCAACCCTCCTCCTGCACAGCTCAGACAGTCTCCGCCCTGGCTAATGGGAGGGACAACAAGAACCCTCCAGACAACAGGGCTGCCAGGACTACGGGGGCCCGATCCAGCTTCCACTCACAGTGAGAAGATGAACTTGGCCGCTTTCCAGGCTGGAACCGTCTCCAGCATAGCAGAGAGAGGGGAATCACTCACAGGGAGCCCCAAATGGGCCTAGACAGACAAGGCAGGGACCGACTTATGAGGTATGACGACAAATGTTAATAACATCAAATCCTGTACCTGATATGGAATGGAAGCCAGGGTGTGGGCTTAATCCCTCTAAGTACAGGCTCCAATAACAATGCAGATGACGTGTGTGGGGGTGGGTGGTGGGGGGAGAGAGAGAAGGAGAGACAGAGAGAGAGAGGGAGAGAGAGAAGCCAAAACCAAAGGCATTTCAGCTGCTAATAAAAATAAAATACAAACTCTATGCACATTTCCTACACAAAATCTTTCCCAAGCTCGGAAAAAACACTTGAGGGTTTTCTACATTACACAATAAAAAGGCAATTTCCACTTCTTATTTATATGAAAGAGGAAAGATT
This sequence comes from Homo sapiens, assembly GCF_000001405.40. NCBI lineage: Eukaryota > Metazoa > Chordata > Mammalia > Primates > Hominidae > Homo > Homo sapiens. Next base: position 137,879,138 of record NC_000007.14, read on the forward strand.
TTTTTAAACTACAAAAGTTACTTTTAACCATAAAAAAAAAACAAAAAAACTAAAAGTAGGTTGGGGATTAGGTTGTATCTCTTTGGGCGAGCTGCAAAGTAGCCAAACCTGACTACCAAAGGTAAGAATGTGGATACACAAATGTCACCTACCCCACCCTGCTTTGTTGAGGTAGGGGACGAGGAGGACAAAGTGGAAGTGTGGAGGGAGGAGGGGGCCAGGCAGGTGTGGAAAGCCAGCAAGGTTGTCTGAAATGTCTGTTGTCAGAACAGGGCTTCCCCTTCTCTGTCATGAAAACAGGATAGAAAAAGCTTGTGGCCAGGGAGCCCGGGGCCTGAGTGAGGCATTGTGTCATCTCTCGCTCTGAGCTCATCCTAGAGGCAGACACATACATGCTCAAAGGAACTTCTTTTTCAATGGTAATTATTCCAGTTAAAAGAAAAAACAAAGGAAAGGAAACAAAACATTGTCTGGAAAGACACGGGATCCCAGAGCCTAGGGTGCCCTCCTAGCTCTGAAGGCTCGCAGAAAACTTGGCTAGCTTGAAAGGAGGCATCGATCTCTTCAGTGTGGTTGCTAGCAGGAAGCCTCGGCAAGCTAATAAATACTATTTACAACTGGGGAGGAGAAGCTGGGGAGGCAGAACTATGGATGTGTGGGGAACCAGGTTGTGGGAGGTCCTAAAAGCGACAAGATGGGGCAGGTTTGCCTGGAGTAGAAAAGCCTGATCCCCTCAGGCATTGCACTTGCGGCCTGAGAATATGAACGAGAGCCCTCGCCTGCCAGTGCTGCTGCAGGAGACGAGACGATCCAGCGAGGGCTCCCAGGGGGCAGAGTGGGCGGAGGGCTGCTGTCGGGGGTGTTCACACCAGAGACCCCAGTGCGAGCAACGGAGGACACGGGTCAGTGCTTTGCCAAATACCAACAGGCATTATGGCATTTTTGTGGCCAGAGTCTGGGGTCTTGACTGAACAAGAGCCATCTCGTCTCCAAAGCGGGGGGTTACACCTCACAGGTGCACATTAGGCAATATCTTTTTGGCACTATTGGTGGAAACAAGCCTGCTTGTCCCACCTCCAACCCCTAAAATAATTTCCTATGGCAGTAAGAGAAAGGAAGGGAGGGATGCAGGCTCCCTTCTGCACAGGAGGGGCATGGACCAGGGGGAGATGCTCTCTCACTGCAGGGAAGTCCCAGGCTGGTCTCCAATCTGAAGCCACTAATGCTTGCCCATGTCTCCATGAAGATCCAGTGGCAAAGAGGAAAAGCTGATGACAAAGGTGGTTTGGGGATGTAAAAGTAGAGTTAAGGGAAAGGGAGGGGGTGCAGGCAGCCTCTTTAGAAAGTGGTGTTCACTCTTCTGTCGAGTTCTACAACTTTTAGTGTTTCATTCCCCTCCAGTTTGGCGCTGACCCTGTGAAGGCATTAAAAGGAAAACGAAGTATTAGTCACCAGCTGTTAGCTACAATTCTCATGCTTTGTAGCGTGATGCAATCATTCAGGGGTTGCAACTTGGTGAGACGGCCTGGGCATGTTTCTTGTCCTTTTCTCTCCTAGTAGCAATTCTCTGTTTCCAAAGTCCCCTGCTACCAGCCTCTCCACTAGTCCACATTCCTACCTTTATCTACACCCAAGGCATCCCAACCCTACTAAGGATAATCATGGTGGCTTGATATTGATCTGCTATGAGATGCATTAAATTATTCTATTTACTTAGGATGTTTAGCCCTATGCTAAACTCAGGGAAGGAGAAAATAAAATGATAAGAGCTGATCCTTGGCCTAGAAGAGCTAATAATCCAGATAAAGATTTTTAACAATGAGCTAATTTGAAATAATAATAAATCCATAACAGAAAATAAATACATTATTAAATTGTGTAACAACCTGGAAAATTTCTAGGCATTCAGAGGAGGGCTAGGAGGCTTTGTTATCTAGGAGACATCACAGAACAAATGGGATTTGAAGTGGGCCTTGAACAGCTTAGCTGAGAGAAGAGAAACTGTGTCCAGAGCCAAGTAAGAAGGCACTGGGTCTTCTAGAGATCCCAGCGGTGGCTACATTGGCAAGTCTCTCTATGACGGGAATAATAATGATGCCTTACCACATGGGATACTTAAAAGGATTTGTATGATACTGTTTCAGTAGCCCTCATCCGAAAATCTAAAATCTAAAATGCTCCAAAATCTAGAAATTTCCGAGCATTGACATGACGCTCAAAGGAAATGCTCACTGAAGCATTTTGCATTTTTGGATTAGGGATGCTTAACTGTTAAGTATAATGCAAATATTCCAAAATCTGAAATCTATAACACTTCTGGTCCCAGGCATTTCAGATAAGGGATAGTCAACCTGCCTCACATCTGTAAAGTGCTTAAAATAGTAAGTGCTAGTAAATGTTAAATATGTATGTATAATGTACACACATAAAAGTACTTCATTATAAACCTTCCCCTGCAGAATTAGGGGATGAAAGCTGAAGAATCTGAAACAAAATCTTTCCCATTTACATCGGAACGGCCTCATTTCTGGGAGGCATAGGAGCAGAGTTCAGCTAAATCACCAACCATGTCACACGTAACCAGGAGCATGCATGCAGGCCCAGGGACCTCCCCTATTACAACAACAATACCTTGCAGTCGCATAAGCCTTTATGTTTACAAAGGGATTTTTCCCAGAAACTGAGAAACAACTCATGTAGAATTGGAGCCAAATAGAGGTTGTTCTCAATATGGAAATGTGTGCACAGTGCCTCTTAAATGGTACCCCTCAACATACATCTATAAGTATAAAACTATAATATGTATAGTTTTAATTAACACATGTGTATTTACATATAAATCATAAACATATATTGACATATAGCACAATATATATCTACTCCCTAGTTGAAGCCATGAAACATGTCTTAAAGTTGGATTTGCACAGCAAACACACTGTGGTTACCTGGGCTGTGCATTCACTCGTGTGGCTTGGAAGGGAGGATGGAGACAGTGGGGGAAGGGATTCAAGCACTTCTTTGTGCCACCACGCCAGCTCCCCGCTGATGCAGCAGACATAGGGGAGCTCACGCTGGTTTTTTTCCTCATCTCTGCTCAGGGCAACTGTTGGCCAGCAACAGACTCTCTGCAGTCCCAGGTCCTGGAAATAGGTCCTGAGAGAGCTGAGGGACTGAACCAGGCCTATGGAGAGTCTCAACCTCACATCTCAGGTTGCTGACTCATAACCCACCATCAGTGCACTAGAGGAGTTGGCTCTGTGTCTCTATGACTCACAGGTGCTGCTGCAGCTCCAAAAGCACTGACTTCTCCAGGCTGGTCTCATTCGAGATAATGAAATGGGGAAGATCCACATCCGGCCTGGACTCCAGCCCTGACACCCTGAGCAGGGAGGAACCTCTATCCCAGCCCCCCAGCTCCCCAGCCGAGCCCGGGCTGGATGACTCCTCTGGGGGAGAATGTTCCTCGTAGATCAGCAGGTTTCTGGATCTCACTGAGGACAGAGCAGAATAATAAGGTGTTAGCAAAAGACCACAGGGGTCCAACACATTCCCTCACTCCAGGTGCTCAGGGCTGGTGGCAGATGACAATGTGTGTGTTCTCGTTGCCCAGAACCATGGGTGCCAACAGAATTTGGCTTTCTATAAAGACTTTAGAGCTTCGGAGTTTGTGCATTGAAAAATTATACCAATTATACAGTGCTGGAAGAACAATAGAAAAGCAAATAAACACAAGGCAAACTACCACCCCCACTGCTTTGAAAATATAAAACTCCCCCCTTACCACCCATAACCATCTAGGGAAAATGATTCATGGAGAATGGGAGTGGAATACTTGGAGATGTCCAGACCCAGCTAAAAGAAGCAGCATTCCCAGTGAGTAGGTCTGGCAGGGGGATGAGGTACAGGGCATCTCATTTAGAAAGGGAAGAGGAGACACAAAGCCAAAGCCATAAATCAAAGGATAGAGACAATCTCCTTTGTTTTGTAGGACAGTCACACAGCTAGATGGCTCTGTAGCAATTTTCCATGACATAGAAACTATGCTTCCAATTAAATTTAGAGAGATAGTTCCTTGGGGGGAAAAATTCTCAACAGGCCACTGAAATTATTTAATTGGAATGCTAGCACTTCTGTCATACCTGGCAGAGACACACCTGCCTGGTGAAGACCACAGACGTTTCAAGATGGCAAAATTTTCCCTATCCCAAATCCAGTACAGTAGTCCTCCCTTATCCATGGGGAATACATTTCAAGACCCCCAGTGGACGGCTGAAACCGAAGATAGAACTGAACCCTATATATATGGTATAAGGTATATATGTATGGGAAAAACCATACAGGGTTTATATATGGGCATATAGCATGTAGGGTTCATATGCCTTTTCCTATACATATGTACTTATGATAAAGTTTGATTTAGAAATTAGGCCCAGTAAGAAATTAACAATAATAATAAAATAGAACAATTCTAACCATATCTTCTAATAAAAGTTACATGAATGTGGCCTCTCTCTCTCAAAATTTCTTATGGTGGTGTACTCAGCTATTTTCAGATAACTGCAGGTATTTTTATTGGCTGCAGGTAGTGTTTCTTACTATAGTGTATTCAGCTATTTTAAGGTAACTGCAGGTATGTTCATTGGCTACAGGTAACTGAAAGCTTAGAATACAAAACCTCAGATAAGGGGGGACTACTGTACTGCCTAACCCCATGCTCATTCCTATAGGTGTAGGTGTGAATTTGTGTGTGTATTCCTTACTCACCATCCCTTTATTTCTAGGTGAGAACACCATACGCTTCTTATCTGACACCGGAGTCCCCATATTCTCTAGATCTTGGGCATAAGGTTTTGGAAGGCAGGCTGATTCTTTTTGTTTGTTTGTTTGAGATGGAGTCTTGCTCTGCCGCCCAGGCTGGGGTGCAGTGGCACGATCTCGGCTCACTGCAACCTCCGCCTCCCAGGTTCACGCCACTCTCCTGCCTCAGCCTCCCAAGTAGCTGGGACTATAGGTGCATGCACCACCATGCCCAGCTAATTTTTGTATTTTTAGTAGAGACGGGGTTTCAGCATATTGGCCAGGCTGGTCTTGAACTCCTCACCTTGCTGATTCTTTTTTTTTTTTTTTTTGATGGAGTCTCGCTCTGTCGTCTAGGCTGGAGTGCAGTGGTGCGATCTCGGCTCACTGCAAACTCCGCCTCCCAGGTTCACAATATTCTCCTGCCTCAGCCTCCCCAGTAGCTGGGACTACAGGTACCTGCCACCACGCCCGGCTAATTTTTTTGTATTTTTTAGTGGCGATGGGGTTTCACAGTGTTAGCCAGGATAGTCTCAATCTCCTGACCTCGTGATCTGCCCGCCTCGGCCTCCCAAAGTGCTGGGGTTACAGGCGTGAGCCACCACGCCCGGCCCTGACCTTGCTGTTTATTTAATTTCACTTTACAAGCCCTTACTATATACATTGCATTACATTACTCATACAATTCCACTCAGTGGAGGCAGAAACACAGCAGTTCTCTTAAAACGTCACAGAAAGCGACAGACTCTTTCCCTCATCTGCTTCCCTCTCCCTTATCAGAACTCAAAAATTAGATGTCAGAATGGATCAGGGAACACAGTCTAGAACAGCAGTTTGCAAACTGTGCTCTGTCAAGCTCTGGAGAATTCCCAGTGATGCCGCAGTCCAGTGGATGAGGGGCCCCAGGGGAACCCCCACTTGCCTCTTCAAAGGGAGAAGCTCCACTTTTACCACTTTTTAAACATTGGACTTTCACAGAAGATTCCTTTTGGAAGACTGAGAAACCCAGCTCTAGGGAAATAAAACAAGACCCTGCCCAACTTGCCACATGCTGTCTTACCCACGGAGGCTGTGTAGGGCTCCTGCAGGGAATGCTGGCTGGGCAGAGCCATCTTGGTGGCAGAAGGATAGGGCCCGTAGCCTTGAAAGAAGCTGCCGAATGCAACGGCAAAGCACAGCACCACAACCTGTGGGAGAGAAAGAGGGGAGAGAGAACACGAGGGGCTGTGGACTTCAGCCTCTGGACAGCACAGCTTTATACCCAGGGACACAGACTCTCCTCTTCAGGCCAGTGGACTGCACCCACCAGTCACATCACCAGAGTGCCTCACCGAGGAACAGCCTCAGAGTGGAGTTCCTCCATGTGGTTTCTCCTACAGCACAGCACTTGGCCTTGGCAAGTGGAGGGAGAGGGGAGACAGGGGCCAGGCCAGGGGCGGTCACTGTGCTACCCTGCTGGGAAGCTCACCATGAGGCAGGTGCCAGTCTGCGTGCCAGCTAACTTGCAGGTTCGAGAAACCTTGCCCATCACCAAAGTCTGAAGCTTCTGGAGTTGCTGAAGGAGAGTCCTGCCAATGATAACAACAGCCGTGAGGGGAGTCTGACAGAGAAGAGATGCTTTTTGATCTCTCCATGTGACCCAAGAAGGCCGCCGTGCCTTTGTGCCTGCATTTCAACAGAGCCCCAAGGGACAGTTTCCTCTGGAAGAAGATACGAACACCAGTACCTTCTAGCACCATTGTCACAGAGCTCACTGGGGCTCAGAATCAGCCTTCACACTTGAAAGTCCTGTTCTTGCACTGCCCTGAGTTAGAGGTAACTGCCTCCACATTACCCCTGACAGGCTGTGGCTTGTTTCTCAGCGATTGAGAACAAAGGAAAAGGAACACTCTGATTGGATGGTGGCTAAAGTCAGAATGGTTGTGTCTCTCCTAAATTCCTATGCTAAAACCCAGTCCTCTATGTGACGGTATTAGGATGCAGCACCTTTGGGAGATGATTAAGTCATAAATGGAGCCCTCATTGATGGGATTCGTGCCCTTATAAGGAGCTGAAAAGACTAGAGTGCTTCCCTTCCACTATGAGAGGACACAGCAAGAAGCTGCTTTTTGTGAACCAGAAAGCAGGCCCTCGCCCAACACGGAATCTCCCAACACTTTTATCTTGGACTTCCCAGCCTCCAGAACTGTAAGAGATCAATTTCTGTTGTTTGTAAGTGACCTCGTTTATTACATTTTGTTATAGCAACCTGAACAGACTAAGAAAATGTCGATTAAAAGAAGAACTCATTTAAGCAAGAGATGAGAAACATTGACAAAAACATAAAAAAGGGACAAAGGCAAAGAGAAGGAAAAATAAAAAATGACCAGCAGAGAACAACAGAAGGAGTGGCCAGAGGTGGGGGCTGTGACTGGAAATGCCAACAGAGAGTAACAGGCATTCACAGGCAGGTTAGAAGAGAGAGAGAAAGGCCAGAGGTGGGGGCTGTGACTGGAAATGCCAACACAGAGTAACAGGCATTCACAGGCAGGTTAGAAGAGAGAGAGAGAAAGGAGAGGAAAAACAAGAACGGCTCTGTTTAAGGCAGAGAGGCAAACAGCCACCTGCAGCTCAAGCCTGTGGTTCTTAAACGCTCACAGCACCTCCAGAGTCAGGAAACGAAGCCAACATATGAAAGAACAAAGATGCCTGCTCAACTGGACCCTCAAGCCCAGAGTCAAGGGTCTTTAAAACCATCCTTTGAAACAGATTCTAGCCTTTCTCCAGGAAAAAGACAAGAGAGCAAGAGCAGAAAAAAAAAAAGGAGACGTTTTATCCCTAAAATTGGACAACTGTGCCTCTCCTTAAAAGGCAAAGTTTGAGGGATAAGAACAGTCTTATATACTCTGCTCTGTGTGACATCAGCACACAGAGCAGATGGTAAAATTCTTTGCAAATTCTGAACACTGCAAGGCATAGAAAAGGATCTGACAACACACCCTCCTGAGTTAGAGCACCCGGGAAGAGTTCCCTGTGAGTGGTGTAAAGAGTTGAAGCTCCTCCTCATCCTCATCCCCCACCCCCAAACCCAGTGCATATGGCAAAGTGGAAAGATTTTATGAGCAGATGCTTTCTCTTGGGTCTCAAGGATTCTCGGAAAATGTGTGCTGTGATGTAACAATGTTAGACAGCCACATAAGTTCACTGGAAAACATCATCAAATCATTTGTTCACAGAATGCTGTGGGCTTTCGCAGATAACTTGCTTCTCACCACAGTCTACCCCCGAATAGCATTCAGGTGCTAGAAGGACAAGCAGATTTTTCCTGGGCTTACATCTTCACCCCCAGCTAGTACCAATGAAACAAGTTCTCCCAATTTGAGCAAATTAAGGACAGGTTGGCCACAAGAATGATTTTGCTTTCAGCAGTTTAAATGGATAGGAGTGGTGGGTGAATTGGAGCAGCCCTCAGCACACAGAGTAGATGCTTTCTGGACTCAAAACTCCTTTCTGGGCCAGGCGCGGTGGCTCACGCCTGTAATCCCAACACTTTGGGAGGCCAAGGTGGCCAGATCACGAGGTCAGGAGTTCGAGACCAGCCTGGCCAACATAGTAAAACCCTCATCTCTACTAAAAATACAAAAAATTAGCTGGGCACGGTGGCGGGCGTCTGTAATCCCAGTTACTCGGGAGGCTGAGGCAGGAGAATCGCTTGAACCCAGGAGGCAGAGGTTGTAGTAAGCTGGGATTGCACCATTGCACTCCAGCCCAGGCAACAGTGCGAGATTCCGTCTCAAAGAAAAAAAAAAAATTTCTATGCGTTTCTATCTACATGACATTTTCCCCAGGTATAGTGATTTTAATTTAAGCAACACAGAATCATTCATTCTGTTAGTTAATATCACTAATTTAAGTTCTATTTAATGTGAAGATCTTTTTTTGTACTTAATCGTACATTTTTGTTTCTGTTTATATAGAAGTATGATTGAATGTAGTTTAGACCTGGTTTGTATTTAAATGTATTCAGGTACAATTTTTATTTTTCTTTTTTTTCCTGGAGATAAAGTCTTGCTCTGTCGCACAGGCTGGAGTGCAGTGGTGTGACCACAGCTCACTGCAGCCTCAACCTCCTGAACTCGAGCAATCCTCCTGCCTCAGCCTCCTGAGTAGCTGGGAGGGAATACAGGTGTGAGTCATCATGCCCAGCTAAGTTTCTTTTCTTTATTTTTTGTAGAGACAGCATCTCTCACTTTGTTGCCCAGCTCGTCTGGAACTTCTGAGCTCAAACGATCCTCTCACCTCTGCCTCCCAAAGTGCTGGAATTACAGGCATGAGCCACTTGCACCCAGCACCATTTTCTTTAAAAGCATTTTGTATGTTTACTTAATGCTGAGAAATACTCAACAGCATAATTACTCTAAATTCTACTTAAAGAAAGTTTGCAACTAAATGGTTCTATGATGCAGCACCTTTCCTTCCTCATGAAACTTTTTCTCTGTTCTCCCAGGACTTCCCCAGAAAATTCCCTTCCTACCCAACAGCACAGCTGCCTTTTCCTTCTGCACTGCCACTTCCTGAGTGTGCATTCATTCTCACAGCGAGATTTCACTGGCCGAAGCATATATTTGACTCTCTATCACCTGTAATGCCAGCCCCAAAGCCCTTGCTGGGTTCTCCCTGCTGATATTTCTTCAAGTCCTTGGGCAAATTTCCAGGTAAGCCCACAGAAAAGACCACATGGCTCAAACCCTTTCCTCTTATTGCCAACCACTCTCTATGGTAGGAATGGGTCTCTCCTTCCTGCTAAGCTATGAAAAGCGGTCTCCTGTTCCCCTGGCCTGCTCAAGAGCTACTTCTGTAAGTGACAGCTGCCACTTTTCCTGGGCACCTCAGTTTTCCACTGGGCGCTCCTGCTGCCTGTAAGCTGGTGGCCGCAAGGTGCTGAAGTTTAGCTATGCTCTGGGCATGAGGGGGTAAGGTTTCTCCATCCAGGCTTCAGTTAGTACCTTTCCAGATGGTACCAAAGCATGTTACTTTTGCTCCAAAGTCTTAAGCTGTTTTGAAAGGGGAATGACCACTTCCATTTTTTACCAACAATCCCTATTGACCAGCAGCCAGCCCGTACTTCCTCCCTGCCCATCCCCTACCCCTTGCCTAGTCCTTAGAGCATGAATAGCTTTAAAAAAAAAATCCACACAAGGAATCAGTCCTCCCTTCCAATTTCTGGTTGATATCTCTGGGCCCTGTACCCCTTCCCCTAGGATGAACAGTCTCCTAGGAGGCTCCCCAGTGCCTCCTGAAAACAGACTTTCAGCAGGCCAGCTACACCTGAAGCCCACTGAAAGAATATCTTAGGCTCAAATTGGAATCCCCCATTCCCCAGTCACAGGTGTAAAGTGCTACAAGTTGGGAAGAAGGACCCTTCAAGAAGGGCTGGAGAGAGCAGAGAGGGCTGGTGTTTCCTGACTGCACAGCACTTTGCTTGGCATTCACGGACACATCCTTTCCCAACTCAAGATGACTATATTCTGAATCCACTGCAAATGAAAATGGTTGTTTAATAGTCCCTGATTTCTAACAGTTTATAATCTAACTCTTTAAGATGAGCAAACATGTGTTTTAAAATACACATTTTTAGTTCGAAATGTTGGTGGAAAGCGCAACAGTGACTAATAATATGCTGTTTGCCATTGCTTCTCCTACTGGTGCTGGAGAAAGTAAACGGAACTGATGGTGGAAATGACAACATGTGCAAGGCCCCATCAATCAGCAACACTGAGGCATTTCGCTCAGTCATCCCCAGAATCCAAACAGACTTCTATGATCCAATAGAGTTTGGGAAATTCACACACATCCATACAACAGAAACACTCCTTTTCATCATAAAAAGAGAAAATGAACAATGACAGAGTACTGAGTGCCTACTACTTGAGTTCCAAGAACTACATACGCTAAAATACTAAGCAAGCATCTCAAAGTCACGTAGCTAATAAGTAGAGGACCTAAGATGTAAACCAAAACCTATCTGACCCCATAGCTTGTGTACATTCCAACATGGTACAGCATGGTACCCTAATCAATAACCTACTAAAATTAATAATAAAGCATGTCTTAGTTAAGTAGATTTTTCTTAACTCCAGTAACATTAATATTATGTTGACACCAGCCCAACTGAGATATGTCCACCATTAAATATGAAAATATTACTATTAAAAGAGACTAAGCCATAGACGGAAGAGCCACAATAAAACCCATTCTGACGGCAAGGAGATGCATACTAACAAAATTTCAGTAACAATGACACAAAAACCATCAGGGCAAATAAATATTGTGTGGTATTTTCTCTGGATACATCAAAGATAAAATGCAGATAATAGATAAAAGAATCAAGGGTACTTCTTGCCTAGTTAAGGTTCAGGAAGTCAAGCCTGGGCTTTATTTAGAAAAATGGAAAATATAAAACCTGTCTCTCTGTGAAACACCAAAAAAGCTGATGAGATGGCTTTAGAATTGCTAAGCTGATGCATATATATATCAGGAGGATTGGCTCTAAAGGCAAAGACACCTGAGTTTCAATCAGAGGATGACTGCTATGTGCCTTTAATCAAGTTAAGTTCTGAGTTTAGGCAGCTACTCAGATGAATTCCCTTGACCACATCAGCTCATGGAATAATGAGAAAATGCCCCCTCCCAGGGTAACTCTGCGTTTGCTGAAGCAAATACATCTTTGAAGAGTGCTTGCTGTCTCTTTTCACTGATGACAGATGAGGCCAGTCCTTTTTATGGGAAAGCCTGTGACCTCGTAACTGATATGTTGGTTTGAGATGATGTGGCACTTTCTCTGATGTCACTGAGACAGATGTCACTGCCTGCAGCAATGGGAGCTTGGATGACAGCCCCCACCCTACTTGCATGAAGGGCTGGGTGGAGAAAAGACAGCCAGCAGATGAAATGGAAAAGTTATTTTTAAACTACAGCTATAAAAAGTCAACCGCAGGACAGATCCAATGGTGCCTATGAAGCTCAGTATAAACTTCCTCTTTATTATTGTATTTTAAATCATCAGTGATCATGGCTAATTATGGCCTTAATGAATTCTTGGGCTTCCGGGAACAAAATCTTAATTTAGAGAAAGGAATACTCTTAGCATACGTTTATCTGGGCCAACAGATTTTTCACAATTTGTTAAATTGGAGTGTCCAACACTTGATTGAAAATGTGGATTTTGTCCTGTGGTGAGATGTAAAAATAAACTCAGTGGCTATCCTCATGCAGTTCCTTGCAAAAGAGCAGTGGAAAGCAGCTGTCAGCCTTGCCCAAAATAAACCATCACCCTGTATCTTGGGAGGCATATCAAAGGAAATTGGGCAAAACATTCAAAAGAATCCAAGAGTGGGAGACACAATCTTACAATAACTGGGAAATGCATCAACAGTCTCATGTTTTCTTTGTCTTTGGTTTAATTTTGCTTTTTGTGTGTGTTTCCTTATTTACAAAAGAAAGAATGAGAACAGTCATACAGTTATTGAATGTTGGACTTTGAACATTCAGGAACCTAATTTCCCACTGGAGTCAGAAACCAGGAGCAGGAAAAAAAAAAGTGGTGGTTCCCAATTATTTGCTGTGTTGGGAGCTTCAACTTAGGCCCTCTCTGTAGACATACTTTCTTTTTTTTTTTTGAGACGGAGTTTCACTCTTGTTGCCCAGGCTGGAGTGCAGTGGCGTGATCCAGGCTCACTGCAACCTCCGCCTCCCAGGTTCAAGCAATTCTCCTGTGTCAGCCTCCTGAGTAGCTGGGATTACAGGCATATGCCACCACGCCCGGCTAATTTTTTTTGTATTTTTAGTAGAGATGGGGTTTCACCATGTTGGTCAGGCTGGTCTTGAACTCCTGACCTCAGGTGATCCGCCCACCTCGGCCTCCCAAAGTGCTGGGATTACAGGTGTGAGCCACCACACCCAGCCACACATACTTCCATCAAATCTTACAACACATCTTAGAAATGGAACTCTCTGGGGAGTGGTGTGTGCGGGTGCACATATGTGTGTGTGTGCCCATATGTATGTGTGTAAACTATTCCCTGGGTAAATCAGCCTCCTTCAGAGATGAAGGAACTTTTTCACAGCCTTATGGAAGCACCTAGAGCAGTCATTTCCAAATTCCAAATCATGAACCATTTGTGGGTTTGTGAAATCAATTGGGTTGTGACTGATATATGTTTTTAATGAAATGGAGTCAAATAGAATACACAATATCAGAGGGCATTGTATGCTGTAAAGAACTATCGATTTGTGAAGCATTCATATTAGTGAGGTGTATGATGTATATGTACATGTTCATGTGGTAGTCTGGTGTGCCATTTACACTACATAAAATGTAAAATAATTGTACAATCAAAAAAGCCTGAGTGTTACTTATCTAATGCACACAATTAAAAAAAAAAAAAAACAACTTGGTCAGGCACGGTAGCTCATGCCTATAATCCCACTACTTTGGGAGGCTGAGGTGAGCGGATCACTTGAGGTCAGGAGTTCGAGACCAGCCTGGCCAACATGGCAAAACCCTGTCTCTACTAAAATATAAAAATTAGCCAGGGGTGGTGGTGTGTGCCTGTAATCCCAGCTACCTAGGAGTCTGAGGAACAAGAATCGCTTGAACCCGGAAGGCAGAGGTTGCAGTGGGCCGAGATCACGCCACTGCACTCCAGCCTGGGTGACAGAGCAAGACTCCATCTCAAAAAAACAAAACTCAGGTGATGATCAGGTGACCTCATGATGGAAGAGATGAGCATCCATGTCCTTCTGAGGCAAAATCCCCCCTGAATCCCTTCCCACCCCACCCGAGTCACATCTAGAGTTAGTGCCTGGGAGGTTCTGAGGTGAGAAGGGGGTGTCCAACAGCTGAAACCTCTACCTCAAAATCCTGGGATGGAGGGCAGGGAGGTGGCGGGATACAATGTTAATAATTATAAGTTCTACACATTTCATAAGGATATTTAAGGAAAATCATGAACAATCTCAAAGACATTTAAATACTAAAGTGTGTCATACACAAAAGACAACCATATCAGCTCAAACTCCTAAACCTTGAGTAAATACCTATATGTTTATGGCCTTTTACTTAAGTTTTGAAGGTTGTTCATGGGGCTCTGGCCTAAATGAAAAAAAAAAGCGTATAAATTTTCTCCTTTTTCTTCCTGTGTTAATTGCTACATTACAAGAGGCTTCTTTATTTTGTAGGAACCAGAGGGCATTTCTGAAATGCTATATTACCTACTGGCCCAGGAACAAACACTGGCCAAGGAACAAAAACTGAGGCTGTGGAATTTTGAACTTTACACTAAATTACACTAAAATGCCTTTTAAATCCCTCTGGGGAACTTAGTTTAGTACCCAATAATCCTTTGAAGTTTGAAATATTTCCATGTGGAAAGAAAGTTCACACTCTTCACACAACCAGAAGTTAGAGATAATGCAGAAATGAAAAGTGAATTAAAACCAAGGTAAAAGTGTACAGTAGAGTAACTTGGGTCATTTATCAGTCCTCAAATAGCTTCTTTGTGTGCAGCTGGGGGTGGGTTCAGCCAGTTATTGTCAGTCTAAGAGAGAAGAGATGAACCCACACACAGAAAACCATAATAGTGTGTAGGGAACAAATACACAAAATTAGTGCAAACAGACACAGCTGTGTGGGCTAAACAAACAGACCAGGAGAGCCAGAATCCAGTCAAAACCCAGTAGACTTGGCTGGAAAGACCTTTAATAGGAATCATATAGAGATTGTCAAGAACAAGAAAAGTAGAGTTAGAAAGACTATAGCTAAGAGGAAGATCAAAGAAAAAGATTAAGGAATTTTATTTCTGATAACAATAGAGATAAATGTCAGGCAAGCATGTCCCTTAATTCTGTGAGGTCTGAGGAAAGTGTACAAATGAAGTCCACATGCCACACATCTTAAGGTTTCTACAAGTCAAGCAGCCCAACACCTGCTCCTTCCGGCTCCCTCTATGGCCAGGTTTGAACAGAATTCTTGGACTTCCCAGGGCTGCTTGCCAAAATGTGGTAGTATAAGCAGAATTACTCCAGGCCTCAGCCTGCTCCACACCGTTGGAGAGAGACAGTCTCTTGGGTCTTCTTGTGTTCCTACACATTCTGCTGTGGATGCCAAGATGGAAAGGCTCTCACTGCTCTTTTATGATGGGCCACCTCTCAAGGTTGTTATGAAGCTGGTAACCTGGACAGATGAGGTAATGTCTCTCCCTGGGCAAGAAGCAGGTTTACTGATTGCTTGCTATAAAAGCAGTGGATTCTCCAAGCTCAGGCTTCCTTAGCTGTGACACAATCCCCACTGAGAGCACAGCATCCACCCGGATCTGTCCTGGCACCTGGGGGCAAGGAGAACTGATACATATATGCTGCTGCTCACTCTGTCTACTGAGCAATAGAATCCTTTGTCTTTGACCCAGGAATCTCATATCTTCTATAAATAAGGCTAAATTGAATCCAGACCTGACATATTGTGAAGGATGTCGTGCACACACCAGGCCTGGTTCAAACTCCATATGCAGCCCTCACAAAGAGCTGTCTCTGTCTACCCCATTGGCTTCAGGGGTGCCCACTGGTCACCAGGTTTGCCCTTCGGAGAACAGATTTGGGGTAGAAGTCCACATAGGCCCTGGAAATGAGCTAAGACCTTTGGACAGGGAATTCCAGGATCCTAGGTACTGGAGTAAGTTCTAGAGGGCTAGGGTGAGAGCTCCAGATGGATGCATCCCCTTGGTCCTGCCAACTACACATCCCATGGAGGGGGACATGGCTGAAGGAGAGCCAGCACAGGGCCCTCTAAAACACTGAGTCCAAATCAAGGGCCCTTGTGTCCAAGTCTAAAGTTGGCTCTTGCTGGGGCAAGGTCCTTGAAGGAGCAAGAGGTATAGCAGCAAGAGAAACCAAAGTAAGGACCAGTTCAAAAGTTAAGTGACCAAGTTCTCGTCCCCATTCTACCTCTAAATGTTAAGATGACTTTAACCCCACCAGGCCTCAGTTTCTCCTTCTGTAAAATAAGGTGATTAGCAGTTCAATACAATGATATCTAAGGTGTATCTCAAGTCTAAGCTCCTATGATTCTACAAATCCATGCTCAAGGAGAAAAGCTGTAGCTCACAGCCCTAAAGATGCCTGAGAACAAAATAAGAAATAAATGGAGCAAACTGAGCCACAAACGCCTACAACTAATGGGCCGGGCAGTGTATGTGCATCACTCATGCAGAAGAAAACTATACCAGTGGGAAAAAATGACAAGATTTCTCAGGGATGAGACCAGGGTGGGGCCATCCAGAAAGCTTGCAGCTTAGAGAGGTGCATTCACTTAGAAAAGCCAGAAGGATTCTCTAGCAGCCACACAGGCACTGCTCAGACACCAGCAAGTGAAAATGTATTTCTTGATGGAGCACAGGAAGAAGGGCCCCCTGGGAAACCATCTCACTCCCATCTTACACATTTCCTGATAGCATGCAATTAGCGGATCACCTCAGCAAAGGAAGTGTGAAGGTGCTTTCGCACCACTTCAGCTCTGTTCCCAGAGTCTCCCAGAGAAAAACTGAAGAAAGATGAAAAAGACTTCCTCATCTACTCTCCCGGCCCTGTCCTCTTCCACTCTCCATAGCTCAGATAAAAGATCTTTTCATCTAGAAATCAATAATAGGCTAGGTGGCTGCTGCTGAGTCCAGTACAAAAAAAAAAAGAAAGAAAACCATACTCAGGATTGACTCATAATCTGAGCACAAATTTTCATCTGGGTAGATGCGAAAGTCCCCTGTGGGGTATTGTATAGGGGTGGAAAAAAGTAAAGAGGTATCATTTTCTTTCATTTGGTCAATGATGAAACAGCCACTCACCTTCCCTGCCATGCCATGCATATGAAACAATGGCCCCCAAGGCCTCTCCACCCCCCATTTCTGGTGACCCAGGATCCTCTTCACTTATCAAAGTTGTTCTACTTCCATCCAGCTGCCTCTGAAGAATGATAATATGAGAAGCATCAACAGGAACACACACACAGGTGTGCATTCCCCAGCCCAGCCCTGCACACTGCCCAAACACTGGTCACCTGCATGGGGTGATGTGAGTAAAGGGTCCCAACGTCTTCCCTTGCCCAGTACCCCAATCACCAGCTCCCCATGGCTGGCTCTAGGGCAGGGCATTGCCAATGCTTACATCAGTCATTTTGGTTACTGTGGTATTCTCTGAGCGCCACAGACGCCCTCGGCAGAAAACAAAGAGAAAGGGGGAAGAGCAGTTAGAGGAACTCTAGGTCTATTCCCCATTTGAGCGAAGCAGCCCTGCTTTTATCTATTTCCCTCTCAAGCCAAAATACATTAAAAGCTACTGGTTTTGTTTGTTTGTTTTGAGATGGAGTTTTCCTCTTGTTGCCCAGGTTAGAGTGCAATGGCGTGATCTCGGCTCACCGTAACCTCCGTCTCCCAGGTTCAAGTGATTCTCCCGCCTCAGCCTCCTGAGTAGCTGGGATTACAGGCACACGCCACCACGCCCAGCTAATTTTGTATTTTTAGTAGATATGGGGTTTCTCCATGTTGATCAGGCTGGTCTCGAACTCCCAACCTCAGGTGATTCACCAGCCACGGCCTCCCAAAATACTGGGATTACAGGTGTGAGCCACCGCGCCAGGTCTTAAATATTATGATCTTAGGAGGTCCCCGCTACAATTATCTGTGGGAAGATCACAGATGAATCCATTGCCAGCCATTACTACCATAAAAGCGTTATCCACGAGGAGAGGTGAGTCTTGAAGAGGGAGAAGAAATGGGAGAAGAAGACACACAGAGCCACTGCGCTCCTGAGACTCAAGGGAAGGCACAGAGTACAGGGAAGGAGGCCAAGGGGAAGAGGAACATCGACAAACTTGTTCTGCTTTGTAAGTAAAATAAGCCAGACAAAGACAAATACTGTATGGTATCACTTACATCTAAAGAAAAATTTAAGTCAAACTCACAGAAACAAGAGAATAGAAAGGTGGTCACTGGGCACTGGAAGTGGGAGAACTGGTCAAAGAATACAAACTTTCAGTTATAAGGTAAATACATTCTGAGGATCTACTGTACAGCATGGTGACTGTAATTAAAAATGCCATATTATATACTAGAAGTGTGCTAAGCATTGGCACCAAAAAGAAAAAGAAAAAAAAGGTAATTATGTGGAGTGATGGATGTGTTAATCAGCCTGATTGTGATAATCATTTCATAATATATGCATACATCAAATCGTTACATTGTATACTGTAAAAATATGCAATTTTGTCAATTATGCCTTAATAATGCTGACAACAAAACACATAAACAAAAAACTTTCCCTGCTTTAACAGGTGGCTAAGCTAGCCCTGGTCACATTCAGTAACAGCAGACTGTCAGGGAAGGCTCAGATCCCAATAGCATGAAGTAGATTATTATTATTATTATTTGAGACAGAGTCTCGCTCTGTCGCCCAGGCTGGAGTGCAATGGCACAATCTCGGCTCACTGCAGCCTCTGCCTCCTAGGTTCAAGCGATTCTCCTGCCTCAGCCTCTCGAGTAGCTGGGATTACAGGTGTCTGCCACTACGCCCAGATAATTTGTGTATTTTTAGTAGAGATGGGGTTTCACCATGTTGGTCAGGTGATCTCTGACCAACAGGTGACCCACCTGCCTCGGCCTCCCAAAGTGCTAGGATTACAGTCATGAGCCACTGCGCCTGATCAAGGTAGATTATTTTTAATGGTGAGTCAAAGATCCTGTAGAAATGTATGAGAATATGTCCAGTGTTTTGTTATGTGGAAATAGTTCTTAACAAAGAAGTATGTACAATATAAATACATACACATAAGATATTCCAAAACATAAAGATACCTCTGAGTGAAAGGATTCTTTTTTTTTCCTAAATTATTTTTACAAGGAGCACATATTATGTATGCATCTTCCTTAAGTCGAAACGTATGATAAACAAGTAAAACTATATCAAACTAAAAAGCTTCTGCACAACAACAACAAAAATTAACAAAATGAAAAGGCAGCCCACGGATTGGGAGAAAATGTTTGCAAACCATATAAACCATCATGAGGGGTTAATATTAAAAACATATGAGGAACTCATACAACTCAATATCAAAAACAACCAATTTTAAAAAATGGGCAAAGAATCTGAATAGACATGTCTCTAAAGAAAACATAAAAATGGTCAACTGGTATATGAATAGGTGCTCACTGACACTAGTCATCAGAGAAACGTAAATCAAAACCCTACATGATATCACTTCACATCTGTTAGTACTATCATTATAAAAAAGACAAGGCGCGAAAAGTGTTGGCAATGGTGTGGAGAAAAGGGAACCCTTCCACACTGTTAGTGGGAATGTAAATTAGTAAAACCATTATGAAAAACAGTGTAGAGGTTCCTCAAAATATTAAAAATAGAACTAGCATATAACCCAGCAATCCCTCTGCTGGTATATACCCAAAGACAATGAAATCAGCATCTCATGGTTACTTGTGTACCCATGTTCATTAACGATGAAGAGTCTTGCTTTAGAAAAATATTCTGCTAATAACTGGAGGAGAAATGATAGAATTCTATAAGGCTACTTTCAAACCCCTAATGTATTGATCTCTCTAGCCAATAAGTATACATTGTGGAGAACCGAATAACCAATTTTTATGTTCCTTCTGATGGAGGCATGTAGTGGAACCTATGAAGAATTCTTACCAAAAACCAAAACCAAACAAAGTAGAGTCTGTAGTGGACGAAGGACTGTGCTAACGGACACCACAAGGACATTACAGGTAAACTAAGACCAGGAAGACTCTACAGGACAACTGACTCGGCCTTTACTAAATAACAGCAAAGACATGCAAGAGAACTTACAGACAAAAAGATATGTAATGGACATATCAAACAGTTTGAACACATGGACCTTATTTGGATATCTGATTCAAACAAGCAAACAAAAATAAAAATGTGGAAGGAGGGAGGGAGGGAGGGAGGAACAAAGGAAAGAAGGAAAGGAAGGAAGGAAGGAAGGAAGGAAGGAGGGAGAAAGGAAGGAGAAGGGGAAAGGAAGGAAGGGAAGGAAGAAAGGAAGAAAAAAGAAAGAAAGAAAAAGAAAGAGAAAGAAAGAAAAGGAAGAAAAAGGAAAGAGAAGGAAGGAAGGAAGGAAGGAAGGAAGGAAGGAAGGAAGGAAGGAAGGAAGGAAGGAAGGAAGGAAGGAAGGAACACGCAGCACAGTCCACCTGCAGAGGAGAGGAGAGACTTCCCAGGCAAGGTAGTGGGGTCGGTCCTTCTCCCTCACACACCCGGACTTCGCCCCAGCACATCCCTGCTGTGCCTCTGCTGCCCCCATGTGGCCCAGGGAAGGCCTGACACGGAGCCTGTAGAGGACGAAACCTGAACACAAACTCCAAGGAGGTCTTTGCTCTTCCCCTTTTCGCCAATTCTTGGCCAGGATTTGTCCCACCCACCCATGAACATGGGGCTGCTGCGGAAGCAAGTGCCAGGATGGGTGCCGGGAACGCCTATCGGCTCAGGATGCTAAAAACATGCATACATATGCTGGCTCGGGGAGCAGGATCCAGAGAAACAGAGCCGCCTCAGGCAATCCCCCCAGGGAGAGGAAGTGGAGATAAAAACAGAGGAAGCCCCAGCAGACTAACGGCCAAAGGCAAGCAGTGAAACCAGCTCCCTTGCCTCATGAGATCAAGGTAATGCCACACTAAGTTGGTGGCACTTCCTCCCTTTGGGCAGTCTGTCTTACAGAGCACTTGGGGTGAACTGCCCCTGACTGCTATCTGAGCACACATTCCCAGAAATGCAGAGAAAATTTCAGGGGGATCCCACTGGCGGTAGTTTTAGCTTATGTCTATATTAGCTGGCTTTTTGAGCAACAAACCATGAAGCATCAGGAAACGGGAATTAAATTCATTTGTTATTATCAAATAACATGCAAAGAGATTTAAACTGATCCCTTAATATTTGCACAATTGTTACTGGGCATTAACACTGACCCTTAATCTGATTAAATTTTTGTTTACCCAGTAAGTCCATTTTTCTCTGCTTAATTTGTTGGATCTCTAACACTCAGGGTGACAGGAGTCTCTAAGAAATAATTGTCACAGCACAGGTATGTATCATGTGTGCACATGAACACATACATTCTGGATGAAACTCCCCAAAAGCCAGTTTCTTAACCCTGCACTTTCACCCCTTTCTCTTGCATATGAGCCAGGCATAAACCTCCATATACTCCTCCCACATCCAGGCTCCAGAGCCAGACTGCCTGGGTTCAAATGCAGCTTTAGCGGTTACTGTGTGACCTTGGACAAATCACCTAGACTTTCCGAGTTTCAGTTACCTCCTCTATATAGTGAGGATGATAATAATGGCATCTCATAGGGCTAAATGAGTTCATAGCTGTAAAGTGCTTAAAATAGCACTGGGCACAGCAAGTGCTAGAGGAATTTATCAACTTGGTACCGTTACAATTTTTGTAAAATGGGTTTGAAATGCAATTAATAAACTAGCTAATTTTAAAAAACTAATTTAAAAAACAATGATTTGCAGCCGGAGCAGTGGCTCAGACCTGTAATTCCAGCATTTTGGGAGGCCAAGGTGGGGGCGGATCATGAGGTCAGGAGATTGAGACCATCCTGGCCAACATGGTGAAACCCCATCTCTACTAAAAAAAAAAAAAATACAAAAATTAGCCGGACGTGGTGGCGCGTGCCTGTAGTCCCAGCTGCTCAGGAGGCTGAGGCAGGAGAATCACTTGAACCCGGGAGGCAGAGCTTGCAGTGAGCCGATATCATGCCACTGCATTCCAGCCTGGGCGACAGAGCAAGACTCCGTCTCAAAAAAAAGAAAAAAAAAATACCAATGATTTTCTCTTTTTTTAAACTAATAAGTATCATTTGCTACTAAAATTAGATTATAATGAAGTGGCCAGTGCCTCCTTGGTCACCTCTAAATTTTGATGTCATTTTCAGGAGAATCAGGCTTGTTGATCTTATTCTCCTCCAAGCCTCTTTTTTAACCCCCTAGTCATAGTCCTTGTCATGATCAGCTTCTTCTTCAATCCTGTATCATTTAGGAAAAGTAAAGAATATGCATGTATGTGTACATGTATGTGCATATGAGAGTGTGTACATATGTGTATTGTGGATGTGAACATGAGAGCATGTGTGCATATGTGTTTGTATATGTGCAAGAGTAGCACGTGTGCATGCGTGTGTGTGTAGCAGGAGTGGGTGGGTGGAGTTTGGCCATGCTGAGCATCTCAGCACAACTGCACTTTCACTGTGACCTCCTCCACTTTTCTGCCATCCCTGGTTCTGGATTCTATCCTCTTCCTTCCCCATCTTCCATTGGTAGCGCAATCAGCTCTCAGTCCAGTGACACTTACCTATTAGTGTTCTCTAGAACCTCTACCTTCTTCCGAAGCTCCAAGTTCTCAGTTGAACAAGACTCCACTCTACAAAGGAGGGAGAAAGAAGAAAATTATTATCCATAGAGCAAACACTAAGCTAGGAGCTAGGGTGGAGGTAGGTGGGGATGAGGAAAAGGAGGGTTGGGGGGATCTGCCACCCCATGGAAGTGTGGGAAAGTATTGAAAGAAGGATGAAGAGACTTAAGAAAAAAAAAAAAATAGGCCGGGCACGGTGGCTCACGCCTGTAATCCCAGCACTTTGGGAGGCCGAAGCAGGCGGATCACAAGGTCAGGAGATAGAGACCATCCTGGCCGACATGGTGAAACCCTGTCTCTACTAAAAATACAAAAATTAGCTGGGCGTGGTGGCACGTGCCTGTAATCCCAGCTACTCGGGAGGCTGAGGCAGGAGAATCGCTTGAACCCAGGAGTCAGATGTTGCAGTGAGCCAAGATCGCCACTGCACCCCAGCCTTGTGACAGAGCAAGATCTGTCTCAAAAAAAAAAAAAAAAAAGAAAAATAGAAGGAGCTGGGGCCGGGCGTAGTGGCTCATGTCTATAATCCCAGTAATTTGGGAGGCTGAGGCAGGCAGATCACTTGAGGTCAGGAGCTCAAGAATAGCCTGGCCAACATGGTGAAACCCCATCTCTACTAAAAATGCAAAAATTAGCTGAGCATGGTGGTGTGTGCCTGTAATCCGAGCTACTTGGGAGGCTGAGACAGAAGAGTCACTTGAACCTGGGAGGCAGAGGTTGCAGTGAGCCAAGATCATGCCACAGCACTCCAGCCTGGGCCACAGAGCGAGACTCTGTCTCCAAAAAAAAAAAAAAAAAAGAGGGAGCTGAGTGATGAGTGCCTGAATAATGAAAGATGAATAGTGACAGTACAAAATATGACCCTCTTTTAGGGTGTTACAACCTCTTTCCTCTCACCTCCTCCCTAGTGTTCTCAATGCCCATCATACTTCTCCCTCTATACTACAGTAATCTGGATACTCCCAGCTACACTCTTACCAGGACTGATAAGAAGTGAAGAGACTTAAGCAAAGGGCAGGACGAGAGCCCAGGACTAGGAATCCTGGTGCTGGGGCACGCATGCCCAAAAGAGACAGTAAAGAGACTTTCATAGGAACATCTTGACCCTGGATGCCCATAGAAAATGGTGGGACAGCATGGGACTACAGTCTTCCCACGGTATTCAGGGGGGATTAGTTCCAGAACTCCCCACAGATACCAAAATCTCCAGATGCTCGAGTCCCTGATTAAAAAATGGTGTAGTATTTGTATATAACCTTTACATATCCTCCAGTATATGTTAATCATCTCTAGGTTATTTATAATACCAAACACAATGTAAATACTATGTAAATATGTGTTATCTTGTATTTATAGTTGTATTATTTTTTATTGTTGTAGTTTTTTTTTATTGAGTTGTTTGGTTTTGGCTTTGGTTTTTTGAGACAGAGTCTCACTCTATCATCAAGGCTATAGTGCAGTGGCACAATCACAGCTCACTGCAGCCTCAACTTCCTGGGCTCAAGTGATTCTCCCCTCTCAGCCTCCTGAGTAGCTGGGACCACAGATGTGCACCACCATGCCTGGCTAATTTTTTTTTATTTTTTAGGGGGTCTGGCTATGTTGCCCAGGCTGGTCTTGAACTCCTGAGCTCAAGCAATCCTCTCACCTTGGCCTCCCAAAGCACGGGGATTATAAGAGTGAGCCATCACACCCAGCCTATTGAAGTTTTTTTCTGAATATTTTAGACCCATGGTTGGTTGAATCTGAGGACGCTGAACCCCCAGATATGGAGAGCCAACTATACTTAATGCTGCATTACCAGTACTTAAGTCAGGTGATAGAAGCACTAAACTTTCAATAGTAGCTTTGAGAAACAGCCAGGAACCACCAGCCACTCCTTTCCCCAGATCCACATGAAGTTCATTTCTGGGTCTGGGGCCTCATGCCCATCTTAAAAATATCTTGGTTTGTTAGCTAAAGAACTAACTTCCAGGGCTAAGACAAAACTGTATTTAATTCATCTTTTTCTAACAGCCCGCCTGATATTACAGACTTTTCAAAAGAACAAAGATTGCCTTCAAGTGTTTTTGCAAAAAAAAAAAAACATGAATTGTAGTGGCTGGAAAATAAAGGCTGCCAACCTGACATCTTTCTTTCCCTATGTGCCCTCTCTAGAGCATGAAGGAGTGTGGCCAATGGGGGCTGATTAAGTAGCACTGCTCCTTTCAGCTAAAACAGGGCTTCTCCTGCTAGAAGTTCCAGGAATGTGCAGGAATGTTAATATTTGTATGTGTTTGAAAAGAAGTCTGTGAGGACTCCGGGGTCCTTGGCTGGCAGTGGTATGATTCAAACACCTACTAAGGTACTTTCACTTCTTTCTTGCTTTATTATAGACGTCTCCTCCAAATAACCACTAGGTGGCAGGCAAACCACAGCTGATAAACCACCGGGTTTCCAAGGTGGCCAGAAAGAGGAATTGAACTGCTTCTCCCCGATTCTCCGCACACCCATATTTCCCTGTGCATACTGCCCGATGAACGCAACAGTTTGCCAGCAGGCTTACTTTTTCTCCAGGCTGTCCATGTATTCTTTCTTCTTTCTCCTACTTTCCTGAGCAGAAATCTGAGAGAGAGGAGTGGGAGGAGAATGATTAATTTCCAGCTCTGTAAGTAAACCAGTTAAGATGGGAGGTGGTTAGCGTAGAAGTCACCAAAGCCCTGCTTACTTCTGCAAGCTGCTTGCCATTTGTTTAAGCTGCTGGTTCATTGACTAGTCTGTCCTCCCGGGTTTCTAGCTGCCAAACTCACACCTACTTTCCTACAAACCAGGCCACCAGTAAAATGGACACTGAGTGGCCAGGAGCAGTGGCTTACACCTGTAATCCCAACACTTTGGGAGGCTGAGGTGGGCGGATCACTTGAGGTCAGGAGTTCGAGACCAGCCTGGCCAACATGGTGAAACCCTGTCTCCATTAAAAATACAAAAAAATGGCAGGCGCAGTGGCTCTAGCCTGTAATCCCAGCACTTTGGGAGGCCAAGGCGGGTAGATCACCTGAGGTCAGGAGTTCAAGACCAGCCTGGGCAACATGGTAAAACCCCGTCTACTAAAAATACAAAAATTAGCTGGGCGCGGTGGTGCATGCTTGTAATCCCAGCTAATTGGGAGGCTGAGGCAAGAGAATCGCTTGAGTCCGGGAGGCAGAGGTTGCAGTGAGCTGACATTGTGCCACTGCACTCCAGCCTAGGTGACAGAGAGAGACTCCATCTCAAAACAAAAAACAAAAAACAAAAAAATTAGCCGGGCATGGTGGCACACGTCTGTGGTTCCAGATGCTTGGGAGGCTGAGGTAGGAGAATCACTTGAACCTGGGAGGCAGAGGTTGCAGTGAGCCGAGATCATGCCACTACACTCCAGCCTGGGTGACAGAGTGAGACTCTGTATGAAAAAAAAAAAAAAGAAAGAAAGAAAAGAAAAGAAAACAATGGACACTGAGTGAAGAGCCAGGCCAGAACATGTGGCTCACAAACCATCAGTGTGGTCTCAGATAAATGAGTTTAACTCCTGGACCTCTGCTGGCTGAAGTACATATATAAAATAAGACAGCTGGCTTGGTCATACATCAACTTGCTGCTGGTTCCGCACATGGATAGAGTGACACTAAGCTCTTGTCTTCCTTCCCTCTTTGCCCCCTCCCTCCTGGTAGGCCTGTGCCTCAGCCATCCCCCTGGTTTTCATCAGGCCTGCTCAGCACTGAGGGGCCCAGGGGTAGGAGACTACTGAGTCCAAATATAGACCAGCAAACTGCAGAAGTTTTGTGATCACAAAACCCTACCAAGAAAAAAAAAAATTAACCAAGCACTTGCAATGTATTTGTATCTTATATATATATAATATATATATATGCTGTATTTTATATAGATACATAGAGTACATATATATGTCTACTAGAGGAAACTATTGTATATATCATACACCCAAAATTTAAAAGGCTGAGTTAAAAAAAAAAAAAAAAAACTAGATGGAAATTCTAATAGCTTCCTCCCACCCGTAAATGTATCATCGTGGGCACCAAAGAGGTAGATACTGATCTGGGAGTCTGCTGGCCTCAAGAGGGATGGGATGGGCTGGAGGAAGAGAGGGGCACGTGGTGAGGGTGCTCCTCCCAGGGCTTAGGGAAGGGAAGGGCTGGGCCTTGGTCTCCACCATGGGATGGGGTAGTGCTGGCCGTTGGGAAGGCAGGGAAAGGGATGCTGACTCGATTCTGCTCGTCTCTGCTCTAGAAGTGCCTAGATTTGAAGAGCTCACCTTATTCTTGATCTTCCTCCGAATTTTCTTCAGGGCCTTCTCCTCTGATTTTGACAGGGGCAATTTGGTGGGGATGGGATAGCCCTCAGCGATCAGGGTCCTCTTCTCCTCCTCTGTCAGGACCAGAGGGCCTGATCCCTGCAGTTTCTGTGCAGACCAAGGAGCAGAAAAGGGTCAAAGAAAAAGAACTGGGACCACTGAAGAATCACCTCCCAATGGGATGATGAGAATCTGTTACAATGTCTTACAGAAGGCTCTGAGACAAGGATGCCCCATCTGCTTTGGGTGACAGATGGGTATTTTGAAGGGCATGGGAAGATGGGGAAGACACCCCCATGTGAGTGTTATAACCTAGGGATTATAATTCAAGGGAAAGAATAAAGAAGCCTCCACCCATTATTTCCCGGGAAGCACCCTACTCGCTAAAACATGAAAAGAAAAAGCAGAGAAGTCATTTCCCACATCCCTAGAGATTTCCTGGCCTTGGAGTGATGAAGGATTCATTTGCAGCCCTGCTTTGTGCAAGAATTTTGTTGTTCTCCTTCTGAAAATGCAGTTTTATAAGGTGCTCTCTACACAACAGGAGTCAATTCTCTCCTCCACTTTTAGCTAAGAGTGCAGAGCACCCAGGGACACATCTGCAGACTCTTTCCACAGAAGCCTCTGGCTTCAGCAGTCTCAGAATGTCCATCAACAATGAAGACAAGAACAGTAGCACATCTCATGGAACCCACAGTAGAATGGCATGTTTATAATTAATCAAACAGAGTCCCTATTGCATTTTAGCTCCATACTAAATGCCATGGAGGACTCAAAACAAACCCTACCTCTCAAGCAGCTTGTGATCAAGACTGTGAGACTGAACTGATACCCATGAAAGGATAAGAGTAATTAAATGCTAAACTGTAATCTTAGCTGATATGGTTTGGCTCTGTGTCCCCACCCAAATCTCATTTTATAGCTCCCATAATTCCCACGTGTTGTGGGAGGGACCCAGTGGGAGATGACTGAATTATGGGGTGAGTCTTTCCCATGCTGCTTTTGTGAGAGTGAATGAATCTCACAAGATCTGATGGTTTTAAAAAACAGGAGTTGCACTGCACAAGCTCTCTCTTTGCCTGCTGCCATCCATGTAAGACATGACTTGCTCCTCCTCGCCTTCCACCATGATTGTGAGGTTTCCCTAGCCACGTGGAACTGTAAGTCCAATTAAACCTCTTTCTCTTGTAAATTGCCCAATCTCGGGTATGTCTTTATCAGCAGCATGAAAATGGACTAATACATTAGCTAAAGGTGTACTAAAAATTTGAAGTAAGAGAACACTACTATGAGTTGTGTGATCAGGAAACGTTTAGGGCAGGAGATGAGATTTGAATTGGGCCTCCTGAAAGAAAGGGGATGATTTACATAAGAGAGAGGAGTGCATTCTAAGCAAAAGGCAGTATTTTGAAAAGTCACTGAAGAAGCCACTGCCTAGTGTGGGTAAGGAGTTCTTGAAGCAGCGGAGGGTTGGATACCTGATAATGAGTAAAGGTGTCAGGGCTTGGTACCAACAAGTAACAGGGAAATACAACATAGTTGTTGGGCAAGCATCCGACATGGGGAAGAGTTCCTCCATAAACATGTAGAATGGACAGATCATAGTAGTACACACAGGTATATAGGATACAAGCTATTCTAGTAATCCAAGGAGTGAAGTCAGGTTCAAGGTGAAAAGGTGAAGAAAGAGTGGAAGGGTGAATTCCCTTGTCCTCAGTAACGATGAAATTTAAGAATGTGGTTGCAGATCTAGAACTTTCAGGGACAGAATCAATACAAATTTTCAAAGTTATGTTAATTAATGGACGGATGGTACTTACAGAATTTTAAAACATCTCATTTCATTTAAATTTTCTAGTTGTGAGATTGTGAATTCAAAATAGCTGATTATAATTTTTAAAATTTCATAGAAATCAATTCACTCCTAGAACAATAAGGAGTTAACGATCTATTCTTCTTTATTATGGTGTCCTCATGTATGGGAGGGATGAACGAGGGGTCTTGATGTCTGATCTGAGTTTCTGGGTTAAGAGTCATATGACACACAGAAAAGGCTTAAACTGTTTTTGACCTTTAGGCATCAAAGAAATTAATCTCAGAGTAATTTTTAAGTTCACCAAAAATTGCTTCTTTAAAATATAAAAGGTATTTCCTATGACATAGGTCACAAGGACCATTAAATTAATGCAAATATTTATGATAGAACTTTGAGGAGAAAAACCCCAAATTTTTATTCCTCATGTCTATAGCTCTGTAAAATAAACATATGAATAAAAACTGGAAGTGTGCATGTGAAAAGGAAGAGAATTGTGGTAGTAAAAGGTGAGATGTGCGGGCAGTTCCTAGAAAGTGTTCTTTAGGGTTGACATCACTCTGCTTTCGCCATTAAGCAGAAACTTCTTGACAAAAGTAAAAACCAAACAGCCTTGAGTGGTCCTGCTCTGGATACAGCCCCAGGGGAATGAATGGAGAGGGTTCCCTTTGGTCCAGGAATGCCCGCTGCATACTTACATGAGGAGCCGTGAGGAGAGGGGAGCTGGAGAGGGCGGAGGGGGCCCGGGGTGCAGCTCTGGAGGGGCTGTGGGTCTGAGGCAGGCTGAAGGGGTGCAGGCGTGGGTTGGGACTCAGGCTGCCCTCTGAGTCACTGCCGTGACTGCTCGGAGGGGTGGGCGGCAAATGCAGGTGGTCCACTGGGGCTGCAAAAAAGGAAGCACATCTCATCCATCCCAGAGCCACAAAGCAGGACACAACTGATTTGTGGCATAGCAAACTAAAGTGTGAGGGGCCTCCATGAGCTGACCTGGACAGATCTCCAAGGTGCAGAGCGTGGATATGGGAGTCCTCCTTTTGTATGAAAAAGGAGAGAAAGAGGATATAGACCCACATTTGCTTATACTGGCAGAAAGAAACACTGGAAGTGAATACAAGAAACCAATAAACGTGCGACCAGGGGCCAGGCAAGGTGGCTCATGGCTGTAATCCCAGCACTTTGGGAGGCTGAGGTGGGCAGATCACCTGAGGTCAGGAGTTTGTGACCAGCCTGACCAACATGGCGAAACCCCATCTCTACTAAAAATACAAAATTAGCCTGGCGTGGTGGCACGTGCCTATAATCCCAGCTGCTACTCAGGAGGCTGAGGCAGGAGAATCGCTTGAACCCAGGAGGCAGAGATTGCAGTGAGCCGAGATCATGCTAAAATACAAAAAAAATTAGCCAGGTGTGGTGGCACACACCTATAGTCCCAGCTACTTGGGAGGCTGAGGCAGGAGAATTGCTTGAACCCAGGAGTTAGGGGTTGCAGTGAGCCAAGATCACACCACTGCCCTCCAGCCTGGGTGACAGAGCGAGAATCCATCTCAAAAAGCCGGAGTGGCTGCTTTGAAAAAAGCCGGTTTGTTTCTGGAGCAATGTGCGTGGTCATGCCCGCAGGCAAGACGCCAGGCATTCTTCATTCAGAAAACATGAAATCCATCTTCAGATACGGGAGTGAGCACAGGAAAAATAAGTGAGAGTGCAGTGGGGGGACTTTCTCCTCTAAAGTCTCCCGCGTCTTTCCTCAAGGAGGCACAACACCCTCTCTGCCAGGGCCTATGGAGCCTTGGTCAGCGTCCATCAGGCATCTCCAGGGCAGCAGAGATGGGCTTCTGAAGGAGGAATCCAACCAGGCTTCCACGTGAATGAAAGCACTCTTGGGTCTCACTGTTCTTTCTGAACAGTGCACATTTCTGTTGTACCAGCCACTGCTACTGAGCCAAGGGAGATAACTGCAGGTAAACGCTTCACTCCTGGAGCCCCCAGGACAATGGATTCCCCTGTACAGCAGCCCCGTGGTGGGCATGGCCCACACAGCTGGTTCTGCTCGGCCAGAGAACTAACTGCTGAAGGCCACGGGAAGCCTCAGCACATCACCTCCTTGTCCCTTCTTCCAATGGAGACCACCCAGCATACTATGGATGGGAAGGGCTCTCCTGAGACACAACAACTGACCCAAAAAAGATGACCTTACCCATAGCTGCCTGATATGGTTTGGCTGTGTCCCCACCCAAATCTCATCTTGAATTGTAGCTCCCATAATTCCCACATGTGGTGGGAGGGACCCAGCGGGAGATCATTGAATCATGGGGGCAGTTTCCCCCATACTGTTTTTGTGGTAGTAAATAAGCCTCATGAGATCTGATGAAACCCCTTTTGCTTGGTTCTCATTTTCTCTATTGCCTGACGCCTTGTAAAATGTGCCTTTCGCTTTCCACCATGATTGTGAGTCCTCCTTATCCACGTGGAACTGTGAGGCCATTAAACCTCTTTTTCTGCATAAATTGCCCAGTCTTGGGTACTTTATCAGCAGCATGAAAACAGACTAATACACTGCCCTCAGAGAGGATGAGCAGCAATCAGCATCTCTCTCCTGCAGGAATACCTGAATAGCCGAGGCCACAACAGGCAATGCCCCGTCAGCCAACCCTGGTCCCCCCGGCCCTGGCATGCTTTTTTTCTTCTCTCTCTCATTGCGATTCCCTGTCTCTCTCCCACCCTTTCTTTCTCTTTCTGCCACATACAGCTTTTCTCTAGATGTTTCCTCTTTCCCTTTTTCTCTGCCAGTCTTGCCAAAGAGGTCCCTGGGCTTTTTAGTCTCTGTGGGCACTCTTAAAGCTAAAGAATATGCTAAAATAATCCTAATCGCGCTATTCCCACTACTGCCACAGGTGCAGGCAGCCCAGGAAGGGAAAATATGCAGGTGCTTGGCTAAGAGTGAGGAGTCCTAAGCGTGTTAATCAAGGTTTCTCGAATGCCATGAATATTATGGCACTTCATGGTTTAAAAACAAAAAAACAAACAAACAAAAAAACGGGAAGCAGACGAACCTAATAGGGGCTTTGTGCTGTTACATTCCCAAGAACTAGCCAGGAGTACCTAGAGCCACCCTGTCCCTTTCACTTGGTAGGGGCCAAATTATTCTAATACCGTTCTCCCGTCCAAGCAGAGGGCACCCCACAAAAGACAGAAAGAGAATTTGAAGCAAGTGAAGCAAGTAAAATCTTGTCTTTCCTATCTATTAAGAGCTACAGAGCTGGCCAGAGGCACCTCAGGATCAGATTTCTAAATATCATTTGAAATGCTGCTTTTGGGTTACTGCAAGGTCTGGGGACAACAAGCTACTGTGCCTAGAAACTGATGCAGTCAAGGATATTGAATTTCCTTATCTCAGTTTATCCAGGATAATGAGGAAGGGCTGTCCTTAACTTCATTCTTGAAACATTTCTCCTCCAATAACCCTGGATTCAGAAGCCACTATGGGATTCATTGTTATGGTGATGACACTTCTGAACCACATCACAGCATAAATTAAAAGAGTAAGATGCATTTGATAGTAATAACTGGTGTTATACAAACGAAAGCAATTACTTTGAAGCAGTACATAAAGCTGAAAGGCACTACTGTCTGTCACTCAGTGCAAAGACATAGTGTCTCAATATGGATTCTAAGTATTAACTTTTACTAAGTAAATAAGTATTATTTACTAAGTATTATTTCACTAAGTATTATTAACTTTTAAAATTTAATCCTTTCTTTATTGATAATAAAGGCAAATAAAGGGCCAGCCCTGATTACATTGTTACAAACCAAATCCTGAGTTAGTTTCTAATGGAATGAAGACAGACGATATTTTCATGAGAAGTGCTCATATGTAAACATCCTCACATTTATATACCGTAGCAAATATACCTTTTCGGTGACAACTGTATAAGCCAATTTCTTATTTGTTGACCACAGTAGTGAACTGTACTTTGAAATTTGTACTGAAAGTATGAATGGGACCGGGTGAGGTGGCACATGCCTTTAATCCTAACACTTTGGGAGGCCAAGATGGGAGGATCACTTGAGCTCAGGAGTTTCAGACCAGCCTGGGCAACATGGTGAAACCCTATCTCTACAAAAAATACAAAATTTAGCTGGGCGTGGTGGTGCATGTCTGCAGTCCCCGCTACTTGGGAGGCTGAGGTGGGAGAATCGCTTGAACCCATGAGGTTGAGGTTGCCATGAGCCATGATGGCACTACTACACTCCAGCCTGAGCAACAGAGTAAGACCCTGTTTCACACACAAAAAATAAATAAATAAAAAGTATGAATGAAAAGGGAAGTGATGGCATGAGTGAAGGCACAGAAGTGAGAAGAGCAGGATGTATGCCGGAGAATCTGCATACGCAAGGCAGAGAGAGCTTCATTAGACCTCATGAGGCTCAGGGGTCTGCATCCAGGATTCCTAACTATGGGCTTCATAGGAGAACAAAGAGGGAGAAACTCAGAAAGAAACTGACATAGAGAAAGATAAATATAGAAATATAACAACCTTGGCCAGGCGTGGTGGCTTATGCCTGTAATCCCAGGACTTCAGGAGGCCGAAGCAGGCGGATTGCCTAAGGCTGAGAGTTCAAGACCAGCCTGACCAATGTGGCAAAACCTCGTCTCTACTAAAAATACCAAAATTAGCTGGGTGTGGTGGTGCACGCCTGTAATTGCAGCTTCTCAGGAGGCTGAGGCACAAGAATCGCTTGAACCTGGGAGGCAGAGGTTGCAGTGAGCCGAGATGGTGCCATTGCACTCCAGCCTGGTAACAGAGTGAGACTCTGTCTCAAAAAAAAAAAAAAAAAAGTATGATCACCTCAAGGATGTGTTAATTCTAAATGGATGGATGTCAAGAAGCCCAAAAAGATGCACAATTGTGAACCATGAACATGACCAAATAGAGAGGGGGCTCCTTGCAATAGTTGTCATTCAAAGTCAATGTTTACAAACAATGAATTGGCCACATAATTAATTGTGAATTTACTTCACAAAGAGTTGAAACTAGAGTTGTTTGAAATAAGCAAGGTGCTTTTGTAGATGGTTGTTGATTTGTGGGGCTACGTAGGGTTCACGCCTGGATGAATAAGGGCTGCAGTTCTCTTGTTCGATAGTGTTTGTAGTAGCAGTCCATAAAAGTTTTGAAAAATATCACCCTGGTTAGAAGTAAAAGTATGGTAACACTTAGCTGAAATTTAATCACGTGCATATATGGGAAAATAATAGTTAGCTTGCAAAATTTTTATTTGGAAGCAAAATTTTTATTTTTTAAGAACAGAGCTATTTCATAAAGCCAGCTACAACATCTGTGGTACAAACTCATCCCAGCTCTCTCGCCATATTCCCTCTCTGTAGACCCAGAGACCATATCCATAACCCAAAGGGACACAGGGAGGGCAGACAGACCTTCTTTAGGAGAGAAGTTTAGAAACTGATCCACTTCATGAGGCTCCAGCTTAATTTTAGGAATAATGGTCTGGCACGAGGAATCAACCTGGAGGAAGAATTTCAAACACAATTTTTAAAAACCAATCACAGCCTTGAAGACACATGCAGGAGAGCTATTTGTCACCTGTGTCTTCCTCTCGGGACAGCCCTGCCTATCCTGGAGAATAGCTGAGTGTAGGCAACTTCCCTGACAGGGAGTCATTTTAGTTCTTAACCTTTTTCTCATTGCCAAACTTGGCATTACAGCTGACAGGACCTTCAGAACTTCCTTGAGACCACCCTGGGTAACATAGTGAGACAACGTCTCCCCAAAAAAATACAAAAATTAGCCAGTTGTGATGGCGTGCACCTGCAGTCCCAGCTACTTGGGAGGCTGAGGCAGGAGAATCACTTGAACCCAGGAATTTGAGGCTGCAGCGAGCTGTGATCATACCATTGCACTCCAGCCTAGGTAACAGAGTGAGACCCTATCTCAAAAAAAAAAAAAAAGAAAAAAGAAAAAAAAAGAAAAAGAAAAACACTCAGAACTCTAAAGTTGAAAGCCAAATGCTCAAGCCCAAAACTATATCAATATTCTTTTCTATGTTTTTATAGTACTATAAAGGCATTTTATTACAAAATATTCTGGTACTTTTTTTTTTGTGGCATCATTCTGCTAACTTTATTCTTTATACATAGTTTGGGTAAAGTAAGAACCAAACACTGCTTCCACTCCCCCTATCCTCACTCCACTTTGGGGGCTTTAAAAAGCAACTTATAGTTGATACTGGTGAGGATTCCCAAGACTACAGAATTTAGTTGTAGAGCGTAACTGTGCATTTGATCACTGAAAGAAAATAAGAGACCTTCTAAGAGGTGGTGACCTTAGCAGAATAAGGAGGGGCCAGGGGGTCTCTTATCCCAGTTCAGCCTCACACCAGCCTGGGAGTTTTCCCTGCCTGCAACGTAAAGCAGCCTGTAAATTACATATAGCCACAATGCACTTAAATCGAGTCAATCACCATGGAAAATGGGAACTAAATTTTAAAGAGTCAAAGGCCTCCACCAGCTTGCCCTGGGGTAGGGACTGTGCACCAAGCCACATCCTTTCTCTTATATATAACTTTATTAATATTAATAATTAATAATGTTATAATACAATTAATATAATTATTAATAATTAATATTAATGATGTTATTATTAAGGCTTCCTAATGACTGATGGTATCTAATCACGAAAATCCTGGTAGGGAAAGGAGAAAAGTTATCTGGCCCATACACAGGAGCAAGGCCATGCCTCTGAGCTTTGCTAGTTACATACTTTACAATAATTCAACTAGGCCGGGCATGTGGCTCACGCCTGTAATCCCAACACTTTGGGACGCTGAGGTGGGCGGGTCACTTGAGGTCAGGAGTTCGAGACCAGCGTGGCCAACATGGTAAAACCCCATCTCTACTAAAAATACAAAAATTAGCCAGGCGTGGTGGCTGGTGCCTGTAATCCCAGCTACCTGGGAGGCTGAGGCACAAGAATCACTGAACCCGGGAGGCGGAGGTTGCAGTGGGCTGACATCATGCCACTGCACTCCAGCTTGGGTGACAGAATGAGACTTCTGTTTCAAAAAAAAAAGTAATAAATAAAGTAACTAAAATTCTGTGGAGCAAGGAGACTAATATAGACCAGAGAGCCCAGCCTAATAAAGAGACTCAGGTAGCTACTGAGAAAGGAATCCTAGCACACTTGCAGAGGCCTCTGTCTACAACCCTTCATCATCTACACAGATGGACTGACAAGGGAGTAAGCAGTGACACTTTAATGAGTCTACTGATTCTGTGTTACCATATTCTGAACAGGTAGACACTACATCTTTTTTTCTTTCTTTCTTTTTTTTTATTTCTTGAGACAGAGTCTTGCTCTGTTGCCCAAGCTGGAGTGCAGTGCCTCGATCTCGGCTCACTGCAGCTTCCGCCTCCCAAAGTGCTGGGATTATAGGCATGAGCCACCGTGCCCGGCTGCAGATAGACATTCTATCTTGCTCACAAGAAATCTGACTTAAGGAATGTTAATGAAGTTGTTGTTTATAACCTGAAGCTTTGAACTTAAGGGAAGCTAAGACAGGCTTCCAACACTTGCAAGAAGATGTACAAATACAATGCTGGTCCATGGCCAGACACTGGAAATATCCAGAAAGAAGGTAGAGTAGAATTAAATTCTACTTGCGGTAGGCATGGAATCTAGTAAGGAAAAAATCCTGATTTCTTATGCTTTCCACGGGTAACACAATAATAGGTGTTATTATTACTATTACTATTATTATAATGTTATTAATATTGTTAATATTATTCATATTATTATATGAATCAATACGTGGGACATTCCTGACTTGAGTAAGGACAACTCAGCATCTCACTAGGAAAGTAAAATATTACACAGGAGCTCACATTCCCAGTAGCCATGCACTGTAAGCCATGGATTACATCACCACTTCAATCACTCCCTTTCCACTGCTTAAAAATCAGTGCCATAGAGAAATTTTTTTTACCATAGATATTTTCTGTGTTTTTTATTTTGTAACAGTAATCAAAAAGAGAATGAAATCAGCTTAGCTACTAATTTTTTCCGAACAATGGCTTTAAAGGAAGTTGGCACCAAATCAACATACCCTTATTAAATGTATACATATGTATATACACACATATGAAGTTGCATGTCCTTAAATGTACACAGCCACTAACTCCAAAAAGATTAAACACCTTATTGGAGAATGAGGATCTATCTGTATCTTTTAATCCAACCTGTTTAAACAGACGAAAATTGAGCATACCCCAGTGTTCATTTCCAGAGGAGGTTCCTCCTTTTCCAACGGGGTGGAGATGGCTGTGATGGTCAGAGTGACAGACGGAACGAGTCCTGGGGGTGGTTCGTCTGTAACTGGCTCTGTCTTGATGGATGTTGAAGGGAAGTCTGTAGACAGGTACCATTTCTCACTTTCCACCTCATCTGCAGGAAAAAAGACAAGCACACATGTGAACTTGTTCAGGGCATCAGGCATAAGCAAAACAAGCGACCACTAGTCTTTCTCCCCAAAAAAGCTCAGTGAAGGATGATTGAAAGTAGAATAAAAGAAAATGAAATATGTGAGGGAAAAGATTGATAGATATGAACAGCAAAGAAAGAATCTATACTTGTATTCGCTTGCATGTGAGTATGCCTAAAGAAACTCTGGAAGGAATCCATAGAAAAGAAAGAAACTTGGCTTCCTGAGAAAGGCAGGAAGAAACCTGGGTTGATGGGGAATAGAATAGGAGGGAGGATTTTGAATATGTAATGAGCTACTCTTTTTGGTTGTCAAATCATGTAAATGTATTATCTATTCAAAAATAGATAAATAAGCACATTTAAAAACATGAAAGAAAGAAGCAGCCGGGCACAGTGGCTCACGCAAGTAATCCCAGCACTTTGGGATGCCAAGGCAAGAGAATTGCTTGAGCCCATGAGTTCAACACCAACCTGGGCTACAATGCAAGACTCTGTCTCTACAAAAAAAAATTTTTAACTAGCTAGGTGCAGTGGTGAGCATCTGTGGTCCCAGCTACTTGGGAGGCTGAGGCAGGAGGATTGCTTAAACCAGGAAGTCGAGGCTTCAGTGAGCTGTGATCACATCATTGTACTCCAGAGCCTGGGCAACAGAGTGAGACCCTGTCAAGAAAGAAAGAGAGAGAAAGGGAAGGGAGGGGGAGGGGGAGCGAGAGAAAGCAAGAGTGAGAGTGAGAGTGAGAGCGAGAGCGAGAGCGAGTGACAGCGAGAGCGACAGAGAGAGAGAGAGAAGCAAGCAAATGGTTGGTAACCAACGGGAGAAGATGAGAGAACATGGTGAGTAGGTCTCTCTCTCCTTCTCTCCAAAGGAAAGTTATTTGGTTTTTTGATATTTTTTCTTCTCACTCCATTTTTTTGTTTGTTTTTGTCCTCTTCTGTTTTCACTGTGATCCCACCTAGCCTTAAACCTAACTTAGACTTTCAGAGACTCTGCTTAGCCCTTTGGGAGACTTTGGTTTGTAATAACCATCTGCCCTTTGCTGAAATGGACAAAATACTCTTCCTGAGAAAACAGCTGCATCTTGGTGAGTCTGGGTCTTGTCTTTCCTGATTATCACCAGGCCTGGAGATAGCTAACAACCGAGAGACAAGACGGAACAGACAGAGTGCCTCTGCCACTTAATGCACATTCTTCTCAGAGTCTAAAAGAATAAGAATTTGTATTTCTTAACAAGTTACTTTGGAGCTAGCGCTCAGCACTGCCTGGAAAAGCCGGGAGGAGGGAAGGAAAGGAAACGACCAGAGGGTTGGAAACAGCCACAGAACAAGACAAAGCAAGCCAAAGGCAACGTTCCTTAGCTGATACCAGTTTTACTAAAATGAGGCTAAAATAAAGCAAAGACACGCTCCTTTGCTTTCTCAAAATGCTTACACACATACACCACATTTCACATACTTAGTGACCCATGACTGTCAGGAGAGCAAAGTCGTTCACATTATAAATTTATTTTACATTCAAGAATGTGACTCCAGTTTTCTTATGAAAAGGTACAATCATTTAGAACCGCTAAGAAGAAGGGAAGGGTAGACACAGAAACTAAGAACTAAAATCTACGATTATTAAAATTATGTTTCATAAGTGACTTCTTTAAAGCACAAAAATGTTAGGTTCATATTTGAGGAATGATTTCCCCCTTAAATCCAGTTTATAATTGATGAATTATCCCAGCCTCAATTTATTTCCCAAGGTGAAATAAAGACAGGATGGGCAGGTGGTGGAAGATGTTTTGCTTTTAGAGTGGGGCTGCTGAGTGCTATGGTGTGACGGGGATTTCCATCCTTCATGGGGTGTGCGCCACATCCTGGTGGAAGGGGAGGGCGGGGGAACAAAGGGCTCTCTGATGGCGGCCAGAGGAGGGAGACCACTCTGTACTGGACTCAGACCGTGCCCCAGCTCAGCCCAGAGATGGAGCAACTGGACCACGAGCCAAAAGATTCCGTTGACTCTCCCCAAAGGAGCTTAGGAGCTAGAAGACAATGTCCGCTGCAAAGAACACCCGCTTAGGACAGTTAGGGAAGGGCTGGAGAGACAGAGACCGCATAGATCCCATTTTTTCCATTCGGCAATGACATGGTGATGCTTTTGCTTTTTGTTTTGTTTTGAGACATTCTTGCTCTGTCACCCAGGCTGGAGTGCAGTGGCACCATCTCGGCTCGCTGCAAACTCCGCCTCCCGGATTCAAGCGATTCTCCTGCCTCAGCCTCCTGAGTAGCTGGAATTACAGGTACACGCCACGACGCCCAGCTAATTTTTATATTTTTAGTAGAGACGGGGTTTTGTCATGTTGACCAGGCTGGTCTTGAACTCCTGACCTCAGGTGATCGGCCTCCCAAAGTGCTGGGATTACAGGTGTGAGCCACCGTGAACAGCCATGCTTTTGCTTTTTGAAGTCAACACTTAAAGCCTGCCCACACTGAGTAATATTTATCCCTGGCAAAGGCTGGAAGAAAGACGGTAGGATGAAATATAGCCTCAGTACAGGCTGAAATGGACGGTAAGGAAGCATCCCTGAGAAAAAGGTCGCACACAATTACCAGGAAATTGTGAGATAAGGCCAGATCCCTTGACTGTGCAGTGAAGGCAACTGTGATGAAACTTAATTCACAAGGCAAACAAAAGAAGAGGCAAAAGTTAAAAAAAAAAGTGAATACAAAAAACAAAATGAAGATGGGTGATAGATAGAATCAGTTATTCCAATCTAGTGAGGCCATTCTCAAAGTGTGCACATTCGTAAAACAAGTCAAGACCATTTAATATTCTTAATGCCCAGTGTCCTATAGCCCTCTTTACAAACATACAAATATCATCAGTGCTGCCTCAGGGAATGGAAACCACAGGGCAAGTGATGGTACTTGAACTATAAAAGGAAACCTTCTCTCTCAAGGACAACTGTACATTTCCAAGAGAGAAGCCCAAGGAAGCGGCCTCTCCTCCCCTGAGCTTTTTTGAGGGCAAACAACAGGCGCTGCTTTCATGCTTCCATTCCAATACAGCAATTTAGTCCTTGATCCTGAAAGATGCTTTAGAGTTATAAAGAGATTTAAGGCCATTGAGCTCAAAGATATCTTTTTTTTTTTTTTTTGAGACAGTCTTGTTCTATCACCCAGGCTGGAGTGCAGTGGTGTGATCTCGGCTCACTGCAACCTCCACCTCCTGGGTTCAAGCGATTCTCCTGCCTCAGCCTCCCAAGTAGCTGAGATTACAGGCGTGTGCCACCAAACCTGGCTAAGTTTTGTATTTTTAGTAGAGACGGGGTTTCACCATGTTGGCTAGGCTGGTCTCAAACTCCTGACCTCAGGTGACCCACCCGCCTCAGCCTCCCAAAGTGCTGGGATTACAGGTGTGAGCCACCACACCCAGCCTATCATTTCTAGATGAGGAAAATGACACCTGGGCCTAGGTCACATGGCAAATTAGTGGCAGAACCCAGATCTCTGCACTCTGGCCAGTAATCTTCCCATTAACAAGAAAACTTTCTATGTGGATAAAGATTATGCATAAATAATGCTCACTAGGGCATTGTTTATGATGACAAAACACTGAAAATAACCAAAACATTAAAAAGCAAGAGAAAGGTTAAGTCAATTATGGTGCATCCATACAATGGAATATTTATGCAGACATTAATATTACATGTATACAGCCTTTTTAATTACAAAGAAAAGACTTATAATGAAATATTAAGACAAAAACTCTAGATAAAAATCTATAACTATTAAAGAAGAAAGTGATAGAAAAGCATCAAAAGAAATATGCCAAATAGTAAGCATCTCTGGATAATCGTTCAGAACATGAATGACTTTTTCTTTAAATTTTATGGTACTTCTAGATTTCCAACCTTGGGACACTATTGTCTTTGGATGAACACACAGGGACATGGCCTGCTCCACTTCATGGCTTAGGATGGTAATTATTGGGTAGAGGTTGTAATTGCCCATGGGGGTGTTTAGAAGCCCTTGACTCAGTAAGAGTCAATGAGACCCTTATTATGTAAATAAGTTGCATTCCTGGCTCCAGGTCTTCCTCCTCCCTCCATCCATGTCTTTTGCCTTAGAATTTTGCAGTGACCTCCCACCTTGGGCTGATCCCCACCCACAGCTTGGTCCTGTGGCTTGATGTACCATTGGTATGTGAGCTTTTTAATACAAGCGGAGTTTTGGAATGTGCTTGCAGGATGGAACTAATGTTGCTGTAGTTTTGCCATCAGCATGAGAAGAATGAGCTAGGATAATCTAGTGATCTCAGGAGAAGGATGACAGCCACATAGAACAGTCACCTCCAGAGGAGCTTAGTCAAGACCAGCCAACTATTAGCTGACCTTAGAGATGCCAGTGAATCTAGCTGAAACTAGCAGAACCACTCTGCTGACCCCCACACAGAAACAGACAGGTAGATTACGATAATAAATGACTGAGTGACTGAGTTTGGGGGTGGTTTGTTATGCCGCAACAGAGCTAGCTGATACAATATAGCCGAATGTATGAAAAATAAATTAAACCCATTACATTAGAATCTATTACAATGAAATGACTACATTCATTTCCAAAATAATTCTCTAAACCATCAACTATGGATCATATCAATAAATGTTTGTAGATTGGCTGATCAGACCTACTAGTTACATCACAAAATACGAAATGACTTCATATGAAGAAAGTCAGCCAGTAAGTAGTTTGGTGAGAACAGCATTCCAGTGGTAGCTGAAATGAAAGAAAACAGCTTTCATTCTGAACTACTGGAGGTTGGCTTGTACTCTCTTACTCAATGGAAATAAATATCAAATCA
Organism: Homo sapiens; assembly: GCF_000001405.40. Taxonomy (NCBI): domain Eukaryota; kingdom Metazoa; phylum Chordata; class Mammalia; order Primates; family Hominidae; genus Homo; species Homo sapiens. Next base: position 137,920,895 of record NC_000007.14, read on the forward strand.
CAGAAAACAAAATGACAAATGTAATCTATGAAGTGAGGGTTAAGGAAGGACAGAGTAGAGGAGAAGGAGCAGAATATGTATCACAATGTTTCTCCATGTCCTTACTTTTGTAGTTTTACTTTATTGGCAAAAAGATCAGTAGGGCCACCCTGGCTTAGAACTGGAATTATCCTTGGATGTCTTAGTTATTGGCTAAACCACAAACATAAGAGTCAGTAGACACTCCACACCCTCTAATTTCTAAAACTTGAAGCTGAGATACCGAGTGGAAAAAATAAAAATGTTCTTTCCGCATTGTGTTTATAAGTCTTTTAAATGTCATTTCAGACGAAAAACATCCCTGGTAAAGTTTAGCAGTCCACAGTTTGGAGAGTAAGAAGAACAACCCCCATATCAGCTGATTTAAACAGCTTCCTGTCAAAGGTCAAACTCGACTGGCACATTTCCTCAGCTTCACCACTTAACTGTCAGCAAGAAAATAAAAACAAGCCACTGATCGTGGTGAGAAGCAAGTCCTTTACATCCAAAGACAAAATGGTGCAGCCATGAGCAATGGGGCTAGATGCCAAGTTATCAAATCATCAAGATAGGCAAATCATCAAAGAGACTGAAAAAGACATGAACTCAAAGCCAAGGTAATAGCAACATCAAAATGCAGATCTTCCATCATTTCCATAGGTGCCACGTAGCTAAGCGCATTGAATGGATACTGATTGCTAAGAAAGAAAAAAAAACCCTAAATTGGGAGTTGGCATTATCTTGATATATTATGAAAGGAAAATAAAAATTCATGACCCCAATCCACTATGCCAAAGGGAAAAATCAAGCTGAAAGCTGAGTCATCCAAGAAACTGCCTTTCCTTTTATTCCTAAGCACAGTTATATATGAAAGGTTAAAGATCTCCACAGGTAGACACTCTATGTCCACCTTTTTCTTTTCTTGCTCTGTCACTGCAGCCTTGACCTCCCAGGCCCAAGCGATCCTGCCGCCTCAGCCTCCCAAGAAGTTGGGACTACAGGCGTGCGTCACCTCACCCAGCTATTTTTTTTTTTTTTTTGATAGAGATGAGGTCTCACTGTGTTGCTGCCCAGGCTGGTCTCAAACTCCTGGGCTCCAGTAATCCTCCTGCCTCAGCCACCCAAAGTGCTGGGATCACAGTCATGAGCACCCAGCTCAACATACATCTTATCTTATGAAAAGTGTTGATTTACTGAGCACAAGATGAATGTGTAATGGACTATTCCCCTACCTGCTCCTTTTCTCTCTTGCAACATATGGATTACCGTACCCTCCCTCTTTTCCATTCAGCCACTTTTCCTTTAAATACTCAAGTCCTCAAAGTCATCTTTGGAGAAAGGCACAGACCACAGATTTTTTCTGTGATTCTGTGTTTATTTGTTCTGGGTATGTCTTTAACCTTGGCAAAATAAACTCCTAAATTGATTGGGACCTGTATCAGATACTTTCTGGTTTACTATATATATATATGTATATATATATATATATATATATATATATATGTATATATATATATATATATACGTATATATATATATATACACACATATATATATACACACATATATATATACACACACACACACACACACACAATATATATATATACATGTGAACATAGAGAGAATGGGCATTTATTCTTAAAAAGGGAAATCAGATGACGTACTACCACTTACATGAGAAAAACACATACGCAGTTGGTCCTTGAACAACACGGGTTTTGAACCATGCGGGTCCACTCACAAGCAGATTTTTTTCAAATAAACGTGGATTGAAAATACAGTATTCATAGGATGCAAAACCCAAGCACAGGGAGGGCGGACCGTACATCCATTTACTATTTATGTAACATATCTAAAGTGAAAAGAAAATTTTATAAATTAAATAAATATGCCTCATCTAAATCCTTTAGCATTTCATTTGTTTGCCCTTTGAGAATTTTCAAAGGAGTTGGCAAATCTTGAACAATTTTTTTATGTAAAAATCTCTTAAAGGAAAAATATAATGGCTAGGCTCTGGAAGCTGGGGAAAGGGGCAAGAATTCAGTTAAATGTGTCAGAATCATATTAAACTACAGCCCACTACATGCTCCAATGGAAGTTACAGGCCTATCTCCCCCTGGCCCGTTCCTGAGTATCTTAACCCTGAAATAACTTTCAGTATTGAATGGCATGAAGAGGTGGTGATAGTAGTAGAAACAGAAAATATTTACTACATCCTTTTTTCTTCAATGGAGAAGTTATGACTCTCATGTATGAATATCCAAAGTAACTGTAATCGCTGGATTAATGTGAACATTGCTTTCTTATACTAATCTAGCACTGCAATGGCTACGCAGAGAAGTCATTATTTTACTTTTTTCAAAAAATAAAAAGGGGAAACATCACTATTGTTTTTATCTGTTTGGAAAAAAGTAAAAGGTAACACCAAAAAAGCGGAGGAATAGCAAAATAGCGTGTATTACAAACCCAAGCTTCAGATGGAAGAGGTCAACTGTTCCTCTGCCTGTCCTCCCCAATCACTGTCAGGTTCTCTCTTTGGCCGTGCATGACAGAGGACCCAGTGACTCAGTAGATACACATACTTTTCTCTTCTACCCCTGAGTCTGGCTACTCTACGATGATTCAGAGTGATGTTCTTGTCATCAGCTCACGCTATATGTGATGAAGACACCGTTATGCACCTCATTTCTGTGATTTTCAAGTCTCACTTCTATGGACCATGTCAACATCAAGATCTCTTCAACACTGCAAAGCAAAAACCTAAGTCATCTCTGACTCATCTCTGCCCCTTCCTCAGCATATTCGATCCTGTGCTTTTCCTGCTGCAGGTTTCATCAAATCATTTCAAAACCCATTTTTTCTTTGCCATCATGTTATATACCTTTCCACTTCTCCCTGGATAACTATATCAGTGCACACCTTCCCTGTTCTCGCATGGCAGCCATAAGATCTTCTGTGTTTCATCTAAGCTCCAAAAAATGTGATCCTATGTTTCTCAGTCCCTGCTTCCCATCAGGCAGAGATAAAACCCTAGTCCTTGCCCTTCTCCAGCCTGTCCCACTTACCCCATGTGACTTTGCTCCAGCAATATCCGCTCACCTTTACCTCACAGACTACTGTGTTCATTCCCACCTGAGAACACAGCTCCATAAATTTAAGGTATCTGTAGTGAACCAGCCTACCCAGCCATCCCTTGCCACTGAAAGCCCTACTAAATTCATCAGGAGGAAGATGATTCTTATCCATGTTCCTGGCCCACCCTGTGTAGACCTGGGACAGCCATAGTCACGGTCCTTTGTTCCACCCTTGACTACATTTGTGATGCAAAGGTAGTATTAGACCACTTCTGTATTAGCCTATTTTATGCTAAGGTCTGTTGATAGTCTATATAATCTTTAGCTCTGTTCTTGTATCATCTTAGAGGATAGGGGCCATGTCTGGTTCTCTCTGAACAGCCCTCATCCAGCACTAGTTTCTTCTTTAGGAAGAACACCAAAATTAAAGGACAATGCAAATGCATACCTAGCATCCCAACTGAATTACACAAAGGAACATGACTGAAATATAGTAACTCATAAAGACAACCTCCATGTGGTGAGGTACAAGACTTGGTCATTCAAATACAAGCTTTTGTTTCTCAAAGCATAAAAGTATCATAAATATTTTGCTGGGATGCTTCTGCGTTTCTCTCTTAACCTCATGACATGTTTTTTTTCTTCTTCCTTCTTCCTTTTTTTTTGGTGTTTTCTTGTTGTTGTTGCCTTTTTTGTAGAACAGAAAACCTTGCTTAGCATCTGGTTCACAGCCTTAATCACAGGGAGAAATGGCTGAGCTGGATGCAGGATGTCTTTCTGGGGGTTTTGAAGGCTGCACCTACATTTCTAGGGTTGGCTCCTGTGGTGGCTGGGCCACATGAAGTTCCTTAGCTCTAGTGTTTCAGAAGTCTACAAAGTCCCCCTGAGACAGATGATTCCTGTGGAATCTTAGAACAGTTATTTTTAACTTTTTTTGGTCACAAACTCTTTTGAGAATCTAAGAAATGATATAATAACTCTCAAAAAATTAACAAATGTAGATAGCCCACATTTTTGTATACAGTTTTAGGGGTCCACAGTTCATCTGAAGTCTGTGATAGAATGATAGGATAAGAACATCTGTGTGTGCCCTTTTCAGTTGTCCTGGGGTTCAGGTGGAGGATGGAGGGAGGAAGGGAAAGTTAGGAGGAAAAGGGCAAAGGAGGAAGAGGGAAAGAGAAGAGTTCTAGTGGGAAGGAGAAGGAGAGAGGGGAAGCAGGAGGCAGAGGGAGAAAAAAGGAGAAAAACTCTAATAAATTAGGAGGGAGTTTCCACTTAACTGTGTGTCATCACTCTTTTTCCAGGCTTAGAAGCAATTGCAGAAGAACTGTATTTAATCTAAGTACAATTGGACAGTGAGAGCTGAATCACTGGCTTTCCCAGGTATAATGAAATATTAATTCCCCATCTATCACTGAACACAAGGACTCCTAGTTTTGCTTAAGCTATTATCACCATGCAGCAGATAAAGAATATAAAATGTAATGTATATAGCTGTCTATACATGCTACATATTTATGTGTTGCCTAAAAATAACCATCCTTCTCCATCAGGGTGGTTATCTGCTCTAACAGAGCACTTGGGTTTGGAAGGAATACTTGTGGATTGATTCCCCCACCCTACAGATCGCCACCTTAAGGGGGATGCAAACTGGGGTTCACATGAATAAAATAATTCTGTTCCCAAACATCTGCCCATCCACACAACTCAGAAAAATAGATCCAGACAAAGCTTTGCTGAACAAGTTCCCCATCCACTCATCCACACTGCCTCACTCTGATTTCACACATCTTAAATGAGTAGTATCCCGTGTTTGTTGTCTTGCTTTTGCTGGCCTAGGAAAGTGACTTTTACTCAGATAAGACACTGGTACTTCAAAAAAGCTGAACTGTGGATCAGAAACCCTTTGTAAAATATATCTGACCCACTGTACCTGTTCTCAGCAAATTACCAGCACGGCCTGTCACAGCCTAAGAGCTATAAATAGAACAAAGCCCCAGCTGGGGGAACTGAATGGTGAATGCTTTGGCCTCACAATTAAAGGGCATCTCATGCCATTTAGAATGGTGATCATTAAAAAGTCTGGAAACAACAGATGCTGGCGAGGATGCGGAGAAACAGGAACACTTTTACACTGTTGGTGGGAGTGTAAATTAGTTCAACCATTGTGGAAGACAGTGTGGCGATTCCTTAAGGATCTAGAACCAGAAATACCATTTGACCCAGCAATCCCATTACTGGGTATATACCCAAAGGATTATAAATCATGCTGCTATAAAGACACATGCACGCGTATGTTTATTGCAGCACTATTTACAATAGAAAAGACTTGGAACCAACCCAAATGCCCACCAATGATAGACTGGATAAAGAAAATGTAACACATATACACCATGGAATACTATACAGCCATAAAAAAGAATGAGTGCATGTCCTTTGCAGGGGCATGGATGACGCTGGAAACCATCATCCTCAGCAAACTAACACAGGAACAGAACAGGACCCGCATGTTCTCACTCCTAAGTGGGAGTTGAACAATGAGAACACATAGACACAGGGAGGGGAACATCACACACCAGGGCCTGTCGGTGGGTAGCGGGCAAGGGGAGGGACAGCATTAGGACAAATCCCTACATGATGGGTTGATAGGTGCAGCCACCTTCAAAAGATGCTGCCATATGTACAGTGGTATAAGAACAAGAGGTGAACACCAACACCAAGAAGGTCAAGTTAGTGAGTATTCCTCACCATGTCATCCTCCTGTAAAGAAGAAGGCATATGCTGGACTGGGAATAGGAAATAGAGTTTTTAAAATTTAAAGTACTAAAATAGCTGGCTATCCCTCTAGGAAAACAAAACATAGAAAATTAAATTTAAACCTGGGCATGGTGGCTCATGCCTATAATCCTAGCACTTGGGGACGCTGTGGAGGAAAGACCACTTCAGCCCAGGAGTTCAAAACCAGCCTGGGCAACATAGTGAGACCCCCATTTCTACAAAAAAATAAAAATAAAAAAATTAGCCAGGTGTAGTGGCACATGCCTGTAGTCCCAGCAACTTGGGAGGCTGAGGCTGAATGACTACATGAGAGCCCAGGAGGTCAAGGCTACAGTGAGCTGAGATCATACCACTGAACTGTAGCCTGGATGACAGAGCAAGACCCTGTCTAAAAAAGAAAGAAGGAAAGAAGGGAGTGAGGAAGGAAGGAAAGGGAGGAAGGAAAGAAAATAAAGAAAGAAGGAAGGAAGGGAGGGAACGGAACGGAACAGAACGGAAAGGAAAGGAAAGGAGGAAGGAAGGAAGGAAGGGTGGGAGGGGAAGGGAGGCAGGGAGGGAGCGAGAGGGAGGGAAAGAGGAAGGGAGAGAGAAAAAGAAGAAAGAAAAGAGAGAAGGAAGGGAGGGAAGGAGGGAAGGAAGGGAAGGGAAGGGAAGCAAGGGAGGGAGGGGAAAGGAAGGAGGAAGGGAGAGAGAAAAAGAAAAGAAGAAAAGAAAAGAAAAGAAAATTACACTTAAAAGATATATATGCCTTGGAGAGTTTGGAACAAGATACAGCTTTTACCAATTAAGGGCTGTAGAGTAATGGTCAAAACATCTTAACATCTCTAAGGCCAGAAAAACTAGACCTTCAACAAATACCACACTCATGGCATTGATGATGGGCATGAAAGGGTAATCAACAAGAAAGTCTAGGAATGTCCACTAAGATCTGGGGTGGGGGACATGGGGTCAATAGAACATGATGGAATTGGGTTGAGAGGATGCCCAAGAAGCTTCTATAGAGGAATAGTTCTTTCTCAGAAAAAAAAAAAAAAATGGCATGACCCCTTGAAACAAGAGACTTACTGTACTGGTAGGAATGACCAGCCAGATAGGCCGGCCTGATTTGCAAAAGGCTGCTCTGCTGCTGAAGCCATAGGGTGAAAGAGAGTAATGACCATCCTTCAGTTATAGCAAGTTCCAAGGGAACCTGGGCAGTGTAGAGAAATGGGTCCTGGGCCTCTTTGCTTTTCCCCACAGCCCAAGCACAAGGCCGTACACACTGTAGGTATCTCACTAATAAGGGTGCTGACACCCTCTTTAATATAATACACACTCCACACCCTCAAGAGCTCAGAACCAAAGGCGCTAAGGTCCAGGTCTTCCTCCTCCTCTGAGTTTACCGTCATTGAAGCTGTCACTGGTGGTAATGTGGGTGAAGGGCGACTGGGCCCGAGGCTCCTCGCACAGGGAGTAGCTGTGCTCAGCCTGGATGAGAGGCGCCGGGGACGTCGGGGAAGGTTCCACCTCCATTGACACACTCTTCTCTGAGAGGAAAGGATCATTCAGGAGCTGACCCAAGACGTTCTGGGAAAACTCATCCAGAAGTTCTGAGAAGTGCTACAAGAAACAAAGGAGGAAGAACTCAGTTTCTCTTAACCATAATGTGACAGATACCCTACGCACATACCAAATACCTCATCCACTGCTCGATATGAAGTCCCTTCTACACACACAATGTCCAGTTAGCTCGTGCTGTGTAGCAAACCACCCCAATGTTTAGTGGCTGAAGGTAACCATAATATTAATATATTACTTCTCCCTCCTCCGTGGGTTGGGCTGGGTGGGTGAGCTGATTTCATCTGTGTTCCCTGACACAGCACATTAGTGGGAAGGCTGGCTGGGAGTGTGCTGGGCTGGGACCCCTGGACACTTGGGCCTCTTTCTCAAAAGGAAAGATCAGGCCGGGCTTCCTCCCATGATGGCAGAAATCTTCCATGAGGGAGAAAAACCAAAGCTGAGTGGCCCCAGACATCACGCATCATTACACCCTCCACATTCTTTTGGTCAAGGCAAGGGACAAGACCAGCTCACACCCATGGGGCGGGAAAACAGACTCCACTGCTTGATGAGAGGAATGGCAGAGTCACAATGCAGACGAGTGTGGACAGTGCGGGGGGCATGATTCACTGGGGGTCCTTGCTATCATGACCTACCACATTTTGCACTGATAATATGTTTAAATAAGCAATCCTCTGTTTCTATAGCACAAAGGTGCAGTTTACACTAAGGTGCCATGCTCAAAAACATTAGAGGTGGCTTCTCTCTAGTCTCCCCATGGGCTAGACTTTGTTCCTCTCTGGTTTTTCCTTAATATGCTCCCATCCTTCATCTCTAATACCATGAACTTTCCAGCCCCCACCATGCTTTGGACATAATATAGGACTAGCCCATATAAATTCCCCGGGATTCCCATATCCCCTGTGACACTGTACCACTCTAAAGGAGCTGCAGCCCCATCCACTCTCCCTCCTTGATAGGTCTATATTCATGGTATGAGGATCTTCAGAGCAGGGTTTCTCAACCTGGCACTAATAACATTTTGGACTGGATAATTCGTTGTGAAGGGCAGGGGTGGGGCATTGTTTTGTGCATTGTAGGATATTTAGCAGCATTCCCGGCCTCCACCCACTAGATGCCGGTAGCACTCCCCCAGTTGTGAAACCAAAAATATTTCCAGACACTGCCCAAATGTCTGTAGGTGAAAAAGTCACCCCTGGTTTAGAATCACTGCTATTGACTATATTAGAAATAATAATAATAATATAAAATAGGGCCAGGCACGGTGGCTCATGCTTGTAATCCCAGGACTTTGGGAGGCCAAGGTGGGCGGATCACAAGGTCAGGAGTTTGAGACCAGCCTGGCCAACATAGTGAAACCCTGTCTTTACTAAATATACAAAAAAAAAAAAATTAGCTGGGTGTGGTGGCAGGCACCTGTAATCCCAGCTACTCGGGAGGCTGAGGCAGGAGAATCGCTTGAACCTAGGAGGCAGAGCTTGCAGTGAGCCAAGATCGAGCCACTGCACTCCAGCCCGGGCAACAGTGCAAGACTCCATCTCAAAATAAATAAATAAATTAATTAATTAATTAAAATAATTTTTTTTTTGAGACGGAGTCTTGCTCTGTCGCCCAGGCTGGAGTGCAATGGCGCGATCTCCACTGCAAGCTCCGCCTCCCAGGTTCCCGCCATTCTCCTGTCTCAGCCTCCTGAGTAGCTGGGACTACAGGCACCCGCCACCACGTCTGGCTAATTTTTGTTTTGTATTTGTAGTAGAGACAGGGTTTCACCATGTTAGCCAGGATGGTCTCAATCTCCTGACCTCGTGATCCGCCCGTCTTGGCCTCCCAAAGTGCTGGGATTACAGGCGTGAGCCACTGTGCCCGGCCAATAAAATGAAATTTTAAAGCCCACTTTGGCACTAGCTATTAGAGATTTCTGCCTTCTTAACATTCTCTGAATCACAGACCAATGGGTGTCATCCTTACTGATTAAACTTTAGGGACACTTCTAGTATAGAAAGGAAGTTAAGAAAGCAGACACAGCAATAAGAGAACGATGGCAAATAATGAGGCTTGGGGTAAGCAATACAATTCTTGGGATTCACTTGGACACCTAAGTCCCACCACCAAACTGAAGTGTCAATGAAGGCGTTATGAAAATGAACACCAGAAGGGAAGATGGGAGATGTCCCTAGAGCTGGCGCTCTAAGATCAGGGTAGTTGTAGAACAGGATGCTTCCTTTAATAAAGAAGAAAAGCGAACAGCAGAGAGGAAGCTTCTGCAGGCTCAGTCCCTAAAGAGTTAGAACGGTGAAATTCACTGACATCACAAACACGGGACATGGCATTTCATCAGGACAGAATGCAGGGAAGCTACAGGACTTGGGCATGTCCTATAGGCATGATTGTCTATGAGAACAAGAGACAGGGTCAGGGAGAGAGCTCTCTGAGTACAAATACATTTCAAACTGGAAGGTCCTTAGGAGTATTTAAGGCCACATGCCAACTGCCTGCATCACAATTACCAGGGAAGTTTGGGTTAGTCATTTCATAATGAAATATTGTAAGCATTCAGAAAGATTATACATATCATGAACAATTATGTAGTCATTCCTTTTAAAAAAAAAAAAAAAGAAACTGGGCTGGGCAAGGTGGCTCATGCCTGTAATCTCAGTACTTTGGGAGGCTGAGGCAAGAGGATCAGTTGAGCCCAGGAATTCTAAACCAGCCTGGGCAACATAGTGAGACACAGTCTCTACAAAAAATACAAAAATTAGCCAGGCATGGTGGTGCACGCCTGTAGTCCTAGCTACTCAGGAGGGTGAGGAAGGAGGATTCCTTGAGCCCAGTAGGTCAAGACTATAGTGAACCATGATTGTACCATTGCACTCCAGCCCAGGTGATGGAGTGAGAACCTGTCTTTAAAGAAAAGGCCAAGCACGGTGGTTCACGCCTGTAATCCCAGCACTTTGGGAGGCTGAGATGGGCGGATCATGAGGTCAGGAGATCGAGACCATCCTGGCTAACATGGTGAAACTCTATCTCTGCTAAAAATACAAAAAATTAGCCAGGCATGGTGGTGGGCACCTGTAGTCCCAGCTACTCAGGAGGCTGAGGCAGCAGAATGGGGTGAACCCAGGAGGCGGAGCTTGCAGTGAGCCAGGATCACTCCACTGTACTTCAGTCTGGGTGACTGAGCGAGACTCCGTCTCAAAAAAAAAAAAAAAAAAAAAACTGGCCAGGCTTGCTTGGTGGCTCATGTCTGTAATCCCAGAACTCTGGGAGGCCGAGGAAGGTGGATCGCTTGAGGTCAGGAGTTCGAGGCTGGCCTGGCCAACATGGTGAAACTCCATCTCTACTAAAAATACAAAACTTAGCTGGGGGTGGTGGTGCACACCTATAGTCCGAGCTACTCAGGAGGCTGAGGCAGGAGAATCACTTGAACCTAGAAGGCAGAGGTTGCAGTGAGCCGAGATCACACTACTGCACTCCAGCCTGGGTAACAGAGTGAGACTCTGTCTTAAAAATAAATAAATACAATTTAAAAAAATTTGAATACAAAATTTAAAAATCTTATTTTTACATGGTTGCTGCTGTAATCTTTCTTTTGTTGCTTTTTCTTTCTTTTTCTCAAGAAATAAAACATGAAGGACTGTTAAAGCTCCCATCCATTCCCTTCATCCCTCTCAAAGTTAACCATTAGCCAGACTTGGTGTTTATCTTTCCCATCCAGGTCTTTATCCTTTTACTACATATGCATGTATCCATTACACATAGGATTCTTTAAAACGTTAAGTAAATGGTACCATATCTCATATTTCCTCTGCAATTTTCTTTTATCAAAAACATTTTTTTAGATTTATTCATGTTTATACACGTAGCCCTGTTTCATTGATTTAAACATCTGAATTCTATTCCATTGTATTTATCCATTTCCTCTTGAGGAACCCTCACATTTTTATTGTATGTAACATTGTAAAAAAAATTCCTTAACATAAAGAGAACTTTAAAAAACACAAAAGTTTTGTTTTCAGAATGTGGTTTAAAGGCATAAATAAATAAAAACATACAAATTTGATGATCCACCCTCAGAGACTTTGACTTAGGAAGTTAAAGACGTCTATATTAAAACTACCACCTAGGCCGGGCGCAGTGGCTCACACCTGTAATCCCCACACTTTGGGAGGCAGAGGTAGGCAAATGGCTTGAGCCTAGGAGTTCAAGGCCAGCCTGGGCAACATGGCAAGACCCCATCTCTACAAAAAATAAACAACAACAACAACAACAACAAAAAACTCACACCACCAGTCCTTCTATGCTCACCTCAGTTTCTCAATCACTGGCTCCATTTCCACTCAACAGTCCTCTCCCTACGCCACTTTACAGTTAAGTCCCTAGAAGCTTACAAAGTTCCTACAAGTTCAAATATGCCCAAGGTAAGAGGAAGATTCAAGGATTTTGCAGCTACTGTGTGTTAAACTTCAGACAGACGCTGGGGATACAAAATAATAAATAAGAAACTAGAAAATGCCCATGCCCTGCCAGAGTTTACCACTTAGGTCAGTGCTCAAAGTTTTATGTGCAGATAAATTACCTGGGGCTCCTAAGCCGTCGCTTCTGACTCACAGGTCTAAGCAGGCCCGAGATTCTGCATTTTTCATCAGCTCCCAGGTAACGCTGTGACTCCACAGACCACACTCTGGGCAGCAAGGAGCAGAACAGTGGCAAGGCTAAGATTAGAACCAGACTTCCTGATTATACAACAATCTAAGTCAGCATCTGATTGCTTAAGTAGCTCCCCAAGGACAAATTTCCTGGTTGCCTGATGGTGACTATTCTACAACTGTTTGACAGAGATCCTTTGAAGACAAAACTAAGTTAACAAAAAGAGAAATAAATAACAGAATGTAACACGCAAATGCAAGAGGTAAACCCACAGTCCCTGCATTTCCAAGCCACAGTTTTGTTCCCTGAACTACAAGGTCAAGTCCCGATCTGCTGTGCTGGCCACTAAAGCTCTGGAATCCCATTCTATCCCGAGGCAACGCTCTCTTTGATTGGCCAGGCTTTCCTATGGAAGTTGCCCAGGTTGGCGCACTCTGCTGACACTCTGTTTTCTTTCTTCTGAGCAGCACTAATGAATGTTTTCATGAACATCCCCTGGATAACCAATAATAAACGTTCTCTAACTCTGCTAACTTTCCCTGAACTCCCCCTACTTTGGATTATGCAGTAATTCTCATGTTACAAACCATTCAGCACTAACGATAGACAGTTTTGAAGCATTCACAGTTGTTATCAAGTTTATTATCATAACCTCCCCTCTGGAAAAGGATCCTCCTCAGAAGTCTAACTGTGCCTAAACACCCACCCACACCCAAGAATTTAGCAAGGTGGTGAGCTCTCAGTAGGTTCAGGGAGATCCTTGTGATGGAAAAGAAACCGGTTCCAACCAGATGCTATGACTCAGCCCAGCAAATTAGCTCCAGCTGGGTGTCCTTGGCAGTGGTGGGCTCCAAGACTCAGCAGACAGGTCAACATCCCATTGCTGGTGCCAGGATCGGGCCAGAGTGGGCCCATCTTTAATGCCAGCCAGTTGGAAAGGGGCCTTATGGTCCTGAAGGCCAAAAACCAGAGAAAGGAGCAAAGTGAGCCTCGAGGAGGAAGCCTTTCTGGATACTGCAAACGCTTTAGCGAAGTACTGCTCATGTGAACCCAAGGGTTATGGGATTTTAGTTTAATTCCTTCAAAGGCAATGGCATAATAACATTTTAGCATTCTAATATTTGAATCAAACTTTATGAGTTTACAAAATAATTTCATAACCTTTTTCTCACTCAATACTCACGACAATCCTGTAAATTGGCTTTTAGTCCATTGTCCAAGATCTCTGTCCCCTACTGAGAGACCTTGAGCTAGGGTACTCATGTCAAATTGACTGAATTTTTTTTCCTTATTGTTTCTCCTAGGAAAGAGATATTTAAGCCTCACAATACAACTGTATGGAGAGGTTCTAACAAGTGTAAAACCATGATGGTGATGATCATGGATAATGATGTTGTCAGGATTAGGTGCTAGACTTGTGTGATGGACTAAGTACTTGACATACTCGATTTTCAGAAAATGAAAACATGTCCCCATTTACAGATCAGAAAACTGGGGCTCAGGATAATTAGCTATTTTGCCCTGAGATGCACAGCTGATGAAAGGTGAAACTGATATTCTAGCCCATGTTCAGCCAGTTCCAAATCACAGGCACTTTCTACAGCATGCTCCCTCATTTGTGTCAGCCTCTAAAGCTAGATAAAGATAGGCTCACAGACGGTCATCCGCTATGAACACATGGTCTCCTGCACTAAACCTGTAGAAACATGCCAAGAGTTTGTTAGAAGGAGAGGCTCCTGGTATCACTTGCTGTGATACATCAGCAATAAGGATGGAGATACTTATTCGGCCTTAATGCATGTTTCTGCCAAAGGATTCAAGCAACATCACAGAATCTCTCAGTTGGAAGAAACCTCCTAATAGGATTGAACCCCTGCCTCACAACATAAATGTTCTTCACCCAGTTCAGAGAATACACATGGCAACTTCCCTTAAAAATTTGTGTCAAGTTTTATCTCCCCATTATCTTAAGATTCTGAATTAAACATCCTGCAACTATCCCATAAAGTTTTGTCTCCCTTTATTCTTATAAACACAACACCTTCATTGCAATCCTAATGGTCACAGTATGGCATTGTGGCAATGTAGCTTTGGAGTCAGTCAGCCCTAAATTTGAATCCTGGCTGTGCAAGCCTGAGGAAGATATGTCCATACTCCAAACCTTGGTTTATGAGGTTAACAATAATGCCGGCAAAGTGAAGTTAACAATAGTTCCGGCCTTGTGTCATGAGAATTAAACTAAATAATGCACGTAATACACCTAACACTTCACTGCATAGCAATCTTTTAAAAAGCTCTTTTAAAAAACTAACATAATTAAAACAATAAAATGTTGGCATTTTCTACTTGCACACCAGCTTCTCGCATTGTTCTTCCTAGAATATGCTTTCATTTTCATCTTTACCAAACAGGAAACTACCTAAGACAGAACAAATGTACTTCTTTTAGAAAGTCATCCCTAGACAGATACACCTTGAATTGATCTCTCATTTCCCTAAACAAGTAAAGCCCTTTAAGTATCTCTTAATTTGACACATTTTTCCTTTTCTTTGATGTTCCTTTCATTGCCAAGTTACTTAAATATCTTATCACTAGGCCTTCCAAACTCTATGGCCCAGATGTAAACCGTTTACCCACCCCTCTCTCTGGACCTAGCCCAGATCAGAGATCATAGATCGTAGATAGTTGCTGCATTCAACAACTATCTCATTTGCATCTATTATCATTCTATAACATCCTAACGAAATAGAAGATAAATCCAAATTAGGGCTAGATCTCCCAACAGTTATAAATAAGTGCCTTCAAACATTTAAAATGTATATCCAAATTTACAAATCAGATAAATTAGGAGAAATTTTTATCCTTATAAGAATTACTTATTTTATAAAAAATTACCTCGGCTCTGAAGCATTTACGCTTTGAGTTTTCAGGTCACTAATGAACTGCCAAAGTAGCTTGCAAGGAAGGAGTGGTTTATGATCTGGGCCACTTCCTGCTGCTAACAACTGCCCTAAGATCAGAGGTCACGAGGGTGAGGAAAGGGGAACAAAGTGGGAGGAAAAGGAAGGATTCATAATTCTTTAGTTCAAATAACTGGCTGCATAAAGCTACCGACCTGTCTTCCGTACAGTACTCTCCACTAAGGTTCGCCCACTCAACAAATACAGTGGGAGCATGGGCAGAAAGATGAATAAAGGTCAGTCTTATAAAGACAGAGTTATCCCAAGGTGCAAAATGAGTTAGCCAGAATGTATGTCCTGTGCCCCATCATCCAGAGAACTTGCAGAGCGTGTTCTAAAGCAGTTGTGCCATCCCATAGTCAGCCCAACAGGCCTCTTTTGTGCACAGGCTAACAGAAGAGTGCTGCACCAGACCAGTTAGGGACAGGAGTTCTCTAGTCCCAGCCTTGCACTTCAGTGGTGGTCAGTCTGCCTCTTCTAGACTCAGTTTCCTTACCTGTAAACCTCTGTGTGTGTGCGTGTGTGCATGTGAGTGTGTGAGTGCTATGTGTACTGGGGATGAGGGTAGGCTTTAAACCTGATCAGTAGTTTGTCACCTTTTTTCACCTTTTTTAAATTCTTAGACCCTTTTGGGAATCTAATGAATGCTCCTGCCTGACAACCTAATGCTCCTTTTGGGAATCTAATGACAGTCCTGCCTGAGAAATGCTCACAGCCACAAACACACAAACACAGCCCAGCATTTCAGGAGGCTGACCCGCCCCTGAAGTCTGTCTGCAGACGGCAGGGGGATTCCATGGATCCCGGGCTAAACCCTGCCAGCAGAGAAAGTAGTAATAACACAGGGATATTTATAAGTCATTGCTAACAACCTATTCAGCTCTACTACCCTATCATTTTCTAAAATGTTGCAGGCAACATAAAATGGAGCTACGAAGGTTTTTCAACTTGGGAAAAGGAGGACAGAGAACACCCTCTTTCTGCCTCCCGGGTTTGTTTAGATTTGCCCCTGTAATGCCAGCCCATGGGCAGTGAAGCAGGTGGCCACGGCAGGTAATAGGATTCAGAAAGCAGAACCTGGGCTGGCAACAAGAGGCCCAAGGCCTGCCGGGGCTCCTTCTGAGCTCCCCAAGCATTCAATTCCCAGCCCTGCCCTCTGGGAAACAGGGAAGCTTTGCAGCCAGTCTCTGGCTGAAAAGATAGTTCTCCGGCAGGCAGGAGAAGAAGCCTCTGTACTTAAAAATCGTGGCTAGGAGCCTTACCTAGAGCACAGAATGCCTCCCAAAGACTGGAGCCATAGAAGAAGGGAGTGTGGCAAGAGCAAGCTGATCCTCTCCATAAATGATTCAGAGGACACAGCTCAAATTCACATTAGAAACCAAGGCCTCCTTCCAGCAAAACATAGTTTGACTGTATTGCTCAGGCAGGGAGGAGCTGCCCTGGGCTCCTGGCATCCCCTAGGCCACCCTCCCTCCTCCCCTTGCAGGGAGAGAAGGGACCTGCCTTCAAAACCAGTGCACCTTAGACCTGAGTGGCTCTCACACAAGTACCCTGCACACAACACACAGAAAAGGGCCAGATGCCAACCATGAGGAAAAAGGTGACCTTGTCAAAGTCCCAAGAAAAAAAAATGGCTCACAAGTCAAACTCCATTACAGTGAAATTTCAAGGATACCCAATTCTTTTCTAGTACAAAAATGTAGGCCCATTACATATTTCTTTAATTTTTAAAAAATGGGGGCTGAGCTTCGAACTCTTTATTACACCAGAGTTTTGGAGATTTGTGGTGGGGGTTATTTTGGGGAGGGTGTTTTGTTCTGAAGTGATATTTGCTTTACTGAAATTTCACTAGCAGTAACAAAAGCTGTGTTTTAAAGAGGCTTATTACCAAAAAAAAAAAAAAATTAAATAAATAAATATATGTACACCTTGCTTGGTAGTATCCAGATGAACCTTTTTTTTTTGTAAATGAAGTATGTGAAATAGATTAAGCAATAAAGGCATTGAGAGATGATATTTAAAGGAAACCTATTATAAATCCATTGGTAGGGTATATTCAATATTTTGTAAAAGGAGTCACCCTGGGAGAAGGAGGAATAAATAGGTGGACCACAGATGATTTTTAGGGCAGTGGAACTCTGACACGGATACTATAATGGTGGAGACACGTCTTTATACATTTGTCCAAATCTATAGAATGTACGACACAAGAGTGAACCCTAATGTGAACTATGGACTTTGAGTGATAACAATGTGTCAATGTATCTACCATCATGTCTACCAATATGATGGTAGATGTTGACAGTGGCGGAGGCTATGAATGTGTGGGGCAGAGGACATATGGGAAATCTTTCTACCTTCTGTTCGATTTTGCTCTGAACCTCAAACTGCTTTCAGAAATGGGTTTTTTGTTTGTTTGTTTGTTTTTTGAGACAGAGTCTCACTCTGTCGCCCAGGCTGGGGTACAGTGGTGCGATCTCGGCTCACTGCAACCTCCACCTCCTGGGTTCAAGCGATTCTCTTGCCTCAGTCTCCTGAGTAGCTGGGATTACAGGTTCCCGCCACCACGCCCAGCTAATTTTTGTATTTTTAGTAGAGACGGGGTTTCACCATGTTGGTCAGGCTGGTCTCGAACTCCTGATCTTGTGATCCACCCGCCTCGGCTTCCCAAAGTGCTGGGATTACAGGTGTGAGCCACTGCCCCTGGCCAGAAATGGTTTATTTTTAAAAACTAATTCCTAATGTATATATTAAGTAAAAATGAATTTTTACATATGATATTTGCTTCAAGGGTCATGCACCATACTAATTCCTTTTAAACTACATAATTTTTCATCATTAAAACAAGTAATGATCCACTTTCCCAAATGCATGCCAATCCTGAATGGCCTATAGCAGTTATTAGAATTTGATGTGGAAAAAAAATCCACTGTTTCATTTTAAGAGCATCTGCCCACAATACAAATAAATCAGTTAATGAGATGAAGGGAGAAACACCCCACAAGTGGCTCCTGATAACAAAGGAGAGCTGCAAGATTCAGAATTAGCTAGCACATAAAAATTCAATCTGCCTACTTCTTGGCTTATTTACACATATAGCTGCAAATACCCCCAAAATGCACTTCTTCATTCTTTCTGAACCCAAATTAGCCTCTAGCCTAGTAGGGCCTGTCCTTCCATGGCCCAAGAGTATCCAACAAGTACCAACAGGAATAAAAATAATGCGAAGAAAATTTAATAATAATAGCACCTTCCATATTCAATGCATAGTATTTACATATGACAAAACACTTGCACACCATGACTGTATCTGATCCTCACAAGACGGAGAATTATCCCGAGGGTAGAGACAGTGGGGCAGCCTGGAGTAGGGCAGGACCCCTTCCCAGGCACGTTCGGCATAGTCCCTGCTGCCTCTCAATCACTAACACAGAGGACTTGGAGCTCAGATTTCTAATTGTTCCCCAAAAATGCTTTTTGAATTGTAACTTGGGCCTGAGAGAAGGGCAATCTCCTCATGTCAATGAAGGAAATCCTCAGGATCCTTTTAGAGCAGACAGAGCTGTTCCAGAAATACCCGTATCAGGTAGAGAAGTCCTCTGATATGCTTCAAGAAACTCAAACCATCCCCGAGTCCTCTTGCCCCTTCCTTCTGCCACAACAGACAGCTGAATCTCACCAACAAGTGAAAGACCATCAAAGCCATGATCAAGTCAACCGTTCAAGGCTGAGGCAGTACAGAACCTGTGATTCTGTTCTTGTCATCCATAGTGGGGAAGCCACAGAGACTGGGATGCTGAAAGCAGCTGCCATCAGGACCACCAATTCTTCCCTCTCCCTTTTCTCCACTTCTATCCCCGAGTCTAGACTCTACCCCCGCAATCTTGGATGGGAGTGCTGGAGGCCCAGCGGGGCTTTTTGCCTGATCTATCCCACAAGCCAAGGCCAAAAAATGTTTGCTTTTAACCCTCCCACACTTAAGAGCCTCCTACATAACTCAGCCTATGTCCAAATTCCCCACAGTGAGAGTTAAAGTAGATTTAAATTTCTTACTACCCAGTTAAATTCTCTAGATACTCTTCCTAATTGGTGTTGTTGATATCCCTCCTTCTGTCCCTTATCCTTCAATTTGCAGTTTTCAACCCTTTTACATGCTCATTATATAAGGAAATTTGGAGGGTTTTTTGGTCAGACTGCTGTAATGAGGTCTCTTGCCCTCTCTGCAGTCATAAGCTTCTCCTCTCTGGTATCTTCCACTCTCTTAAACAGAAGGCATCCCCATTCCCTCTCCCACAGTATACACTCTCCATCTCCATTTCAGTCTTTACCTCACCAGGGGACACCCAGGACATTCCCTCATATCTTTCAGTGAAGGCACAAGCTAAGGTATTTACTATTCCTACACTCTTGCATCCTACCCTAAAAGAATACAATCTGGTACTCTGCCATTCATTCCAGAAAAATTTTGGATTACAGCAGGCTCCAAATCACAGACTAGTGAAGCTTGAGGAAACACTGGATATCATCTGGCCTGACCTGGTCACTCTAATTTGAGAAAACTGAGGTCCAAAATGGCACATGAAATCAAAGAGTTGAGAACTGAAATCTACACTACAGACTCTCTAACAAGAGAAACGGTGACCAGACATAAAGATCACCAAATGGGTGACTGAAAAGTGTTCCACAGACGACCCCCACAGAATTCTCTGAACAGAACGTGCATGTTGCAATGGAACAATTCTGCCTCCAAGTCAAGATCTAATGCCAAAAACATCAGGTATGAAACACTAACGGGCGATGAAGTTTGTGGGAAAAAATGAACGGCATGCATGCTTCCTAGAAACCTATGCTTTATTTATGAGCCAAATATGTCTTAAGCATTACTGAGATAATCTCATCCCTAGAGGGCCACACTGGGGAAAAGGGAAAGTGCTTGAGAGGTACAAAGTACTGTTTGTGTTGTTTAAATGCTCAGGCATGACTCTGCCAGGAGGTACCCCTCCACCCCAAGATAAGAGCTAAGGGAATCCCGCAGGTCAGCAAATGGGAGACCAGGAAGGTTCTGGCTTCTAGCCACTTTGGCTCCTGCTCTGTGAGACCTCACATGTATGCCCCACCTCTCTGGAATGACATGTGTTGAGACATACCAGGGGATCTTAGCCTTTGAAACCCTTGTGTTATGCACCGGACTCATGGGACAGAAGGCATATAGTCTACATCAGCTCTGTAGATCCTAGCAGCAACCTTGGGTCAAATCACTTGTTCTCTCCACACCACTAGAAAATGAGAAATCCAATCTGCCTTTCAAAACTGTAGTGAAGATAAAAATGAATTCATCGATACAAGTCTAATCCAGATACAAGATGGTGCTATGGTAAATGAAAACTGGCTAAGAAAACCATGTGCAGGCTATGAACACGGAAGTGACTTCCCAGACATCCACAGAGTTCTTATCTCCATCGTGGCCAGCCAGTTAGCAACCGCAGTTATTGGGAGCGCAGTAGCCATTGGCTGTCCGCTCCTGCATGTTCCTTCCTCTCATAAACCTCAACCAGCTGAGGCAATGAACCCTCTTCTATCTCTAAGTGCTACCAGAATCCAAGAGCTTTGAGGCCTGCTCAGGACAGACTATCTTGGAGCAGTGGGGAGTAAAGGGCCCCGGTTGGCTTTCTGTTATCCCACATTGCTAGCCCCAGCCAGGTTATTCATTCCAATCACATTTCTAGAAACAAGAGAGATCAGAAAGGCAAGCTCCAGTATTTTAAATGAAGAACCTGAAGTTAAGGTACACTACACCACTACCCTAAAGAAGCAGAGTTTGATGTTTCTCTATTCATTTAGAAGAATTACTTTGGCATAATAAGAGCTTAATAAATGTTAGCTGTTTTATTGTTGTTTGTATTACATGCCTCGCTAAAACTGGGACAAAATTATTAAGTATTTCTCTGACTTATCAGTCTCTTAATACCATAAAAAATGATGAAGGTCATAAAACATCATTTTTCTTTAGTGAACTCGGTCGATTCTAGTTTTCCCATTTGCTTACCAGGGGGCTCATTTTCAGTTCATCAATTCATAATTGATTGATTGATCTTCCTTTCCCCTTTTTGAAAACTAGGCCCATATCTCCAGTCTCAAACCATCTCTCTCATTCCCTGCAATTTCTCCACAGTTCACCAGCCACACTGTGCTCACATCCATAAGCTTCTTTAGTGTCCTTTCATCTTAACCAGCAATTATAATTTTTAGGCAAACTTCTCATTCAAACTTTTATGAAGGAACTGTTTAAAGCTGAACTGCACTATCAAGTTCCTACTTTGGTGGCACTGCTGAAAACCAGACGAATATTTTCAGGTTCTCAAATCTTTCTCTGGAAGTGGGGTCCAGGTT
Source organism: Homo sapiens (assembly GCF_000001405.40). Lineage (NCBI taxonomy): Eukaryota > Metazoa > Chordata > Mammalia > Primates > Hominidae > Homo > Homo sapiens. Next base: position 137,942,325 of record NC_000007.14, read on the forward strand.
CTCCTTAAAGTATCCCTCTAAATCCTTCTGCCCTCAGGCGGATCTCCCCTGTCATTGAGCCACAGTCCTGTCATCCCTTTTGGAACAGAAAGGAACCATTCTAAATGAATAGGGAAACATCAAACTCTGCTTCTTTTGGGATAGTGGTAGTGGTTCAGTGTACCTTAGCTTCAGATTCTTTATTGAAAACAATGGAGCTTCAATTCTTCAACTTGGTAGAGTTGAAGAATTTCTAAGAAGGAAAAACAAAACAAAACAAAATAAAACACGAGGCCATAATATTCTCTTTCTAAGAAAGACCATAAATAGAATCTAGTGATCTCAGCAGGTTATTATAAGAACAAGCAAACAGAGATATTCTGCAGTCCTGCTGGAAAACACATGCAATCACCATATGTTAAAAGTTATTCCCAAACAGTTTGAGTATTTTTCTCCCAAAAGACGAGGTAGAGCAATGCTTCTGAATGTTTGTTCATGATTGAACAATGGTGGATAGCTGCTTATTGGATCATGAATAGGACACATTTGCCTTCTAGTCACAAAAGATTATTTTCTGTTACCTATAAAGCCAATGGCATCAGAAAGTACACAAGGTTTGAATGCAATAATGATGCAATGCCTCGGGGGTGGGGGAGATATTCTAGAAAGAAAGTCAGCACAGCTTCATTAAGAAGTAAGAAGTCAAAGGGGTAGTTGCTGGCATAGCAGAAAGAATGCCTTGTTTGGAACCAAAACGCTTGGGTTTTAGACCTAGCCCTGTCACTACTTGGTTCTGTGACCTTGGACAAGTCACTGAACCCCTCTGGGTCTCTTTTGTTAGGAAATAAAATAAGAGGTGGGACCAGGCAGTCTCCCAGGCCCCCTGCGGCTCTGGTATTCTGAGACCAACTATGACGTAGGTAGCTTCTGCTTCCACTCACACCTAAAAGAGTAAAACAGCCTGAAAATAAATCTTAAGCCTGAGTCAATGTTCCCTGCAACTCCCCTTCTCTGGCCTTTTCTGAGATTCTATTGGCAAAGAATGGCTTCCCTTGAGGATGGCTGAGCTAACAGCTGGGCAGTACTGGGTGATCTCTGCCCTTTCAACAGCTGGTCTCTGAGACAAACAACCAGACAGGCTTTATCAGAAAAAATGACTCAACTTGTGGAGGCCAAGCATAGATGGAGAGCAGTATCAGACTTAAAACTACTGTACTACTTTCTCCTCAACCAAACCTCCTTTCATCTACCAGTATCTTCTAGCCTCAGTTATGCAGAACCTCCATGAGAAATGGGGGAGGGAAATGGCACTAGACCATTTCTAGGAAGCCTAGAAAAAAATTCAGGGCCATAGTTTCATGTTTTCTGCCCTATTCCTCATAAGAAACTAACAATTTCTGAAGTGGTTAGAGATGTTCAACCAGGCCATGTTGATATTGTCGATGAGATGATTCTTCATTAATGAGGATTTTCCTGTACATTCCAGGGCCCCTGGGCACTCAGTGCTGGTAACATCCCCCTTTCCCATTATGACAACAACCAAAAATGCCGCCATGTATTTCCAAAAGCCAAAAAAGGAGCTTTCAAAATGTAGATTCAACTAAGAGGGATCCATAACGTTGATTTAGGTTCTTTCCATGGGTCTGTTTTCAGCATTCATGCAAAATGCAGCACTGTGTCAAAAACTTCTCTTCGTGACTGTCTCTGGCATGAAATTGTATTCTCTTCACTGTCTAAAGACCCACCAATATCCAAATGCCCCTTTCCCCATTGATCTGAATACTCTTCACATTTGCAAAGTCTGGGTGTCTAATAGGTTAAACCTCTTAACTTTTGAAGTTTGGGCTTTAAACTGATCTTTTGCTTACCTTTGTTTAAACAGATTTTTGCCACCGGGAGCCCATTTAGAAGGGAAAGGGAAAGAAAAATAGCAATTCACAAAGCTGTACACAGAGTCCGTGTGTGGAACGAAGGTGCAGCTGGACCACCTCTCTGCCTCATGATGTCTGCAAACGCACAGTAAAATTAAGAAATTGTGCCAATGCTAATATTCCCAGTCTCAACAAAGTGGTTTGTTTATTAGGTCTTCTGGCTCACAAAAGAGGTATTTAAAAACTCTGCATGTAGCCTTGGGAACCGACCACGGAAAAAGTAAACCTAAAGCACAAGTTTTGCCTTTGCAAGCAGCAAGCACTGAATCAATGAACATTAGACCATTTGAGTGAAGGCAACAAGATCACAATCAGAAAGAACAGCTTACTGATCAAAGGTAGATATCCCTGAATTGTGATCCATCAATCTGTGAAATTTAAAATAGCCCACATATGAGTATTTAAATAAATTAAGGTATATCTAAGTGGCTATGAAAACAAACTGCTACTGTAGAAAACTATCTGTTAATATACAGAAATGTCCACGTCATATATCTAAATGAAAAATATATTGTGAAAACTGAATTCCCTAATTTATAATTGTCTTTATATATTTATATATGTTGTTACATACTTTATATATCAATGTCTTTTTATCTATTTCATAAATGAATAATCAAATTTATAGTTTTAGAATTTATAACTTTTATTTTATTTTTTATTTTTTATTTTTTTTGAGACAGAGTCTTGCTCTGTAGACCAGGCTGGAGTGCAGTGGCATGATCTCGACTCACTGCAACCTCTGTCTCTCGGGCTCAAGCGATTCTCCTGCCTCAGCCTCCCAAGTAGCTGGGCTTACGGGCATGTGCCACCACGCCCAGCTAATTTTTGTATTTTTAGTAGAGACTGGGGGTTTCACCATGTTGGCCAGGCTGGTCTCCAGCTTCTGACCTCAGGTAATCTGCCCGCCTTGGCTTCCCAAAGTGCTGGGATTACAGGCGTGAGCCACCACGCCCAGCCAAATTTATAACTTTTAATTGAAAGTAGAAATTATCTATAAGTGCTAGAATATAAAAATGTATGGACAGCCTTATAGCAAAATGTTGATGCACTCCTGTGTAGTGTTAATACGGTTTTTTAATTCTTCTTATCTATATTTCTAACAATGAAGACCTCTAATTTACAATGGGAGGAAAAAAGCATTTGCTTTTTCAAAACAGCCTCTGTTTAACTGAATTGCGTGAGACCTGGTTTAAATAGTCCTCAGGGAACAAAAACCAGGGAGGACAACTGACTAGAGACAATATTTTCTGCCCAAAAGATAGATATTCTATATTTTATGCATGTTAACAAATAAACAAACTAACCCATTGGTAGGCACAGGCCTAAAAGACAGACTTTTCTGCAGGGCAATAATACCCCAAATCACAGATCCTTTTTCCTCTGACACTTTAAATGTTACATAGGCAGAAATCTGCTCTCTAATTTTGCCCTCCATGTAGACAGCAATCTGGACTAAGAAGAACTGGGCCTTTCACCAACAAGTATGGTTACCTACAGGTGAACACGCAGGTTTTGTATTAGAACCTCAAATGCTGGAAAGGAGCTCCTCTTTATTCACCCGCCTCCTCATGAGGGTGGGCTCTGAAATGACTCCTAACAAATTGCCCTATCGAAACACTTTTTCTTTCATAAATCCAAATTTCCACCTTGAGCCGCTACAATTAAGCTTTTATCTTTAGATTGTATTTAGTGGCCGTTTCTGTTCTCTCATGACTTGAGCCACCAGCCACAAATACTTAAAATAATATTTTTGATCCTGCTCTCCAAATGCACCCTCCCCCAAATTATAGTCTGTTAAATCCCTCTGCTTTTATGCAAAGAATAAACAGGCACTGGCCACACACTCCCTCCTGCCCACTGTAATAGGCTGAAATTCTAAGATGACTCCCAAGACTCCTGCTCCCTGCTGTAACATGCTCGGTATAACCCCCTTCCCTTGAGTGTGGCCTGTGCAACATGTGATTATGACAGATGGCAGTCCTGTGAGTGCTGGGTTACAATGGTGAAGGCAATTTTGCAGGTGTCTTGAAGGTCTCAATTCAGTTGACTCTGAGTTCATCAAAACGGAGATTATCCTGAGCGGGTCTGATCTAATAAGGTGATCCCTTTAAAAGAAGGTCTAGAAATGAGAAAAATTTTCCTCCTGCTGGCCTGGAAGAGGCAAACCACTAGAAGATGTACAAATGCAGAAAAAAAAAAAAAAACAACCCTGAATTCTGTCTACAACCATATGCTCCTGAAAGAGGACCTTGAGCCTCAAATGAGACTGCAGCTCCAGCTGACACCTAACTGCAGGTTGGTGAGCCACTGAGGACAGGACCCAGCTAAGCCATGCCCAGACTCCTGACCCATGGAAAATGTGAGATAATAAATGTGGTTGTTTTAAGCCACTATGTTTATGGTAATTTGTTAGGTGTAGTGCTATATATATAAGCTATATATATAAGCTATAAGGCTGTCCATACATTTTTATATATAGTTATATATATATAGTTTTATATATAGTTTTTTATAGTTATCTATATAGTTTAGTTATCTATATAGTTATCTATATAGTTATATATAGTTATATATAGTTATCTATATAGTTATCTATATATAGTTATCTATATAGTTATCTATATAGTTATATATATAGTTATCTATATAGTTATATATATAGTTATATATATAGTTATATATATAGTTATATATATAGTTATATATATAGTTATATATATATAGTTATATATATAGTTATATATATATAGTTATATATATAGTTATATATATATAGTTATATATATATATATAGTTCAATCCATAGACTGAACTGAGTCCCACCGAAATCCAAATGTTGAAGCCCTAGCGCTCTCTCTCTCTCTCGCTCTCTCTCTTCCCTCCACTCTACCCACTAAGGACACAGCAAGAAGGTGGCTGTTTACAAGCCAGGAAGAGAGCCCTCACCAGAAACCAACCATGCTGGCACCCTGATCTCAGACTTCCCAACCTCCAGAATCACGAGACATACATTTCTGCACCCAGCTGTGGTATTTTGTTATGGCAGCCACACCCGCTCAACACCCGTAGCAAGAGAAAACTAATATACCCACTAACTGGCTACATCTCTGTCCACTCCCTCACCTACACCCTCGCTTCTCTGGGTCTACTATCTGAAGACATTCTTGAGGAGGAAAAATGAATCCTGAAGAGAAACAGGAGAGCTGGAGAACCTGTGACACTTTCAGTCAGCCTCAAACTGGGGGTGTAGTCCTGGCCTGTGCCCTCCGGGGCTCCCCTGAGCCTCTCCACACCTGTGTCTTGATCCCGCCATTTGCCCCCCTTGGCTCACTCCTTTAGAAAAGGAAGTCAGACTAAGATGGCGCCTGTGACTTCATACCTGGGCTCCCAGATCACAGGTTAGTTGTTCTGCCCTGGCCTAAGTTTAGATAAATCTCTTTATTCCTGATGGTCTAGCCAAGACCAAGTTGAGTTTTTTAAAGAAACTTTTACAGGAAAACTGAGGGGAGGGAGGAAGAAGAATTTTTGAAATGCTCAAAGTAGACACATTTATATAAGACACATTTCTTAACTGAAGACCAGTCACAGCCTGGCTTGGCTGGTGTCACGTCTAGAATATCCACCTCCACATCCACTTCCTTCCCCTGCCCTGTCTTTACAGGAGGTTTATAACTGTGCCAGGCCTCCTCCGGCCCGACCTTCATTTGAGTTGGCTCCCTCACTAGCCTGGAGCCTCGGGCTCTGCCACTCTGCAGCTACCCCACCAAGTCCTCCTGCTCTGTTTCTGGCTCCCTGGATGAACAAGGTACTTCCATACCTGACCTCAACAATTCCTCACCTGGATCTAATATCGAGGACCTCACAAGACAGTGCTTTCCCATGATTCCCTGTCTCCAGGCCTCTCTGCTCTTGTGTCTACCACCTTGGCTTCAATTCAGCTAAGATATATTCAAAATTCATAATGTGTCAGTCAATTGTGCTAAATTCTGGAGATGCATAGATGCTGTCTTGCAGCTCAAAGCCTACTAGGACTACCTAAAACATGCTCACTAGTTCATTACTGAAGCTGGTATTACATCATGCTGAAACTCAATTCACGATTAAACTGTTTTTCTCAACTAGTGCCTAAGCTTCATCTTGCTAGTAGCCAGGGGGACATTATGGTAGGAACCAAAACTTACCCATAGCTTCTCCATCTCCTCCAACTCTCCAACTCTACAAAGTTGGAATAAAACAAATGTATTGGAATTTTGGTGTCTCAGTTCCATGTCCCTACTAAATTTCTCACTATTAGACTGTTTACTTACTTGCAGAAAGCCACTGCAAGTTAACAGAAGGAAACAGGATATTGATTTACCTTGGCCAAGGTAAATATTAGCATTTAAGAGGATCATCTTGGCTATTCAAAAGCGTGCTGGGCTCACCATAAGACTTCTCTAGTTTCAATTTTCCTACTGAATCCACAGCATGAGTATTAGCACGTAACTGAAGAATAGCCTCATGAAAACGAATTGACCATTCCTATCCAGTTATCTGTTATAGACTGCAAGCTCCAAGAAGGTATATCAGATGCATTTTGTTGTCCTTGTTCTGTGACCTGCACAACATAATGAACAACTGGCCATTCAAATGAGTTTCAGTGATGATGATGAAAACCAGCAGGATCATCAGTTTTGTGACTATCCCAGGCTTAAGGATGGCTGTCTGTTACCAACTTACACCATAGGAGTCATCAGAAATATAAAGGACATTCACACAAGAATGGAACAAAGTTCCAAACATGTTTACATGAAGTTGTCCCTCTTCCTAGTTGAGAAATAAGTCTACACCTAACATCAGGGTACAGAGATCACTCGTCTCATGGCAATCTCAAAGGCCAAGTCAGCCCAAAGAAATATCATTTTCTCTTAGGCAAATGCCAGCTATCAAAGTGCAAACGGAAATAGCCACTTGGACCTGGAGTTCGGCATTCAAACTGCTGACCCCATTATCTCTGCCACAGTGAGGCTGATACGGACCCGTGATGGGCAATCCAGCAGTTGGGATTCACTTGCTAACTTCCCACAGACGTTTAAAAAAGAACATGTCAGAAACTGTGTCGTTGTAAGGTGTAAGCCAGATCTCAAAACACACTTTATAAAGGACTCACGTATTCTCATTTTAATTGCAAAATTATCAGGAGAGAGGGAATCTAGGTTTTGTTTCTCCAGTAATTCAAAGGCTTGGGGAGGATTTCCCTAGTTTCAAGATCCTTCTGTGCAAGTTACTTCCTTATATTTCGCTTTTCCCATGGATCAAATGGACACCAGTGTTGCACTAGCCTCTTCCCACACCCCTTTGACCTGGGTATGTTATATTCACCAAGTCTCTTCTATGACTTTATTCAACAGCTAACACAGACGTAAAGCTTGTCAACACCCCAATCAAGATTAGAAAAAAAATCTAAGGGATATTTCATGAATGTTTACTTTGGAACATTTGTGTTTCTCACACCAGGGAAAAATAACATGTTTTGGAAGAATAAAATTAAATAGTGACATTTGCTTAGACACTCATGGATGCAAAACCCAATCCGCACTGGTTATTTGATAATGGTGTTATTGAGAGTGATCAACTCCAGGCCGAGTTGCTGGGAAACAAAGGTCACTGTCAAGATGACTCACTGATTTTCTCTAAGGATCTATTGATAAGCTCCTTGTCAACGGAGGTACTGTCAGAAGTATAATAAGGGAAGTGGCTAAGTATATTATTTTATTTAATCTTCACAACAGACATATGAGTGGGGTCATAATTATCCCCATTAGACCAATGAGAAAATGCAAGCTCAGAGAGGCTTTACAACTTACCCAAAGTTGCACAGCTGAGGAAGGGGTAGAACTAGGAAATCAAAATCAGTTCCTCTGACTGCAAAAGCCACACTCTTTCCAATACACCATATGCTTCTTGATCTTCGATGGTGAAAATGTGGGTGGTTTTGTCATGGATTTGTGGGTCATATGAGGGGTACTGTGTTTTCCAATGGGATAGCTATTCTCACCAAACAGGCACTGGTCAAAGAAAGGATCAAGACTCACACCCTGGATTTCTCCAGAGGGCAAAACGTCTGATAGTCATTTCAGGTAAGGTCAGGTATGATTACCATCAGTCCACACTTGTCTTTTTCTGGGGAAACTGGACCACATCAAAGAAGCTCACAAATGCTAACGCCTCTCATAAATGTAAGGTGATATTATCACCACTGTTCCCTACTGAGACACAAAGGGCTGTTTCTCCTCTACCCCATGCTTCTGAGCTACTCCGTAGTAGTGCTTTTTTTCAGGATTTGGTTTGTTTGGGGTGGGGAGTGAGGAGGTATTACGAAGGCTCCACAAACACCAGAGTAGCAGTGTCTGTGTATGCATCCGAAGGTGAGCCATTTATGATTTAGTTTCAGAGTAAAACAAACAAACAAACAAAAGGACATATCAGAAACTGTGTCGTTGTAAGGTGTAAGCTAGATCTCAAAACACACTTTATAAAGGACTCACATATTCTCATTTAATTGCAATATTACAGGAGAAAGGGAACCTTTTCATTTCTCCACTCCAGTAATTCAAAGGCCTGGGGAGGCTTTCCCTAGTTTCAAGATCCCTAGTTTCATGGTACAGCCATGGTACAGTCTGAAGAATAATACACTGATCCTCACTATTCACAGATTCCATATTTCTGAATTGTGTCTAATTGATAAAATGTATTTGTAACCTCAAAAATCAATACTTGTGGCACTTTCATGGTCATTTGAGAATCCGCATAGAGTGGCAAAAAATTTGAGTCACTGACATGCACGTGCCCAGCTAAGGCTGAAAAAGGGCACACTCTGCCTTCTTGCTGTAGCTCTCAGGCTATTACGCAGGTTCCTTTTCATGGTCTATTTAGTGCCATGTTTTTCATATCTTTGTGCTTTTTGTTGGTGACGTTGCTGTCTAAAACACCTCCCAAGCACAGTGCTGAAGTGCTATCTAGTGTCCTAAGTACAAGACGGCTGTGATATGCCTCACAGAAAAAAATCCACGTGTTCGATAAGCTTTGTTCAGGTATGGGTGATAGCACTCTTGGCTGTAGCTCAATGTTAATAAACCAACAATATATTGATACATTAAGTATGGTGTCTTTAAACAGAAGCACACATAAAACAAGGTTATATACTGATTAGTGATAAAAATGTAATCAGACACCCGCAAGAACCTAATCCTCTATTTCCCTTAGCAGCAAAGGGTTAGTATTTGCTAGTTCAGTGTTCACAGTGACTTAAGAGACCATAACCACTGCAAATAACAAGAATTGATTGTACTTATTGAAATGTATAAGTATGGTATATAAGCTCAAGGAATTATTGGCGAAATGTCTGTCATGCATTCAAAGGGCAATGTATTAACTATCTAAAATCATATACATGAAAAAGACTGTAAGAAACACACAAAACAGGCCAGACATGGTGGCTCATGCCTGTAACCCCTGCACTCTGGGAGGTGAGGCAGAAGGACTGCTTGAACCCAGGAGTTCGAGACGAGACCAGTCTGGGCAACATAGGGAGACTCTGTCTCTACCAAAAAAAATGTTTTAATTAGCTGGGCGTGGTGGTGCACAGCTGCAGTCCCAGCTACTTAGGAGGCTGAGGTGGGAGGATCGCTTAAGCCCAGGAGGTGGAGGCTCTAGTGAGTCAGGATCACGCCACTGCACTATAACCTGGGTGACAGAGTGAGACCTAGTCTTCAAGAAATATACAAAATAGACAATAGGGCTGGTAGGATAGTGGGAACATAAGAGTTTTTCTTTTCTTATTTCTCTAACTTTGGTAATATGTTATTTTCGTAATTTAAAAATAAAATTTCAAATGCAAATTTACTCCCATCCATTAATATCTCTGAGAAAAATCCACAAGTCCTTATTGTCAAGTATATGACTAATACCCTGTTCAGCAGCCCTACAAAAAGGTAATTAAAACCATCTAGAGGCCTGGTGAGGTTTGATTTACTTTTCTGGGAAACTTGGAAAAGATCTTCCTAGTATGGACCTGATTTATCATCTGACTTTGAAGGTTCTCCTTGTGTTTGATTTCTATTAACCATCTCTTCCACATACTCAGCCTCCTTCCCAACTTCCCCATGGCTGAGAGGATATCCCCGCCCAGCCCTCAGGCTCTCAGCCTTTCAACTCAAATGTCACCTTAGAGAAACAGTGTCCATGACCCCTACGGTAGCCACAGGTCCCATTTTGTCATCTTCACTGCATTTGCCAGTCTGTGAAATTAGCTTACTGATTTATCTGTTCCAGTTTTTATGATCTGGCCCCTGCTTTCCCGCCTTTGCACTAGAATATACAGGGACTGTCTGTCTTGCTCAGTGTTTGACAGCCACCCTACCTACCCCACCCCAACTCTACCACACCTAGAAGGAAGTGCTCAGTAAGTATTTGCTGACTTACTAACTCTTAAGTTTTTCCTGATTCCTCTTTCTCCTTTGACCCCAAATCCAGATATAATCACTTATTTACCTATCTATCCTACTCCAGGAGGAGTTTAAGAATAATTGTTTTTGTTTTTGTTTTTTTTAGACGGGGTCTCTCTCTCTCACTCTTGTCAACTAGGCTGGAGTGCAGTGGCGTGATCTTGGCTCACTACAACCTCCGCCTCCCGGGTTCCAGCGATTCTCCTGCCTCAGCCTCTAACGTAGCTGGATTACAGGCGCCTGCCACCACGCCTGGATAATTTTTGTATTTTTCGTAGAGACAGGGTTTCACCATGTTGGCCAGGCTGGTCTCGAACTCCTGACCTCAAGTGATCTGCCTGCCTCGGCCTCCCAAAGTATTGGGATGAAAGGCATGAGCCGCTGTGCCCAGCCAGTTTAAGAATATTTCAATCACTTAGTAAGACCTTTTAATGTAAACTCCTTGATGTCTCTTGACTTCATCCTGATTTATTTCCTGGGAAACAAGAGAGCTCAGGGTTAGACAGTTTGTTCCCTCTAAGTCACTGTAGTTTATGTTAAGTGGGATTAGCTCCCGGTGGTGTTTCACTGAAAACCTGCTTACCGCTTAGTTGATTAACTGCTACTCCACATAACACATTCCTTCCTTATGACCAAATTACTGCCAGAGCCTTCTAACTTCTCTGCACCCACTCCAGTCTAGCTGAGGCCTGAGGAATAGATGGATAAATAACAGTATCTGAGACCTGCTGTTGGTGTATGTTAAATGTTCTTTAAAAAGCGTCAACCATCCCCAACACACGACTCTCCTGAAAGGGAAAGGTATGCGGGTTTGCAGAGGAGGGGAGAGTTGGGTGGGTGATGACGGTCTCAGAATGTGACTCTAGAGAAATCATTTCATCTCTGTTGGAAAGTCCTTGTTTCACTTGCATTGTGTTTTAAGGCTGGGAAGGGGTAGACACTGAGCTCTTTCTAATGCCAAGCCTTCATCAGAAAGCAGCTGTAATATAGAAAAAATGCTTTGCCTAATCCTGTTTTCATGATGGTTTCTAGGCAACCGCTTGATGCAAACTAGTTTGTAAACAGCTGGCAGCTAGATAACCAAGAGAAAAAGGGGCACTTAAAACAGACGGTCAAACAAAGATCTGCAGAAGGGAAAGGCATCATCATGGGTTTTTCACACAGCCCAGTAAGATCACAAGGTCCTGTAACCTCTCCAGGAGGGAAAAGCAGCAGGGGTGTGTGAGCTGTAAACCTGGAAGAATAAACAGCACTCTCCTGATGAATCACAGGGAAAGAGAAATTCTTCATGTCATTCTTCACGGAGGAGACAAGATCAAAATCTTGAGAGGCTACCTCTCTGCATGGGTTTCTGTCTGGTATTCTGAAGTTCCACAAACATAAGTAGAGTCCTGCCCTTTGACCTTGAGATACAGGTTGTACCTGTCCTGTCTACGCATGAGGGATAACTAAAATGACAACTGAAATTGTGAAATGACCCACAGCATTTAATGATCACCGAGAACAAAAGTGTAGGATCTTAGTGCTTGTTTACATTTGGCTTGAATTGTGTATTATTTTTCCTGAAAAAGAAAGACTAGTAATCCTAGGGACATAATCCACAGCTTACAAATACTCTTGCTCTTGCAGGTGGTGACAGCAGATAGCTACCCAGAAGTAGGGGTGGACCCAGGCAGGGGGCAGGGGGCTAGGGATCCTCTCAGAGGTTCCTGTTTGCTCCCTGTTCTAACTATAATGGCCACGGCTTTCTATTTTCAGAAAACTTTTAGCAAAAAGGAAAGAACCACAAAGAAATCATCAGGAGCACTGCAGGCAGCACACATTTAAGCTCTATAAAGGCAGCTTATGCTTGCGTCCAAACTACCCTAGGAGCACTCCTATTTTTTAAAATGAATAACTTTGTGTTGCCAAACTCCCCAGGTCCACCACATGTAAAGTTTATCTGTAACAGCAGCCTAAAGAGTTTGGAATGCTCATGGTATTGTCTGGCCATGAGAGAGGAGGTAAGAGGAGAAGAGGAAGGCATGGAGGCTAGAAAGTAGGAAGACCAGCTGCCCCAGTTGCCTCAGACTTTTCTGGTTGTAAAGTTCCACATCCTGGGATATCTCTCAGTCCCACAGAAGTCGGAACAACTGCCCAACCTACAAAGGAATAGAAAGAAGACTACAAACGTTGCCTAAGCACAAGTGTAATTAGTCACTCAAGACTCCCAGTGACTGAGAACCCAGACCCAAGAAACCAGGTCCTGTAACTGCCAGAGTCTGGGTTCTTATTTAACATAAAACTCTAAAGTTCCCTGGACAGAGCCACTGGTAGAGACACCATTCTCCCACCACGTTAACCTACATTTAAAAGTAAATAATGAATGACCATGATAAACCAATCACTCTCTTGACCCCTAATTCTCACCAGGCTGACCTTTTTATAAGTGGTTACAGATACGCTACTACTTCATCATTAGAAACCCCCTGAAATCCTTGCCCATTTCCATCTTCAATGAGTACAGTAAGAATCCATCCAACAGGTATAGAAAAAGCACGTGTTCACAGACAGTTTCTCTAAGGAGCAAGCAGCAAAGCCCTGGTGGATTGAAGCTGGTCGCATCCTGGTTTGGTAAGCACCACAGGATGGGGGAGGGCGAAGATGGCAGTCTTATGATTAGTTCTTCAGCACGGCCACCTCACTCCTCTCCCCTTAATCCCCACACGCCAAACTTACACGTCCGGTTCAGAAATACTCATGGAGTCTAGAAATATGTGTGAGGGCACTTGGCATTTTCACTTCTAATTTGTGATTCAATTATTGTTCTAATTGGAAGATAATCTGAAACAAACATAACTCAGAAAATAATTTAACAGGCACCCCTGAAATCCACCACCTCGACTTTTCAAATGTAAATCTGCAATCTTGGCCTCAAATTTTTGAAAAAGAACTGAAATATTACCAATAAAACTAAAACCCACCTCAAAGAGGCAGATCTGAGCACCATCCTCTCCTTTTTATAAAGGCAGAAACTGAAGCTCGGAAAGATTAATATGCCTCGTGTTCCATTACTGGAACACTAAGCATGCGGGAGTTATTTATATCCTACTGCTCAAGGTCATCGCCAAGGTCTGATGTTTCATTCATGCAAAAATTCAAAAAATTACAACCTAAGGCATAAAGGGGTTAAATAACTTACCCCAGGATGTATGGGGACAGTCACTGGACACATTCAAGTCCTAGTCTTCCTTGCTGCAAGTAAAATTTCTCTCAGTGGGTACCTTTCAATCACTTGAAATCACTCATACTTTGATGTTTAAAACACTAGCTAAGGCACTTAATTTCAGGTCTCAGATTTTGCTGCCACTTGTGTTACTAGGCACCAGGTATTTGGTGGCAAGACAGAACCATCAGTTTGCCTCAGGAATGTAAGACTTTGAATCAGAGAAGACCCAAAGGCCTTCTAATTATTTATAAACAGTTGTTTCCCACTTACAAGTGGAAATAAAATTAAAAAGCACAAACCGAGTGAGACGAATAAGCTATAAGGAGTAGAATACAATTTCAATCTAATTGAACATTTTCATTATAGAGCATTTTCAAATAAGTGTTTAGTCAATTTACTTTAGAGAGCATCTCAGGTCAGTGTCTGGTTTAAATTCCAACTACCACTCTTGCCAGAAGAAAATCGTTTCGCAGTGTTAGCAGTGGACAGTAATACCCGGGTTTCCTCCCCAGTGCAAGTTTCCAGTAATAGAATTAATTTGAAGTCAATTTCTTCTAAATCAAATCTGAGCTCTCTCTTATTCACAAAAGCTCCTAAGCCCACCTGAGCTGCTTTCAAACTGCCATTGCACTCTCTACCTTCCATCTTTCAGGTCCTGGCAATCCTTCACACGGACAGCCATGCCGAATATTTCTCGAGAAGCCAGCAGCCCAGGTAAGCCATATTGAAACAGCACAATTTAACAATGATAGTTATTTTACTTTAACTTGAATTTCACAATCCAGGTTCTGAATTCTTTGAGTTGGGCAAACATTTGCGATTGCTAGCATACAGCATAAGGCCCCACCTAAAAGAGTTAGACCATTCAGACAGGTGAAACAACATTCCGCACAGAGCTAGGTGAATCTGTTCACCTTTTTCTAGAAAAAGGGATTTGTCACTTACAGGAAAGTAGGCAAATTCAATTAACCCAGTAGTGAAGAGCTACTTTTAGAGCTGAACAGCATTTCCTTTTGTCAAACAGAGGCCTTTTAGAAAAGCAGTGTGTGTGGATTTAATCCAATGCCCCCCACCCCCCAGTGTACATTAAAACTCATAAAATGTTTTGTCTTTTCTTCTTCGGCCTCTCCACTCCACTGGGTTCCCACTCTGGTCTAGTCAGATGTAATGATGACGTGGAGTTCCCTGAACACAGCGCTCATCACTCCTCCCCATCTTGAACACAGGTTCCTACAGCCTGGAATTCCACTTCCCTCCCTTCTCCACCTGGAAAACTGCTACTTCCACAATCTAGCCTTTTTCCACTCACCCAGGAAATCATGTCACTAGGCACCCAAAGTGCACTCAAGGACTCACACATTTCCTTCTCTTAACACATTTACCACTTACTTTCTGCATTTTTTTTAAACCTATTTCTCTCTCTTCAAAGATGTGACTACAGGAATCTACAATGCCTAGACATAACAGAAGGCAAATAAACACTTGAGAAATCCATTAACATCACAACCTCATTCCTTTCCCCACCGTCTGTACAGCATCCTGACTGTCCACAGGGGTGCCTAATTATACAACCCCAAGTCCTCCTTCACCCTAGAATCTCCACTGGGCCCAGACTACTTCGCATCAGAAAAAAATACAGTAACTCCAAACTCAACAACTAGGCCCAGCCCCTCAACTAGTAAAGAACTCTTAAACTTGAGAAGATGGATATTTTTTCTTCATTTTTAGAAAGTGAAGAATATATTAATAACCCAAATAATTCCTACTCCTTCCACTCAATTTACAGGCTTCACAAGTTTTCTTCAAAGAACGCACCTGTAAGAAAGAAGACTGGCTGTACAAGAAGAGTGGTAAATGCAATGACATTTATCTCTTTCCTCTGCTAAGGTATTAATTCATCAATAAGCAAAAACACTTCAGATGCATTCCTACTAATTTTTGCTGTATCACAGGGTGGAAGACTGTTTGGTCCCAAGGGAATAATGGCTACAATCTAGGACCTCCTCCCAGAAGGCAGGAACATTGTGTCTGGCGTGTTCCGTCCTAGGCCTGGCCCACTGAAGTCCCAGGAGCTGTTCAACTGAATCAGTCACTTTCTAGTTTTCCCCTAAATCCAGGTCATCACTGTTCCTAATTTCCATGGTCACCAAGGGAAACAGGCAGCTCCCTGACTCATGCAATTCCCTGGGGTCAGTCCTCAGTGGGAAGAGAGTAGAGTTTACAGGCCAGAAGTCAATTTGAACAGTTCACACTACCCAAGGCACACAAGCCCAAGGCTATGCGTAACAAACTTGATGGCCCAACACAAGTTAGAACTCAGGTAAAATTCATGTAAAAAAAGAACCCCTTAAGTTTGCGACTTGGAGACAAACCACTGAGATCCTAAGTCTACTGTCTTGGGAGAAATATTGGAATTTATTTTCCCTCAAAATGATCAGAAAATAAACCTTTGGCCAGGCACAGTGGTTCACACCTATAATCCCAACACTCTGGGAGGCCAGGGCAGGAGGATCGCTTGAGCTCAGGAGTTTGAGACCAGACTGGGCAACATAGTGGAGACCCTGCCTGTTCAAAAAAAAAGAAAGAAAGAAAGAAAAGAAATCCTTGGCTGCTTCAAACAAGCCAAACAGCTTGAGATATCTGATGAGTGATAAGAGTTTTAAAAAGCTGTATTTGAGGAACTCACTTATCTGCTTGGCATTTGGTACAATGCAATGTTTAAATGTTTTAAGAAATCCAGTGAGTTAAGGGCAGGCCCTTTCTCCCATGTCTCACTTTCTGCATCAAAGACAACAAATAAGCTGCTCTTGATCCAGGGCCACCTGAAGAGCCTCTAGTGAGGTCACCAGCTAACACTTCCTCATTCTGCCTGACCACTGCTTAGACACAGGTGAGTGGATCTGGTCAGGATTAAATCCAAGGAAGGTCCAGTGCAGTCAGGATCAATCCTCTGGCGCCAACACTTCACACACTTGAGATCTGTCTGCAACACAAGGGATGTAAAAACTTAAGTAATTCTTTTCAGTCTTCAAAATGCCGAGTCATTTTTAAAGAGACTAACATTAAAGCAGAAGTTACTACAGTATGTGTGTATGTCTGTCTCATGTCTGAGAAGGAACCTATTGACTCCAAGAGACCAGAATTGACTTGTTAATGAGGACTGTAGAGTCCCCACCTAAGGAGGATTGTGAAAATGGCCTCAATGCTTGGCAGGTCCTCCCATGAAGAGGTGATGTCTATTTCTCTGCTCTTTGATTCTGCAATGGCATTTCGAGTTGCTTTGGCCAACACAATGAAGTAAAGTATAACTGTCCAAGTTCTGAAACTGGGCCCCAAGAGTCTTTGGCACTTCCAGTCTCCCTCCTGGAACCTTCAGCTGCCATCTGAACAAGACAGGACTAGTCTCTGGGTAATGAGTGACCCCCAAGGTCCATATTCCCCACCATTCCCTTTCTCTATCACCCCAGCTGATCGCCACCCATTCCCTAGAAGCAGAGCTGGCTGACCAGCACCTGAGCACAGACTCATAGGTGAACCCAGCTGAAACCAGCAGAAGAAAAGTCCATCTGAGCCCAGTCCAAATTGCTGGTTCACAGAATTGCAGGCTAAATAAATGATGGTGGTTTTAAGCCACTAAGTTGTATGGTGATTTGTTATGTAGCAAAACCTTAAACACCATTCCCAAAAACGTTTTGGGAGAGAAGACATGACCATATGTTGAAAAGACATTCAACTCTGTGAAGACAGGGAGCCCAATCAATGATTTCTCAAACATTCTACAAACCAGGGTAAAAGAAAGCATGATGAGAATCAAAGTATAATAACCGAATTAAATTATCCGAAGTAAACTGCATCCTTTGCCATCCGGCGAGGAAAGTACGTGCAATATTTAGAAAATGTAAGGTAATGTAATTACTGGTTCACCAGTACAACAGAAAGTTGAGTGATAAAATACTTATTTACCTCAGTAACTTTTCACTTTCACTCTCTTCCCTTTATTTTTCAGAGGTCTACTTTCCATGTTCCCATTCCCTAGTTTTTAGAATTCTCATGGCTTCATGTCTCCATTGTACTCCTCTAGCAAAAACAGAAGCAGCAGTAGCTTCCACTAATGGAGGCACTTTACTAGGTGCTTTTAACATCTAGTAAAAAATATATAATTCTCATTATATAGTGAATTATCATAACCAACCCATTAGATAAGTAATAATTAGACCCATTTTATAGGGCAGTAAACCAAGGCTCAGAGAGGTTAAGTAACTTGCCAAGAACATGTGGTTTGCATGTGCTGGAGCTAGAATTTAAACCACCATCTGTCTGGTTACATAGCTCATGAATTTTCCATTATCTAACACTGCCTCTGAGGAGTAAGTGCTAAGTTCGTAACATAGACTTTCCATAAGAATGCAAGCTTAAAATACAGTGACTATAAGTAAATGCAGAATAAATACATATGTGTGTGTTTATACATACACACATGCACACACACACAGGGGGGTGGGGAGAGAGAAAATAAAAGAAAGAAGTAATTGTGAAAACTCAAATTCCGTCAAAAGAGAATATTAGTGATTTTGTCCAAAGCCTTTCCAAGGCTTAGAGAGAGAATCAGGAATATATAACAGTTAGGGTCAGTGGGATATTAGCCTGGAAGTATCTAATAAAAGACAACATTGGATCAATTACCTCTGGCTCTAAAGCACATACCTGGAAAGACATCCACAGGGGAACCATCTGAAATTCAATTAATTAACTGTGCATATTTTGAACAGTTTTGCCATAGTACAACTACTACAGAAGCACGTGTTTTATTTCATTTAAATTAACAAATAAACATAATCTTATTTACCAATTATTTTAAACTTAAAACTAAATTATTTCTTTTTTTTTTTTTTTTTTTTTGAGACAGAGTTTCACTCTTGTTGCCCAGGCTGGAGTGCAATGGCACGATCTCAGCTCACTGCAACCTCCACCTCCCAGGTTCAAGTGATTCTCCTACCTCAGCCTCCCGAGTAGCTGAGATTAGAGGTGTGTGCCACCACACCCGGCTAATTTTAGCAGAGACGGGGTTTCACTATGTTGGCCAGGCTGGTCTCAAACTCCTGACCTCAGGCGATCCAGCCACCTTGGCCTCCCAAGAATTATTTCTTTCACTCAGAAAGAAATGTGGGCTTAAAAAACCAATCTATTATTTTAGGAAGAAGCCTACATTGTTAAATGTTTATATTCTGCATTAAATTTACTTCCTTCCTCCAAATTATAAACTGGGGGGTGGGGGGTGGGGGACATGAGAACATTAAAATTTTTCATTTGTCCTCAATTTTCTCAATGTAAATGAATTTGCTCAGTGTCCTTGCAGTCAAGCCAGCATATAATTAAGTGGCAGTTTGGAGGAAAGTACGTATGTCTCTGAATTGAAATTGGGGAAGGAACATCATGGGGGCCCTCCCCCTGCACAGTCAAAGCACAGGCTGAGTCAGGCTTTCTCTCCTTGAGTCAGTTGTTGCTCCCCACACCCAGGCAACCCAAACCTGGAAGAATCTCAGGCTTTCTCCTACTTCAGCCTCTCAGGCAGAGGCCCTTTATCCCACCTTTGCCATCACAGGATACAGACAGAATGCGTCTTCTGTGGATCCAACCTCTAGGCCTCAACTCTTCCTGTCATTTTGGGGGTCCCTCCCCTGTGGCATCTCTTGTCCTCCCCTCCCCATTTCTATGCCAGACAGTCCTCTATCTTTCTCTCAGGTACCTGTGGTCCCTAGGAAACAAAAGCTTTCCTTTTCCCACCCGGGGGGCACACCTCACAAGACTCTGATGGTCACCTTGGTCACTCCGCTCTAAGCTCTGCCCTTGGCAATTCTTCCATTCATCCTTTGCTGCTTCTTGAAAGATCTCTAGCCTACCCCAGGCCTTTCCTCCATGATCTCATGACCCATGCCCTCTTCATGCCCAATGCTCAGTCTCTCCGTGGCAGGCCCCCTCACTTTTCTGAACCATGGGAACTTCTAGGAAGTTCTTCTAGGAACTCACACTGCTCCCCTGTGTCTCCATGAACCCAGCCTCCACTTCCTCTCCTAGCATCCCCTGCACCTCCACGCGCCTGCTCTGCTCTTCCCCATCTGCGACCCCACCGAAGTCAGGACCAATGTCAGGAAACACTTGTAGAACAAGGGGGAAGACTCACTGAATGTTCACGTTGAAATGGACCCTGGTGGTTTTTAAGCGCAAATCCAGGGACACTAAACTCATGAAGCAGCACAGACCATTGCTTGGGCGACTTGAATTCTAAAGCTGCCATACACTGAACTAAAAGCTGTCTCTTGGTACCTTTCACTAGATGGCCATGGCTCTGACTTTGGAACTGTTCCCTTAAAGCATTGGAAGGCTGTCATCAAGAAGGATCCTGAGTGTGTATTCCCAGATCTTGTCCCTCCTCTACTCAAATCCTGAATCTCATCAGGATGAACAAAGGGTTTCTAGGCCCCCTTTCTCTGCCTTCTCACCTTGAGCTTCTTCCCGCACCATCCTCCTTCCCCTTCCCTGAGGGATCTCTGCTACAGGCACACTTGCCTCTCCCAGCTCCAGCATACACCCTGGGGAACCACTTTTGCCAGCCATCTGGGCTGATTGCACCTTCACTGCCCCCAGACTCAAATATCACAACATCAGGCAGGACTCCCCACCACCCTGTGTAAGCCAGTCAGAGCCTCCCACCCCCCACCAGCATTCTCTTACCCCATCGTGGTTTATTGTTCTCCATAACATGAATCGCCCCCTAAGAAATTACATGTATGTTTGCTTCCGATCTCCTGCACTACACATGAGTTCCATGGGGGCCGAACGTTTGTCTACTTGATTCACTGCTACAACAGCACCCAGAACACAGTACCTGGCACAAAGTGGGTGCAGTGCTCTGTATGTATATATCAATAAATGAATTCCCACTCCCTTCCATCCTCGCACTCATCCCCCAGCACACACAAACCTCTTTGCTTTCTCTCTGCATTCACTGGTCTGCATATCCAGCTTTCCTAAACAGCAAGGTGATTTTGGATACTGATCTGACATCTGACATCCCAGCAGTCCCTCTCAGCTTTGGGGCCCTTGGATCTTCATGAAGATGTCTCCCTCCTTCTTCATCTCACTCAACCAGCCCCCCTCCTTCACGTTCCTTCTGGATCCCAAGCCTGCAACGCCTGGAAAGTCTAGATAAGGGTTATGGTCTATGTCATCCTCAGATATGCTGATAAAAAGGCTGAGCAAACAGAGCTCATTTAAAGATCCCCCTCTCCGGAGGCTCTAAGCCAGAATTTACCTGCTCTTCAGGACCTCTTAGCAAGTCCCTGTTCCCACTTAGTCAGCACTGCTTTCTTCCTATTCACAAAGGATCTCTTTAATAACCAGCTCCACCAGTTTTCCAGGTATTAATGTCAAGCTTTTCCCTTTTCAAAAACCAGTACGGTATTCACTTCTTTCTAGTTTTCAGGCACCTCGTACTTGACTTTGTTAGTCCTTAAACTGATTTCTAATTCACGCCATTTTGTATTTATCCTAAGGTAAACATCAATCTTTCTAGCTTCTGGATACATTATTTTAAATTCTGAGCAAAATGTCTCTAGTCACTCTCTGGTATCATGATCCACCCCTCCCATCTTTGTTTTTATTGTTCATTTTTACTGGATTAAATTTAAATGTTTTTCTAACTTCCTCCTTCACGAACTGTATTTATATTAGAGTCTCTGGCCATGGAGCTTACCTAATTTTCCCCCAGGATCTTTTGAAATCTTGAAATCCTCTTCCCTAAATTGCCGAAGCAGGGATAATTATGTCCAGGGATAATTATGTCAAGCCAAACTTGATTTGTTTTTATAAGTTTAAAAATAGTTATTGCCTTTTTTATTTTGGTGTTTTTTTTTAAACAACTTATTTTGTTCAATGTTAGGATAGTATTTGACATATCTGTTGAAGAAAGAAAGAAAAAATAGAAATGAACAAATGATGACAACACCAAAGTAAGAATGTATCACAATCTGTTTTCAGCTGAAATAAATTCCTAGAAGATCCTTTATCCCTTTTAAGATGGCCATGTTAAAGAAACACTTGCGGCCAGGCGCGGTGGCTCACGCCTGTAATCCCAGCACTTTGGGAGGTCGTGGCGGGCGGATCACCTGAGGTCAGGAGTTCGTAGACCAGCCTGGCCAACATGGTGAAACCCTGTCTCTACTAAAAATACAAAAATTAGCCAGGCGTGGTGGCAGGCACCTGCAATCCCAGCTACTTGGGAGGCTGAGGCAGGAGAATCACTTGAACCCAGGAGATGGAGGTTGCAATGAGCCAAGATCATGTCATCGCACTCCAGCCTAGGGGACACGAGCGAGACTTCCTCTCAAAACAAACAAAACAAAGCAAAACAAACAAACAAACAAACAAACCCTTGCTTAACCCACTAGCATGTCTCTGGCTCCCAAAACACTTGTCACTACCAAATCAATCATGTGTTTCGACAGGGGAATGTTTTCCTCCGTGTTTAGCCTTTTGAGCACTCAGCATCTAGACTAAAGCACCCAAGGCTATTGACCCATCAAATACAAAAATGTTAAGCCATCTAGAAAAACCAGATCATTCAGTTAAAGGCTTTCTTTGTGCCTCCTGCACTCCCACAAAGATGGGGAGGGAACAAGCATGATATGCAAGGTAATCAATATTGAACAATCCAATATTGAAAACAAACGGACTGCTTTCAAATTCTTTAAATTCTACCATTCTTTTCAAATTATAGAGAGTCATAATCCAGTAGTGATATGGTTTGGCTTTGTTCCCACCCAAATCTCACCTTGAATTGAGCTCCCATAATTCCCACATGTTGTGGGAGGGACCTGGAAGGAGATAATTGAATGATGGAGGCGGTTTCACCCATACTGTTCTCATGGTAGTGAATACATCTCATGAGATCTGATGGTTTTATAAGGGGAAACCTCTTTTGCTTGGCTCTCAATTATCTCGTCTGCCACCACGTAAGACGTGCCTTTTGCCTTCCGCCAACCACGTGGAATTGTGAGTCCATGAAACCTCTTTTTCTTTATAAATTACCCAGACTCAGGTATGTCTTTATCAGCAGCGTAAGAACAGACTAATACAAGTAGTGACCAAACTCTAGTTCTACTACAGAGATTGTCCAACCGGGGAAACAAAATAGATAAAGAAACTGCCCATAAGGTAACATTCTAAATTCAACTATCTCTAAAGCCAGAGTTAGATCAAGGGACAGGATAGTGCTCAAACTGTTGCCAACTCCAGTAATTACTGCTTCCTCAGATTACTTACGATTTTTCTATAAACAGAAATTTAGTCTGTCTCCTTCTGTCTTTCCAACACGCAGTATCAACACACATGCGCACAAATATATTTACACTCGTTGAGGAAAACATGGCCAAAAAGACAGAAACGTGAACTTTTGCTAGTTTAAGCATTCCATTTTTTCCCTTAGGATAATTAAATCGAATCAATGACAAAAGCCCCTTGATTGTGAGGCTTTGCAATCTACATCTGAAATATCAGAATATTGTTAATATTAAAATGTTAATAGAACACACAGGTGAGTAGACCAATGCTATTGGTTCTTCTGGAATACTTCCTTAAGTTATTTTACAAAGAACCCTGGTCTCAGGAAGCACTGATTAAAGTTTCAAGGAAGTGACACAGCCCATGTTATAAGCAAGGACATAGAAAGCCCTAGGTTCTCCAGCCAAACACTGCAACTATCTGCAAAGCTCTCTCTTCTACGGTAAAGAGAGTTGACCAGGGTAACGTCCACTCAAAATCCCACTCCACTTAAAACTATGGGATTCTATGCCTGAGGAGGAGCAAAACAAAGTGCTATTATTTATGTCAAAATGGGCAACTGGGAGAAACACCTACTGAATCTAGCCTCCTCCTCTAGGGCAGGAATGCTTAAACCTGAGGGTGTATCACAATCACCTGGAGAGTTTATTAAAACACAATGGGTGCATCTCACCCTAGAGTTTCTAATTCAGTAGGTCTGCAGTGGGGCCCAAGAATATGTCTTTCTACCAAGTTCTCGTATGCTTTGCTGGTCCATAAAGCACACTCTGAGAACCACTGGTCTTCCAAAGAAGGAATCTGATGTTCACTGATGGCATCAAGGACTTAGGTGAACAGAAGTTGGGAGGGGCATCAAGACAGAGGAGCCAAAGAAGATACAGATCAGAGACAGGAAGTGCAAACATGTGAAAAGTTATGAAATTCCTCCAGAGAGTGGAAAAATAAGGGCTAGTTGCATCTTCTTAAATTATATCCCACTATGTCTTACTGCATAATTTGTAAAATAGATTATATGTTACTTGCTTACATACTTTAAAAAATTATGTCCAATAAGTTTGGATGGTAATGTGATGCACTTTCAGAAAGCAGGTTAAAAAAAGCAAATTCAGTCAACAAAGAAAACTGTTAATACATTGGTGCTCCCTCCAGTGGCTCAGGGAGAAGGAGGAGCACTATCCTTGATATGGAATTGGAATATTTAAGAAGTGTATGTTGATCCTAGCCACGACTCAGATAGAAGGAAAGCTCAGAATAAGTTAATCTTTTGGATAAAAGAAGAAGATTACCTCACTTTTGACTACAGACAGCTCAATTTGGAGATTTTACAAAGAACAGGAAATAACATATTTTGCCTCATGTTCATGCCTCTCAAATAAAAATAATAAGGAAATTTTAAAAAGAAAAATCGTAGGTAGAAAGGAAGGACCTATGCCATATGAGAGTTCATCAAAGCTCCCCTGCAGTGGCTTACTGACAAGCTGCTAGAACTGTGCTTCTGAATCCTTGTCTCTGCCTCCATATAATACGCAGGAGCCGCATACTCCTCAAGGTAACACTCTCATTACACATGGATTCTCAAGTGTCTGGGAATGAGGGCATGGAAGGAGGGTGTTATGAACTGAAAGTGTGTCCCCCTAAAATTCATATATTGAATCCCTAACCCCCAATGTGATAGTATTTGGAGATGGGGCCTCTGGGAGGTTTACATGACGTCATGAGGTGGGGTTCCCATGATGGGATTAGTGCCCTTATAAGAACAGCCCAGAAAGCTTGCTCTCTCTCCCCTTCTTCTCTCTCTCTCAGTCTTCTCTCTTTCTCCCTTCCTCTCCTTCCCACTCCTCTTTGCCCTGTGAGGACACAGAAAGAAGGCAGCTGTCTGCAAGTCAGGAAGCGGGCGCTCACCAGAGCTCAACTATGCTGGCACACTGATCTCAGACTTTCAGTCTCCAGAGCTGTAAGAAATAAACGTCTGCTGTTTAAGCCACCCAGTCTATGGTACTTTGTTAAGGTGGCCTGAGCAGACCAAGGCAAAAGGTGAGTGAATCTCCATCAGCCTAGCAGTTTGGACTCTGAGCTCATTATCGGGACATCATTATCTACCTAGAGACAATTTACCTAACTTTGGGCCAAGGACTCAGGAAGAAAAGAGCCTCTGGAATGTTATCATGGTCACCACACTACTAGCGGATGTAAAAGGAGAACAAACACTAGGCTTAGCTTGAGTCCCAGCCCTCCTCCCACAGTCACTCCCCCAACCCTAGCTTCTCCCTAATGCTAACCCAAAACAAGAGATACTCCGGATGACTCAGCCGCAAGTGCCCTTGCTATTGATTTGAACCTGATCAGACAGTTTGGTTCTGGCTCTTCGATTCTCTCCCAGACACCAAGCCCCATGTCTCTGAACTGGAGTGTTCCTGTGGCCCCTGCTCCCGATCGCTGGAAACTGACTCACAAGTTTCCCTCCCAGGAACAGGAAGCCTGCCCTGCACTGCATTCCTAAGATCCTTCTAACCACTGGCAGCTCAGCCTCATGTTGGCCACCTGCATGAACTTCCAACCATCACCTCCCCTCACTGTGATGCCCCATCCACTTCCTGGGACACCATGTAAATACCTAACAGCCACTGTTGACTGAGCACCACCGTGTGCCAGGATCTCTGCTTTAATACGCATTATCCCTAATCCTCAACACAATGCTGCAAGGTAGGTTATACTCTTCCCATTTGTGGTTGAAGCACACAAGACTTAGGGAGTTAAATAACCTTCCCAAGATCACACAGCCAGTCAGTAAAAGCTTGCTATTTTCACCTTTCTTTCTGACTTTAAAGTCTATTTTCTTTCCAATACAACACAGCGTCGTTTCTACCCCATTTTGGCACACCCCATCCCTTCCTTGTCCTCCACAGCTGATGTTGCCCTGGACTGGAGCTAGCTACTCTTTTTTTTTTTTTTAATTATACTTTAAGTCCTAGGGTACATGTGCACAACGTGCAGGTTTGTTACATAGGTATACATGTGCCATGTGGGTTTGCTGCACCCATTAAGTTGTCATTTACATTAGGTATTTCTCCCAACGCTATCCATCCCCCAGCCCCAGACTCCCCAACAGGCCCCAGTATGTGATGTTCCCCTCCCTTTGTCCATGTGTTCTCAACGTTCAACTCCCACTTACGAGTGAGAACATGCAGCGTGTGGTTTTCTGTCCTTGTGATATTTTACTGAGAATGATGGTTTCTAGCTTCATGCATGTCCCTGCAAAGGACATGAACCCATCCTTCTTTAAGGCTGCATAGTATTCCATGGTGTATATGTGCCACATTTTCTTAATCCAGTCTATCATTGATGGACATTTGGGTTGGTTCCAAGTCTTTGCTACTGTGAATAGTGGAGCTGGCCACTCTTGTATCCTCTCAGCCTCACACTGTTTCAAGCCAGCTGAACCTCCTCCAATGGGGGGTACAGCTGGATCAGTCCCCAGTATACCATCAGCTCAGGCCCGCCACCAACTCTCTATCCCAACTCATAAATGAATCCAATTTGGTGGCTCCCACCTTCAACCCCATTGATTTACAACTTCCAATTACAGCACATAAGAACAAGTCTTGTGTGTGTCCTAGGGGGTTGGAGAAAAGAAGGAAGAAAGTGAGAAGGGGCAAAAAGAAAATGAGGAAGAAAGAAACGAAGGAGAAGAATAGGGTCAAG
Source organism: Homo sapiens (assembly GCF_000001405.40). Taxonomy (NCBI): domain Eukaryota; kingdom Metazoa; phylum Chordata; class Mammalia; order Primates; family Hominidae; genus Homo; species Homo sapiens. The sequence continues at coordinate 137,968,973 of NC_000007.14, forward strand.
GAAAAAAGTGGATCAGAGGAGAGAGAAGGAACGAAGAAGACGTGGCGCCCCATAAAACAGCATGTGTCAAGTGAGGACACTGTGGGGCTGCTTAGTCAGGAAGGGCAGAGAGCTCAAATCTGGAACTCCAGCAAGATCCCTGGTCTCCTAGTTAAGCCAAAGAAAACTGTTCCCAGTCTGAGAAGAGAATGTGCATGATGATATCAAGATTACAAATCATAAAAGCTAAGTTTCCTTTTTGATAAATTGGATCAGAAAAAGAGGTGGCTATAAAGGACATTTTGGGGACAACTAGGGCAATTTGAACATGAATGCCTTAGATAATAGCAGTGTATTAATGTAAAATTTTTTTGAGCATTATGATCTTCTTTTTTTTTTTTTTTTTTTTTTTTGAGACAGAGTCTCATGCCGTCGCCCAGGCTGGAGTGCAATGGCACGAACTCGGCTCACTGCAAGCTTCGCCTCCCGGGTTCATGCCATTCTCCTGCCTCAGCCTCCCAAGTAGCTGGGACTACAGGCGCCCGCCATCACACCCGGCTAATTTTTTTTTTGTATTTTTTAGTAGAGACGGGATTTCACCATGTTAACCGGGATGGTCTCAATCTCCTGACCTCATGATCCACCTGCCTCAGCCTCCCAAAGTGCTGGGATTACAGGCGTGAGCCACCGCGTCCGGCCTATGATTTTCATTGAGGTTGTTTAGCAGAATTTTTTTTTTTCAAAGATACCAGCTAAAGTATTTAGAGATGAAATGTCATAATGTCTCAACTAACTTTCAAGGGTCATCAAACACACACACACACACACACACACACACACACAACATACACATACGCAGAAAGACAGAAAAATAAGTTAATATGGTAAAATATTAGCAACTGATGGATTTAGTCAAATGATATATGTCTTGACTGTATTATTTTTACAACCTTTCTCAGGTTTGAACTTTTTCAAAATAAAAAAGAAAAGAAATTATGAAATAGGCACAACCTAAGAAACAAATGTTTTCCAGATGCCCAGGGTATTTTAATTTGCATAATAAGTTCTTCCAGATGACTTGAAAGCACTGTTATGGGGGGGTTAGAAGATCATCCAGCTCTGGAGTCAGGCTGCCTACACTGGAATACCATCTAAAGAGCAAGTTTCTTAACCTCTTCAAGCCGCAGTCTCCTCATCTGTAAAATGGTGCCCAAAACAGTATTGAATACAAAGGGTTGATTATGAGAGTTAAATGTAATAAGTCACAGGAGTTATTATTATTATTGATATAAGAAAAGACAGGATGTATAGTACTATCCTCACTTAAACTGCCCAAATAGAATTCCAAAGAATAAGCTGACCATTTTGTTTTAGAACTTTCTTTTTCTTTCTTCCTCTTACATAAAACACAGAGAAGCAATTTCAGAAAGATGGCATGTGCCAAAAACCACAGATATTGGAATCAATCCAGACATCGTATCTTTTAACGAGAGAATGGGGTGACATTTCTCCACCAAATAAAGTTCCTTATAAACTAAGTTTCCTAACTTTACGTTCAGGGTGAATCACTTGCAATGAAGAAACAGCAACTGTAAGAAGGAAAAATGGGTCTTCTTCGATAAGCCGGACAGTTCACAGAAGGGGGTGGGTGGGGTGGGCAGGATCCAGGTGGGAAACCTAATCTTCAAAACAGATTCCTTCTTTTGGCCAGAAAAGCTCAGGTCAAGGAACTGAAGAGCTGGCTTCTTCCTTCCTCACAGTAACTGCCTTGATGACTGGCAGTGTGGCCCAGACAGAGCACATTCCATAGGGCTGGACAGCAGGCGTGGGGCCAGCAACCGTTAAACACACTTTTGTATCCTCCACTAAAAAGAATGTCTGGAACCAACAGCATGTGCCTTGTTCTAAGAACAGATTTCTCCTCCAGCTATTTCTCCAGCTTACAGAAGAAGTGTTTATGCAGTGTGCACCTACCTACACTACGGTTACTTTATAGCTGGGTGCCTCAGTGTGAGATACTTAAGAATATCCATATTTTTAAAAAGCTTGGAGAATGGCATGCTTCCAACATCAGCATGAACCTAGACCCTAAATTAAGTTAGCACACATATTAAGAGATACACACAAACTTCAAGAAAAAACAAAATCAAGTCTACACAGAGTTTAAAGGTGCCTACTTATTTCCAGAGTCAGAATTATGTTTAAAAAAAAAACTGGGGCCAGGCGTGGTGGCTCACGCCTGTAATCCCAGCACTTTGGGAGGCCAAGAAGGGCGGATCACGAGTTCAGGAGATGGAGACCATCCTGGCTAACACGGTGAAACCCCATCTCTACTAAAAATACAAAAAATTAGCCGGGTGTGGTGGCGGGCGCCTGTAGTCCCAGCTACTCGGGAGGGTGAGGCAGGAGAATGGCGTGAACCTGGGAGGCGGAGCTTGCAGTGAGCCGAGATCGCGCCATTGCACTCCAGCCTGGGCATCAGAGCGAGACTCCGTCTCAAAAAAAAAAAAAAAATTTTGGATGGGGGGAGACATTGTATGAAGGACACTAAGGCAACACTGCAGACACCGCAGAACTTGATCTTTTTGCGGCTAGGCTGTGATGTGTGAGTGCACACAAAACACCGGTCCTTACTCTCTGCAACCCGAATCCCCTGGATCTCTTTCCCCATTGTAAATAACCTTATCATAAGTTCTTACCTTAATCATTAACTTCTCTGGATGGTACAAAAAAAAAAAAGGCCAGGGTCTGTTTTCTAATGTATATTCTTGCTCTTTCCATTTTTCTAAAACTATTAATTAAACATTAAGCCAACTTATTTAAAAGAGGGAAAAATGGGAAATAACCTAAAATCCTAATAATTGGATGTCACTTAAGAACCTACAAAACATACACTCAATGAACAATACACGGCCATTAAAAAGTGATAGATAGGCTGCTCTGTCTATGGAGTAGCCATTCTTTCATTTGTTCACTTCCTTAAAAAAAAAAAAATAATGGCTAAGTATTAAAATAGGAAAATGTCCATTATTAAATACAAAAGGGCATGGCACAATAGTTATATGAATATGTTTTATTAATAGCTATGTAAAAGAAGTATTCATAAAAAAAATCTGAACTCTAACACAAGAGAAATTAACAGCAGTTTCGGGAGTGCATAATGAGCTTTTGACAGATGTCTTGGCTGGGCGCAGTGGCTCATGCCTGTAATCCCAACACTTTGGGAGGCCTGTAATCCCAGCACTTTAGGAAGCTGAGGCGGGCGGATCACAATGTCAGGAGTTCGAGACCAGCCTGGCCAACATGGTGAAACCCCGTCTCTACTAAAAATACAAAAATTAGCCGGGAGTAGGGTGCACACCTATAATCCCAGCTACTTGGGAGGCTGAGGCAGGAGAATTGCTTGAACTCAGGAGGCAGAGGTTGCAGCGAGCCAAGATCATGCCACTGCATTCCAGCCTGGGCGACAGAGCAAGACTCCATCTCAAACAAAACAAAACAAAACAAAACAGAGAGATGTCTTTTTTGCTTGTTTTTTAGTTTCTTTAATGAGGTAATACTCTTTTTGTAATGAACAATAAGAACAGTATTTTTTTCTTGATAAATAAAAGGAAGCCAGGTTTGGTGGCTCACATCTGTAATCCCAGCTACTTGGGAGGCTGAAGTGGGAGGATAGTTTGAGGCCAGGAGTTTGAGACCAGTCTGAGCAACACAGTGAGATCCCCGTCTCTACAAAAAAAAAAAAAAAAAAAAAAAAAAAAATATATATATATATATATATATATAGAGAGAGAGAGAGAGAGAGAGAGAGAGAGAGAGAAAAGAAAAAGAAAAACCTAGGATAAAGGTTGATTTCTTATTTTAAATTCCACAGTCACCTAAGGGAACTAAACTCTAAGGCACCTGTAACATTCATGAATAAATACACTGTGGATCAACCCAGGGAGCATTTTCATACCAGCAAGGCCCCAGAATGGACACCCTGGTAACAAAGTCCTCTTGTTTGGGGGAATGTCCCCAAATCCCTATATAGGAAAGAAGCTTCAGGGCCTCTATGAAAATATTTACACATGAGAGAACACAGACACACACACCCCAAATCCACATGAGAAATTGAAGAAATAGCATATCTAGTGGGTGCAGCGCACCAGCACGGCACATGTATATGTAACTAACCTGCACATTGTGCACATGTACCCTAAAACTTAAAGTGTAATAATAATGAAAAAAAAAAAAAAAGAAATAGCATATCATGAAAAACTAAAATGGTTTGAAATTCTTCAACTAACGATGACCTTAATCATAGAAGTCCCCATTCCAACTTGTTTGCCTTGTACGGAAGACTTGGGTCCCAAGGAGAATCCACACACTCCTGGTGAGGGTGTGCTAAAGTTGATCAAGTTTAACTAAATAGGTTCAGTACCGCACCAAGGAACACAGAGTTTCCCAGACAGCGGCCCACCGGCGCCTATTCTCTTTGAACACAATGGAGAGGCACATGACCCTCGGGAGCTAGAGGAAAGCTCACCTAGAGTGAGTTGGAGTCTGCTGTGCTCCTTGGTGGGAGCAAGTAGCAAAAAGGTAACAAGAGATATCCTAAAGTCAAGAAGGTAGCAGCACAGGGCCCATCCGACACAAGATCACAGTTAGTAAGCCCAGAGACTTATTATGATGGATCTGAGACACTAATGCCTAATGCCACGAGGCAAAAAAGTGAGACTGCCAAGAGGGACCCTACTAGTCAGCCATAGTTTTACAACTCAGTCTTCAAATCCTTCTCTTACACACCTCCTGGCATTGTTTAATCAATTATTCAGACAGGGCTTCTGATGAATGGCTCCCCCATTCATATTCACAGTTAAATTCTCCAATAGTTAACTATGCACGTTTTCACAAGATTTCCAACAACCTGAAAACATTTTATGAGCTGGCATTGCATGTTCTGGGGAGTATTTCCAAACCAATAACTGCTCATCATTGTCTCTGCTGAAGTGAATCTGGAACGAGCCAAGACCGAGAAATGATGGCACAGGGAACCTATCAGAGGCAGAAATATCCATATTATAAAGTTAGAAATAAAATAATGCCAAGCATCTGCTCTTTAAAAAAAAAAAATCAACCTCCTTGTGTAAAAAGAAAATGAATAAAAATACTTGTCCTACCTACCCCATTGGTTTCATTCATTGAACAAATATTCCTGAGAGCTGGGTACTGAGGTACAACGGTGATGAAAAGCAAAGAGACCCTTGCTCTATTGGAACTTACAATAATGGGAGAGAAAAGGTGAAACAATCAAAATAATGAATCAAAAACATGAAATATTATAACCCCTCTGAAATAAAGGAATACAGATCTCTAAAAGCAGGAAGAGTTTCCTTAAGGCTTGAGCACAATCTGAAGGCTAAGCACCAGGCAAAGGGAAAAGGGTGAAAAGAGTGTTCCAACCAGGACCAACCGGCATGTACAAAGGCCCCATGGCAGGAAGAAATGTATTTAAAGATCTTAAAAAGGGGAAGGGGACTCATGGATGGAGCGCAGATTGTCAGGGAAGAGATCAGATGTCAGGGAAGAAATCTTTGAAAAGATTTCTCTTAAACTTGGGGATGACACGAAAGAGAGAGAAGGGAGAACAGATATGAGAAAAGTTGTTAATAGGCTACTGCAATAGTCCTGGCAAAAGACAGGGATAGCTCAGTTCTAATGAGGTGACCAAGGAGATGGAAAGAAGTGAATGGAGTCAAGCTATTCAAGAGGGAAGAGCCACAGGACTGAGTGACAGATGGGATACAAGTTAGGAGAGAATGACATCAAGAACGGCTCCTAGGTGCCTGGCCTGCCCCAGTGAATGTTTGACTGCACCATTTGCTGGAGATAGGGAACAGGTTTGGGGTAGAGCCTGTGAAAGGTGAGGAACCTTTGAGATAGTCCAGTGGAGAGACAAGCTGGCAACTGGATAATCAGGTCTTAGAGACAGATCCAGGCTAAAGATATAAATTATGGGCCCATCATGATAGAGATGCCAACTGGAGTGTTGCCCAAGAGACAGTTACAGAATGAGAAGAAATGACATTTCAGCATCAAGCCTTGAAATACTCAGACCTTTTAGAAAGTTGCATGAATCAAGAAAGATAAGGTATATGAATATCTTTTATAAACCGTAAAGCATTATAAAAATATTAGTTACTTTAAAAGATGAAAGGGCATGGAAATTAATATTTCTCTGACATTAAAAGCTATAGATCAAACTCAACAAGGCCATCAGTTGTACAGAACTCAGGAGGAGTTTAATCCATATCAAAGCTCCAAAAGTCCAGGAGAACAGATTGAATTTGCTGTGAGCCCAAGAGGCTCTCAGAAGGGGACTTAGGGTTACTCATAACCAGCAGGCTATTTCTTCTTGCAGAACCCACAAATGAGTCCCATATTTGGGCCTCTGCAATCAGTTGGCTGCAGCTCCCAGGCGGGCTGACACACACTGCAACCTCACATCTGCAGGACTCTCGCCCCTTCTCTCTTTTTTAAAGGGCCTTTGTCCTTTGTTCCCCAGCCTCACAGGCAAGACAGAAGAGCCTTTGCTTCTGTACTTCTTAAAAGCTTTAGAAAGGGACTTCATTCTGCACACTTCGGGGAGGACCAGGACCCATGACTGCATGGGAAGTAAAACACAAGTAGCACACGGCATACTTCTCCTAGATGCTCTCTGCGTCTTCCAGCACCTCAACATCCAATTGTAAAATAGCAGGAAAGATTCAGTTAGAGCCCGAAACTAAATTTAAAAATTAAAAAAGAAGTAAATAAATTAATTAAACAGCAGGAAAGAGAGAGACAATCAAGCTTTGCATGAAACAGCTTTTATTCTTCTTTTAGGAAAACGGTTTTAAACTATATTCATTCTCTGGAATTCAAAGTAGTTTTGCCCTTAAAAGGCTGACCTTAGAATCATTCCACCCAGCTGCATAAATCCAATACAATTCAGCTCAGGCCACTGGGAAAGACACTGAGTGGGAGGCCGAGCCAGATGACCCTCAATGTTTCTCTGCTCCAAGAGTCTGATCCCATAAGTAAGAACCAGATGTTCCACAGACATCATCTCCAATTAGGGAATCAGCATCTTTCAAAAACATCTCTTTCTTTTTGCTAATAATGTGGCCCAATGGCCCTCAGAACTCTGATTAGCCAAGTATTGGGTTCAATATGGATATTTTATCAGCCAGGAGTCTGCTCTTACCTACTTTCTCAGTTGGACCTCCTTGGGGTCCCTTTCCTAAATATATGGCCACCCAGCCACCAGGCATGTGCCAAAATCTGCTTATTTAACACCCTTTACCCAGAGAACTAATGTAGTCTCTCTCCACTTACCTCCACACTCAAGCCTTGGGTGGCATCGGCCCCAAATTTCCTGCCCTAAGCACCTCAATGCAGTGGCCACTCGTTAATTTATCCTTTCGTCCAGTGATCCTCAAACCTGGCTGCATATTACAATCATCTGGAGAAGTGGTTATGTTTGTTTTTTTCCCAGCATTCTAATTTAAAATATGCAAATCAGAGCAAAGTTGAAAGAATTTTATAATGAATACCATATGCCTACTGCCTAAATAACACCATTAATATTTCATTGTTCCTGCTTATCACAAACCTACCCATTGACATATTCATCCATCACCCCACTTTATTTTTTATGCATTACAGAGTAAGTTGCAGACCTCAGTATATATAAACACAAATCCAATCTGGAGACTATTTTAAAAAATCTTATGCCCCACCTCCAGACATTTTAATTTAGTCAGTTTTGAGTGGGGCTCAGGCATTAGTATTTTTTAAAAATCTCCCCAAGTAATTCAAATGTGCAACCAAAGGGATAGGGGAGAATGCTTCTGCCTCCCATGAGCCCCGCCCAGAGACAGTGGGAGAGGCCAGTGGGTGGAGCCTGTGGAACATCATAAGCTATATAGGCTACGCAGACGGCAGCCTGCCATCTTCTTGCACGTACACACCCACACACAACATCAACCATCGACAAATGAAGCAAAGGCCAAGGAATGGGTTGGGAGGTGGAAAGAGAAAATTCCCTTTATTCCTTTAGAAATGAGGCTGCAGAAGGGGAAATTCAGGTCTAAAGACAGACACCCCCTGAGCTTCCACACTTAAACACGGCCCCTGCCCCTGCACCTCCCACCATCCTTCCCAGGTTCCTCCCCCGTTATTCTGACTCCCAACCACAGTGGAAGTCTGCATGGAAATGGGGTTGCAGGGCTTCTCAAAATCCAGCAAAAGGAAGAAAGTGGGATTAGCAATAAACCCTGCCTAGATTTTCTAGTCCAGACAGTCCAAAACCAAAGTGCCGAGGTGGCAGAAGCTACCGGTAAGCAGCATCTCCACGTCTGTCCTCTAAGAGACCCAAAGCACACAAGTGAAATGGTTATGCAACAACACAACGATTATAAAATAAGACTGTGGGGACAGTTAATACTTACAAGGGTTGGGAAAAAGGAATGACAAATAGTGACTCAGGAAAGAATCTTGGTATAACCCACTGGGCATCTAACTACATCATTAGTAGCCATTTCCAAAAAACCTTGAAAATTAATTTCATTTTGAAGGCAATAAATGACAGATAGATTATCTATCTAGACAGATAGATAACCATATGTAACCACAAATCTTGTTTTGTTTAAAAAGAAATGTAGGGCTGGGCGTGGTGGCTCATGCCTGTACGCCCAGCACTTTGGGAGGCTGAGGTGGGCGGATCACTTGAAGTCAGGAGTTCGAGGCCAGCCTGGTCAATATGATGAAACCCTGATTCTACTAAAAACAGAAATATTAGCTGAGTGTGGTGGCGCACACCTGTAGTTCCAGTTACTGGGGAGGCTGAGGCATGAGAACTGCTTGAACCTGGGAGGTGGAGGTTGCAGTGAACCGAGATCATGCCACTGCACTCCAGCCTGGGCAAGAAAGTGAGACTAAGAAAGAAAAGAAAGGAAAAAAGGAAAGGAAAGGAAAAGGAGGGGAGGGGAGGGGAGGGGAGGAAGGTAGAAGCAGTTTCCAAAAGTGCCTTACAATTCAAACTTGATGCCTTACAATTAGCCTTTTCTGAAGAGATTCCTCACAATCTTAGTCATCATATCAGCTTTGTGAAATCAATAGGTATTATCATTTCACCTTACAAATGAAGCAGAGAGACCAAGATAAATAAAAACAAATCAGAGACCATGGAGCACAAGGAGCCCAAAAATGCAACTATCCTGACTTCTGGACGACTTTACAGAGATATACTCTCTATACAGAGATAACTCTCTATATATCTCTCTAGAGATTATCTGTCTATATATAAAGCAAGAGATTTTACACACATATAAAATCTGTATTTCTAACATCTTTTGAAGTCAGAACAGCTGAAAACACTGGGTCCAAATTCCTATATGGTAAGGGTCTGTTGGAGCTAAGTGGCAGCTGCTTCCTTTAAGCAGGTCCTGAACTTTCCTATCCCCTCCGTCCCTCCTCCTCCCTATGATGTCTCTGACCAGCTTCACTCCTTCCTGTGCCTGACTCCTGAGCTCAAATCAACCAAGATGGCAGGTGGTTCTGGAAGTTGGCAATGGCAGGCCCGGTACGATGTAAAGGTTAGGAAGTCATGTCATATCGTTTTCAAATAATGGTGAGTGGGAAAAGAACGTAAGACACTGGTCAGGCAGTGACACAGGGGTCAAGAAGCTGAGTGACTCAGTGTGCTGTCATTCCCCCTGGGTGAATGAGAGGAAGGGGGGCTATCCTGACTAGGGCAGTAGTGACGCAGCTGAGGCAGGCAGCTGAGTCCCCACAAAGTTTGTGTTCTTCCAACTCCTAGCCCACTGCAGCACTGGGCACAGAGTGCGGCTCAGGAAACATCTATGGAAGAGAGCCGTGGATGAAAACCTCAAGGAGAAACACACACTCATTTCACCAACTGCCTGTGAGGGCCTAGAGAGTGGCCCCATGCATGGTGGGATGAGGCGAAGGTCTGATGGCATCTCAGAGATGTGATCTGAGAACTTGGAAGCTGTGGGACAAAACTCAAGACTCACAACGAGAGCAGTAAATGATGCTACTCTGGGAAAAAGAAATTTCAAAATAGTTGCATCTTAAGTAATTGACCATATCTGCCTGGTGTGCCCTGCTGACAGAGGAACTAGCACCAAGTCTGAGCTCAGTAGGGGAAAGATCTGTGTTGAAAAACAAGCATGTTCAGGACACACAGTGAGGGAAGAATACGAGTGCTTTGTGCCTGTCATCTCTGTTCTAATTGATCACAGCTCTAGCATATTGTACCCATTTTCTTTCATGAAACTTTTCCTTTTAGCCTGATTTTCCTGTTCCTACCCTCCAGGGTCAGGATGGCAGGCTCTGCCAGGCTGACCAAATAAAGCACAGCAAGGGCGGGTCATCAGGCCAAGACATCAAAAAGCACAGGCTGCAACTGGTCCTACCAGTCCTTAGTTTAATATAAGAATGCTGCCGGCCGGGCGCGGTGGCTCACACCTTAATCCCAGCACTTTGGGAGGCTGAGGCGGGCGGATCACGAGGTCAGGAGATCGAGACCATCCTGGCTAACATGGTGAAACCCCACCTCTACTAAAAATACAAAAAAATTAGCCGGGCGTGGTGGTGGGCGCCTGTAGTCCCAGCTACTCGGGAGGCTGAGGCAGGAGAATGGCGTGAACCCGAGAGGCGGAGCTTGCAGTGAGCCGAGATCGTGCCACTGCACTCCAGCCTGGGCAACAGATCGAGACTCCGTCTCAAAAACAACAACAACAACAACAACAACAACAACAACAACAAAGAACACTGCCTGGCTCTTTCAATCTCTGGCCTTGAGACATGCTGGGACTTCTGAGTGGACAGGTATAAAAGGGATCAGTCAGAAATGGAGACAGCAGGGAGCCTGACTCAGATGTAGAACAGATCCCCAAGAAGGGATCCAGGGGAGGCCACATCAGTTTCTTGGGCTCCATCTAGCTTGATCTGGCATCAGTACCTGGTGCATGCGGATGATGGGTGAGTCCAATCAGCCTCACAGGAGGCAGCAGAATATTCTAGCCAGCAGTTCTCAAATTTTACATGCACATGGATCATCTGGGGATCTTCAGATTATAATTCAGAAAGTCTAGAGTAGGGCCTGAGATTCTGAATTTGTGACAAACTCCCAGGAGATGAATGTTGCCAGACCATGGACCATGCTTTGAGTAGTCATACTCCAAGCCAGTAGTTCTCACCTCGGTTTCACTTTGGAAGCACTGGGAGAGCTTTTAAAATGCCTGATGCCCAGGCCTCATCCCAGAACCAATTAAATCAGAATCTCTTGGGCTGGGACCCAGGCATCAAAGTTGTTTAAGCTCCCAGGTAAGTGTGATGTGCAGCCAAGACTGAGACTCTTTGCTCTAGACCGTGGGGATGGGCAGAGCAGGAGCTTCATTGTTCCAGTGGGTTCGCCTGGCCTGGGGCAGCTCAGGAGAGTGGTCACCCAGGCTGAGTTATGCAAGTGACCACAGGCTCAGTTAAAAAGGTTCCAAACTGGTGGGGGGCAACCCCAGGCCTAGACAAACACAACCAGAGAAAGGGGAAGAGAAGACTTGCTGGTGCCCAGGGCTTACCCCAAGCATTGCAGACACCTGTAAAAATCAGGCCTACTTTCAGACTTCCCCAACCAGTGGCCCAGGCTCCTAAAATACATGACATGGGATTTCTCCATACAGGCTCCAAAGCTGCTAGAGCTATAGGCTGAAGGTCCTCAGGATTTCAACTGAGAGGGAGGAGTTGGGAAAGGCAAACTAGGAAACAATTTTCCACTGGCCATCAATAAAATTCCTCATTAATTTCTAAGAGTGACCAGCTCCTCTCTTTGCCTCTCCTGCTCTTTACTGATGCACTGGCCCCTGTTCCTCCACAATGTGACCCCCCTTTGTCGCCAGCTACTCCATACATTTAGAAAGTCAATTCTGCAATTTCCAAATGCCAGACAGAAATCCCCTCCAAAGACCCTTAACGATGATGCACACCAATAATGTGACACCCTCCAGAATGCCAAGATCTGCTGAGGACCCCGAGTCCTTGCAATAAAGCAGGAGAACCTGAGATAAGATCCCAAGCCCTGAGTTCAGGTCCTCACACCTGTCAGGACTGAGCAAAGCTCTAGGAAAACCGGCAGAGTTAAAGCCCAGAGGAGGAGGGGAAGGCCTGCGTGAATGAAAGAAAGAGGAGAGCAAAGGAGACAAAAAGGGAAAGAGAAGGAGAGAAAGGAGAGGAGGAAAAGGGAGCCTGGGTGGAGAATAGGAAGGTGGAGCATGGCAAAGGCCTCCAGCATTCTTTGGGGACTGGTCAGGGGTAGCAGTGACCTAGCCTGAGGATAAACCCAGATTCTATGAGGGCCTGTGCTTTTAAAATGGATTCATGTTTACCAAGTTTTAAAAAGGACTGAAGTGACTTAGAGAAAACATATCAAATGAGGTCAAATAAAATTCAACATGGGTGTAGAGAAGGATTAGTCATGTGGGAGAACCAGGAAGTAGAGAACAAGAAAAAATAATAAGTATGGGGCTAGAAAACAGTCCAGACCCCACAGAAATTAACTAGGAAAAAAGTCACAGACCAAAAATATATACCCATGAGTCCCAGCCTTGCTCTTGAGATCAGTTAGCCAGGCAGGCAGTGGTTTAGCTCAAGGAGGGATGAATGAATGTGGGGGCCAGAGCCCTCCATTTAGAGGCAGAAAAGCCAGCTTCTACTATTGTCTGCTTTGAGTCCGAATCTTGAGAATACTCCGAAATGCCTTTAATAAGCACAGTGGTTTTTCTGGTTTATGATGTAAGACAGCCACTCGTTTCATGTATTCTCCAAAAATAGAGTTTGCTCCAAAAATAAAAAGTAAAAGAAGTCAACAAAGGGTTAGGTTTCGAGTACAGAGGCACAGGGCAGCTTTTGGGGGAAGAGCTCTCTCTCTTTAGTTCTTGGGCAGTAAGCTCACCTGCCAGCAGTCAGGGTCTAATTAGTGCCCAGCAGCAAGAGGGAGCAGAGCTTCTCTGGAATGCTCCAGGGGGATGGGGCTGCACAATGAGGTGGGGGGTATGCTGGTGGTGGACACCAGTGTGCACAGACCTGTTCCTTCTCAGCTTCTACTTTAGAGGTACAGTCTCTGGGACATTAGCTTTTACCACTGTTAGGTCAGCAAACCTTTTGAAAATGTGATGAAAGACACACATATGCACTGCACATACAATGCCCTAAAGAGCATTTCCAGAAGTTCCCAGACCCTCTTGAGGCCATAAACTCAGCTTAAGAACCTTCAGTCTGTAGGTTTTCAACTCCCACAGGTTTCTTTCAGTAGAAAACACACTGCTCTGGTCACCGCCATGAGTCCTTGGGAACCTTATGAAACTCTAGTGAACCCCCAGTGCTATGGGGTTGAATTGTGTTCCCTGCTGATGTGATTTGGCTGTGTCCCCACCCAAATCTCATCTTGAATTTAGCTCCCGCAGTTCCCATGTGTCATGGGAGGGACGCAGTGGGAAGTCATTGAATCATGGGGGTGGGTCTTTCCTGTATCGTTCTCGTGATAGTGAATAAGTCTCACAAGATCTGATGGTTTTATAAAGAGAAGTTCCCTTGCACAAGCTCTCTCTTGCTTGCCACCATGTAAGATGTGCCTTTCACCTTCCACCAAGATTGTGAGGCCTCCCCAGCCACGTGGAACTGTGAGTCAATTAAACCTCTTTCCTTTATAAATTACCCAGTCCTGGGTATGTCTTTATCAGCAGCATGAGAACGGACTAATACACCTGCAAATTCATATGCTGAAGCCCTAACCTCCAATGTGACAGTATCTGGAGACTGGGCCTGAGGGTTAAATGGGCTGAAAGGATGGTGCCCTCATGATGGGATTAGCATCTTCATTGGAAGAGGACATAGCAAAAAGGAAGAAAGAAGATGCTGTCTCTACCACAGGAGGACATAGTGAGAAGATGGCCATCTGCAAGCCAGGAAGAGAGCCCTAACCAGGAACAGAATTAGCCAGCACCTTGATCCTGGACTTCCCAGTCTCCAGAACTGTAAGAAATAAATACCTGTTGTTTAAGTCACCCATCTGTAGCATTTTATTATAGCAGCCTGAGCAGACTAATACACCCAGATACTCTCAATGCCAAAATACAGTCTACCTGTTCCCATGTGTGCCATAAGAGCCTCTGAAACACTAGTCTCCTTATTTCTGCCCCCTCCACCAACCACACGGCCCTATGACAAGGTGGTGAATGCCTTCCAGAGGACTATCTACCACACAGCCCCAGGACTGAGGAGGCTGGCTGGGCCCTCGAAGAAGGAATCTTAAACAAGAGAAGCAAGGGCAGAAATGCAACATCAGAGCTACCAGGCAGTGGGGAAGGGAAGAGAGGACAGAGACTGAAACTTCAGAGGAAACGCTGGTACAGAGCTAGTGGTCTTTTAGACATGTTCCAATAAATCTGGCTAACTTAATACTCCCTCTGCATCCATCAAGGAATCCATAAGCACTGTTGACTCAGGCTGTTCTTCTAAAGAAAACACAGCAGGCTTCAGGCAGGTGTTGTTAAATTGCTCCAACCAGGCAAAGCTGCTGACTCTCACTTAGTATTTTTACACACCATTGTGAGCCGCCAAATAACAGACCTTTATAAATCCCTGGTCAAAGTCAACTCCTCCAAGCCACCTTCCCGGCCTGGCCACTCCGTTTGCTATGGCCTTTCTTCATTGTTCGCATACCTCTCTGCTTTACCTCTCCCCTGTGGTTGTTCTGTCCGCCCTACTAGGCCTTCACTCCTCAGGGGCAGGGACTGAGTCTTGCATGGCTTTTTCATTCCAGAAGGCTGGATTCCAGGTTCTGCACTCAGGGGCGGCCCAGTCATTATTGTTGGCCGGCTGCTTTTCCTGAGAAAGCACAATCGGGCCTTTTGATTCCCATCCGCACACTGCCCGCTCCCTGCCACTCTGCTCTCCAGTGAAGGAACTTCTCGGCCCACTCACATTCCAGGCACAGTTTGGGGATCAGGGGATGAGCAGCCACACCCAGAAGTGCCAAAAAGTGCCACTGAGGTTTTTGGCTGAACAGAAGTAGAAGGAAATAAAGTAGCTCCCTTATCTGTGAGATGCAGGCGTCATTCTCAGCCATCTCACAGGTCCCGACCAGACCTTGGATTCTACAAATTTGGGAAAATGTTATTTTGGGATGTGGTGGACACTGCTGCTTGACCACTCAATATCCATCCTACCCGTCTTCCTTACTATCAGACACCAATTTTATTCAGGGTGGCAAGTATTAAGCTAACACACTCACACCTTCCTGGCCTCTTTTGCAGCTAGGGATGGCCAGTGAAACCTAACGGGAAATCTGCTGGAGGCCTCAGAGAAAGCCCTGGCTTGTCCTAATATAGGTACTACCCTTTCTGCTTTGCCCCGTCACTTTCTTCCACCAGTGAGGCTGATGTTACGCTGGAAGTGAAGCAGTCATCTTGTAGTCATGAGGACAAAGGTGACAAACAGCCTCACGGGAAGGGCCCCGTTGGCCCTGATCAAGCACTACACTAGCCCTGGAGGGCCTAGCTCAGGACTGCTTGGTTCATGAGATAAATAGGCCCTTACATGTTTAAATTACCAAATGCTCAAGCCAAGTGACAGATAAGCTTGTCATCTTCATACTTTTATTCTTCTTATTTTGTTGCTCCTGCAGCTTTTTGTTTGGTTTTTCTAAAAGCAAACTTGGGTCGAGTAATAGTTCCTCAAAAAAGCTATGGGGGAATAAAAAATCTACCTACCAGGATATTTTTCTTTCGGTTGGCAAATACCAAAGAACAAACTTCTCCATGAAAGGAGTCTGCGTTTCATGAAAGATCAAAGGTCTCAAAGTCTCCCAAATTGCAAACTCTTCTACAGTAACGTAGCCCAGTAGAGAAGAGCCATCAGGCAGCTCATTAAAGCTTGTCAGCCTCAATAGCTAACATTTTCTTCCTTTCTCATTGAACTCCATTATCAGCAATGAGTTTTGCGGGGAGCTGGGGGTTTTGTTTGTTTTCTTTTGCTTTTACTTAAAATAAAAATGTGTAACTTAACTTCCAAGAGACATTGAGATTTGGGCACAGTTTTCAGTCAGCTCCCTCTTCAAAGACCTACTGCAATTGCCAAAGCAATAATAAGACATTATGGAAAGGGGGAAGGGGGCCCATTCACACGCCAGAATCTCCATATAACCTCTGTTTGATAAAATGCTAGTTGGTCCAGATAAATGGAAGGCACAGGAGAGCAACTTAGAACCTGATTCCCAAGAAAGCAGGACTCAGAGAGGTTCTCTCGCTCAACAATATGTACATCAACTGCTTGGGAACAGCCAAGGCTAGACGCAGTTCAGGCCAGGGGTCGGAGGAAGAACGTGGCTTAAATGCCTTTGCTGCAGTGTATGGACAGCATTCCAAAGGTGCTCTGCCAGGAAGCCCCAGGCCTCGTGGATGGAGAGCGCTTCAGCTTGTCCCTGACACTGCAGGCAGTAGCCCTACCAGGACTGCTCAGTGCCATCCTGCTGTCCCCTACTCACCTTCCTGCTGTTAACAGACCCCTAAACAGGTCACAATCAGCCCCAGAAAGACTATTTTCATTAGGAAAAAATAATGTAAGTGACCTCAGTGTCCAGTGATAGATGGTGTTTCAGGAAATGACAGGGACATGGAACAAGCCGTCCCCTTCTTGTCTTCCCTCTTGTAACTTAAAGAGTGCTAACACCTGCTGCCAACCCACCCCCTCAAAACTGACAAAAACATTTCAGTTCCTCAGAAGCAGGTGCCTGAAAATTTGAAGTGTTAATTCAGTCATGCAAATCAATACCAGGCGTTGAACCTAAGAGGATTCAGGTAAGAACTGAAGAAATATTTCAGGTCTTTTTCCCTAAATGCCTTTCACAATTAGGCCACAATTCAGAGGTCTTATTCTATTTACTCATTTTATCCATGAGTTCAGAATGCAGCAAAAATTTTCTTCCTAGGCCTCTCAGAAACTATTGGAGAAAAAAAAATAGAAGAAAGGAACCGAATATCCCCCATCTAGCGGCCACAAACCAGACATAGTGACACTTTACTTATGTCATTTATCTTCCTCCACCATGGCCTTGTGAAACAGTCTCAGAAAGGTGCTCACAGTAGGGAGAGCCAGAACCAGATTGTAAGCCTAGACTCATTCATTTGTTCATCCATTCATTCACCAAACATTTTACTGGACACCTACCATGCGCACAGCACTGTTCTGTTAGCTGGAGATAAACAGCAGTGAATAAAAGAAAGTCTCTGCTTTCACGGTGTTTCCATTTTGTTAGACGAGAAAACAGACAAGCACACTTATCAGGGCTTCCCAACAGGTATGCCGGGGAGTGCCCCAGCTCCATGGGACTGGGAAGGAGGGCAAGTTGGCAGCAGAGGCTGGAGCGACTGCACCCCTGAGATGGATTCCACCCACTATGATTAGGCTCATCCATTACTTTGACACAAAGCACCATGCAGATATCATCATTTTCCATGACTGCCATGACAGCAGGGCTCGGGGATACTAAAGAAATCATTTGCCAGTGGTGATAAGGGCTATGAAGTTGTGCTGACCGCAAAATCCCTGCTCCTCCTACCAACTGCCTTTTCCAGTGGTTGAGCAATCTGCAGACAAGAGGACAGTCAGAATCCCACACCGAAACTGGGAGGGTGGGAATAAGAAGCTGAAACTTCCTCATGCTCCATCTACCCAGCCATCCCACCCTCATTTCAGTGTCCTCCTAGAAGTCTGTATTTCAGTCAAAAGGAAACA
The DNA here is from genome assembly GCF_000001405.40 of Homo sapiens. Lineage (NCBI taxonomy): Eukaryota > Metazoa > Chordata > Mammalia > Primates > Hominidae > Homo > Homo sapiens. The sequence goes on from NC_000007.14 coordinate 137,986,790, forward strand.
CTGGATTTCGACGTGCCTCATGTTCCTCAGCTTGTAAACACAGCTGAGAAACCAAATGGTTTTTTGGCAGCTACGTTTCTGCCCCTCTCTTAGCACACAAGAAAACGTGTCTGTGAAGACTGCCTTAGAACATGATGCCTCGAGCCCAAGGGCGACCCCACTGCACCATGCAGGTAACATCACAGCTGTGCTGCAGCTGTTCGCCTGGAGCTGGTTTGGGCCTTGGCCTCCTCAGCCCACTGCCCCAGCTCTCCCAGCGGCTCCAACATGGGTCTTGGGCTGCAGGAGAGCCTGGAGAGAAAGCTTGCAAACCCAGAGTGGAACCAGAAAAACAATTCCTGGCAGTGCCTCAGAAATGAATACCATTCAGGGGTAGGAAGTAAAAAGTCAAAACTACAAAGATCGGAGTCAGGTTCTTTGGTTACAAAAAATATATACTGTTTCCTCACTAGATCCCATCTCTTTCCAAAGGATAACATCTACTGCCTAAGTCATCTGTAACTGGAAAGAGGGAGGGAAATGCCGCACCACAGTTTGACTTTTTAATGGTACTGAAATCTATAGGTCTGTGCCTAGTCGTTTGAATAAGTTTTCAGTAGCAAAAAAAAACAAAAAACAAAAAACAGGATACAGTCTTCGGTGTTCAAGGCTTTTGTGGCCAATCTGGCTTCTTGCTGGACTACAAAGGGAGGCTTATCTGTGACTAATCTCTAAAAATTAAGTTTAAATCAAAAGCTGCCACAGGTGACCCCAGCTTATGACTCCATATGCCAAAAGTCTGTAATAGCAGGATGCTGATGGTGGGACAGGTTTTGTGTGTTGGGGAGACAAGAGATACACGGGAGCTTTTTGTATTTCTGCTCAATTTTGCTGTGAACATAAAACTGCTCTAAAATGCTTTCTGTTTTTGGAGAGACAGGATCTGGCTCTGTTGCCCAGAGTGGCGCACAGTGGCACAATCATGGCTCACTGCAGCCTCAACCTCCTGGGCTCAGGCGATCCTCCCACCCCGGCCTCCTGCAAGTAGCTGGGACTATAGACATAAGCCACCACACCTTTCTCTACCTTTTTTAAAAGTTTGTAACACGGGTGGTTCAAACTCACAAGACATTTTCTTACTGACATAATGTGATAAAAAGTCATCTGTTTCCCAGTCAGGCCTCAGAAACCCATTTAATTCACCACACAGCTAAACTGTGGAGTGAATCCTAAACTCTGTGTCTCCTTCAAAGAGCCTGCTCTGCTCTGGGCTGTGAAGGGTGGCCCTTTCCTCCCTGTGCAGTCTGAGGCAGAATTCTCCTTCCTCTGCACCCACCTCTGTCCTCAGTACTCACATGCCCGACCTCAGGCCCAGCTGAAGGGCTTCCTCCTCCCACACCTGTTCCTCATGTCCCTGACAGGCCTGAGGGCCATGACAGGAACAGAGATTCAGTGAAACAGAGAGCAAGGGCAGAACCCAGAATCCAGCCACGGCACGTGGGAGGCACAAGAGGGGAGCAGGGATGTGTCTGGCCAGAGTGCCTTTGCGGGTCCTGAAACCTGGGCATTGCCAGCAGCTGCTCATTTTCTTTGAAGCTACAATTATTTACTTAATGTTCCTTCTGCAGGCTCATATTCTTATTACAAAGCCATTTGTCCTCACCTGTCCTTATTATTATGTCATACAAAAATGGAACCAATTAGGGCTTGTTTCTATGTTTCTACCACTTGAATATTGTTGATGCCTCTGTGATCAAACTCATTTTCGGCATTCAGTGGATCCACCTGATACTTCCTTAGTGGAAGAGTCAGAAGAATAAAGAGAGGAAAAGACTCACACCTTGGAGTCATGTGGTGAATCCCAACACTCTTGAACAGGTTAATGAGTACAAAGGCTATCCTTTTGCAAAGCCCCAAAACTAAGAACTGCAAATGACACAGTCACAAAACAGACACATGCACAAACTCCATCCAGCCGATGGGAAGGACATCCAGAGATAGATGGACTTATCTGGAGAGAAGAATGATGAAAGGACCCTCAGAGGCCAGGCTCAGTGGCTCACGCCTGCAATCCCAGCACTTTGAGAGGTGGAGGGGGCAGGATGGCTTGAGCTCAGGAGTTCAAGATCAGCCTGGGCAACATAGCAAGAAAGGAAGAGAAAGAGAGACAGAAGGAAGGAAGGAAGGAAAAAAAGGAAGGAAGGGAGGGAGGGAGGGAAGGAAAAGAAAGAAAAAAGAAAAGAAAGAGAGAAAGAAAGAACCCTCATAAAACTACACAAGCACCAATGAACCAGTGATGGTCTCCAATGCCAATTTTGAGGACTGATATTAATCTTGTTCCAAAAAAATCAAAAGAGGCAGCGCTGTGTTCTACACTTTGTCCATTTACTCTGAGTTCCTGGCCTTCTGCAGTTCGTGCTCTCGCCTGGAAACCAGGCCTCTCCTTCCCAGCAGAATGCCACATCCCATGCACACAGGTCTGCTACAGAGAAGACCTGTGGCTACAGAGACACAGACACCGCCCTGAGCTAACATGCTAGTAAGTCCTCAGGGGACTCGGCGGTCAGCTGAATAGCACACTCAACCCTTATTTGTACTGACCACTCTGTAGCGACTCTCCCCTATTTTGGAGCCTATGATGGAATTTTCCTGGCTTTTCTCCAGTTTTTTTTTTTTTTTTTTTGATGATTCTTTCTGGGTTCTATCTGTAGGGTCTTCTCCCTGGCCAATCCTTCTGGTGCCCCCAGGGCTCCACACTCAGCCCTTCTCTCAAACTCCTCCCTCTCACTCTAACCTTTCTGGACTATCTTATATGGATTATTGGCTTCACTAATCCCTCACCAGGATCCTAACACCCAAATCTACATCTCCAGTCCAGACCTTTCTCCAGAACTCCAGACCCAAGTCTCCAAATGCCCTTTACGTGTCGCTCCTGTGAATGTTCTGCAAGTACACCAGAATTACTGTGCCTGAAAGTGAACTCATTATCTTCCCTGCCAAACTCATCCTCCCTCCAAATACTCCCATTCAAGGTCAACGGCAACACCGTCAACTCAGCCTTCCAAGCCAGAAAACAAGAAATCTCCCATAGCCCTCATGCCCTGTAATCACATCTCCAGTCTAACCTCCCCTATCCTCTCTTGAATTCATCTACTCCTCCCTGTTGGGTTCAGGCCCTCATGGCATCTTATTCTACTCCATGGATGAAATAGCCAGCCAGAAGATCAACTTGTCACTATCAATTCTGCCGTCCAGTCCATCCTTTCTAAAATACATTTCTGCTCCTGTCTGGTCTCTCTTGTTAAAAGCCTCCCACCTTCCCGCTTACAAAAGAATGTCCAAGTCATTTGCCAAGCACACAAACCTCTCATGATCTTGTGGTATCTCCCAAGACTCCCCATAGAGCACCCTACTCTCAAACTACATAAAATGACTTGGGATTCCCAGGATCAGTCATGACTTTTTCCACGTTCCTATTCTGTAGCTGCTGTTCCCACTGCCTGGTGAACTCCTATGTATACTTCAGCACCCATTGCAAATATCACTTGCTCCTCCATGAAGTGTTCCCCAACTCTTCACCCCCTTCAGATTTGTCATTCCATCCGCTTTGCTACAGAAATACTTCAAACACAGCTCTCATGCAAAACATGTATCAGGCATTTAATGACTTATAATTTAATGACGCATCTTCCTTCCTACTCTACTTGGAAAGCCACAGGTCAAGAATGTTTATCCCCTGCCTAGAACAGGCACATGCTTAGACAAGCAGCTTGTTAAGTTCCTCGAATTGGAGGAAGGACCAGCTATGTGAGAGGTTTCCCCAGGATGCAAACAGACAGGATGCGAGGGGAAGGAAGGAGTTAATGGCTGAACCTTTAAAACTCTATGATTGGTAACCTTGGATTTAAATTTCGGTTTAACACAATTGGCCACTGAGAAAGCATTTTCATCACAAATCCTATTTCCTCCAGGTTTTCTAAAAACATCACCCTATCAGTTTGAATCCTGCAAGCTCTTTCTCAGCCAAAAGGAATTTCCCTTTAAACAAAAACTATTCAGACATTTCCAAGATATGAAATGTGAAAAACCAGGATTTTCCACTCAGACAACTAGGAAACTGTTTGCAGATTTTTTTTTCCCCAGACTCCTCTTATTTGCCAAGGAGTCTGAAGGGACTTTTTTTTCCAATGTTAAAAAAATGTTTCCTACCTCTGTGTCTCTGTTTTTCCATTCTTTATTTTGTCTGGGTTTCACTTAAACAAAGTTTTAAGTCAGAAAACAGAGACTACAAAACGCAAAACTACACCTGCCAATTGAATTGCCCAAATGAAATACACAATCGACTGAATGCTGCTGGTGCTGCTGTCGTCGTGGCTGTCATTGTTTTACATAGCTTTTTTTTTTTTCTTTTTGGGGACGGAGTCTTGCTCCGTCACCCAGGCTGGAGTGCAGTGGCATGATCTCGGCTCAATGCAAGCTCCACCTCCCGGGTTCATGCTATTCTCCTGCCTCAGCCTCCCGAGTAGCTGGGACTACAGGCACCCACCACCACACCTGGCTAATTTTTTTGTATTTTTAGTAGAGACGGGATTTCACCGTGTTAGCCAGGATGGTCTCGATCTCCTGACCTCGTGATCCACCCACCTCAGCCTCCCAAAGTGCTGGGATTACAGGCGTGAGCCACCGCGCCTGGCCTTAAATAGCTTATTTTTTAAAGATTCTTCAGTGGTAGGGGCATAACACATGTAATACCATTGGGATTTTGAGATCATGTAATAAAAATGTAGAATTTACAAAGTGATCACCAAAGACGTGAAGTAAATTGTACTGTGATGAGTTCATAGATCAAAAGGCACGGCCGAGCACAGTGGCTCATGCCTGTAATCCCAGCATTTTGGGAGGCCAAGGCAGGTGGATCACTTGAGGCTAGGAGTTTGAGACCAGCCTGGCCAACACAGCGAAACTCTGTCTCTACTAAAAATACAAAAAATTAGCCAGGCATGGTGGTGGGCACCTGTAATCCCAGCTACTCGGGAGACTGAGGCACAAGAATCACTTGATCCTGGGACATGGAGGTTGCAGTGAGCCAAGATCACGCCATTGCACTCCAGCCTGGGCAACAGAGCAAGACTCTGCCTCAAAAAAAAAAAAAAGCTTTATCCTCCAAAGAAAAACTCTCTTCCAAGAACTACTGTTAATAATTCTAACAAGAATCGGGCATTAAAATATGGATGGTTCAGAATAACCCATCTCAATTCTTTAAAAAAAAATCCCCAAAGCTCTTCGTAATATCAGTAAAGTTCAAATAAACAGATTACACCTACACCAGAATACAGCAACTCAAAAGCAGGCAATTCAACATGAGGTAACTGTAGCTGAGCCCCAGAGCAGCTGTACACACAAGAGGAAAATATGGTACGTGATCTAAGAAGTTACGTCTCACTTTTGAATTGACCTTCCACACAGTCGAAAAGATTAGACCTACCCCCACAGGATGCCACAGAGGGTTTCCCAAGCCAAAGTACAAGCAAAAGTCTAGGCAAAACACAGCTTGCCTCTAATGAGTGACACGGACTGTAGAAGCAGCTGAATCCCAGGAATGACCCATGAGCTCCTCTTGGGTTTACACTGCAAGAGAGCTGAGTCACTCAACATGCCCTGAGATAAATGGGTGCAGCGATAAGAAGGATCAACATCCCAGCTCTTCTTTGAAACACATCAAGAAACACATGAAAATTCAAGGGTTACCCAGCCAGAGCTGTTCTGCTGCTCAGGTGGACCTAGCAGGCTTGAGTCAAACTCCAAAGATCTGCTTTTCGTCAAAAGACAAATAACAAGTATAAAAAACTGAGAACCAGATGCACTGAAGTTTATAGCAGAGCCCAGGGGAACATACAGAGAGAAGAGAAGGCCAAGTACCAAAACACTCACATTTAACAGCTGGTATGGAAGCCAGAAAAGGAGGAAGAACTAAGCTTGCCAGAGTGTCATGGAAGCCAAAGCAAAAACGAGTTATGAGACAATCCTGTGGTCAGTATTGCCAAATAGTCCCATGAGGCCCTGCAGGTAAGGACAGAGAAAAGACTATTGGATTTAGCAGCCAGGGAGAGGTTGAGCAGTAGGACCCAGCGGGCAGAGGATACAGGGTAGAGACTAAGGAAATGGAGGCCATGGCTGGTGACCACGCACTTGAGAAAACCTGGCAGTAAACAAGAGAAAAGAAATGAGTAAGAGGGAGCATCTGGCAAACATGTGTTCAAGGCAGAGGCCTGTGTTTACAGCACAATGTAGGAGCTGGAGAGGAGAGGAAATAAAGATGCATGAGAGAGAATAATGACAGGCTCTCTCCACTTTCTGAATGATGTCAGACTCCTAAGGTTGGGACACCTTGTTCTCAAAGAGAAGACATTTGACTTAGGGGATAGGTTGGAAAAGTACTTCTATTATGGATCAGGCAGTGACATGCAAAGAAACTGAAATCCAAATAGGTGAAGTAATGTACCCAAGGTCACCAGAGAGCCTGTGTCCCTCAACATCAAAATGGCCTGCCTTGAAAGCCCACCCTTTCCACCATGCCATCAACTCCACTCCCACTGGAAACAGGGACTGTTTCAATCACCCCACGCCCACCTTGTTCTCTAATCAAAACAAGAAAAGATATCAACACTGAATTACCCAAGTCACTATTATACTGAATTTTCACATTTGCAAAACCGTTTACAAGAATCCAGAGTTTATTTGTTTGTTTGCTCATTTATTTATTTATTTTGAGACAGGGTCTCACTCTGTTGCCCAGTCCGGAGTATAGAGGCGTGATCACAGCTCACTGTAAACTCAACCTCCTGGGCTCAAGCGATCCTCCTGCCTCAGCCTCTGAAAGCGCTGGGATTACAAGCATGGGCTACCACGTCTTGCCCAGAGTTTTAAAAATATATAAAAACAGGCCAAAGCCACCCAGCTTATCCATTTTCCAGGACTGCCTCACTCTACTTAACTATGCATCAAGCACTTACGATTCTCTGGGCATCCTGCACTTGACTAAGGACCATGAGGGTATAGAAGAGACAGTCATGTCTCCTGTCCTCAAGGAACTTGTGCTGAGCAAATCTCTACTGCTCTATGTCTTACATTCCCCATAGATAAAATGGCCCATCTTCTCCCATGTGCCTCATGAATAACCTATACAATTTGATTCAAGGAAAAATCAAGATCCCTTAGCACTTCATTTAGAAAGGCCAGGGTGCATCCACTGAGCAGGGAAAAAGAGAAATAGGCTCAAGGTTGATCCAGAGACAGTGGGTCTCATTATTTCCTTTCCATCCTGATTCCACAGGGGCAGAAAACAAGGGCAGCACTCCCTCACTCATAAGATCACTCATTTGGACAATTCAGATGCCCTGCAACCATAGGCCTCAATCCTACCAAATGCCCAGCTAAGGCTTAAGGCTATTTACCCCAAGAGAGTCACCAGACAGCGTAGAGCCATGTCAGGCTGAGGCCGGCAGTTTTAGCTGCAGACAGGCACATGTGCCCTCATCAATATTTGAACAGCCATATGCAACTGGAAAAATTGCTTCTTTGAAAAATGGCATTTAGCTTGCCACCTGCTGTCGATCCCAAACAGAACAAATCATTCTTGTCCTGCATGGTAAGCATGATTACAGGCTCAGCTAGCTACCTCCAGCCCTGGTATTCTACTCTGACGCCAAGAGTCCAGATAATACAGTTAATTCTACATCTCCTAGTTAGTGAGTCAAGACATAGCCATAATCTCCTCCTGGCTCCCACCCCTCCCTAGCCTTTCCCTGCACTTTCAAGAGGCTATTTCTACATCTATAGTCTTCTTTCACTGGGCATTGGTAGCACAGCTAAATAATATTCTTAGAACTTTGCTGGGCCGGACGTGATAGCTCATGCCTGTAATCCTAGCACTGTGGGAGGCCGAGGCAGAGGATCCCTTGAGCCCAGGGGTTCAAGACCAGCCTAGGCAACATAAGGAGACCCTGTCTCTATTTAAAAACAAAAAACAAAAGAACTCTGCGAGTGGCACAGTACTTGGGTTTACTGTTTTGCGCCCAGGGCAAATTACTGTGAATTTTAAATTTTCTAGTTGCTAGCCCATGTTCATGAGAAAAGAAACATACCTTTTGACTAAGGAAAGAATTGTTAACTCAGACTATTTTACTAATGATCCCAATGGTCATGCTGGTTGAGTCTCCATCCCCATATGATTAATCTAAGCTGATAATATAAATCCCATTCTCCTTTCCAGCCATTGGCTTAAGAATGGTCATATGACCGAATCCTTACCAATAAAGCTTTAAGAAAAATCAGCTAGTGGGCTAGTAAGAAAAGTTTCTTCCATTCTAAAAAAGGGACACAAGAAAGAGACAACTTCTCTTCTTCCTCTGGATGTTGTCATTTTGAATGTAACCCCTGTAACTCCTATGTCCATCACACATCCAACCTGAGGATGAAAGCTGCACATGGGCAGAACCAAGGTCCATTGAGGAACTGCTGAATCAGCCAACAAGGAGCTCTATTTCTTTTTTTTTCTTTTCTTTCTTTTTTTTTTTTTTTTTTTGAGACAGAATCTCACTCTGTCACCAAGGCTGGAGTGCAGTGGCATGATCTTGGCTCACTGCAACCTCCACCCCCCAGGTTCAAGGGATTCTCCTGCCTCAGCCTCCCGAGTAGCTGGGATTACAGGCGCCCGCCACCACGCCCAGCTAATTTTTGTATTTTTAGTAGAGACAGGGTTTCACCATCTCGGCCAGGCTGCTCTTGAACTCCTGACCTTGTGATCCACCTGCCTTGGCCCCCCAAAGTGCTGGGATTACAGGCGTCAGCCACCGCGCCCGGCCAGGGGCTCTATTTCACAACCTCTTGCAACATGAGATAATTTACTTACTGTATGAGCCGATCTGAATCCATTTTCAGTTACTTCTAGCTGCAAGCACTGTAATTAATTCAATTATTAATCTAGATGCTATATCTTATAACTCCTGCAAAAGCAATGTCACATCAGAGACCCCTGTTTCCCATGAACACTGTAACTCAGGGATCATTCGAGAAGGAGGGCAAATATAAAACTCTGTACTGCCCTCTCATCTTTCAGGACTGTGCCTATGTCTACCACCTCCCAACCAATGTTACTATCATGAGAACAATTTCAGAGACAGTAAAATAATCCGTCAAAGATTTTTTGCTAAGCCAAGGGAAATCCTCTAGATCATAGACAAATTAGCAACACATAAACAAGGCTGCCTTATGAATAAGAGCCACATTATGAAATAATGGAGGGCAGTGAGGGTTCCTCTCCCATTCCCCAAATATTCGCCCACTACTACCTGGCTATCGCCCTAGGTTCTCCAAGTGGAGATTCACCCTTTTGACCTGAAGTAATTATTGTTAAATATAAATGCCCATTTAGGGTTAACATGTTAAATCTTACTAACACTAAAATTTCTAGTGAAAGCTTATCAAATCTTTCCTGACAGCAAAATTTGAAGGGATGAAATTGGAAAGAGAACATTACAGTGAACACTTGATGTCTAAGAAAGGAGGGGAACACAAAAGGGGCGAGAATGTTGAAAGGTGCCACAAGGGTCTGGAAAAATTATACTTACTTCCCAATTCTGTCTCCCGTTAGAACTCACTACATTTATTCAGCTTGTGGAGGTCATGTGACCATAAGTAATAACATTCTCAGCCAATGAGGACCCGGGTGCCCCTTCAGAACCTGGCCTGGGGCCAACCCTAGGAGTTAACTCCAAAGTGGAACATCAAACCAAAAGCTTCAATATCGCATTGAAATCATATCACTCTCCGGGCCAGGCGGGAGGAACAGGAAACCACACAGTCTGTGAGATCAGCCAACTCCTTTTCAGCACTCAGTAAGACATGGAAGCCAGATGGCCTTTCCATCTGGACACCAGGCAGGTCGAATATTCCCCCAACTCCCTACCTACCACTGTCTGGGACCAGTGGTTTCACTTGAAGAACCAACCAGATATAAAACTGTATTAGCATAACCACCAAATGATTTTACAAATAACTTGGCTTTATAGGAATTCTGCATTTTAAACAAGCAGAACTTCTGTTGTTACTTTCACAAAGACTTAGTTTTTATGATACACTTTTTTAAAAGGATATAATCATGGCGAAAATTGCAAAAATTGTTTTATTTTCCAGATGGCTAAACTGAGATAGAAGAAAGGAGAACATTATCAAGATCTTGATGTTTATCATGGGCAAACCACCTGCCAACCTCTCCCCCTAAAGCCTCTTTCCATGGGGCCTTCCCACTTCCCCTGTTCTTCATCCAACGCCTCCACTGACCTTGAGTGGTGTTGAGTTTCTATATAGTACTGAAGCTCCCTTTTTCCCCCAAGAACACTTGGTTGAAAATTACCTCTAGTCCAGTTTTACATGGTGCCTACAAGTTGTATTTCTTCCATTTTCTAGACATAGTGACGAGGTAAAAATCTGAATAGTACCAACAGGTATAGTGTGTAGACATGCTTCCCTTCATCTCTTGACTTCCACTTCCCCAAGCTGCTTTCCCAAAAATTATCCACTTCTTGAGCATCCTTCCAGATACAGTTTATACATATATAAAATACATTTTAAAATTTATAGATTATTTTGCTCTTTAAATTGCAAAAGGGGGCTGAGCACAGTGGCTCACACCTGTAATCCCAGCACTTTGGGAGGCCAAGGCAAGAGGGTCCCTTAAACCCAGGAGTTGGAGACCAGCCTGGGCAACATACTGAGATCCCGTTTCTACCAAAAAAAAAGAAGAAAAAAATTAGCCAGGCATGGTGGCACACACTGATACTCCCAGCTACTCTGGAGGCTGAGGTGGGAGGATCACTTGAGCCTGGAAGGTTAAGCCTGCAGTGAGCCATGATTGAGCAACTGCACTCTAGTCTGGGTGTCAGAACAAGACCCATCTCAAAAATAAAATAAAATAAAATAAAATAAAATAGAAATTACAAAAGCACAGACAATTCCCAGAAAGTAATTTTCAGAGAATTTTATAGGAATACAATACAAATGGCAGAAATGTCCAACATACAGGCAGGTCTGGGGAAAGAGGCAAGGTTTCTTCTCACGGTGGTACCGAACCCCAAGAGATATTCTCCTGATTTCTAGATTTGCCATCTTTTCTGAACCAATTTTAGCCTGTATTCCATCTTGAAGCAACAGCTTTCCTAAAATCAGTACTCACTGAATTAAAATAACATTTCATCATCTGTATGGAAACAATTTTTTAAGCTTCAAGAGGAAGCCCAGAGCTTTAGCAATTCAGGATCTAATGATCAGTCCATCTTTGCCCTATCCATATGCTTCATTATTTTGTAGACTCTGAACCTGTCTGCCTTTGTCCTTGTAGACCAAGATGTCTTCATAACTAACCAAATGAAAAAAAACATTGCTCCTAACGGTTAACAGAAGGCTCCTGAGAAACATCATAATCTCAGCCTTGGGTAACTTGAACATTCTAAATTGTTTAAATCAAGTATGTGACAGGTTTGCTAAAACAGAGCATTAGCAATCATGCATGTAGTAACTAAATCCCTAGTAAGAGCAACAAAAGTGATCTCACTAGGAAGGTTTGGTGGCTGCCACTGTCAGCCTCATTTAAACATTAGCTGCTTTCAGGCTCAGCAGTTCCTATATTCCAATCACTCTCTCCCAACCTCTTATTCAGTTCCTTCTCTTTAAGTCAGGATTCTTCACTCAGACAGCCTGATAGGCAAGTACTTGCAGGCAGGCAAACATGGGTTTGAATCCTGGTTCTATCACTAAATAGCTGTGGGAACTGAGCCAAGTGGCTTAAACTCACGAAGCCTCATTTTTCTTATATGTAAAATAAAAGTAATAAAAATGGCTCATTTCACTGGGTCATTACAAGGGTTAAATGGCATAATATTTGTAAAGCACTAGACACAATGTCTTTCAGCAGGACCAGCTACGTAATTTGTGAAACCCAGTGCAAAATGAAAATGTAAGGTCCCCAGTTCAAAAAGAATTAAGATTTTCAAGATGGTGACAGCACAGCATCAAACCAAGTGTGGACCCCGTGGCACTGCATGGGTGGCAGGCCATGTGGTCAGCCCTGCCTTTCGGATGATAAACACTCAATAGATGGTAGCTGTCATCATCTCTTACCACCCTCACAACTCGTATTTGAACCTCACCCTCCCCTCAGGCTCTCTTCAACTTGGAAAGTTTTATGAAATCATTCCAAAAACAGGCACTGGTGTCTCAGAAGCACCCAGAGTTTATAAGACAAATAACTCACCAAAATGAGTAATCTGAAATACATGATATTAACACAGTCTCATGAAAATGCACACCTACCTTAGGCCTTTGCTCTAGTTCTTCATCCTGCTGAGCTAACACTCTTACCTCCTTCCAATTTTTGTTCAGATCCATTTTCTATGGGAAGCTTGCTCTGATCACTCAGTTCAATCCCATAGTTTGCTCTTCTTCCACCTTGTATTCTCTATCCCCCTCACCTTGTTCTACTTATACGTTTTCCATAACACTTATTTCATCCAACATAATCACTTCTTTATAATGTTTATTGTTTATGTTCCCCTACACACACACACACACACACACACACACACACACACACACGAATATAAGCTTCTAGAAGTCAGGGATTTTGTCTGCTTCTGTTCACTCATGTTTCCAAGTGCTTTATATATTCCACAAATATTAATCGAAAGAACAAATATCTCTCTGACTGAATGAATAATCAGGCCATCCTTTTTCTACATAAAGATTCAGCTAGAGTAACAAACAGCTCTGCCCCTGGATATCTAACAGAGTTCAGGAAACAGATGGGAAAATTATCTCCCCACCTCTCCCAAACGTCCCTTAGTTTGAGAGAAATATAACCCAATCATTTGTGCTGCTAAACCAATACCTCTTTCAACAGTAATTCATATGCACAGTTTGTTGCACTGACTTGCAGCAATGATGAGCAGCATTTTACAGGAATGAGCTGTTCACAACAGACATGTACCTAAGTGGAGGACATAATAAGCATTTTTTAAAAATAGAAATAAAAGAAAAATAATCACACATTCCTGCTTTATCACAATGACAGAAAAACTGGGCTGTTAATATCAAAGCAAATGTAAGGCCTCTACTCCCTGAAAGTGTGCATAAGGTGTTAGTTAGAGCCAGTCCAAGCAGTTCTTCCCAGAGTGAATGCCACAGTCACGGGTAGCATCTCGCACCTTTCCCTGTGAACTCACAAATGCAAGCTACAGGGCCAAAGAACAGCAAGGTAGATGCCTGTGCGTAATTCATCCCACCAGCTGAAAGACAACCCCCTAGCTGTGGCATTGCAGCTGCTGGATGAGACACTGTCACAGCGAAAGAATACTTCAAGAACAAAAGAGAAGGGCTGCCCCTCTGCATATGGATAAAATGTAGCCTGTCAGTAGAAACTCCTGGAGCACCCATTCATCAAAAGATATTTGAGGAACAACATACTCCAAGTTCTTTACTGAGGACAGGAAGCACATCTGGTACCCCAACCTCCGTGCTGCCCACATAGTGTCCCCATGACAAGCTCAGCAAGCAAAGCCCAGAAGATCACACTGAACATCTGGCTTTTGCCCCAGCATGAACTACCACTCCCTCTCAGCCCTGCACTCTGCATTTTTTTTAAACAAGCCACTCTCAGCCACCACAAATACTTCGGTGGGAATCAGCAGGGAGGCCCTCATTCCTTGTCTCAAAATAACGTCAGCCAGAGTCAAAGGCCAAAGAGGTGGAGCCTGCAGGCCATTTTGCGAAAGTTTCAAATATCTTGGTACTGACCCCATTAAAAAAGCGTGAAGGGGAAGCAGCCAAGCCTCCAGTGGTTTTCTCATTAGTGTCCCCCCTCACCCCAGCCCCACCCCCATTACAAACGTCTGCATGGATAAGAATCAAACAAAGAGATCTTGCATAAAGTCCTATGATCAGTGCTGGCTATTGAAAACAAAATTTCATTTTGCAAACTTAATACCAAAAACTTGACATTAAAAACTTTAAAAGAAATGTGCGTGCTCTGGGACAGCTTAATCCCCCAAGAGATCTCTGAGGCATTAGTATAAGACTGAACAAGCAACTGGTGAGCTGTCCCACCTTCCCCAGAGCCTTTCTTAAATATGCAACTGTCTCAGATTTTCCATACTCCTCTGCTGGTTTTTCCTCCGAAGAGGGAGGAAGGAGACTTCTTGGTCGTACAGTTTAAGAAAGCAAATAAAGCCGCCTTTCTCCCTAACGTAGAGGAGCCCTTTCAACACACACACACACACACACACACACACACACACACACACACACGTGTACTTTTTAAAATATAAATATGAAAGAAGAGGAAGGGAGGGAGAGAGGGAGAGAGAATACGAGACAGATGAAAAGGAAATGCTACTTAATCTTGTCCAGTTTTTGAAAACCTCAAAAAAAAATCAATAGCAAACTAGGCGGAGGCATGTTATTCTCAAAACACACACTCCCTCTCCCGCATTACAGTACTGTTAACAACAGCAAATGATATTACAGATGGAAAAAGCCTCAGGGAAAAAAGCATGAATTGTTAAAGGAATACAAAGTGGCATTACTCTCATGAGAAATGTAAAGGGGCCAGCTGCCCGCCTTCATCTGCTCAGACATTAAAGTACACCTCGCCCAGGACCTCTTGATTCTGACCATGCCCTGCCCCAAACCCTGCCTTCCCGGGTCCCAGGACTCCAGCTGCTCCTCGCGTGACAACACTTGCCCGCTTTGAAAGCCCTCCTGCCCCGCCCGCCGGGTCCTCACCGTGTGGTACATGAGGGCCTCGCCGTCCCCGGGCTCTGACAGCTCGCTCAGCTTGCGGTCCCACTGCAGCACGCCCTGCTCCCCGCTCTCCAGCACCTCCATGGCGGTGCGGGCCGCGCTGGGCCGAGGATGCTAAGCGCAGGAGGGGACGCGCAGAGCTGCCTCGGACCGGCAAGGTTCCTCTCTCTCCGCGTGTGCTTGCGTGTGTGCGCGCGCGTGTCTGTAGTTTTGCACTTGGAAAGCAAACGTCTGCTCCTCTGCCGGAGAGAGGATGGCCAAGCGCTCCCGTCCGGTGTCCTCGGAGATCCGAGAATCCCCAGGGACACGAGCCGGACCAAAGGCTGCCGGGGCTAAAGCGGGATGTGCATCCAAAATGAAGGCAGAAGACCCGCTCTCATCCCAGGAAAATCCCTTAGCCGCAAGCCCACTTGCCGCTACGGCTCCAGACACAAACTTTGAGGGACCCCAGGGCTCCTCGGCTCTGCTCCAGGACCCAGCTGCGGCCCCACCTCCCTCCAAGGCTTGACCAATTGGATATCCGCCTTGCCTAGCAGACCCAATCAGAAGTCTCATTCTCGGCTTTGTCCCGCCCCCAAAGGCAGAGGCCGCGGGAAGTCTCCGCCCACGCCTTGGAATGTAGCCGGGGAGTGTCTGTGACGTCACCGAGGAACTCCTCCTGCTTGAGCGCGGCCCGCTGTCTGCTGTCGCCTACAGCTGACCAATAGAGGGCTTGGGTCCGGAAGTGATGGACTGGAGGCTTGACTAATGTGAAAGGGGCGTCTGAAAGGTACAGCCAATGAAATAGCGACAAGAATACATTTTGTAAAAGAGGGAGGGTGAGTTCAGTCCTCTTGCTGAGAATCCTCAGAAATTTACCAGCGCGCCGACAGGGGGCGCGAGAGTTGTTGCGCGGGGGGCTTAAACATTTTCGAGTACTTTAGTTCATTTGAATCTCTCGGAATTTTTTTAATGGATTACATATTATACAAAAATACAAATATTCCTCATGCACATACATTTATATTAGTGCAGCTCTAGGAAATTGTCATTGTTCTTCACCTTTTTCGCCCATTTTCTGTTGGGTTCTTCTATTTTTTATGGACTTCACTTATTGTATGTTTTTCTTTCATCTGCTTGATAAGAGTCAATGGCATGCTTTTCCAGGTCCTACAGAAGTGAGCCCAGTCCTTGAATTCATAGAGCTTTTATCTCAGAGGAGTCAGGCAATAAACAAAGAAATAAACATTTAAATTCAGAAAGTGGAAATTGCTATAAAGAAAAATAAAAGCAGGAAAACAGGATGCGTCAAGATCGATGCTATTTTACGTGCTGATCAGGGAAGTTCTTCCTAAAGGAAATGAGATTTCGGGGGAAGCTGGTATTCACGTGATTGCTGGGGAGGCCAGTGTGGCTGCAGCAGAGGTGCTTGGCAGGGAGGGGTGGGAAAGGCCAGAAAGGTGAGCCAGGGCCAGAGCACCAGGCCTGCCTCCTAGAATAGGGAAGAGATGGCCTGTTCTAAAGGAATTCCCCCGAACACTGTGATTCTTCTTCCTCCTTTTTAATTCCAAAAATATAGTTTACCTATCTTAAATATAAAAGCAGGTCTTTGCCAGTTAGCTCTAGAAGTTTCTTACAATGGCACATTCAGGTATTAGCTATTGTGTTGTTTCCTTGGCAAGTATTTTTTGGCGGGTGGAGACAAATGTCTTTGAACTCTATGTTGTCTTTAAAGCAGCAGTTTATCATATAAACTATTGCATTTGTCTGGTCCTATCTTCTGGGGTCTTTTGAGATTTTTTTTTTTTTTTTTTTTTTTTTGAGACAGTCTCACTCAGTTACCCAGGCTAGAGTGCAGTGGCACGATCTCAGTTCACTGCAGCCTCCACCTCCTGGGCTCAAACAGTTCTCCTGCCTCAGCCTCCTGTGTAGCTTGGACCACAGATGTGCACCACCACACCCGGCTAATTTTTAAATTTTTTGTAGAGGCAAGATCTCACTTTGTTGCCTGGGCTGGCCTCAAACTCCTGGGCTCAAGCAATCCTCTCTCCTGAGTCTCTCAAAGTGCTGAGATTTAAGGCATGAGCCACCACGCCCAGCTTTTGAGATTATTTTAATGCTTAAATAGAAGCTCTAGTTTATGGGCACACACCTTCCTTATATAATAGTTTTCTCATTTTTCTCTTAGGTTCTTGGTTTTTCTTTTCCAGCCTGGTATCCCCTTCATCACATTCTTTCCATAGATTGCTCTTTCCATTTTTAAAGACCTTTCTTATTTTTTTAATCTGTCACTCAATGTACAATGGGATTACATCCACATAAACCCATCATAAATTGAAAATATCGTAAGTCAAAAATGCATCTACTATACCTAACCTATCAAACATTATAGCTTAGCCTAGCCTACCCTAAGATGTGCTCAGAACACTTATATTAGCCTACAGTTGGACCAAATCATCTGGCAACACAGTACTAGTTATTTACTGTCATGATTGTGTGGCTGACTGGGAGCTATGGCTCCCTTGCACCAGGAGAGAATACCATATTGCGTATTGCTAGCCCGGGAAAAGATCAAAATTCAAAACTCAAAGTACAGCTTCTACTGAATGCATATCTCTTTCACACCATCATAAAGTCAGGAAATCATAAGTCATAAGTCAGGAACCATCTGTACCTCTTCCTTAATGTAGGAATACAAACATTTATCCGTGAAGCATTTCTGCTTTTGACAAAGTCTAATCCTGCTTATACCCCATGTAGTAGCCAGTTTCCAAGATGGCATCTAGTGATCCCACTTCCTGGTGCTCACGCTCTTGTGTAATTCCCTCCTCTTGAGTCTGGGCTAGACCTGAGGACTTTCTTCTAACAGAATATGCCAAAAACGAGAAGATGTCAAAAAGATTATGGCTCCTGACTTGCTTGTTTCCTCTTCCTCTCTTGCTTGCCTGCTTTAAGAGAAGCCAGCTGCCATGCCATGAACTGCAATGTGAAAAGGCCAATGTAGCAAGGATATGTCCAGCCAACAGCCAGTGAGGATCTGAGGCCCTCAGACCAGCAGCCCATGAGCAACTGAATTTTGCTAATAACCATGTAAGTGAACACAGAAGTGGATCCTTCCCCAGGCGAGCCTTCATAAGTCCACAGACCCAGTCAAGACTTTGACTGCAGCCTTGTGAGAGCCCCTAAGCCAGAGGACCCAGCTAAGCCACGTTCAACTTCCTGACCTGTCAGGTAATAAATGTATGTTGTTTTAAGCCACTAGGTTTTTCCTTTGTAAAATATGTATTATGATCATTGGCACCCTAAATGGTTTGGTTAAACTTACCTGTACTCTAATAATAGCATCACAATCCCTCGTGGTGGGTTTCTCCAGCCTCCTTTGTTTCACGTATACTTCTCTGTTAAATGTACACACAACTTCTTACCAGCCTGTCTTCCTGTTTTGCATTTTGAAAATGAAATTCTTTCCCTTTTCATCTCCTTAGAACTTAGCAATGTAGTTGACTCTCCTTCCAGCTTCGCTGGCATCCTTGTTCTGCTGTCTGTTATTAATAGATTCATGGCACTTGCACGACTGGAAGTCATACTCTCCCAAAATGAAAATCAGATGCATTAGCCAACAAGACATTTCTCTGATTTTTTTCTGATATTATTTGCTATCTTTCCATGTGTCAGTCTATTTACAAATTTGTTCTATGTGCTTTCTATACCTTCATCTCAATTATTAAGATAAATTGTATCTAGAATTGGGCACTTGACAGATCCCCCACATCATGAAAATAGAATCCGCCTTCCAAGTTCTCATGGTCCCATTCATCGGCATGCTTTTTATTTGACTACTCGATAAAAATTAATCTATTGAATTTTCCTTTTTCACGTCCTGTACTTTTTCAGTTTATCCACAGGGATAACTGTTAAGTACCTGCTTAATTCCAGACACCATTGTGTATACATTTTTCCAGGTTTAAAACTCTGTTAAAAAAAGACATGGGGCCGGGCATGGTGTCTCATTCCTGTAATCCCAGCACTTTGGGAGGCCGAGTTGGGAGGACTGTTTGAAGCCAGGAGTTTGAGACCAGCCTGGACAATATAGCAAGCTATCTCTACAAAAAATTTTAAAACTTAGCTGGACGTGGTAGCACACGCTTGTAGTCCCAGTTATTTGGGAGGCTGAAGCAGGAGGATGGCTTGAGCCGAGGAGGTCAAAGTTGCAGCAAGCTATAATTACCCCACTGCACTCCAGCCTGGGAAAGTCTGCCTAAGCCAACGTGAAAAGGCTGTGCAAAGGCATCCCTGGTGCCACATCCTGACACCGGCACATGACACAGCTGTGAAGACTTGGTCTTCTCAAGTGATATTGTTGGCCAAAGAATGTGTGTGGGGTTACAGTTGGCTTATCAAGGTCTCCCTCACCAAATGGTGAGGATTATGTGAAGGGGAGAGGAAGGCATACTCTATTGGTTTCCCAAGGCTACCATCACAAAGTACAACAGCCTGGGAGGCTCCAAACAACAGCAATGACTCTCCAAGGTGTATGTCACCCTCTAATGTTCTCTGCCTCCTCTCTTTCCTTTGTACCTGTCTACTCAAGAGCTCATCTCAGCCCTTCCCCAACCAACACACTGAGTTCTCCGAGTACAGCCCCCTTGCCATCCTTACTGAAACCATTTGGGATTACTCAATCAGAGTTGCATTTTTTCAGATCATCTCATTCCTCTTGGGCGGTTTTTTTTTTTTTTTTAAATAATACAACAAACCATGGAATCCTGCCCATTTCATCTCTGACATTGTTTTAATAAATTCTGAAGATGTATTTATTTTACTCCTCCATGCTCTTGACTTTCTACTATCTGTTGAGATTTTTCTTTTTATTTTAACATGTTCTATCATTCTATTGCAGTGTGGAATGGGAGCAAACTTTTACTACCCTCTGGCCTTCTTTTGTTTAATTCTTCCTGTTCTAACAGTGTTCAGTATAATAGAAATTTCCCAGCTTTGAGGATTTTCTTTCAATGTCTATTTCTTATTTATTTATTTATTTGGAGACAGGGTCTCGCTCTATAACCCAGGCTGGAGTGCAGTGGTGTGATCATGGCTCACTGCAGCCTCAACCTCCCAGGCTCAAGTGAACCTCCCACCTCAGCCTCCTGAGTAGCTGGGACTACAGGTGTACGCCACCATGTCCAGCTAATTTTTTAATTTTGTATAGAGACGGGTTTTCTGCTTTGTTGCCCAGGCTGGTATCAAACTCCTGGGCTCAAGCTATCCTCCCACCTCAGCGTCCCAAAGTGCTGGGATTACAGGCATGAGCCATTGCACCTGTAATATGCAGTGTATATAGAACAAACAGGAGAGAAGATGTCTGCAAGAATCTAATACCTTCCTAGGAAATCCAGGAAATCAGGATAGGCCTCAGGAATGTGAAATAACTTGGTAATGAGAACTCTGAGTACTGGGATAAAGAGTCAGACAGAAGGAGGGGAGAAGGAGAGCTGCTCCCCACCGCTGAGAAGTCCACCTGGTGTAGAAAATGAGCTGGAAAGAGACGGCACAGGTGCCTTGGCTTCAATTGGCTGTAGATTGCTTATTGATAGAGAATAGCCCCTGATGGGGGTGCTGGATAGAACCGTTCTGCCTGAAGCCAAGGAAACACGTCTCTCTGCCTCTCGGTTTCTCAAAGGGGTTTGGGGGGGTGGACTCTGAAAACCTAGAAAGCAGCCTGCCCTTGGAAACAGACCTCTTCCCATCTTGGCAAATTCAGAAATGGCCAAAGGCCCCAGGACAACAGGAAGAGCTACAGGTACGAGCAGCCAGAGTCACATACGTTGGTCCTTCTCCACCTCTGCTGACCTCAGGAGATCTTGAACTCCACCCTCCCAGGGCCACCCCTCGGCTTCACAATTACATGCTGAATTTATACTCGTACTAACCTGTCACTGTGTGGAGGCTGCTAATACACTACAGCTTGTTTAAAGACTGTAGAAAATTTGAAAATAAAACTTTATTATATTAAACCCCTACCTTACAACTTATATGAAAAAAAGCTTCAGATGGACTAAGGATATTAGTGTAAAATAAAACAAAGCCATCCAGAGAAACCAGAGATAAAATACTTTTATAATTTTGGTGTGAACAAGGTCTAGGCCTAATGTAAAAGGCAGAAAATATATAGGAAAAAATAGCTTTAATTTATACATAAGTATATGTGTCTGTGTGTCTATGTATGCACACACATAGCTATACAGAGATATACATCTTAACCTGTAATTAAATAAATGAGATTAAAATGTTATACATGTTACCGTTCGCATGAGTCATTTTGCAGTGAAGATTTTTTTTTTCCATTGTTTATCTGCTCATGGCCATCCCATCCCAAGAACACAGTGGTGACAGCCTGGTACGTATCATTCCATACTTCCTTTATGCTCATATAATCATATACAAATACACAGAGACAGAGAGAAGTTCAGTCACTGTTTTATTATGCACATTTCTCTGCAGTTTGCTCTTACCACTTAATAAGAGATCTTGAAAATCCCCCATCCTCCAGTGTGGATTTAATGCATTCTTGTTAGCAGCTGACTGGAAAAGGATGAAGCATTCTTCATGTTGATAAACAGGTTTTACTTCTAGAAACATCAATTGTATGACACCAGGATCATATGCTTTGCATGTCCCAATTTCCCGGTATGTGACCTTCTCCCGGTGATAGAAGATCAGGCTCAGGGTGTTGAATATTTTTTTTTTTTTTTTTTTTTTTGAGATAGAGTCTGGCTGTGTTGTCCAGGCTGGAGTGCAGTGTCGCCATTTCAGCTCACTGCAGCCTCCACCTACTGGATTCAAGCAATTCTCCTGCCTCAGCCTCCTGAGTAGCTGGGATTACAGGCGTACACCACCAGGCCCGGCTAATTTTTGTATTTTTAGTAGAGACGAGGTTTCACCATGTTGGTCAGGCTGGTCTAGAACTCCTGACCTCGTGATCCACCTGCCTCGGTCTCCCAAAGTGCTGGGATTACATGCGTGAGCCACCGCACACGGCCTCGGTGTGTTGAATTTGACAGCCTAAGGGCACACCCAGTGCCCAAGGAGCGGGGCTAGCAGGGCAGGAGAGGAACAGAGAAAGGGATCAGGCATGAAATGGTGTGAAGGGCCTGCGGGAGGGTTAGGCAAGACGCAGGGATAGAGAGGTTCAAGGATTGACACTGCTTTGCCACAATTTTTCCTCCAACCTCTGTAGGGCGCTCCCCTTAGGAGATTGTTGGCACCGTGTCACAAGAGAGGTTGGTGGAGGCAAGAGGTTCCTTAAAGGAGGACGGAGGACACAGCCAGAAACAAACAGCCCTTTAATTGAACTAGAAAAGACCGGAATTTCAATTTCAGCCGTTTTGGTCACTTCTCCAACACTGCCACCAAGTGGCTAAAGAGGAACAATGCAACTAGCAAACCCAAAGGGAAAGATTGCAAGAGCTGGGCAGTCATAAAATAAAACCACCATGGCTGGCTAATTTTTTTTATTTTTAATAGAGACAGAATCTCATTATGTTGCCCAGGCTGGTTTCGAGCTCCTGGACTGAAGCGAACCTCCTGCCTCAGACTCCCAAAGTACTGGGATTACAGGTGTGAGCCGCCACTCCTGGCCCCAGCAGTGGTAAAATAAAACCACATCTCACATTCCAGATTAATTTGCAACCCTCAGGTGGAGAGAGAGAACATTTTCATCAACCTAAAGAGTGCCTTCGTGCTGTTTGCTAGTCAGTGCTTCTCCAGAGGTCATTGCCTTTCTGGCTTCCATAGATCAGATTTGCCTGGTCTTGAGCATGATGCAAACAGAATTTTACTGCCTATACTCCTTGTCTGACTCACGCATCTGTGAGATGGGTCCATGCTGCTGCTTGTACAGCCTATTCTCATTATTTGCAGTAGCTCTGTTCTACAAAATCATCACAGACACTGAACCATTGCTCATAGGGAAAATAGGGGTTAGGTTCCTGGGAGACTCTGCTCATGACAATTTCATCAAGCAATCAGTACATATAAAGAAACAAATGTATCAATCTATGTTTAACGTGTATCAACTGATAAACATGCAGAAACAAAATAAAAGCAGATAACCTGGTTTTATGTGTGTTTCTGTTTAAAGACACCTTGTTAAATATATATTGGTGATTCATTAACGTTGAACTCATGGCCAACAGCACTGTAATTCACGACTGAACGAAACTTATCCATGCCTATTTTCCCCAAAAAACACATCACAGCCTTCTTGCACTTAGGAACATTAGACAGCACTTTACCCTTATGCTTGGGGCCATTTTAAACAGCAAAATCACCAACAAAGCACCACAAAAATGAATTTAATGCTATGTGTAGCACTAAATTGACCACAAAAATGATACTTGTTTTACCATATGACAGCCAGAACGAGAAGACAGAACTTGGTCTTGTTTGACCTCACCAGGATAACAAATTTTGGCTGCAGTGGGGCACACCAGGAGATTCAAATTTCTCACTGTTCTGTGCAGGTCCAAAAAATGGACCATAAGAATACCATGAGTATTTTAGGGTGACAAATAAATATCAGCAAGTAGCCAAATTCTCAAATACAGAATCCATGAATAAAGATCAACTGTATCTGTACTTTGGTCTGTGGAGTTTGTTGTTGTTGTTTTTGAGACAGGCTGTCACCGTGTCACTGAGACTGGAGTGCAGTGGTGGGATCATGGCTCACTGCAGCCTCGACCTCCCTGGCTCAAGCAATCCTCCCACTTCAGCCTCCCGAGTAGGTGGGACTACAGGCACACACCACCATGCCAGTTTTTCTGATGGGCTATAAGCTCTATAAAGTCAATCTCAATTCCTCAAAGCAGTCTTCTCATATCTGAAAATATGCCATTCCAGTCAAAGCCTTGGTAAAATACCCAGTGTCTCCACTTGTGACCTGTTACTAAACAAAAACAAAAACAGATTCTTATTGAACCTAAGCAAATAGCTGTACTGACATAAATTAAGAATACTCAAATAGTTTCCAAGTCCTGGAGAAATCAGGTAGAGAGAAATTTTACTCACGAGAGTATACTCAATTGTTAAAAGCTATAAATAGGCCAGGCGCGGTGGCTCACGCCTGTAATCCCAGCACTTTGGGAGGCCGAGGCGGGTGGATCACGAGGTCAGGAGATCGAGACCATCTTGGCTAACACGGTGAAACCCCGTCTCTACTAAAAATACAAAAAATTAGCCGGGTGAGGTGGCGGGCGCCTGTAATCCCAGCTACGCAGGAGGCTGAGGCAGGAGAATGGTGTGAACCCTGGGGGGCGGAACCCTGGCAAGCGGAACCTCGGGAGTGAGCCAAGATCGCGCCACTCCAGCCTGGGAGACAGCGAGACTCCGTCTCAAAAAAAAAAAGCTATAAATAACTCAAGTTTTCAGCTGGGCACAGTCGCTCATGCCTGTAATCCTAGTACTTTGGGAGGTTAAGGTGAGAGAGTAGCTTGAGCCTAGGAATTCAAGACCAGCCAGGGAAACATAGTGAGACCTCATCTCTACAAATAATAATACAAAAAATTATCTCAGTGTGGTGGTGCACACCTGTAGTCCCAGCTACTCGAGAGGCTGAGGTGGGAGGATTGCCTGAACCTGGGCAGTCGAAGTTTCTGTGAGCTGAGATCATGCCACTGCACTCCAGCATGGGCAACAGAGCAAGAACCCATCTCCCAAAAAAGGAAAAGAAAAAAAGTTTTCTTGACTCTGAAAAACAAAACAAAAAAGTATCAGCAATGTTTCAAACAAAAAAGGCATAAAAAATTATTTCAGTTATAAATTAGTTCAGTTATAAATTAGTAATTAACCTTTGTTCTGTCCAAGACTGGGCCAGCAATCTTCATGAACATATCAGCTCTTCAATGAAAGATCTGGCAATTTTCTCTCTAGTCCAATGACACAGCCTCCAAACTTAGAAACCTGCATTCAAGAGCACCCATCAGAGTCCTCTCCATGAACTTCCCTAAAGAAGAAGTAACTTTTGAACTGTAGCTGATCATAAACTACTTTTTGAGAAGAATCAAAGTAAAACAAGGACTGTCCATGGATGATAGAAGTCTTAGGACAGGCCAGGTGCAGTGGCTCATACCTGTAATCGCAGCATTTTAGGAGGCTGAGGAGGTGGATCACTTGAGTCCAGGAGCTCAAGACCAGCCTGGACGACACAGGGAGACCCTATCTGTACAAAAAATAAAGTAATTAGCTGGGTGTGGTGGCATGAGCCTGTAGTCCCAACTACGAGGGTGCTGAGATGGGTGGATCACTCGAGCCTGGGAAGCAGAGGTTGCTCAGTGAGCCGAGACCATGCCACTGCACTTCAGCCTGGGTGACAGAGTCAGACTCCTATCTTAAAAACAAAAACAAAAACAAAAACAAAAAAACAGTCATGGTTAAAGATACAATTGACAAGAAAATTTGCTTATTTCTGTGACATGCAATTTACATCAGAATCATAATTATTACTGATAATATAATATATACTAAGACATATCAGGATTACAGGAATCTCATATGATTTTGGAACACATACTAATATTTATTTAACTCAAAGTTAAATAAACATTTGATATTTGACAATGCTTCCTTTATGATTTTAACACACCAAATAAGGCAAATAAGTCCAAAATCTCTTTTGGACTTCAGGGGACCTAATATCTAAAAAAGTTAATAAGGTCAAAAAGAATAGATTTCAAACCTGAAATTTTGATTTTGGAAAGTTTGTCAAATATCAAAAGTTTAAAACATTTGAGATCACAAAATAGGATCACAGGTTATTCATTTAGCCAAAAGTGATAACTCAAATATTTCCAAAAAGAAAAAAAAAAAACCTTTACTCTTTGATAGAGAGGAGACTGAGTTTCCCAAACAAAAAGACCTAATAAAAACAGCGTGCAGCCAACTGAATCTGTCTCTTTTCTTTCCTCTTTTTTTTTTTTTTTTTTGGCAGTTTACTCAAAAAGTAAGCAAACATATTTTATTGTCTCTTAATTATTACATGAAAATCTTGTTTAAAAGAGAAAACCAAATTTTGCTTTTGCATAGTATATTAACACTGAAATTAATTTTTAATAAAATCTTATAAACAAATCCATTCAATCTCAATCACTTTGACCATTTAGAATTTTCTAGTAAAGAACAGATCAGTGCTCTAAGAAAACCCTTTTATTCCAACACAGGGTTTCTGACTCTGGCCCTGCATCGTGTGCTCTTGATATTAATGTTTAATTTGCAGAAAAACTAAATGATACCCTTTAAATTGTAGCCAACTTGATCACACAAAAAATTCCTTTCATAAGATCAATTCACCACAATCTTACTGAAAGCTTCAGTTTTATCCTATCATTTTATCTTAGGACAAAAATTTACTTTCCCAATTTTCTATATCCATTTCATTTTATCTATCATTTTTCCTTCCATTTAAAACAACTTAAAAACGTCTAAGCTAGGAAAAATCACTTTCCCTTAAAAAAAAACACTACATTTCTCTGACCTTTTACCAAAAACACATCCTACTTTCCTTATATACTTTACATATAGAATTTTTCTCTTCTATCTAGTGGTTTTAATTACATATATTAATTACAATGTTAACTCTTCATAATTTTTAAACGAAAAACCTAGGAGGTAAGCAATTTAAGTTATGTATCAGATGTGTAGCCCAGGACAAAAGGAGAGAGCTGCAGATAATACATGACCCTTCCCACCGCAGCGAGGAGGCATAGTTAGGCGAGAGAGAACTCCACATGTCCCCAGGCCTTACCATGTCATTTTTTAGAGCCTAGAATCTAAAGGTGCTGCTAAGACTGGCAAGTCAAACAAGCATCAAAAATATTCCAGAAACAGTTTATAACCTTAAAATCTCTAGCAAAGATAGCATCTGACCTACCTAATTCAGATCAAATGTCTATATTAAATCCTGAAGATGTTTCTATTTTATTTCGCCAATAATTATAAAATTATCTTTATTTACTAAAGATTATTAAGGTCATGTGAACGAAAAGACATTTGAGTTAAAGTTTCTGGTTTTTTGATAAAGTATTTGATTTAAGCACTTACTTTTTTTCTTTAAGTCAATTAATTGGAGCTCTATTATATATTTTGGTAGTGAAACATCATACACATGACACAGATACACAGATAGAAGCAGATCTTAAAGGTTTATACAAGTCTCATTAGCCAGTTTTTAAATAGTTTTTTTTCCCCATACACTCTTCCAATTGCCTATTTTATTGCCCTAGGCAATTATTATCTAGGTAACCCTATACCTGTCTTTATAAAGGAACATTCTTAGGTGAAATGAGATAGAAAATGTATATTTCAAAAGCACAGAGCTAAGACATTAGTCCTATATATTGTACCATCATTTGCTCAAACCAAGGAAAAAATGGTATAAGTAAAAGTTCAGTTAAGATGGCCAGAAAAAGCTTGCTTGCTTGCTTGCTCTTTCTTTCTCTCTGCTTCTCTGTCTCTCTCTCTCTCTTTCTTTTTGTATTAGTCTGTTTTCACACTGCTGTAAAGAAATACCTGAGACTGGGTAATGTATAAAGGAAAGAAGTTTAATCGACTCACAGTTGTCCATGGTTGGCAGGCCTCAGGAAACTTACAATTATGGTGGAAGGGGAAGCAGGCAGGTCTCACATGGCAGCAGGTGAGAGGGCCAGAAAAAAGAGAAGGAAGAACTTCCAAACACTTAGAAAACCATCAGATCTCATGAGAACTCACTCACTATCACGAGAACAGCATGGAGGAAACTGCCCCCATCATCCAATCATCTCCCTTTCTCGACACATGGGGACTACAGGTCCCTTCCTCAGCACATGGGAATTACAATTCGAGATGAGATTTGGGTGGGGACACAGAGCAAAACCGTATCACTTTTCATTTTTGAGACAGGGTCTCACTCTGTCACCCAGGCTGGAATGCAGTGGTGTGATCATGGTTCACTGCAGCCTTGACCTCCCAGGCTCAAGCAACCCTCCTGCTTCAGCTTCCCAAGTAGCTGGAACTGTAACCAACCATCCCCATTTTTCTAAGAGATAATTTATTTTTTCTATCTTCTTTTCTCTTTCCTCCTTTTCCCACTTTCTAGTTAGTCCTTTAGAAATGCAAATATAGCCTTTTACCTCCCCTTCACCAGACATTCCCTACAGGGTAAGTTCATCTAACTATCTGCTTAGGAGCTCCAGAAAGGAAATCTCACCCACCAGGAGGTTGCCTTGAGAGATAACAGTCAATTTACAACCCAAAGTACACATGCCCACAAAGACACAGGCAGTCACCACCTTGACTACCTAGTAGATAAGGTACCAAACTAACATGTAGATGCTGCACTTGCTTACTTCCCCCGACCCCATGTGCCATTCATGTTAAGCCCCCTTTAAAAGTGCTTACTTCCTGCTCCAAAAGCAAAGTGATACCCCTAGGCAGGAAGCCTGTACTTGTTCCCCTCAGCTAGCTTTGGAATAATTTAAAAAAAAAAAATCACTTTCTTTATACCAGAACTCACTTTTATTAACTGGACTCTGCAAGCAGCAAATAGCTGAACCTGCATTTCGGTTACAATTTTGGTGGCCCATATAGGGAAAGTGCTGCATGCTCTGGGTGAATCTGTGCCTGACAGCCGGCTTTTGCTACCGGGCAAGGTTTTGTTGGGGTCACCTGTGAGCACCAGCTGCTCATGGCTAGCAGATCTCATGACAGGAACATTCAGGAACTTCTCAGCAGCTGCCAAAAATGCTTTTGGTTTGGGGGAGCCTCCCTTTCGCCTCACAGCACATTTGCTGCCTTCAACTCTCTGCTGGTATAAAGAAAGTGACCTCTGTAAGACCCGGCAAACTTTGGAAGTGGCTGAGTTAGCTGGAAGTGCACCTGATCACCCTCTGCTTCTTTTGGGGTGTCACTGGGGCCCGGTTCTACCTAAGACTTGGCTGCTAGTGACACCATTTGAGCATTTTAGGTGTTTCTGTTTGTAAGTGTGGCACCATGGGAGCTTTGCTGGGCCTATGGAACCATTTGGACCTGGGGAGGGGCATTCAGCATCTCACTCAGCCTCCTTGATTGGAGACTCATTTGGAAGTATGCTGTTTGTTTGCATGTACTTTGTGAATGGGCCCTGATTTCTTTCTTTCCTCTCTACCTCCAATCTCACTCTTCTAACTATCTTCAGAGAGCCACCTACAGCCTTAGTCCTCTCAACTGCAGGCTTCCCTAGCTCCCTATGACTGGAAACAGCTCATCTTGACCAGTGACTTGTGAAGGTGGGAGGGTCCCATCCCATATCATGTGGACCTGGGGTGCTGAGGCTCTCCTGAATGGGAGATAAACAGGGGTGATGGGAGTATCAACCCTGTGCCGTGTAGTGGCTGGAAGCTCACGAGCTCCCTTTCTATCGCTTTACTGTTTCTTCTTATTTCCTTTTCCTCTTTCTCATGCCCTGCTTGTAAAACCTGGCTCCTATGCAGAGGCTGGCCAGACTATATATTCCTCTATTTTCTTTTCTGCCTGCTTTAAATCTGCTGTTACTTTACCGGTGTTAAGACAAAAACCACCATTTGGATTCAACTGTTTTTTAATAAACAGATGAGTTTGCATTGATATCTCTTAGCTAGAGTTCAAAAATGAAAGCTATAAGATCTTTGTTTATATGAGTGTGTATATGTGTGTTTATGTGTACACACATGTATTTTGTTATATGTTGCTGCTACAAGGTACCAAATTGACTTGAAGTTAAGGAGTACTCATGAGACTTAAGGAAAATCTTGAATAAATAAGCTGGCTTTAAAATTATTGGTAAAATAATATTAGAAATGTCTTATGAATTGTCAATATACATTTTTGTTCAGATTTATTGATCAAGTGGTTTCATACTTATCTCTGCCAGATATTATAAGGCATCAAAATTTGGCATAAAAGTTAAAAAACTATAAACCTAGCCCCAAAAAGAATGATCTTTGCTTGTGTAATTTTTGATAAATAGGACATTTAATGTTGTTTAATAGAAACAGCTAAATCTTCTAAGTCGGCAGTCCCCAACATTTTTGGCACCAGGGACTGGTTTCGTGGAAGACAATTTTTCCATGGAGCCCGGGAAGAGGGTAATGGTTTGGGGATGATTCAAGCACATTACATATATTGTGCACTTTATTTCTATTATTATTACATTGTATATATAATGAAATAATTCTACAACTCACCACAATATAGAATCAGTGGGAGCCCTGAGCTTGTTTTCCTGTAACTAGACTGTCCCATCTGGGGATGATGGAAGATAGTGACAGATCATTAGGCATTAGAGTCTTATAAGAAGCACACACCCTAGATCCCTCGCATGCACAGTTCACAATAGGGTACATACTCCTATGAGAATCTAATGCCACTGCTGATCTGACAGGAGGCGGAGCTCAGGCAGTAATGCAAGCAATGGCGAGTGGCTGTAAATACAGATGAAGTTTCACTCGCTTGCCTGCTGCTTAGCTCCTGGTGTGCAGTCTGGCTCCTAACAGGCTATGGACTGGTCCATGGCCTGAGGGTTGGGGACCCCTGTTCTAAGTTATCAACAAAATGTCCACGTGTTTGACTATAAGGTTCTTAAATAAACGCCTGATGTTCACAAGCTTTAAAAGTGGTTAATAGAGAAATAACTTTAAATAATGACCACCTTTGTGTCATAACCTAGTTTTCAGAAGTAATCTAAATAAATGGTTAAAAATGAGAAAATGGAGTACCTATAAATGAGACAAATGCTTAGAAAAAATAAAAATTTTGTATAATTTGAAATCTGAAATCTTTTTTTTTTTTTTTTTTTTTTTTTTGAGACACGGCCTTGCTCTTTCACCCAGGCTGGGGTGCAGTGGTGTGATCTCTGTTCACTGCAACATCTGTTTCCCAAGCTCAAGTGATTCTTCTGCCTCAGCCTCCCGAGTAGCTGAGACCACAGGCACATACCACCATACCCCGCTTTTTTTTGTATTTTTGGAAGAGACAAGGTCTTGCCATGTTGCCCAGTCTGGTCTCGAACTCCTGAGCTCAAGCAATCTGTCTGCCTTGGCCTCCCAAAGTGCTGGGATGACAGGCGTGAGCTACCGCGCCTAGCCCATTTTGAATGCTTATTGAATATTTGGATCATTTCCACTCAAGAAAGTTTTATTATATGGGAAATATGTTCCAAAATTGTGAACTATAAAATGCTAATATTGCATCTATAAAATGCTAATATTGCATCTATAAAATGCTAATATCTGATAGGCAGTTCAGGATTTATTGCTTCCCAGGTTTACATAAAATGTGCCAAAGAAGATGTGTTCTTATTGAGAAAAAGAATACTTTCATCTAATTCGAAAGTTATCTAAAAGTTAATTCAAATTCTGGATTTGACAAGGTTATTGCATCCATGTAACTTTCTGTATTACCTTTAAAGTACTTCTGCTGTTAAGTTATAGGGCTTTGACTCCTTAGCCCTAAAAAGGACACAACATAATGTCATGTCTAGCCTTAATTCTCTTGAATGGTTAAAATCCTTTGCAAGCTCAACAGTGACTGCTCTAGACTCCTGGAAAAAGCAATAGCAATCACCTTGTGCTAACTCAGTAGCTAAGGCTTTGCTCTTTCACATTGACAGCCTAGGTTCAACTCCTGCCTTTGGAAGTAAGTCCTTTCTGGTTGATAGTTACGGGACTTACCATTTGTTGATTCTTTTCCACCTCCATGGACAGCTTCTGGTTTCCTGTCTTGAATTTTCTTTTCTCTGAGCTACCCTACAGAGAATTCTAGATCTTGTGAAAACTGTTTGCCATCTCTTTGGAGATACCTCATACATCCATGCTTAAGCTGTAACCTTAATTAAAGCTTATTGGTTTCACTTGGGAGAATATCTTTGGAAAACAAAAAACAAAAAACAAAAGCCTAAAGGCCAGAGGTGTCAGCTGTTTTTCCCACCTAGAATCTGGTAATAAGGGATTTTAAAAGATTTTTGTTTTTTGTTTTTTTTTAGAAAAAAAAGCTCTATCATTAAAAGTCAGCCTAACTAAATGCTGATATGTATTATATACATATTATATAAGTATATATAATATACAATCATATAATATAACATATATAATTTTTATATATTTTTATATAATAATTTATATATGATAGATATATACATATATTCAGTCAACTGAACTCTGTCTGTCTTCATGCTACCCTCAATGCTCACATGAGAGGGCCTAAGGTAATTTCTGATAGGCTGGGACTCCTTGGGAGAAACAGAGGAGGCACTGCGGACACCGTTTCAGGAGAAGCCTCTGTTTTCCTCATGGAACTCCAAGAATTGTGAGTAGAAAGATCCCTATCAAAATCTAAGGCTCTGTTCCGTTTTGCATTGTGTTACCTGAGCTTTTTGACTTTTAGGGGCATCAGAAATTACTCTGCATTACAGTAGAACTTTCAGCCTTGGTGTGTAATAGCTAGGTAACAAATATATTTTTAGGGATGGCTAATGGCACTTGCTTACAGTGAGTGGGCGTTACTACAGGCTGGTATTTCTTTCTTCTCGCATTTAAACAAGAAGAAAAACATGCTCTATTGGCACCTAGAAGGCATGGAATGGGGGATGTGCCGATTATAAAATGGCCTGATTGGCTTTGGTTTGCCCGTCAGCCTCGGGAGAATGTCCTTGGAGTGAAATGCACCAGTGAAACCATTGTACTGTCTTTTCCTGTATCATTTCCTTCAATTTTGGGGGACTCAGGATTCGGTGTGAAAATGGAATCCTTGGTTTTTGGAAATCTGTTCTGCTTTCCAGTGATGCCTGTTTTTCACACGATTAAATGTTAGGCCCTAGAAACTCCACGCTTTCTCGGCCCTGTTCCTCAAAGGGCTCCACCCTGAAGCCAGTAATCCAATGAAGAAACTTAAAATCTGGCAAATGAAAAGTCTTCAAACTACCAGATCATCTTCTGTCTGTCTGTGTATTTATATGTATTGTGTATGTGAAGTTTATATAAAAGAGCTCTAATTATTTGACTTAAAGAAAAACAAGTGCTTAAATCAAATATTTTGTCAGTAGAATAGGCAATTTAATGCCTTTTAGTTCACATGACTTTAGTAATCTTTGGTAAATAAATATAGTTTTCAAGATTATTGGTAAAATAAAAGATGTCTTCAAAATTTATACATTTGGTCTAAATTAGGCAGGTCAGATACTGTCTGCTAGATGCTTTAATGTCATAAACTGCTTCTATGACAATTTTTTTTTCTTTTGTGACAGAGTTTCACTCTTGTTGCCCAGGATAGAGTGCAATGGTGTGATCTTGGCTCACCACAGCCTCCACCTCCCGGCTTCAAGTGAATCTCCTGCCTCAGCCTCCCAAGTAGCTGGGATTACAGGCATGCACCACCACGCTCGGCTAATTTTGTAGTTTTAGTGGAGACAGGGTTTCTCCATCTTGGTCACGCTGGTCTCGAACTCTGACCTCAGGTGATCTGCTTGCCTCAGTCTCCCAAAGTGCTGGGATTACAGGCGTGAGCCACCACGCCCGGCCGACATTTTTGATAATCATTTGACTTGTCCGCTTTACAGCTAACAGATTTTAGATAGGATTTAGGCTGGGAAGAGTCAGACACTGTCTGCAGCTCTGTCTTACTCCTGAGCTCTACAATCCCGTACGCAGTTACTTACTTACTTACTTACCAGGTCTTTTGCCAAAAATAAAAGTTGCAAAGAGTTAACACTGTGACATGTACTTGAAACTACTAGAGAAACAGTTTAACACACAAGGTCTATAAGGAAAGTAGAGCGTACTTTTGGTAAGAGGTTATAAGAAGGCATGGAAGTATGGCCTTTGTTAAAGGGAATATTTAGGGGTTTTTTCGGTTTTATTTTTCTTGAGACAGGATCTCGCTTTGTTACCCAGGCTGGAGTGCAGTGGCATGATCATGGCTCACTGCAGTCTCGACCTCCCTGGCTCAAGCCATCCTCCAACTTCAGCTCCATGTGCAACTAGGACTACAGACGTGTGCCACCACATCTGGCTAATTTTTTAAAATTTTTTTGTAGAGATGAGGTCTCCCTATGTTGCCCAGGCTTGTCTCGAACTCCTAGCCTCAAGCAATCCTCCCACCTTGGCCTCCCAAATTGCTGGGATTACAGTTGTGAGCCACTGTACCCGGCCAATGTAATTTTGTCTAATTCAGAAGGTTTTAAGGATTGTCCTAACCTAAAAGAATAACGGGAGAAAACTGAAGGTTTAAACAAGCTGTAAATTGTGAAAGATTGATCTTGTAAAGGAAGTTCTGTGAGTATGAGCAAGTTGGCTAAAATTTGAAGGATATTTTTCAATTCGTCTGTAAATTCAGTATTAAAATAAAGCCACACCTAATTCAGAGCCAGAATCTGGGCCCATGTGTCTGGATAACAGGGTATTCTTGGAGCATTGATTTTTTCTTTAACAAAATATTGTAAAGGCTTATAAAAGGTTTATGGGAATTTTACCTTATGGTCAACTAATTAAAATTGGATAGATTTCTTTATAAGGTTTAATGAAGCTTTTTTTTTTTTTTTTTGACAGGGTCTCCCTCTGTCACCCAGGCTGCAGTGCAATGGTACAATCTTGGATCACTGCAATCTCCACCTCCTGAGCTCAAGCAATCCTCCCACCTCAGCCTCCCGAGTACCTGGAACTAAAGGCACAAAACACCATGCCCACCTAATTTTCGTATTTTTTGGTGGAGATGGGACTTCACCATGTTTGCCCAGGCTGGTCTCAAACTCCTGAGCTCAAGAAATCCACCCACCTCAATCTCCCAAACTGCTGGGATTACAGACATGAGCCACCACACTGGGCCTCCTTTTTTTTGGCTTTGAGACAGGGTCTCCCTATGTTGCCTAGGCTAAGTGAAATGGTGAAATCACAGCTCACTGCAACTTCAACCACCCAGGCTTAGGTGATCCTCCCACCTCAGCCTCCCAGGTAGCTGGGACCACAGGCATGCACCACTATCCTTGGCTAGTTTTTTTGTATTTTTTGTGTTTCATCATGTTGCCCAGGCTGGTCTCAAACTCCTGGGCTCAAGCAATCCGCACCTCAGCCTCCCAAAGTGCTGGGATTACAGGTGTGAGCCACCACCCCTGGGCCTTTTATTAAGAATAGTACACTAATGCAAAGATGCAATTTGGCTTTCTCTTTTGAACAAGATTTTCATGTAATTACTAAAAGATAATGAAAGGTTTTTTTTGTTTGTTTGTTTGTTTGTTTTTGGTTTTGCCTTTTAAATAAACAATCAAAAAAAAAAAGAGAAGGGAGAGAGAGAAAAGTCAGATTCGGGTTGGCCTCATGCTGTCTTTATTGGGTCTTGTGTGGAAAGTTGAGTTTTACCCTCTGTCAACAAGCAACATTTTTGCTTTTTAAAAATTTCTGAGCTGCCACCACAGCTACCGCAGCCTCTGGGAGCCTAGAAAAGGGGAATGAGAACAGTGAATGACTCAGTCCCCTGATGGCAGTGGTGGTGGTTGTGGCCAGGGAGACATGATGATGAGGTGGGGGCGCTGCTGCTGCGAGGAGCAGGCAATGATGTGGTGGGGGTGGGGGTGGGGCCGGGGCGGGGTGTTGGGGGGTGGCACAGGAATAAAAAGAAAAAGAATCACCAAAAACAGGGAAAAGTGGAAAAAGTTTAAAAGGACAAGACACAGTAAGATCAGAGCAAACTTCCTTCAGGAAAAATAGCCTTGTTGCTGTCCCATCTACAGTATCTGCTAAAATTAATGTACCAATCTCTCAGCCCATAGCCAAGAAAGACAAACAGCAAAATTCGTCAAGGTTTAGCACAAGCAATAATAAAGAACTTCAAACACTACCATCTTTAAATGATGTTCCTCCTGCTGATCAAGAGACACTTTTTATTTGGAAGTTACATCAGTGTTGTGTCCTCTTCCACTTTGTTTCTGATCCATGAAATGACTTAAAGTGGAAGGAAGAACAATGAGCTACTTTAAGTGAAATGGAAGAATTTATCACCCATCATTGGAATAGGATCACAGAGCCTGTTTACCCAGAAGTAGTCCATATGTTTGAAGTTGACATGTTTCAAACATTACCACCTTCTATCGTCCAGGAGCTGAATCTGGCCCAGAGAAAAACAAACCAATGTTAGAAGCAACTTGGCCCCATTTACAGCTCGTTTATGAATTTTTCTTCAGATTTTTAGAGGCCGGGCACGGTGGCTCACACCTGTAATCCCAGCACTTTGGGAGGCCAACGCGGGTGGATCACAAGGTCAGGAGATTGAGACCATCCTGGCTAACACGGTGAAACCCCGTCTCTACTAAAAATACAAAAAATTAGCCGGGCGTGGTGGCGGGCACCTGTAGTCCCAGCTACTCAGGAGGCTGAGGCAGGAGAACGGCGTGAACCCGGGTGGCGGAGCTTGCAGTGAGCCGAGATCACACCACTGCACTCCAGCCTGGGTGACAGAGCGAGACTCCATCTCAAAAAAAAAAAAAAAAAGATTTTTAGAGTTTCCAGATTTCCAACCTAATACAGCAAAGAAATATATTGATCAGAAGTTTGTATTGCAGCTTTTAGAGTGCTTTGACAGTGAAGATCCTCAGGGAAGTTTTTTGTTGTTGTTTAGTTTTTTGTTTGTTTGTTTTGAGACCGAGTTTTGCTCTCTCACCCAGGCTGGAGTGCAGTGGCACAATTATAGTTCACTGACTGCAACCTCCGCTTCCCAGGTTCAAGCAATTCTCCCACCTCAGCCTCCTGAGTAACTGGGACTACAGGCACGTGCCACCACACCTGGCTAATTTTAGTATTTTTTTTACAGAGACAGGGTTTCACCATGTTGCTCAGGCTGGTCTTGAACACTTGGCCTCAAGTGATCTACCCACCTCACTCTCCCAAAGTGCTGAGATTACAGGTGTAAGCCACGTGCCTGGCCTGGGAGAGAGCTTTTTCTAAAATCAGCCTTTGCAGAATCTATGGGAAATTCTTGGGCTTGAGAGCTTATATCAGAAAACAGATACATAATATATTTTATAGGTTTATTTATGAAACAGAGCATCATGATGACATAGCAGAGTTACTAGATATATTGGGAAATATGATTAATGGATTTGTTTTACCACTAAAAGAAGAGCACAGATTTTCTTAGTCAAGGTGCTATACCTTTGCACAAAGTGAAATCTCTGAGAGTCTACCATCCCCAGCTGGCATATTGTGTAGTACAGTTTTTAGAAAAGGATAGCACCCTCACTGCATCAATGGTGATGGCACTTCTCAAATATGGGCCAAAGACTTACAGTCCAAAAGAAGTAATTTTCTTAAACAAATTAGAAGAAATTTTAGATATAATTGAACCATTGGAATTTGGAAGATCATGGAACCTCTCTTCTGGCAGCTAGCCAAATGTGTCTCCAGCTCACACTTCCAGGTGGCAGAGCAAGCGCTCTATTACCGGAATAATGAATACATTATGAGCTTAATCAGTAACAGCGCAGCAAAGATTCTGCTGATCATGTTTCCATGCTTGTACTGCAATTCAAAGACCCATTGGAACAAGACAATACATGGCTTGATATCCAACACACTGAAGCTCTTCATGCAGATGAACCAAAAGCTATTTAATGACTGTACCTAACTGTTCAAAGCAGAGAAACTGAAAGAGAAGCTAAAAATGAAAGAACAGGAAGAAGCATTGGTTAAAATAGAAAATCTAACCAAAGCCAATCACCAGGTACTAAAAAAGAGAGTAACATGAAAATGTCCAGGGTGTTACTTGAATGTTTTCATAAGATAGGAATATATCTTCATCCTGAGAAGGAGGGATATCATTGGCTAAATAAATGACATATAGTGACCTGGGATTCTATTTTGTAATAGTAAGTGTTTAAACCTTTGATATTTGACAAACTTTCCAAAGTCAACTTCTAAATTAAGCTTTTTCTTTGATCTGGCTAACTCTTTTAGATATTAGGTACCCTAAAGTCCAAAAGAGACATATTTGGCTTATTTGGCATACTAAAACCATACAAAAAATATTGCCAAATATAAAATGGTGTTTAAACTTTCTTTGGGTCATATTCATATAAATATATTATTAGCATGTGTTCCAAAATTGTATAGGATTCCCATAATTCTGATATGTCCTATAATTCTGATATGTCTATATATTATCAGTAACAATTATAATTGTTATGTTAAATTGTTTTGTGCCATAAGGTGATCAGACTTTAACCACAGCTGTTCTGAGACTTTAGCCCCTCACTCGGCCTGGGCAGCCCCTCCCCTGACCCTGCCACGAGCAACCCCCTTGCTCCAGTACTCTTCAGGCCCCGGTGGCCTGGTGTTCATTTTGCAGGCCTGAGTGGCGGTGAGCAGAGTTATTTGTTAGGCTAGGGGAGAGAGGTGGCAATCCCCAAAGGAAAGGGAGCCTCAAACCCCTCTGTATGCAGTTGCCAATTGTTATTTCACTCTGATTCTTTTCATAGGCAGTTTTATAATCAGCTATAGGACTCTGAGAGTTGCCCTGGAATTTAAGTTTCTGATAACTTTGAAAATTGTGACATTAGAATAGAGGGAAAAACTTCCAAGACTGCCATAGAGAGTTAATGTGTTCATAAATGTCAAGCAGGACAGGAGTTAATTACATAGACTGAACTAATGGAAGACCAAAATAGTCTTTTTACAACTTTTTGTTTGAAACATTGCTAATTCTTTTGTTTCACAGAGTTCAGAAAACCTTTTGTCTTTTGTACTGTTTGCAGCTTTTAGCAACTGGGTAAATTACATTCTTGAGAGTAAAATTTAGAGCGTATTTCTTTCTGTCTACCTGGTTTCCTCAGAATTTGAAAACTATTTGTAAGTGTACTTAATTTATGGCAGTATAGTTGTTTGCACAAGTTCAATAAGAATCTTTTTTCTTTTGTAACAAGACACCATTGGAGACCCTGGTGATTTTACCAAGGCTTTGACTAGAGTGGCATACTTTCAGGTATAAACAGACTGCTTTAAGTAATCACAGTTGACTTATAGAGCCAATAAAAGCCCCTTGGGAAAACTGGCCTCATACCTTGTCTACACAGTCCTTGTATAGAGTTCCTCACCTGTGGTAAGTAAAGAATGTCACCTGACAGGTCCAGGAGCCCCAAATTACCTTGGGGCCTTAAGGAGAGGAATTCCCCCAACTCATATAAGTATTTGCAGGTACAGATAAATCCATGACTGGGCTCAAGTCTTTAAAAATCTAATCTGAGATTCCTTATGGAATAAAGGAATCAAACACTACCAGCAAAGTCAATTTTAGAAAGAGTCTATGTGGCAAGTAATAATTCTTGCTATACTTTATGCAAATATTCAGGCCACAGATGATAAGACTGAAATTTATTATGCAAATAAATTGGTTCTACAATGACTTGTCTTTAGTAAAAATAACTAGAGAGAAAAAAATATGTTTTAGAAAAAAAACATAGCACACCTGTTGTTAGAGTCTAGTTGTGTTCACTGTTTGTTTGTGAGTTTTTATTTTCTGCAATTTGGACTGAATCCTGAATTCCATCCAGGCTTCAAGTCCCAAATTATTGCTTGAAAATTTTTCTGACTTGGAATCAATGAAATTACTACTACATTATTCCTTGTAATATAGATGAGAAAGACATGTCAGACTACCACAGCCTTCCTCTTCTGTAACTAAAGATGCTTTGAGTCTAACATCTGAATAAATTGTGCTCAGTGTTAACCTTTGTTTTTCTTCTGTCTCCATAGAAATGACTCTTATTAATAATCTGTTTGCCTTTATCACATGTAGAGGCCTAGCCCACCTGCAATGCCACCTCCTGGATGGGACACAGATATTTAACTAAACTGATCCATTCTCAAGAACTAGACAGTGCTTATGACAATGTTCATGAGTATTCATAGCTCTTCCTGTAACCTGTTAAATACATATTTAGCCAACCTGTCATTATATCCAGTTATGATGGGCAGTGGACAACCTGTATGATAATTAAGACTAACTGCTGTGTATACATCCCAGTAAATTTGGGAAATGTCTCAGATAGCCCTGCAAGATACATACCAACAAATCAAAGCTTTGTCTGACTCCACATTGTCACTAGACCAGTGATTACTGTCCTGACTCAGGTCAGTACCATCCTGGTAGCAAAAGCTGGCTGTAACATTCGCCCTGATTTCAAGGATAGGCATATCCCTCTGTTGTGGAGTTTACTGCTGCTGCACCCTCCATATGGGAATGCGAGACGGGCTTTCCCCAGAGACTTTCCGGAACTTGCACCATAATGGTCCAACGAATATCATCTGTAAAGTCCAGGTATTCATGAATATTTCCAAATCCAAACAGATCAATTCCATACCAATACCCAATAACTACACTGTCTTTCAGCAGGAAGTAGCCAGAATAAATACAGTACCCCAATTTCACAGAGATGGAAGGGAACTTGGTAGTGGGGAATTGTAACCAAGTACTCCCATTTTCCTAAGAAATAGTTTATTTGTTTTCTTTCTCTCCTTTTCTTTTTCCTCCTTTCCCCACTTTTTACTTAGTCCTTTAGAAATGCAGATTTCTAAATTTTAATAGCCTTTTACCTCCCCTTCACCAGACATTCCCTACAGGGCAAATTCACCTAACTATATGCTTAGGAGCTCCAGGAAGGAAATCTCACCCACCAGGAGGTTGCCTCGAGAGATAACAGTCAATTTACAACCCAAACTATGCCTGCCCATGGAGACACCAGCAGTCACCAGCTCGATCACCTGGTAGATATGGCACTAAGCTAACATGCCAACCCCTCACCTGCTCACTTCCTCCCACCCCTTGTGCCATTAATGCTAAGCCCCCTTTAATAGTGCTTGCTTTCTGATCCAAAAGAAAAGTGGTACCCTCAGGCAGGAAGCGTTATAACTTCTTCCCCTAAGCTAGCTTCAGAATAAAATATCACTTTCTTTATACCAGACCTCACTCTTATTCAATGGACTCTGTTGGCAGTGAGCAGCTGAGCCTCCACTTTGGTTATAAGACTACAGGGCATGCCACCATGCCCAGCTAATTTTTAAATTCTTTTGGTAGAGGTGGGGTCTCACTATGTTGCCCAGGGTGGTCTCAAACACCTGGCTTCATGTGATTCTCCCACCTTGACTTTCCAAAGTGCTGGGATTACAGATGTGAGCCACTGGGCTCTGCCTGTATTTTGGCTTTTTAACTTAACTTATTTCCTATGTAGATAACTGGTTTTCGGTAAGGAAAGGGCCAGGAAAGCATGCAGCTTTAATATTTAAATATGCAACAAGTAGGCAAAGCTGGAAGGCAGAACACAGATGCCCCAAAATCAAGGATCCCATTTTACATTGAATCTTGGGTCCCCAAAAAGAGGGGGATACAGTGGAATGTGACAGTGCAATGCTTTTACAATACACTCCACTGCAGGGACATTCTCCCAAGATTGGTGGACAGCTCAACACTGATCAGCCCACTGTGTGATCAGGCCATCCCCCATGGGAGTCTTATCCCTTATTGGGGAGTGGGGGTATTTACGTAGCTTTTAAATACCCAAAAGCACATTTTCCCCCTCCAAATGTGCCACAAAATAAGTAGCACCTTGGAGTAATAACCATTCACTATAAGTAACTACCACTAGCCATCTCTAAGAGTGTATCTCTTACTTAACTATTACATACACCAAGGTTATTTTTGCGCAATGCAAAGTAATTTCTGGTACCCCAAAAAGCCAAAAAGACCACATAACACAATACAGAAAGAACAGTTTTAGATCTGAGAGGACTATGTCCATTTACAACTTGGGATTCCCAGAGGAAAAAAAAGCAGGTGCTCCCAAAAAGGAGTCTGTGGCACCTTTTTCTGTTTTTCTTAAGGGTTCTCGGGCTGTTAGAATTTACAATATATGAAGAATAGGGTGAAATAAAACTAACTTGAAGAACAATTTTTAAGAAAAGGAAGTGAACATAGAAACCAAACACATGAGTTCTTTAAAAAGGTTTCAGTCATCTGAAAAAAAAAAATTCCCAAAAATAGAATAAAAAAAAAGGGAAGAAAAGTATAAGGCCTTTTAAATACACACACACACACACACACACACACACACACACACACGTATATATATATGTGTATATATTTATAGAGAGAGAGAGAGACAGAGAGAGAACACTTGAATATCAGCTTTTAATTAAGCTGATTTTTAGCCACAGAGCTCTTTAAAAAAACAATTCTTTCAAGTCTCCTGTTACCAGATTTTACCCAGGACAACAGCCGATATTTTTGGCTTTTGAGTTTCTTTACCAAAGGTATCTTTCTAAGGGTCTCAATCAAAATTATGACTTAATCATGGGTGCACGAGTTATCTCCAAAGAGGTGGCAAACAATTTTTACACGATCCAGAATCACCCTAGAGATAGCTCAGAGAAAGGAAAACACAGGACGAGAAATCGGAAACTGTCCATGGAAGGAAAAAGGATCAATAAATGGCAATTCCCTGGCTGGGTATTGAACCCACGCAGCATTAGTCAAATGGGAGAGACTTAGCTACTGTACTACGGCATGGGGTGGTGCATTAGCCTGTATTTGCATTGCTATAAAGAAATACCTGAGGCTGGGTAATTTATAAAGAAAAGAGGTTTGATTGGCTCATGGCTCTGCGGGCTTTAAAGGAAGCATGGTGCTGGCATCTACTTCCGGTGAGGCCTCAGGACACTTACAATGATGATAGAAGGTGATAGGGAGCCAGCATGTCACATGCCAAGAGTGAGTGAGAGAGAGAGAGAGAAAGAAGAGAGATCCTAGACTCTTTTAAACAACCAGAACTTGCATGAACTAAGAACTCACTTATCACCAAGGGAATGGTGTTCAACTCTTCATGGGGGATCTGCTCCTATAATCCAATCACCCTCCCTCCGCCCAGGTCCCACCTCCAACTTTGAGAATCACATTCAGCGTGAGATTTGGAGAGGACAAACATCCAAACCACATCAGGTGCTCTCCACTGATCTTCCCGGAGGGAATGTAGAGCAGGCAGTTTTGAACTTGCAAAAGATTTTAACTTTCAGGTCAAAACTTTTTTTTTTCACTCTTTTTAATTTTATCAAGAGAATTTCTAAGGCTAGCCATGATACTAGCCTATGTCCTTTTAAAATTTTTGATTTTCCCATTAATTATTTAGAATAAGAAATGTATAAAATCTTTTTTATTTTCAGTGGTGTACTTAGTTCCAATAGTAACTCAATGCAAAAGCCTCTTGAAAGCCCAGGTGGTAACTTTCCAGGTTTTTTTCTACATAAGCAAGAGGTATTCCTGGGGAGGGCGTCGAGGAAGCAATCCCCATGATCATTAAAAACTTACTCTCAGAAATAGACTTAAAGTAACAAAAGACAATGTGAAAGGAGAATAAATACTTGGGGCCCTAATTCATTATGCCAAAAGAAAAAAATTATCCTGAAAGCTGAGTCATGTAAGATGTTGCCTTGCCTTTTGTTCCTAAGCAGATAGCTGCAGATAAAAGGTTAATCATCTCCTCAGGCAGCTACTCTATGTTCACCTTATCTTATGTAAAGTGCTGATTTACTGATCATGAGATAAATACATAATTGTATACATAAATTGAATGCATAAATTCCCCTGCCTGCTGCTTTTCTCTTGCAACATGTGGATTACCATACCCTCCCTCTTTCCCCTCCAGCCCACTTTTCCCCTTTAAAAACTGAAGCCCTCAAAATCACAGCTAGAGAAAGGCACAGACCACAGACTGTTTCTGTGATTCCATGTTTATTTCTTCCAAGGATGTCCTTAACCTTGGCAAAATAAACTTCTAAATTGATTGAGACCTGTCTCAGATACTTTTTGGTTTACACAACAGAAGCCCCATAGAGACGGGACCTTTTAAGACAAAACTCCCCTAAGAGCTTGACACCCT
Organism: Homo sapiens; assembly: GCF_000001405.40. Lineage (NCBI taxonomy): Eukaryota > Metazoa > Chordata > Mammalia > Primates > Hominidae > Homo > Homo sapiens. Next base: position 138,030,552 of record NC_000007.14, read on the forward strand.
TGAGATGAAGAGTGTGCTGCTTAAAATATTACATCTTGGACTCCCTGTCCTTTCAGACTGGTCCCCTGATATGAACCCAAAAATTCATGCCCTCTTCCTGGACACAGTGTAATGCCTGTAATCCCAGCACTTTGGGAGGCTGAGGCAGGATCCAGTCACCTCCCATCAGGCCCCACCTCCAACATTGAGCCCAGGAGTTCGAGACCAGCCTGGGCAACATAATGAGATACCATCTCTACACAAAATCAAAAAAAATTAGCCAGGCATTGTGGCACGTGCCCATAATCCAAATTACTTGGGGAGCTGAGGTGGAAGGATCACTTGAGCCGATGAGGTCAAAGCTTTGGTGAGTCATGATCACACCACTGCACTCCAGCCTGGATGACAGAATGAGATCTTGTGTCAAAAATAAAAGTTAAAATTTAAAAAAAAATCATGCAGTCCGGATGGCAGAGACCAAGAGAGGGTACCCCCATCTAGTCACAAGATCAAGCTCTCAAGGCCATAAAACAAGATGAGAGGGGACTCTCATCTGATTTTTATTTCTGGGACCTACAGCAAAGTTTGTCTTTACAGATGACAACATAGAACTGTGAAAACTGATGAGTCTGCAGGCTCTTGAACAGTGGGTTTAAAGGGGTTCTAGGCTCATGTTCTCCCCTACGGTACCCCTCTTTATGACGGAACAACCCAGAAAGAAAAAGACAAAGGAAAAGAGCAACAAAAAAAGCTATTTCTGCGAGGGAAGTGGGTCAAACAGTATGAATATTCATACCACATGTACACCAGAGTCACTACAACCCAAGGCTTGTCACACAAATTCTTTTTTCCCATTGATCAAAACCATGTAGAGGAGACAACCAGTGATTTTTACCATCTCATCGGCTGGAGTGCACAGAGGGAGAGAGGCCCCCTGGCTGGTAAGAAATTCTTACCCCTTTGCTTCCGGGTTCCGGGTAAAGGAATCCTTTGCCCAGGTTCCTGGTTTCTCTTCAATGCAGCTTCCAGGACAGAAGCATAGCTTTGACCATCCTGCTCACACTGCCATGTTGTGGGGGCTATGGCCATTCACCCACTAAAGGTTCATTGAAAAATCACTGGCATGAAGCAGACTGATTAAGAGGAGAAAAGACATAAAAATTAATTCAATGTGTCTACATAGGAGCCTTCAGAATGAAGACCCAACTTCCCAGTGAGTAATAGAAACTTTTTGAGTTATAGAAACTTATATACTGTCTTGAAGTTATACAAAGAATGGGGGCTTGTACCCTGGTAACATAGATTATGGGAGCAGGTAGAAGAGGAATTCCACTGAGGGGCGATAAATAATTGATAGGGAGAATGATTGGATTGGGGAGCAGAGATCAACTTGCAAATCATTTTCTTTGGAATTTAAATGATCCTTGGAGACAGTCTTTATACCGTCTTCTCAGGTATGGTCACATCTGGGTCTTTTCTGCAATAGATAATGAGATAACGGAGCGGAAGAAAGAACTGTCCTCCTTGCTGGATCCGGATCCTAGGCAGATAAAGGAACGTCAGCTTCTTTGGGAGAGGCAGTGGAGGACAGGGGAAGGTCAAAGAGACCTTGAGGCTTTTTCAGTTCAGCAAGTCAAAATGCCATACTTGGAGGTATTGGTTTCTGAGCCCCAAACAGCTTTATATTTTTACTTTTCACATTTAAATATATGATCTGTGAAAGGAAAGTAGAAAGTTGGGATCCCAACTCACTCTGCCAAAAGAAAAAAAAATTAACCTGAAAACTGAGTCATGCAAGAAGCTACTTTCCATTTTGTTACTAAGCAGCAAGCTACAGATAAGTTAAAAATCTCCACAAGTAGCTATTCTGTGGTCACCTTATGGTATAGTGAGCACAGGATGAATACATAATTGACTATTCCCCTACCTACTTTTTTTCTCTTACAACATGTGGATTCAGTAATGTGACCATATCCTCCCTCTGTCTCCTCCAGCCTGCTTTTCCCCTTTAAGTACTGAAGCCCTCAAAATCATCTTTGGAGAAAGAAACAGGCCTGTCTCCCAGGCACACATCCTTCACTTTGGCAAAATAAAGTTCTAATCAATTGAGACCTCTCTTGAATACTTTTTGGTTTATAAATTGGCAACCCAGGTAAGGGACTCTGAGTGGAGGTGTCCCTTACCTTTGACAAATCTCCTATTGGTGCTTGGTACCAGCGTGAACGAATATCTTTATTGCTCAAACCAACAGGACATTTTGCTGAGGTCTGGGAGCTACTCCCCTCCACAGAATCCTTGATCTCCCCAAATTTGGTTGCGATTTAAGGTTTATTTTGCTGTACAACTCCTTTTTCTGGAGTTTTATTCACTTCCAACAAGAAGGCCAGCTTTTTTGCTTCCATGACGATGGAGAGCAGCCAACTCATTCCTGGAGCTTCAGCTCACTTCCAACAGGGAAGGAATGTTTGAGATTTTTCCTGCTTCTAAGATGGTAGAGCGCAGTCTTCAGCCTGGGCCCCATTCCTAGATAAGTAGCTGAATTTGGGTTTTGTCTTGGAAATTCTCCTTAATGACTAAAGTTAACATTAACAACCAGCTGATCTTAATTTTTCCTTACCATTAGAGTATTCAGTTATTGTATAAATTATGCAATTGTTTGTTTTGCTAACTGTTTTTTGTTTCTGTTTTTGTTGTTGTTTTGATCTTTTTCCTTCGGGTTTGACCAACTCTACCCAACTTGATCAAGTCTGAAAAAAAGTTCCAAATTATGCGGAACAAAGCCTCTGAATTAGCTAAATTCCCATAGCCGGGGGGGAAAAAAAACGGCCAGCAAAAAAAGAAAGAGTTTTACTACTTGAGGGACTGCATTTGCATAACTAGGCCACCTTTTGCTAGCCAAGCCAAACTGATAGAGCAATGACTTCACATTGTAATCAGTAGCTAAGATTCCACCCTGTTTTTCACCATGACAGCCTGGGTTGGTTCCTAAATCAGGTTATCTCTGGCTTGACATTTCTGTTACTTTTGAAATATCAGTAGTTTGTCCCAGCTAAAAAATGGTATTGAGATTTAAAAGGATTTTTTAAGAGCTCAAAGGTTAAAAGTCTGCTTAATTAAAAGCTAATATCCAAGATGTAAATGTGTCTCTGTGTGCATTTTCATATTTATATATTACCTATATAATATGTAATTCATATTTATATATTATCTATAATATAAAATTCATAATATAATATGTATAATGTATATATATATATTTAAAAGGCCTTTATGTTTTCTTTCTCTCTAGGGTCTTGTTTTTTGAGAAAAAGGTTTTTTTCTTCGCAGTTGACTGAATTATGTTTTCTCCATTTACTTCTACCTGTCTCTCCTTCCTCTTGCCACCCTCTGCTGCATGAGGGAACTAAAATAATTTCTTTTTTTTTTCGAGATGGAGTCTTGCTGTAGTTGCCCAGGCTGGAGTGCAATGGTGTGATCTCAGCTCACTGCAACCTCTGCCTCCTGGGTTCAAGCAGTTCTCCTGCCTCAGCCTCCCAAGTAGCTGGGATTACAAGTGCCTGCCACCACACCTGGCCAATTTTTTTGTATTTTTAGTAGAAATAGGGTTTCACCACGTTGGCCAGACTGGTCTCGAACTCCTGACTGCCTTGGCCTCCCACAGTGTTGGGATTACAGGTGTGAGCCACCATGCCCAGCCAAACTAAAATAATTTCTAACAGCCTGGGCTTCCTTGAAGAAAACAGAAGGTGCTAGACTCCTTTTTGGGGCAAAACCTCTGTTTTTTTTATGACCCCCAAGAGTTTAAACAGACAAAGTCCTCTCATATCATAATCTGCTTGCTTTTGTATTGTGTTACCTGATTTTTTTTTTTTTTTTTTTTTTTGAGACAGAGTCACTCTGTTGCTTAGTGCAATGGCACTTAGGCTGGAGTGCAATGGCACGATCTTGGCTCACTGCAACCTCTGCCTTCTGGGTTCAAGCAATTCTCCCACCTCACGCTCCTGAATAGCAGGGATTACAGGCATGCACTGCCACACCCAGCTAATTTTTTTGTTTTTTAAATAGAGACAGGGTTTCACCATGTTGGCCAGATTTCTCTTGAACTCCTGACCCCATATGATCCTCCTGCCTTGGTCTCCCAAAATGCTGGGATTGCAAGCATGAGCCACTGTACCCAGCCTTACCTGATTTTTTTTTTTTTTTCTAAAATAGTTATTACAACAGGGATACTCTTGGGTGTTTAACATAAGAAAGGGTGTGTTAGTCCGTTTTCATGATGCTTATAAAGACATACCAGAGACGGGGAAGAAAAAGAAGTTTAATTGGACTTACAGTTCCATATGGTTGGGGAGGCCTCCGAAACATGGCAGGAGGCGAAAGGCCCTTCTTACATGGTGGCGGCAAGAGAAAATGAGGAAGATGCAAAAGCGGAAATCCCTGATAAAACCATCAGATTTTGTGAGGCTTATTCACTACCATGAAAACAGTATGGGGGAAACCACCCCCATGATTCAAATTATCTCCCACTGGGTGCCTCCCATAACGTGTAGGAATTATAGGAGTACACTTCAAGATGAGATTTGGGTGGGGACACAGAGCCAAACTATGTCATTCCACCCCCGGGCCCTCCAAATCTCTTGTCCTCACATTTCAAAACCAATCATACCTTCCCAACAGTCCCCCAATGTCTTGACTCATTTCAACATTAACCCAAAAGTCCACAGTCCAAAGTCTCATCTGAGACAAGGCAAGTCCCTCCTACCTATGAGTCTGTAAGATCAAAAGCAAGCTAGTTACTTTCTACATACAATGGGGGTACAGGTATTTGGTAAATACAGCCATTCCAAATGGGAGAAATTGGCCAAAACATAGGGGTTACAGGACCCATGCAGGTCCAAAATCCAGTGGGGAAGTCAAATTCTAAAGCTCCAAAATGGAGGAGGCTGAGACAGGAGAATCACTTGAACACAGCAGGCGGAAGTTGCAGTGAGCCGAGATTGCGCCACTGCACTCCAGCCTGGGCAACAAGAGCAAAACTCCATCTCAAAAAATAATAATAATAATAATTAGGCAAATGGAGTAAATTCTTATAAATAAACTTGTCATATAATTTAGAATCTAAAATTACATTGGATTAAATAATACTCATATGTCTGAGTCATTTCCAATTTTTTTTAGAAAAATTATAGGAAAATATTTTTCTAAAGAATTGTGCTCTTGCCTGGGTTTGGTGGCTCATGCCTACAATCCCAGCATTTTGGGAAACCAAGATAGGGGGATCACTTATGCTTAGGAGTTCAAGACCAGTCTGGCCAAATTGGTGAAACCCTGTCTCTACGAAAAATACAAAAATTAGCCAGGCGTGGTGGCATGCACCTGTAGTCCCAGCTATTCAGGAGGCCTAGGTGGGAGGACCAGTTGAGCCTGGGAGGTGGAGGTTGCAGTGATCTGAGATGGTACTACTGCACTCCAGCCTGTGGAGGCAAGACAGGGTCTGGCTGTCATACACACACACACACACACACACACACACACACACACACACACCAAATGTGTTCTTATTTAAAGGAAAATAATTTTTGTCTAATTAAAAGGTTATTTATGAAACAAGGTAAAAGGAACCAGTAAATAAGAGAGATGTAAAGATGGTTATAGTTATAAAGAGACACTTTTTGGTAAGAAAGCTTAAAAGGAAAATAATTTTATATGAGAAAGAATCTTGTATGGTAAATTTTCTGTCCTACAATGACTAGTTATTTAAGAAAGAGGGATGTTTAGGAAAAAACAGGAAGCCCAAGCATGTCATAAATGTTTTATGTAAGTGGTAATAAGGTTTGTAAAAAGAGGATTTATGAGAAAAAAACTTTATGTAATCGAGTTGGCTAGAATTAAAAGAAAATTATTTATGATAGTCTTTCTAAAAATTGGGCTTTCATATGAAAAAAACCCACGAATACACTAAAGAATTAGTTAGAACAACATTTTCTTAAAGTATTAATTTTCTCCTAATAAAGTTACAAAAGAATTTTTATTTTTATTTTTATTTATTTTTTTGAGACAGAGTCTCGCTCTGCTGCCCAGGCTAGAGTGCAGTGGTGCGATCTCTGCTCACTGCAACCTCCGCCTCCTGAGTTCAGGCAATTTGCCTGCCTCAGCCTCCCAAGAAGCTGGGATTACAGGTGCGTGCCACCACACCCAGCTAATTTTTTGTATTTTTGATAGAGACGGGGTTTCATCATGTTGGCCAGCCTGGTCTCGAACTCCTGACCCCGTGATCTGCCCGCCTCAGCCTCCCAAAGTACTGGGATTACAGGCGTGAGCCACCACGCCCAGCTGAGATTTTTATTTCTTTAACTCAAAAGTTCAACTTTTACTGCATCTCACTGTTTTTAGCTTTCTCTTCATTTTGAGAAGGATTTAGATAATTACTCTCTCTCCTCCAAGTTTTTCATCAGTTCTTGTAACTTTTTTCCTCAGGTTCTAACTGCTGTTGTGGTCTGATGCTAAAAATGTTTTTCTTTAACAGTTTAAAGGAAATGTTGTCTTCTAAGATAACATTCTGTGCTCTTTGCTTTAAATTCTTCTATGAAACTTAAAATGTTCACTTATGACCCAGGACACACTATTCCTATGTCTAACTAATTCAAGTACACTTTTCGTGAGTTTTGACTTCCAGGTTATCTAAATGGACTCCCCATAGGGAAAAACAGTCACAGTGCAGATGCATTCTTTTTTTTTTTTTTTTTTTTTTTTTTTTTGCTGTTTGGTAACTGGTCTCACAAACAGATTTTTGTTTTCTCAAAATAATTCCTATGACATTGTTATTAAGTTTTGATTTGCTTAGGAAAACTGAAATTAAACTTTTAAAATTTAAGGTTATTACACCCATGTAACTTTCTGTATTGCTTTTATAGTCCTTATGCCATTAAGTTACAGGGCTGCTTCTCTTGGGTCTAAAAAGGACACCAAGTCCTGCCAAATCTTAAACACTGATGGCAGTTAAAGCCTCATCTTCAAACCTGGGAAAAGAGGACAATCAAAATAAACTGTGTTCATAAGACCCAGGGCCAGAAATTAAAACTATTCAAACCCTCTAAGCCCAGGGACTATCATGGAAGAGGTGGATGCATGAGATTGTAAAGGGGAGACACTTTCTGAGAGATAAAATTAATTCAGATTTTCTCTGTAAATTAAACATTAATATCAAAGGCACATTGATGCTACTAGACCTTGTCAAATTAACAAGGTTTTCTTGGAGCATTAAACCACTTCTTAATTTAAATAAACTATAAAATGTTATAAAAAAAAGGTTTATGGAGGCCAGGCGTGGTGGCTCATGCCTGCAATCCCAGCACTTTGGGAGGCCGAGGTGGGCAGATCACGAGGTCAGGAGATCAAGACCATCATGGCTAACACGGTGAAACCCCGTCTCTACTAAAAATATAAAAAATTAGCCTGGCGTGGTGGCGGGCGCCTATAGTCCCAGCTACTTGGGAGGCTGAGGCAGGAGAATGGTATGAACCTGGGAGGCAGAGCTTACAGTGAGCCAAGATTGTGCCACTGAACTCCAGGCTGGGCAACAGAGCAATACTCTGTCTAAAAAAAAAAAAAAAAAAAAAAAGTTTATGGAATTTAGATTTTATGATCAAGATAATTATAATTTAATAGATTTGTTTAAAACATATGAAAGACAGACTTGACTGGCCTCATGCCATCTTTATTAGGACTTGCTTACTGTTTGGGAAATTAAGTCTCCTCTCTGAAAGAATAAAGGTTTTTGCTTTAAAAAAATATTTGAGTTATCACTTTGGTCAAATGAATGACTTATTTTACAATGACCTGTGATCCTATTTAGTGATATCAAGAGTTTAAACTTTTAATATTCGTCAAAGTTTCCAAAATCATATTCTAAATTCAGTCCTTTTGACATCATTTAATTTGTTTGATATTAAGTCCCCCAAAGTCCAAAAGAGACATATTTGGCTTACTTGGTATAATAAAATCATACAGGAAGCATTGTCAAATATGAATTGATGTTTAACCTTCTTTGGATTATATTTATATAAATGTGTTAAAAGTATGTGTTCCCCCCACTGTCAATATTAGCCAGATCAATGAGACACAAGATTAATAGGGATATCCAGGACTTGAACTCAACTCTACACCAAGCAGACCTAAAAGACATCTACAGAACTCTCCACTCCAAATCAATAGAATATACATTCTTCTCAGCACCACATCGCACTTATTCCAAAATTGACCACATAGTTGGAAGTAAAGCACTCCTCAGCAAATGTAAAAGAACAGAAATCACAACAAAGTGTCTCTCAGATGACAGTACAATCAAATTAGAACTCAGGATTAAGAAACTTACTCAAAACCACACAACTACATGGAAGCTGAACAACCTGCTCCTGAATGACTACTGGGTAAATAATGAAACAAAGGCAAAAATAAAGATGTTCTTTGAAACCAATGAGAACAAGAACACAACGTACCAGAATCTCTGGGACGCATTCAAAGCAGTGTGTAGAAGGAAATTTATAGCACTAAATGCCCACAAGAGGAAGCAGGAAAGATCTAAAATTGACACCCTAACATCACAATTAAAAGAACTAGAGAAGCAAGAGCAAATACATTCAAAAGCTAGCAGAAGGCAAGAAATAACTAATATCAGAGCAGAACTGAAGGAGATAGAGACATAAAAAACCCTTCAAAAAAATCAGTGAATCCAGGAGCTGGTTTTTTGAAAAGATCAACAAAATTGATAGATCACTAGCAAGACTAATAAAGAAGAAAAGAGAGAAGAATCAAATAGATGCAATAAAAAATGATACAGGGAATATCACCACCGATCCCACAGAAATATAAACTACCATCAGAGAATACTATAAACACCTCTATGCAAACAAACTAGAAAATCTAGAAGAAATGGATAAATTCTTGGACAAATCCACCCTTCCAAGACTAAACCAGGAAGAAGATGAATCTCTGAATAGACAAGTAACAGGCTCTGAAATTGAGGCAATAATTAATAGCCTACCAACCAAAAAGAGTCCAGGACCAGATGGATTCACAGACAAATTCTGCCAGAGGTACAAAGAGGAGCTGGTACCATTCCTTCTGAAACTATTCCAATCAACAGAAAAAGAGGGAATCCTCCTTAACTCATTTTATGAGGCCGGCATCATCTTGATACCAAAGCCTGGCAGAGACACAACAAAAAAAGAGAATTTTAGACCAATATCCCTGATGAGCATCAATGCAAAAATCCTCAATAAAATACTGGCAAACCGAATCCTGCAGCACATCAAAAAGCTTATCCATCACGATCAAGTCGGCTTCATCCTTGGGATGCAAGGCTGGTTCAACATATGCAAATCAATAAACATAATCCATTGCATAAACAGAACCAATGACAAAAACCACATGATTATCTCAATAGATGCAGAAAAGGCCTTCAACAAAATTCAACAGCCCTTCATGCTAAAAACTCTCAATAAACTGGGTATTGATGGAACATATCTCAAAATAATAAGAGCTATTTATGACAAACCCATAGCCAATATCATACTGAATGGGCAAAAACTGGAAGCATTCCCTTTGAAAACTGGCACAAGACAGTGATGCCCTCTCCCACTACTCCTATTCAACACAGTGTTGGAAGTTCTGGCCAAGGCAATCAGGCAAGAGAAAGAAATAAAGGGTATTCAATTAGGAAAAGAGGAAGTGAAATTGTCTCTGTTTGCAGATGACATCATTGTATATTTAGAAAACCCCATCGTCTCAGCCCCAAATCTCCTTAAGCTGATAAGCAACTTCAGAAAAGTCTCAGGATACAAAATCAATGTGCAAAAATCACAAGCATTCCTATACACCAATAACAGACAAACAGAGAGCCAAATCATGAGTGAACTCCCATTCACAATTGCTACAAAGAGAATAAAATACCAAGGAATCCAACTTACAAGGGATGTGAAGGACCTCTTCCAGGAGAATTACAAACCAGTGCTCAACGAAATAAAAGAGGACACAAACAAATGGAAGAACATTCCGTGCTCATGGTTAGGAAGAATGAACATCGTGAAAATGGCCATACTGCCCAAGGTAATTTATAGATTCAATGCCATCCCCATCAAGCTATCAATGACTTTCCTCACAGAATTGGAAAAAACTACTTTAAAGTTCGTATGGAAACAAAAAGGAGCCCACATTGCCAAGACAATCCTAAGCAAAAACAACAAAGCTGGAGGCATCATGCTACCTGACTTCAAACTATACTACAAGGCTACAGTAACCAAAACAGCATGGTACTGGTACCAAAACAGAGAGATAGACCAATGGAACAGAACAGAGCCCTCAGAAATAATACCACACATCTACAACCATCTGATCTTTGACAAACCTGACAAAAACAAGAAATGGGGAAAGGATTCCCTATTTAATAAATGGTGCTGGGAACACTGGCTAGCCATATGTAGAAAGCTGAAACTAGATCCCTTCCTTACACCTTATACAAAAATTAATTCAAGATGGATTAAAGACTTAAATGTTAGACCTAAAACCATAAAAACTCTAGCAGGACACCTAGGCAATACCATTCGGGACATAGGCTTGGGCAAGGACTTCATGACTAAAACACCAAAAGCAATGGCAACAAAAGCCAAAATAGACAAATGGGATCTAATTAAACTAAAGAGCTTCTGCACAGCAAAAGAAACGGCCATCAGAGTGAATAGGCAACCTACAGAATGGGAGAAAATTTTTACAATCTACCCATCTGACACAGGGCTAATACCCAGAATCTACAAAGAACTTAAACAAATTTACAAGAGAAAACAAACAGCCCATCAAGAACTGGGCAAAGGATATGAACAGATGTTTCTCAAAAGAAGACATTTATGCAGCCAACAGACACATGAAAAAATGCTCATCATCACTGGCCATCAGAGAAATGCAAATCAAAACCACAATGAGATACCAGCTCACACCAGTTAGAATGTGATCATTAAAAAGTCAGGAAACAACAGATGCTGGAGAGGATGTGGAGAAATAGGAAAGCTTTTACACTGCTGGTGGGACTGTAACCTAGTTCAACCATTGTGGAAGACAGTGTGGCCATTCCTCAAGGATCTAGAACTAGAAATACCATTTGACCCAGCCATCCCATTACTGGGTATATACCCAAAGGATTATAAATCATGCTGCTATAAAGACACATGCACACGTATGTTTATTGCAGCACTATTCACAACAGCAAAGACTTGGAACCAACCAAATGTCCATCAATGATAGACTGGATTAAGAAAATGTGGCACATATACACCATGGAATACTATGCAGCCATAAAAAAGGATGAGTTCATGTCCTCTGTAGGGACATGGATGAAGCTGGAAACCATCATTCTGAGCAAACTATCACAAGGACAGAAAACCAAACACCGCATGTTCTCACTTATAGGTGGGAATTGAACAATGAGAACACTTGGACACAGGGCAGGGAACATCACACACCAGGGCCTTTCGTGGGGTGGGGGGCAGGGGGAGGGATAGCATTAGGAGAAATACCTAATGTAAATGACAAGTTAATGGGTGCAGCAAACCAACATGGCACATGTCTACCTATGTAACAAACCTGCACGTTGTGCACATGTACCCTAGAACTTAAAGTATAATTTTAAAAAAAAGTATGTGTTCCAAAACATATACTTTTGTGTGATATTCCTGTGATTCTGATATGTCTTAGTGTATTAGTACTAATTATGATTATTATGTAAAATTGTTGTATGCCACAGAAGTAACCAAATTTCTTTGTCAATTGTATCTTTAACCATAGCTGTTCTAAGATTTTTGTCATTCATAATTGTTGTTTTACTCTGCTACTTTTATAAGGCAGTTTATAATCAGCTATAGAACTCTGAGGAGTACTCTTAAATATACATTTCTGATAACTTTAGAGATTGTTCCATTGAAATAAAGAGGAAAACTTACAGGACTTTCATGGAGAGCTGATGAATTCATGAGGTTTGCTAATCCAATACCAGGAAGAACAGGAGTTAATTGCATGGGCTGAACTAATAGAAGACTGAAATAATGTTTTATGACTTTTTGTGTAAAACGTTTGCTTATTCTCTTATTTTTCAGTTAAGAGAACTTTTTCTTCTTTTAAGCTATTTACAGCTCTTAACAATTGAGTAAAGTATACTCTTATGAGCAAAATTTAAAACATAATTCCTTTCTCTCACTGAATTTCTACAAATTTTGGAACTATTAAGTGAATATTCTTAATATATGATAATATAGTTATTTGCATAATTTTAGTAACAGTCTGTTTTCTTTTATAACAGAGCATAATTTGAGTCACTGATTATTTTACCAAGGCTTTGACTGGGATGACATTTTCAGATTGCCTTGAGAAAATGAGGCTGATCTATAGAGCCAATAAAACACCCTCGGAAAAATTGGCCTAATATTTTGTCCTTTACAGGGTCCTGACCTGTGGATATGCAAAGAACGTCACTTTCTTCCTTTTCTGAAGCAGGTTAAAGAAAAAAAAAGAATGACACTTTCTGGCAGGCCCAGGAACCCTAAGTTTTCTTGGGACCTTAAAAAGAGGAATTCACCCAATTCACACAGGCATTTGCAGGCACAGGTAAATCCTTGGCTAGGCTCCAGGCTTTTAAAAAGGTCTAATCTTAGATTCCTTATGAAAAAGGTTCTAGCAAAGCAAATTGTTTAAAAAGGATTAGGGATAAAAGTATTTAAGGTTAAAAAAAAGAAATGTAAAAAAGAGAGACAGAGGGCCTATAGGGCAAATGCTTATTCTTGCTGCACTTTATGCAAATAATTAAGCCAAATGTAATAGGACTAAAACTTACTTTACAAATAAGTTAGTCCTACTGAACTAATGCTTGGACTTCCGCTTCTGGCCAAGATAGAATAACAGGGACTATAGTTAACCTTCTCCCTGGAACAATCTAACAAACCAGACAAAATATATAAAAACATTTTTTTAAGATGCTGAATATTAGACAATGAAAGACAGTGATCCCAGAGAGAATAGCATGAAATACTGTATTTCTCTTTTGAATAAAAACTGATTTGTAAAAATATTAGAATTATATCAGTTTTCTTGTTGTTGACCTGAATTTAAATTTTTTTTAACGTAGATATTTTCATTTCCAGGTGTGTTTTTCTCATTTCAGTGATATTCTAGCAGAGTGCAAATCTTGTTGCCCAATATACTTGAAAATAGACGTTTTCACAACGACTATGATACTCACCTTAATTTATCTATTGGTAATTGCAAAATGGTAATATCATAATTCTTACATTTATCAGTTGCATTCTTCAGAAAATAAGAGTTTTTCCTCACCAAGTGTAAATAAACTGTGTTACAAAACTCAGGATGAAAATGTAATCATTCGTACTTAACTGTCAGTTTTTGGAATGGGAGTAGACATAATAATTGCCTGCAGTGGTAGTCTGTGAAGGGCTTTTATTCTTTTTTCTTTCAGTTCTTAATTTTTTAAAAATAATTGTATTAGCTGGGCGTGGTGGGCATGCACCTGCAGACCTAGCTACTGAAGAGGCTGAGGCAGGAGGATCACTTGAGCCTAGGAGTTCGAAGCTACACTGAGCTATGATCACACCACTGCACTCCAGCCTGGGCAACAGAACGAGAACCTGTCTATAAATAAATAAACAATAATTCTAGACTCATGAATTTTATTTACTCGAAGTTTTATAATCACTATTTTTAAAATAATCAAATTGTCCCAAATTGGACTAGCAAGAGCTCCAGCAAACTGACCTCTGTGTCCTTTTGATTCATTTCAGTTCTTTTTGAGCACTTTCTTCCCTTTGGCACATCCAGAAAGGCAAGTTCACCCGTCCTTTCTCTGCCCCAGTCCATATCCAGTCATAGCTCTAAAGAGCCTTAATTTCCTGGAATATAGAAAGGTATTTAGACACTGAGATCTGAGCTCTAGGAGGGCTCACTACTAAGCTATCATTGCTTTTAGGTGGCTTCAGTGTGAAGAATATATGAATACCTTCTTAACTTGATTTTATATTGATATATCCAACTCAAATTTGATATGACATGGCATGATTTTATGTTTATAGCTCTTTGACACTTTAAATCTTGATTCCTAATAACTTTAAGATATTTATGTATTTATTTACTTGCTTTATCTTACAACAAAGATAAAAACATTTTCAAAATTCTGCCCTGATGATCTTAGGTTGAGAAAAAAAAAGTTTCAAAATTACAGTACCAATATCACTATAGGCACTGAACCACCACACCAGGCTAATTGTTTTACTTTTTGTAAAGATGAGATCTTGCTATGTTACCCAGCCTGGCCGCAAGCAATCCTCCCACTTCAGCCTCTCAAACCTTTTAGTTCTAATGGCTTTGAACTTCAGAGAAAGGATATCTTACTATTTGTTCTTTTCTGGACTCCATTTTTTAAACTCTATATTGCATTCCTGAGATTTGTGCATGTTGTTTTGTGAAACTGTTGTTTACTCATTTTCAATGAGGTGTACTATTCCATTGTGTAAATATACTACAAGTCACTTATCTTCCTCTGTCACCCAGGCTAGAGTGCAGTGTCATGATCATAGCCCACTGTAAACTCAAACTCCTGGTCTCAAGCAATCCTCCCACCTCAGTCTCCCAAGTAGCTGGGTTATAGGTATGCAACACCACACCCAGCTAATTACTTTATTTTTTGTACTGGCTGGTCTCGAACTCCTGAGTGGCCTCCCAAAAGTGCTGGGATTACAGGCGTGAGCCACCGTGCTTGGCTAATTTTCTAAATTTTTTTCTAATGTGACTTTTGCATATGTTGTATGTGATTCGCTTCCTTTTCATCTTGCCTTGTTTTCCTTTCAACATCTTTACACGGGGATTGATGTGATTCTTTTCTGTTGTTCATCTTTCAATGAGATGTGCCAAGTAGTTATTAATTTCAGACAAAGCCAACTTCAGAACAAGGAAAATGACCCAGAATAAAGAAGGACATTACATAATAATAGAGGAGTCAGTTATTCAAGAAGACATAATTTCTAACGTGTGTGCACCTAGCAACAAAGCATCAAAATATACAAGGCAAAAACTGATAAACTGCAAAGAGAAACAGATGAATCCACTATTACATGTGAATACTTCCATGCCCCTTTGGAGTAACTAATGGATCCTGTGGGCTGAAAATCAGTAAGGACATAGTCGAGCTGAACAGCAGCACCAAACAACGGGATCTAATTGACATCTATAGAATATGTCATCTAGCGACAGAGGAATCCATATTCTTTTCAAGTTCACACACAACATTGACTATGATATAAGACCACATTCTGGGCCATAAAACACACCTTAGCAATCAGAAATTATACAAAGTATCCTCTCAGATTACAATGGAATTAAACCAGAAATCAAATCAGAAAGATAGCTGGAAAACCCCCAAAACCCCCGAAATACTTCAGCTTAAACAATCCAATTTTAAATAAACATAGGTTAAAGAAGTCTCTAGATAAATTTTAAAATATTTTGAAATAAATTAAAATGAAAATACAACTTATCAAAATGCGTAGGATACAGTGAAAGCAATACTTTTACAGGAATGTATAGCATTGATAGCATTGAATGTGTACACCAGGAAAGAAGGAAGACTTCTGATTTTAAAATGGCAGCATAGAAGCAAGCTGGCTTCATTGCCCTCCTACAGAAAACCAAAAAATATATAGAGAGCATTGAGATTTTTACCAGCAACAATTCAGAACTCAAACATGAAGAGAGATACCAGATCCACAAAAAAGTAAAAAATTCCAAACTGATAGTAGGAGAATCAGACTTTCATATACCTGATACCGCATCTCCTCATTCTGCCCAGCAACCTGCATGTGAAAAATCTTTCCTCAACCAACAGTTTCTACACTAGAAAAAGTGAGATTGAGGTGGTCAACCAGCTTTCTCACCGCAGTTACCAATATCAGAAATTAAAGAGGGGCCATCACTACTAATTCCACAGACATTAAAAAAAAATGCAATGAATAATCTATGTCCACCTATTTGAAAACCTAGATAAAATAGACCAGTTCCTTGAATGGCACAGCCTAGATCCTGCCAGTCAGCCGTGCCTACACAACTGCCTGAGTTCTCACCACCACTGCCGTGGTGAGCAGCTGCAGTGCCACCTTCTCATTATCCTGGCTGGATATAACTGAGTCTTCAGGAAACTGGGGATTGAGCCTTGGGGATGCCCAGAGGCCCTGGTCACAGGGTTGGTGGGGGCATACGAAGATTACTCTGGGGTGGCCGGGTGCAGTGGCTCACGCCTGTAATACCAGCACTTTGGGAGGTTGAGGTGGGTGGATCACCTGAGGATGAGAGTTCAAGACCAGCCTGACCAACGTGGAGAAACTCCATCTCTACTAAATATACAAAATTAGCCAGGCGTGGTGGCACATACCTGTAATCCCAGCTACTCGGGAGGCTGAGGCAGGAGAATTGCTTGAACCCGGGAGGTGGAGGTTGCGGTGAGCCAAGATCATGCCATTGCACCCCAGCCTGAGCAACAAGAGCGGAACTCCATCTCAAAAATAAATTAAATAAATAAATAAATAAATAAATAAATAAATTACTCCAGGGTTCAAGTTGGCATCGAGAATGCTTCTCCAGTGACCCAAGAAGGGAGTGCTGTTTCAAGAGGGGTCAGCAGTTGGAAGTGATCACACCTTTTCAGTTATACTTCAATTCCTTAATTAATCTTTAAACACTTTCAAATATGGAGATTAATAACAAAGTTCTTATTTTGAGGGGCAGTTGGATTCCGTTTTTTATTTAACATAATTTTTCTATCGTTACTGTCAAATGCTAGAAGGCTGTTTCCAAGGCTGGACAGCAGACTGTCCTTTCTGGTGGATTATTAATGACCGTTTCCTTCAACAAATAAAACACACACAGGAAAATGTTAAAGAACACCCCGTCTTCTTCCTAAAGCTGTTCATCTGTCTCCCACGATTCACTAGATATTCTGAACAGATAAAAGTAGACCTCCAGATTTTCACTTCAGGGCATTGTCATTTATTTCACAGCACATTTTCTGTGACAACTTTCCAAGCCTAGAGGTCGAACAGGATGAGCATGTCAGAGGAACTTTTAACCAGGCATTGCAATTGGATACATATATTTTTTCTTGGAAGATCTGTTTCCTGGTCAGTCTGGTGGAATAAGAATTCTGAAAACACCATCTATTTTGAAAGTGATTTTTGATACACCAGATGAGGATCCAAATTACAATCCACACCTGAAGAACGGCCAGAAGGTTTCACCTGGGGTGAGGGCCAGCGCCTCAAAGGTTAAAGCAGCAGTGCCAATAATGAGACCCAGCTGAGCAGGACCCAGTGATACCCATTGGGATTCTTTTATCCTTTGTTGCAAAAGTGTGGACACTTTTGACAGCCTGGCAGATTTTAATTCCAGGAGCACTTTATGAAATGATACACTGACAAATCCAGAAGACATTTCTAGCAGTTTGCCAGTGATTTCTCACTACACTGGTACCGAAAGTGTAATCTCTCGAAGCCAAAAAACTGGAGCAACAAACATCCTGCCACCTCTAACAAGTATACCAGTACTTGCATTCTACGGCATAAAGCAGGGCTTTTTCTTCCTCTTCTTTGATAGATGAGGACATGGTATAAATGGAAGTTTCAGAGAGGACAAAATAAAACTGAATTCCACTTTTCTCTCACTGCAAAAAAAAAAAAAAAAAAAGAAAGAAAGAAAAAAAAGGACACAACCCAAACTAACATACATAAAGTAGATAATCTGAAAAGGCCTATATTTATTTTAAAAACTGAATCAGTAATTAACCTTCCAAAACAGGAAATACAGACCAAGATGATTTCACTGGTGGATTCTACCAAATATTAAAAAAAAATTATATTGGTTATTTACAGTTTCTTGCAGTAAATAGAACCAGAGAGAAAACTTCCTAATTCATTCTATGAGGTCACATTACCCTAATACCAGAGAGTGACACTACAAGTAAGAACTACAGACCAGTATGTCTCGTGAACATAAATGCAAATATCCTCAGTAAAACATTAGCAAAACAAATCCAACAATGTATTAAAAAAATACACCACAAATAATTGAGATTTATTCCAGGTATGCAAGGCTGATTCAATGTTTGAAAATCATTTAATGTAATTCATCACATCAACAGGCTAAAGAAGAAAAGACATATGGTCAGTCATATCAATAGATGCAGAAAAAGCATTTGACAAACAAACTATGACACCCACTCATGGTAAGAACAACAAAAACAATCTAGAAAACTAGGAATAGGGAAAACTGTTACCAAAATGACCTAGAGGTTTGGTGTACTCCTGCTGCTTGCTGCACAGAAAGTCAATCACTGAAACAAGTATTGTGAGAAATGAAGCCTTTATTTGGGCTCTGCAGCCAAGGAGATGGGGGATCAGTCTCAAATCTGTCTTCCTGACCAATGAAACTTAGAGGTTTATATAGTAGAAATGTAACTACATGCAGGAAAACAAGAATTAGGGAGGGGTAAGGAAGAGAAGTTAGTCAGTGGGAAGCTGGTGGCTGGTTAGACAATCATGATGGGTTAGGGGTCTGACAATTCATTGTCCAAATGCAGTGACCTGGTGAGTTTCAGTTCTTTGATATTATATGGGAGGTCTGATGATTAATTTCCTGAGAAGGGAGCTCAGATAAGACAAATATAACTTTCTCAAATTTCAAAACTGAGAGGATCAGTTTCTGCGTTTATTCAAAAGAAAGCATGAACATCAGTTCTGTGGGACAATTGGGTCAGTTTCAAAATTTCCTAAACTCAATAAAGAAAAATTGAAGGAGATTTAAATAAATGGAGATATATTCCATGCACATGAATAGGAAGACTCAATAATGTCAAAATGTAAGTTCCTCCCAACTTTATATATTCAACACAATCTCAATCAAAATCTCAACTCATTTTGTGAAAATCGACAAACTAATCCTCAAGTTTATATAAAAAGCTGAAGACCTAGAATAGCCAACTGACATTATCTAACTTCAGGATTTACTATAAAGCTATTGTAATGAAGACAGTGTGGTATTGGTGAAAAAACAAATAGATCAATAGAACAGAATCAACAGACCAGAAACAGATCTATATAAATACAGTCAACTGATCTTTTATAAGGGAGCAAAGGCATTTCAATGGGGAAAAGATAGTCTTTTCAATTATTGGTGCTAGAACAACCAGACATCCAAAAACAAACAAACAAACAAACCAAAAGTACTAATCCAAAAACAAACAAACAAAAAGTACTATAGCCCTAGTTACTCAAGAGCCTGAGGTGGAAGGATCACTTGAGCCCAGGAGTTGGAAGCTGCAGTGAGCTAAGTTCATGCCACTGAACTCTAGCCTGGGTAACAGGGTGAAACCTTATCTCTTAAAACAAAACAAACAAAACAAAACAAAACAAAACTGGATCTGAACATGGACTTTACACCTTTCATAAAAATTAACTCAAAATGGATCATAGAACTATAAATGTAAAACACAAAATTATAAAACTTCTAGATTATAAAATAAGAGAAAATCTAGGTGACCTTGGGTTTGGCAGTGAATTTTTTGATACAACACCAAAAGCATGGCCCATGAAAGGAAAAAATTAATAAGTAGAACTTCAGTAAAATTTAAAACTTCTGCTTCAAGAAAGATACTGTTAAGAGACTGAAAAAACACAAACTGGCAGAAAATATTTGCAAAACATATCTGATAAAGGACTGGTATCTAAAATATATGAAGAACTCTTAAACTAAACAATAAGAAAACAACCCAGTTTTAAAATGGGCAAAAGATCTGAATAGACACCTCACCAAAAAAGATACACAGATGGTAAATAAGCATATGAAAAGATGCTCAACATCGTATGTCATTAAAGAATTTCAAATTTAAACATTGAGATACCACTACATACCTACTAAAATCACTAATTCATGTGATATATGATATAAAATCTAACAATTTTTGTCTGATCTCTAAACTACCTGTACCTTACAAAAATCAAAGGCAGAGGGTTAATTCAATCCTCTTTTGTAAGGATTGTAGCAATCCTTTTGTAAGCCAAAACCAAAGAGATTGCTACATATCAAAAGTCCGTGGAGGCTGGGCTTGGTGGCTCACGCCTGTACTCCCAGCACTTTGGGAGGCCGAGGTGGGCGGATCACTTGAGGTCAGGAGTTCGAGACCAGCCTGGCCAACATGGTGAAACCCCATCTCTACTAAAAAAATACAAAAATTAGGTGGGTGTGGTGCCACATGCTCGTAATCCCAGCTACTTGTGAGGCTGAGGCATGAGAATCACTTGAACCTGGGAGGTGGAGGTTGCAGTGAGCTGAGACTGCACCACCGCACTGCAGCCAGGGCAACAGAGTGTGACTCTGTCTCAAAAAAAAAAAAAAAAAAAAAAAAGCCATGGGTAATCAGTACAGTGACAATGTGATATTGGTGAAAATAACAGGCAAATAGTTCAATAAAACAAAATGCGTAGCCCAAAAATAGACCCACAAATATAGTGGTCTTTGTTGAAGAAGCAAGGCAGCCTGGGCAACAAAGTGAGACCTCTACTTTAAATAAATAAATAAATAGAATTTCAATTTATGTATGTTTTGTGCCTGTCTTTATCACTCAGCCTAATGATTTTGAGATTCCTCCACGTTGTGGCACATACAAGTAGTTTATATTCCTTCTTACTCCCTGGTAGCATTTGCTTGCTTGTATATGCCACAGTTTGTTTCTCCATTGACCTGTTGATGGACTTTTGTGCTGCTTCCAGTTTGGGACTCACAAAGAAATCTGTTACGAACATCAGTGTACAAGTCTTTGTGTAGACATACTGTGTCCAGAATTGGTTCCTTCTGGTGGGTTCTTGTTCTCGCTGACTTCAAGAATGAAGCCACGGACCCTCGTGGTGAGTGTTACAGTTCTTAAAGATGGTGTGTCCAGAGTTTGTTCCTTCAGATGTTCAGATGTGTCCAGAATTTCTTCCTTCCAGTGGGTTCGTGGTCTCGCTGACTTCAGGAATGAAGCCACAGACCCTCATGGTGAGTGTTACAGCTCATAAAGGTAGTGCAGACCCAAAGAGTGAGCAGCAGCAAGATTTATTGTGAGGAGCAAAAGAACAAAGCTTCCACAGTGTGGAAGGGGACCCAGGTGGATTGCTGTTGCTGGCTCGGGTGGCCAGCTTTTATTCCCTTATTTGGCCCTGCCCACGTCCTGCTGATTGGTCCATTTTACAGAGTGCTGATTGGTCCATTTTACAGAGTGCTGATTGGTGCGTTTACAAGCCTTTAACTAGACACAGAGTGCTGATTGGTGCGTTTTTACAGAGTACTGATTGGTGCGTTTACAATCCTTTAGCTAGACACAGAGCACTGATTGGTGCATTTTTACAGAGTGCTGATTGGTTCATTTACAATCCTCTAGCTAGACACAGAGTGCTGACTGGTGCATTTTTACAGAGTGCTGATTGGTGCATTTACAATCCTCTAGCTAGACAGAAAAGTTCTCCAAGTCCCCACTCGACCCAGGAAGTCTGGCTGGCTTCACCTCTCAACACGTTTTGGTGAGCAGGTGGTTCACAGAGAGAAACTATAAATAATCAAAAACAAGTTTTAAAAGACATAAAATTTGAAACACAATCTTTTAGTTTATTTATTTATTTACTTAGAGACAGTTTCTCACTCTGTTGCCTAGGATGAGGGCAGTGGCACAATCACAGCTCACTACAACCTCGACCTACTGGGCTCAAGCAATTCTCCCACCTCAGCCTCCCAAATAGCTGGAACTACAGGTGCCCATCACCACACCTGGCTAATTTCTGTATCTTTTGTAGAGACCAAGTTTCACCATGTTGCCCAGGCTGGTCTCGAACCCCTGGGTTGCCTCCCAAAAGTGCTGAGATTACAGGCATGAGCCACCGTGCTCGGCTCTGTGCTAATTTTCTAAATTTTTTTCTAATGTGACTTTTCCATTTGTTGTATGTGATTCACTTCCTTTTCATCTTGCCTTGTTTTCCTTTCAGCATATTTATATGGGGCTTGAATGTAATTCTTTTCTGTTGTTCATCTTTAAATGAGATGTGTCTTCTCATTTAAAGAATGACAAGACATTCATTCTTGTGGGCTCCCCATAAAGCCATTTCCACAATTTTGAGATCTGCTTCCTCTGGACCCATTCCACCAGCAGTTGAAACATTTTTCTCTCTCACTCTCCCTTTCCGCTCCTAAGTACGCTCTTATTTTCTGTTGTGCTCTAGGCAGCCTTTTCCATAAAATATGCTTCTGTGCAATTTAAATGAGTTTTTCCTGGGTATTTCCGAGTTCCTTGAATGAGGCTGCCTCAGGACTTGCTGATCTCCTACAGCCTCTTAGAGAGTACTCATGGACTTTTGGTGCCCACCTACATATTGGATCCTCCTTCCAACTCACTGATACTTTTTTTTTTTGAAACAGATGAAATTAATTTTATTAATATATTTTGTTTAGCCCAATACATCACAAAATTATTTTCAACATGTAGTCAACATAAAACATTGTTAGTGAGATATTTTACCTTCTATTCCCCCAATCTTCAAAATCCAGTCTGTATTTTATTCTTGCAGCACATCTCAATTTGTCTTGCCAAATTTCATGGCCAGTGGCTACTGTATTGGATAACATAGATGGATCCACGCCAAGAAATATCTGTTCCGGGTATTGCCAGCACACTTGATGAGCCCTCAAAGCCCTCACTCCAATCCCAATATTGCCTCAGAACCCTGGTCTTTCATATGAGAAATGACTTCAAATACACAAAACCTTCTGGGATGGCACCAAACCCAATTGGATTCTGGAAAATACAAAGACAGGCCACTATATAGGATTTATGTTTTGATCTGTGGACTGATGTTAACTTGAGGATGCAAAACAACAGACCCAACTCAAAATCAAGAAATGCCTGGCATTCATTTACAGGGAAGCTGGGTGGCTGTCCTGTGCTTAAGAAAACAGCTACCATTACTGAGAGTGTCATGGTCTTCCTCTAGCGTCCTTAGGAGCCACTTTTGTATTTTGATAGACAGAGAAAGAAGTTGGACAACTTTTCTTAAACAGAAAGGATATTTTTAAATTTCCTAAAACACCTGTTAATATCTGTAATCAAAACGATAGCTGAAATAACTCATTAGGACCTCATTGCATTTTTGTTGTGCTAAAGATTTAGATAATAGCAGCATCAGATGAAATAAACTTTTACCCACTTTAATGGAACTTATGTATGGCCAAGTGCTTTTGAATTCCTATAAGGTGAAACAGAGTACATCAGAGAGTACCATTTGCATAGAATAATGTCACACATGAAGCCAGATTACATTTGTTAGATGATTTGTAGTTTTAGTATCTGTCACAGTAAGTCCTATTACCCATATCTCTGAATGAAAGCTCATGCTAACTTTTTGTTTTTTGTGTGTTTTTTTTTTTTTTTTTGAGATGGAGTCTTGCTCTGTCACCCAGGTTGGAGTGCAATTGTGCTCACTGCAACCTGCGCCTCCTGGGTTCAAGTGATTCTCCTTGCCTCAGCCTCCTGAGTAGCTGGGATTACAGGTGCCTGCCACCATATCCACCTAATTTTTGTATTTTTAGTAGAGACAGGGTTTCACCATGTTGTCCAGGCTGGTCTTGAACTCCTGACCTCAGGTGATCCACATGCTTCAGCCTCCCAAAATGCTGGGATTACAGGTGTGAGCCACTGCACCCAGCCAATTTTTGCTCTCTTTTATCTCCATCATATTTTTAAAAAATTACCATCTATCTACTATTAAACATTACAGGAATATGTAACTTAAAAGTGAAAATTCCCTGTAATGTTATTTGTTTATATTCTTCCAGATTTTTCTATGTATACTCATTTTTCTCTAAATTGAATTCATAAATTCATATTTCAATATTAATTATATTTGTGAAAGTTACCCTTCTCAAAGGCAACCACTACTACCAGTTTCTTCTGTATTTTTTCTAAAGATAGTCTATGTAAAGAACTCCATATAAATCTTTTTTTTTTAATGGTATTATTTGAGGTTAGGAGTTCGAGACCAGCCTGGCCAACATCGTGAAACCCCATCTCTACTAAAAAAATACAAAAATTAGGTGGGTGTGGTGGCACACACTCGTAATCCCAGCTACTTGTGAGGCTGAGTCATGAGAATCACTTGAACCTGGGAGGTGGAGGTTGCAGTGAGCTGAGATTGCACCACCGCACTGCAGGCTGGGCAGCAGAGTGAGACTCTGTCTCAAAAAAAAAAAAAAAAAGTCCATGGGTAATCAGTACAGTCACAATGTGATATTGGTGAAAATAACAGGCAAATAGTTCAATAATTCAATGAAACAAAAAGCACAGCCCAAAAATAGACCCACAATATATAGTCAAATGATCTTTGTTGAAGGAGCAAGGCAGCCTGGGCAACAAAGTGAGCATGTATTCTATGCTTATTCTACTTTTTCATACTTGACATATGTTGGAGATCCTTCCATATCTATACATGAAAAGCTGCCTCTTTCTTTTCTAGAGATGCATGGTATCTTGCAGGCAGCACATTAATTTATTTCACCTATTGATGGACATTTTAATTATTTTCCATATTTTGGGATTGTAAGCAATGTCCAATAAATAACCATGCAATTGTGTCATTTCGAACGTGAATATTTTTATAGGATAACTTTCTGAAATTAGAATCATTAGATCAAAGGGTATATGCACTTTAAATTTTGGTTACATATTGCCAAACTGTACTCCCTAGACAGTTCTGCCATTTCACAATTCCACTAGTACAATGTGTTCTCGTTAGCTGAGAGGTAGAAAAACAGTAACTCATTTAGTTTAATTTGCTTTTCTCTTATGAGTGAACTTGGTCATGTTTAAATAGGTTTAAGGAGCCATTTGCAGTTACTTTCTATAAATTGCCTGTTATTATTTGCTGACTTTTTAAAATTATACTTTAATTTCTAGGGTACATGTGCACAACGTGCGGGTTTGTTACATATGTATACATGAGCCATGTTGGTGTGCTGCACCCATTAACTTGTCATTTACATTAGCTATATCTCCTAATGCTATCCCTCCCCCCTCCCCCCACCCCATGACAGGCCCTGGTGTGTGATGTTCACTGCCCTGTGTCCAAGTGTTCTCATTGCTCAATTCCCACCAATGAGTGAGAACATGCAGTGTTTGGTTTTCTGTCCTTGCGATAGTTTGCTCAGAATGATGGTTTCCAGCTTCATCCATGTCCCTACAAAGGATGCGAACTCATCCTTTTTCATGGCTGCATAGTATTCCATGGTGTATATGTGCCACATTTTCTTAATCCAGTCTATCATTGATGGACATTTGGGTTGGTTCCAAGTCTTTGCTATTGTGAATAGTGCCGCAATAAATATACGTGTGCATATGTCTTTATAGCAGCATGATTTATAATCCTTTGGGTATATACCCAGTAATGGGATGGCTGGGTCAAATGGTATTTCTAGTTCTAGATCCTTGAGGAATGGCCACACTGTCTTCCACAATGGTTGAACTAGTTTACAGCCCCACCAACAGTGTAAAAGTGTTCCTATTTCTCCACATCCTCTCCAGCACCTGTTGTTTCCTGACTTTTTAATGATCGCCATTCTAACTGGTGTGAGCTGGTATCTCATTGTGGTTTTGATTTGCATTTCTCTGATGGCCAGTGATGATGAGCATTT
Organism: Homo sapiens; assembly: GCF_000001405.40. Taxonomy (NCBI): domain Eukaryota; kingdom Metazoa; phylum Chordata; class Mammalia; order Primates; family Hominidae; genus Homo; species Homo sapiens. Next base: position 138,056,337 of record NC_000007.14, read on the forward strand.
TTTCATGTGTCTGTTGGCTGCATAAATGTCTTCTTTTGAGAAGTGTCTGTTCCTATCCTTCGCCCACTTTTTGATGGGGTTGTTTGATTTTTTCTTGTAAATTTGTTTAAGTTCTTTGTAGATTCTGGATATTAGCCCTTTGTCAGATGGGTAGATGGTAAAAATTTTCTCCCATTCTGTAGGTTGCCTATTCACTCTGATGGTAGTTTCTTTTGCTGTGCAGAAGCTCTTTAGTTTAATTAGATCCCATTTGTCTATTTTGGCTTTTGTTGCCATTGCTTTTGGTGTTTTAGTCATGAAGTCCTTGCCCATACCTATGTCCTGAATGGTATTGCCTAGGTTTTCTTCTAGGATTTTTATGATTTTAGGTCTAACATTTAAGTCTTTAATCCATCTTGAATTAATTTTTGTATAAGGTATAGGGAAGGGATCCAGTTTCAGCTTTCTACATATGGCTAGTCAGTTTTCCCAGCACCATTTATTAAATTAAATTAAATTTCCTCATTTCTTGTTTTTGTCAGGTTTGTCAAAGATCAGATGGTTGTAGATGTGTGGTATTATTTCTGAGGGCTCTGTTCTGTTCCATTGGTCTATCTCTCTGTTTTGGTACCAGTACCATGCTGTTTTGGTTACTGTAGCCTTGTAGTATAGCTTGAAGTCAGGTAGCGTGATGCCTCCAGCTTTGTTCTTTTGGCTTAGGATTGACTTGGCAATGCGGGCTCTTTTTTGATTCCATATGAACTTTAAAGTAGTTTTTTCCAATTCTGTGAAGAGAGTCATTGGTAGCTTGATGGGGATGGCATTGAATCTATAAATTACCTTGGGCAGTATGGCCATTTTCACGATGTTCATTCTTCCTAACCATGAGCACGGAATGTTCTTCCATTTGTTTGTGTCCTCTTTTATTTTGTTGAGCAGTGGTTTGTAGTTCTCCTTGAAGAGGTCCTTCACATCTCTTGTAAGTTTGGTTCCTGGGTATTTTATTCTCTTTGTAGCAATTGTGAATGGGAGTTCACTCATGATTTGGCTCTGTTTGTCTGTTATTGGTGTATAGGAATGCTTGTGATTTTTGCACACTGATTTTGCTCACTGATACTTTCATTCACATCTGCTGTCCGAGGATTCCACTCAGACATATTTCTTCTCTTTGATGACTCAAGAGTTTGGGGTGGGGGGTGGGGGCAGGTACAGTGGCTCACGCATGTAATCCCAGCTCACAGAGGCAGGCAAATCACACGAGGCCAGGAGTTCGAGACCAGCTTGGCCAACATGGCCAAATCCCATCTCTCTATATATATATAAAAACAAAACAATAACACAAAAATTAGCCAGGCATCATGGCGTGCACCTGTAATCCCAGCTACTCGGGAGGCTGAATCAGGAGAATCGCTTGAAACCAGGAGGTGGAGGTTGCAGTGAGCGAAGATTGCACCACTACACTCCAGCCTGGTCAACAGAGCTAGACTCTGTCTCCAAATAAAAAAAAGAAAGAAAGAAAAAAAGAGTTTGTGGGGAATATCTGTGTTCCAGGTTTCTCTGGAGATCAGAATTCCTCTGTCCCTTCCATCCACTACTTCTGCATAGATTTATATAGACTTTAAATCTAAGTGAGTTCTATAGGAGCCTGCTTTTTTTGAGGCCATTTAACCCTACCTGTTGGTGTTTAGGGTTTCATGGAGGTTTCTTTGTTCCCAGTTGTATTGAAGATGTCTGTCGTCTTTTTTCTTCTGCCTTCCTAGTTCCCCTCTCTCTTATATAAAGACATTTGGGGAAATTCAGAAACTCTTCTGCCATCATAATCTTGCTGTTTCCAGCGATCTCTTATAAAATCTTAAGCAAAGTGGCTAAGGGAGTCCTTCCAATGTTCAGAGACCTGAGTTACATAATGAGTCACCACCTGGGCTGCATTGCTGACAATGAATTTATCCTCACCCTGAAAGTTTGGTACCTTATTTAAGGACAAGGCTACTCTCCACAATTATCCTGTTGCTGGGGCTCAGAAACCAGTAACCCAAGATACGGTTCTTTGACATGCTGAACTGGAGAAGCCTCAAGATCTCTCTGACCTGCCCCCCTACCCACTACGGCCCCTGCCGTCTCTCCCAAAGCCTTTATCTGTCTGACATCCAGACCCACCACTTTTTCCTCTTCTCCGCATAAAACCAATAGGGTAACCCCACCTGAACAGACACTTTCACAAGATACTGTACAAGTTAATCTCTGCTCCCTGATCCATTCATTCTCCCTGGTAATTTTATCAACAGAATTCCTCTTCTCTGCCCTCCTGTAATTTGTTTTGCCAGGATGGTGTATAAGCTTCTGCACCCCATTGGGAGATGGGTAATCACTCTGTGATTCTTCCCATGTATGTGCATTAAATAAATTCGTGTGCCTTTTCTCCTATGAATATGCATATTGCCAGTGATTTTTTTTCAGCAAACCTTCGGAGGACCAAGGGGAACTTATGCCTTGACACCCCTCCTCTGTCAAGCTATAATTTTCAAAGCATTGAAAATATGACTGGTCAAAGAAGCCAGGCCCAGTGGCTCACGCGTTCAATCCAAGTATTTTGGGAAACCAAGGCAGGAGGATCTCTTCAGCCCAGGAATTTGAGACCTGGGCAACATGATAAAACCTCATCTCTACAAAAAAAAAAAAAAAAAAAAATACAAAAATTAGCCAGATATAGTGGTGCAGACCTATACTACTCTCAGCTACTCAGAAGGTCGAGGTGGGATGATCACTTGAGTCCAGAAGGTCAAGGCTGCAGTGAGCCATGATTGTGCCACTGCACACCAGCCTGGGCAACAGAGCAAGATCCTGTCTCCAAAAGTATATATATAATATGAAAAGATGCCAAAAGTCTGTTTAACTTATCAATAAGAAGAGAAAAGAAGAGAGGGTAAAGCTAGTTCCAAGAGGATTCTAGTAACAAGGGTTTAAGTAATCCATCAGGAATGGCCTTTCAAAAATTTAGAAAAAAAATTGCTGGGTTGGATATAAAACTGATTATTGCCCCATAGGGTAATACAATATCATTTTGGGGTTATCTTTGCTACTAGACAAAATCTACAAGTCAACATGTAAATTCAAAAAGAAGATTTTTATCAACTAGTAAAGGGTACTAAAGAATTAAAGAATCCTGGGCCAGACACAGCGGCTCGCTCCTATAATCCTCACAATTTGGGAGACTGAGGCAGGAGGATTGCTCAAGCCCAGGAGTTCAAGACCACCCTGGGCAACAAGCAAGACCCTTTAAAATGTTATCCAGCATGGTGGTGTGTGCCTGTGGTCCTAGCCGAGGCAGGAGGCTCACTTGAGCCCAGGAGTCCAAGGTTGTAGTGAGCTATGATTGCACCACTGCACTCTAGCCTGGGTGACAGAGCGAGACCCTATCTCTAAAAAGAAAAAAAAAAAAAGAAAGAAACTATAGGCTGGGCACAGTGGCTCATGCCTGTAATCCCAGCACTTTGGGAGGCTAAGGTGGGCGGATCACAAGGTCAGGAGTTCGAGACCAGCCTGGCCAATATGGTGAAACCCCATCTTTACTAAAAATACAAAAATTAGCCAGATGTGGTGGTGGGGCCTGTAGTCCCAGCTACTTGGGAGGCTGAGGCAGGAGAATTGCTTGAACCCGGGAGGCAGAGGTTACAGTGAGCTGAGATGGTTCCACTGCATTCCAGCCTGGGTGACAAAGTGAGATTCCATCTCAAGACAAAAAAAAAAAAAGTACATGAAATTAATCAAAGGCAAACTTGAACAGAGGCCAGATAAAGTAAAACTTTTATGGCAGGGGCTGCAGAACAAATCAAACGTATCCTTGCTAATTTCAAAAACTACCAGTTCTTTACTGGTGACACATGATTCCAGATGACATGGTTGCTCTACTGGATTACCCTGAGGGTGGTGTGACCCCCATATATGATTTTCTTTAGGGATGGTTTAGAAATGGAAAAATGTTAACTAATTTGGCAATTACTTTGGATCTATCACCTGTCATCATAATTGGTTGGTGCTTGTCATCCACACAGCACCAGGACTTAAGACAAATGGAACTGAAGTCATCTTGAGCTTTTCATTTATTTTGATGTATTTGAAGCACAGGTATTGTTTTTAAGGAAATTACACGTTATGTAGGTTGTCTAAAAATAAAATGCATTTAAACTCATTTGAGAGAATACCTCTTAGTTTAACACATGTTAATATTTAAACTAAATCCATCCTGCAGCTGCTTCTTCCTGAAGACACCTGGCTGTAGGCCACTACAAGAAAGCATAATACTGTCATCAGATAACTTCTACAGTGGAAACTACTTCTGGGGCTAGAATATAAAAAACAAGAATCTTTTTTTATTTATTGTAGAGACAGGGGTCTCCCTATGTTGCCAAGTCTGGACTCGAACTCTTGGACTCAAGCAATCCTCCTGCTTTGGCTTCCCAAAGTGTTGGGATTACAGGCATGAGCCACCATGCCTGGTCTAAAAAACAAGAATAGAAAGTTTTAATTCCTAGTTGCAGTAAAGAGAAAGACCACGCTCATAGCAGTGACAGCATTGGAAGTGGAGCCTTATCCATTTTATCGCCTAAAACGGAAGTAATGACTCTGGAAGAGATTGCCAAGAGAATAAAAAGAGACTAATTCAGTTGGAAAAAAGGAAAAAAGAAACTAAGGCACTATGCAACCACATACACACACACACACACACACACACACACACACACACACAATCAAAACATACCCCTCACCTGGTATAAATGAGTTGCTGCTGCGTCTCCACTGACAGTTTTAAGCCTTTTCATTCCTCTTGTTTCATCGATAAAAATTATGATACTAAATCATTGGATTGTCCCCACTTTCTGCCAGTGCTCAATCCTGATCAAACCTCTGATTCTTGAACTCTCTCAGAAATAACCTTAGGCCAGGCCTGGTGGCTCATGTCTGTAATCCCAGCACTTTGGGAAGCCGAGGCAGGAAGATCGCTTGAGCCCAGGAGTTTGAGACTAGCCCGGACAACATAGTGTGATCTCATCTCTATAAAAAAGACCTCAAATATTAGCCAGGTGTGGTGGCATGCGCCTGTAGTACCGGCTACTCAGGAGGCTGAGGTGGGAGGATCACCCGAACCCAGAGAAGTCAAGGCTGCAGTGAGCACTCCAGCCTGGGTGACAGAGTGAGACCCTGTCTCAAATTTTTAAAAAATATAAAATAAAAATAACCTTAATGTAAAGGCTAAATTCTACAAGGAGCATCTTTTCACTCCCTGTTGCCAAGACACTCCCTGTTTCCCCAGAGTACGGTCTCCCTTGCTGCACCAAGCTCAATAAACGTAACCTTAACTACAAGATGTATTTATGGTAGTCTTTGATAGTGTGTGAGTGTTAATAGATGTGGAGGACCTTATCAAGATAAACCTGAGACTCTCTCTGCTATAAACAGATCTTTAACCCAGTAAGAATGTACATGCATTATCTGAGATCCTTTTTGTCTTTATCTGCTAGTACCCCCCACCACCTGCCTGACATTGCAATGTGTATGTTGAGTTGAATCTGAATCTGACCTCAGATTATTTGATTGAAGCCATTCAATGTAAGATTTATCTTGTGTTCCTAGAAATAACATCTCCAGAACTTTTTGGGTTGTCTGGTCATAAGTTTATTGTTGTTTGAGATAAAGATGTCCAGTCTTCTAAAACTTGCTTCTGTTTTTCTGGGTGATTATCCAGTATCTTGAGTCTCATTTTTCTGTAACAGGAAAAGTCTATGGAGAGAGGATGAGCATAGGCCCAGTGAGTCCATCCTCCAGGTGGCCCAGGGCTGAAGAGTTCCAAGGGTCTCATTAGACTAGTGCCCTTTATATAAACTTTGCCTCAGATCTCTTTTCCAAAACTCTTCAAGGATTGTTTCCTCAATCTTGTCTTTGTATCTCTGAAAATGTCTTTATTTTGTTTTATTTCCCCAGAGGCTTCACTGGTGATGACTTGTCTTTGGCCAGGTTTGGGAGACATGTAGTTTCACCAGCCCCACTCTAATCAGTCTCGGAAGTCTCCTGACTCTAAAATTCTGCCTCCTTTAGGCCAAATACCTACCTTTCTTCATGCTGTCTTGTTTCAGAGTCAATTCATGCAACTATCATTCCTTCTTTTTCTTTTCTTTCTTTTTTTTAGGTCAAGGGTAAAATGGATCTTTATCGATTTTAAGTGACAAATAAAAATGGTATTATTTATAGTATACAGCATGATGTTCATGGACCTATCCTTCCAACTGGCACAGTTTACAAAGACAACCCGGGATTATAGTGGCCACTTTTAGAAATCTTTGGTATAAATAAGATTGTTCATTTGAGATGCCCTTTAGGAAAGCAAAACACAATTTTAACTGTCCAATGGTCTACTTTTTCTTTTTTCTTTTTTGCTCCCAGCCCCACCTGGTCTGCTTTCTTTAATTAAGATGAGGAGGCTTCCAAGTGCAATTTGCCCTTTAAAACTACCTCTCTAAAATACCCTTTAAGTCCACTGATAAGTTTGAGAACTTAAAGCAGGTTCACGTGTGTCTCCGTCTGACTCCTATTCCCCTCCTTCTTGTTTGTATCTTTCCTTTTCCTCTCCAGATTTTGACTGGTGTGTGCATTTTAAACCTTGATCATATTCATATCCCTATGCCATATATTAATATTAATAGAAGACTTCTCAAACCCCAGAATGGACAGGAAAAGGTATATTGAAGAATTCAGATCTGTCATGACCACTAGCAATTATATTTTGATAAGATCAGAAGATACAAAAACTTGGTGAAAAAAATAATTAGCTTAATCATGAGAAGGATTTACAAATTAATGAATTTTTAAGGGAAATTTAATAATTTTTTTCAACAAAGAGACCTGTCAATATTTTAAACAAAGACATTACGGGAAAATTAACAGTCCTATCCTAATTAAAAGGAAAAGCAAAAACATTAAACTTGTAAAATGTGTTGTCTTTTACAATTTCATCTTGCTAAAAGCTTGGAGTTTAAAGGAAATAATGAGAGATTTAATTGTGAGTTAAGCTAATGTCATTGGTTAGGGTTACAAGATTTAAAAAGTTGACTATACAGAGCTTTTGGCATAATTTAGAGTCAAATTTAGTTATTAATGCAGATGTTTATAAATTATATTTTAAAGGTTTATGTAATATTCTTGGTTAAAAAGGTAAATCTCAGATTGAGTCAATATTAACTCCAACAAACTAGAGTTAATATTGGTTTAGAGACAAATAATATTGATTGAGAGATAACACTGTCTTTCCCCAGGTTTTGTCATATGAGAATTTTGTTAGCACAATATTTTCATTTGTGCAAGACTGAAGTTTCTCAAGATTAAAATTTCCAAAATTCCTTTCGTTGGTCAAGTAAATATGACAAAAATACAAAATCGTATTCAATTAATTGAAATGGTCATAGCAGATGTCTTTTTAAAGGGTTTAATATTGTGACATTTTTATACTGCTACAAATTATAAAGGCTTAATGTGCTGGCTAAAATTGTAATTTCCAGATCCTTAATTAGCTTGGTACCTTAGATAAAAGTTAAATTTAGCTCATTAATAAGTTATCACTGAATGCCCAAAAAGTATATTAGTAAGAAAAAGATACAGAAATTTAGTCACTAAACATAGTTTTAATTTGCCATTACTTCTTAAAATGGCTAAATTAAAAGTTTGTGTAAATGCTTTTAGAATAATGTCATATATTTATTTTTGCCACTTTATATTTGAGTTAATAATCTAACATGCGTATTCACTGAAAAAAAAGGCAATTCTTGGCTTCATGTTCTTTAATTTTCTTTTCTATCTAAAGGCAATAGAATTATTTTTGTTAAATATGGCAATTAATGTAAATGGTATAATAGATACAAAAATATGTAAAATATATAAATATATAGGTGGTACAAAAAATGATTTCTCTATTCAGGAAATTGTTGCAGAAAATTAAAATGGTAAATTCAATATAATAAGCATTATTTTGTTTAATATATTTATAAAATTATATATTAAGACTAAAGTTAAAATCTTTATGTTTATCATCTGTTTGTGTATTTATCTCTCTATGTCTAAATTCTTGCACATAGAGCAGTATTAGTAAATTATTTACTACAATTTGTTACGTGAATAGTGAACCAAAAGGAGAAAATTATAATTTGTGTTTTTCTGTAAAATGACTCAGTCATTTTTTCTCACAGATGTACCTTTTTTAGCACTATAATATTCTATTAGCCCTCATTCCTTTGGACATGCTTTTAAATTATTTTAACAAAACAAAACAAAAAAACCCTCACAGCTTAAAAGAATTAAAAGTTTCTACTAATTATTGTTTCTTGTTATGGTGTGTTTTCAAATATTGCCTGGAGAGAACAAACATTTGGGTAACTATTACCTGCCTCTAGAGACTGTCTCATGTTTTTATACCTCCTCTTCTCTGAAAACTCTTCATTTTGCATTCCCCAAATTTAAGCCCCAAATTCAGAAAAATAAGAGGATATGGACAATGCAGTTAATTTACAGCTGGACTTTCCACCTGTAAACTCTTTGTCTCTAGGTCTCCTGGATGACATTTTGACACTCAGACAAGATAAGGGCAGTTTTATGATATGCTGGTTAAAGGGTAAAGCTCCCCCTGGTGATCCCGCACCCCCAAGGTCAGTTTCTTTACTGATGATGTGCAACAGGTCAAACCAGCTGAGTTAGCTAGGCTTGATTATGTGGCTCAAGAGAGAAAAATTCCTGCTGGGAAGCTTGGTTTTGAGTTGTAGCCTAAGCTAATGTATTCCTCACACAGATCTTGGCGGTTCAATCTGGAAACTTGGTGTGCTGCGTGTGAATACAGATGCTGGGAAGCTTAGCCTGGGATGCCATCTCTCTGACCCCTAATGCTTGGCTGAACTCTTCTGCTGCACTCGGTCTTTCCTCTGTAAATCACAGCATTGCATCACTATACGCTGGAGTCTGGTGAGTACTCACAGATGTCTCAGCTTGGAAAATCTTTTCAGTGAAGATGTCTTTTTATGACTAAGCTATCATTAAATTTCTCGAAGGGTTCCCTAGGTACCACAAAGATTTATTTTAAAAATAAGTAAAAATAATCAGATTTGTCATTCTCCAAATTTTCACCAATTTGAAACTATTGTGCAAAATTTAAGATGAAAGACGGGTAGCTTGATAAATCACAGCAAAAGTTCACCTTTCCAGATTAATTATGTATAAGTAAAATACATTAATACAAATATGTACCCATCAGTTTTGTACTTTTCAGGTTAAAAGAAATATACCTATGTTTAAATAGGTATATAATAGTTATATAATAATAGTTATTAATCATAGTTATATAATAATAACAACTGCCAAAATAACTATTAAAAGACTTTTTTCCCAGTATTTTAGATGTAAATATTCTTGTCAATTGTAAACAATTACAATGCACTTTATGGGATAAATTAAATGCCTTGGAGATAGACTATGGCATCATTGTTTGTCTCTCCTTCATATATAACTATCCACAGCTTTAGTACCTTGGACCCAACAACTCTCCTTCCCTACTCAAGCAAGAAAAATGCCTTGATTATTTAACCTGTATTAGGAAATTGTCAGTGCCCTATACAGACCTTTGTATATTCCCTTTGTATGGCAGGGGTTAACCTCTATTGACCTTCTTATTTGGAGATAAGGACAAATGCTTATCTCCAGAACTGCCTAGAGAATGACATCGACTCTTGTCAATACTAGGGAATGTATTAACTAAATATGTATTAATTAAAGGTAAATGATATTACATAACCATGGATCTGTGAGTTGTTTTCAGGGTAGCATGTACCAGCCTGTCAGCAATATTTAGTATTAATAATTGCATTTATAATTTCCACTGGTTTCGGTGGAGCTTGAGGGACTAAGTCTGGTCACATATTGGAATATGTCTATGCAACTAGCTCACTGTAAGACACACCCTCCTTGAGCAGGCTCTGGGCTTTCTGGTACCAAGGTGCTCACACAGGTCACTGGTGTTTTAATACCTGAAGACAAAGCATAATCAGAACAACCATGTGGTGTGAAAGTAAGGAAGTCTTCACCTGAGATCTCTAGACACTCCCAATGCATTTTCTTCTCCTGCTATTGCTTTATTTGTTGCCTGTAATAAAGTATAAACTGGGTCCTATGGATCCCTTCAGGAATCAAACACTTGATAAAAATAATTAATGTACCTTTTGATAACCCTAATTGAATGATGTTCATTGGTAGTTCATACTTAAACATAAAAGCTGGAGATTGTCAGGCAAGCTATGCTATTACTGATTCGAATTCACTCTTGGCATATAAGCCTTTCTCAAAAGTCAGTTGACTTCAGATAACTGAGTTAACTAACCTCAAGTGGATCTGCCAGTTAGCATAAAATGAAAGAGCAATTATTGGTCCAATCAATATTTCCCAGCAAGCTTTGGTCATTCTTTACTTATTTTTAGGATGGATTGAGACTTTTTCTTGCCAGACCATCATTAAAGACTTTGAATGCTTTTCCTTTTACTCAAAAACTGTATTGTTCTTATACCCAATCTTCAGGAAAATGTAGAGAAAATAAAGGATTACTAAAACTAAAAATTGTCAAAGTTCTAAGAGTCACTGGAACTTACATGTAAGTTCCTACAGTATTCCATTTACCTTCATGACATAGGCTCTCCCCTTAAGAGTTAATAACAGACCATGCCATGCATTTCAGAATTTTGCTCTGATCCTAGTCTTTGCCCCACTGCAAGTTGACATAACTAAATACTACATCTTATCATTAAACGGATACAAGCTGCCTTTTCAAAGTAACCATTTACACAATCTTTGAGCCTGAAACCTGGAGATTTTGTCTTCTGGAAGAGAAAGCAAAGGAAGATTTGCCTTGAGCTTTGACTAACAGGACTGTATCAGGTACTGTTACTAATTAACACTGTGGTGAGACTCTAAGATAGTAATCCCTGCATTCATATTTTCAGTTCAAAAGACATACATCCTTTTTCCTAGATCAGGGGACTTCCATTTCACTGGTAGACCTCAAGCTGAGAATTCTTTGAACTCTACCAGAAGCAGACAATCCTCTAAAGTAACAATTGATTCAAAACCCTCCATTGAAGCTAATGATTATGTAAACTAGATAGCTTTTACTAAAATCTCTGGAACAAGATTAATTTTAAGATAATTTAATACACTTTTCCTTTTGATTTTTTTTACTATGGATCTTGCCTAATAGCATATGTTGAAGCTCTCCAGTGACTGGGTCAAGAGTTCTCAGTCTGTTCTCCTATACATTTTTTTTTAAACTTCTAAGCCTCTGTGGTCTTTTCTTGTGGCATTTCAAGAGAAAGAAAACATTCTTATACATTTTTCTCAGACCTTAGTTACTGCTGTAAATCTGATTGGTGGATCAATATCCATTTGACCCCGCTGGGGGAAACATATGTCATAGATGTTTCTTTAAATATTGTCAAGATAGATGTTCTTATACAAATTTCTTCTAGTACTGAAATGTCTCTCACATTATGAGTCCCAACCTTCAACCTTGTAAAAATTGGACTTTACCTCCACATTACAAAATACATCTTATTAGATCATTAACTAAACCCAGGAACTCCGCTCCGCTCTCTGCAATGGTCAGTTGCTCTCTTCAGAGTCACTGTATCCTGCAGGAATTATTTAACTTCACTCAGAAAATATGTCCAGCATTAGGGTCCAATGATTAGTTCTCTGTTTTGAAGATACATAATGTTTATACTGTCCTTTGAGTCCATGCCCTACCAAAATACTATTCCTTATGTGTACACTACCACTGGAAACGCATCAAACAGTTTAAATTCATTACGCAGGGTCTGAATGGATAACAACATATTTCATCTTGATTTCCTCTTCACTAACCAAGAGGGAGTTTATGCCAGAACAAACATACATATCTACATATGTATTTGCATACCTTGGTGCAAATACATATGTACAAGAATAGACTCTGCTGGATTTTTTAGCGCATTTTTGAGATCTGGGTTTGGTTATCTAGTCCAGTGGATGAACAGTCTTCTACAAAAGTCATAATAATTTCTTTTTCTGGCAAGTGCCTGTATCACAGTTGTTCAATGCATCCTGTCTAGATTCTTAAGTGCTACTGTGTAACCACTTTTACATTACATGATGCAAACACTCATTCTATAATATTTGGTTGCTGCAAAAGTAGTTGTGGTTTTTCCCATATAAAAGTAATGGCAAAAACCACAGTTGCTTTTGCACCAACCTTAGAAGGCTCAGAAGGAACTGACACTTGTCCAGTCTAGAGGCAACCTTTCCTAGATAATCTAATCAGCAGGATCCTGACAATGCAAAGGTCTTGAACATCAAAGATTATTGTCCCACAGTCTGACTTTGTCTTTCCTGATATCTATCAGCAGACAGTGGCCTAGTTTCTACCACTAGGCTATGATGTTTCTTCCCTGCTAAACATAAATAATTTCATAGAATATCAATATTACATGAGGACTCTTCATGACCATGATGGAATAAGAAAAAAATAAGTCCATTCTGTAATTATACCTGAGCAGAGGTACTATGCAACCACAAGAATAACCAAATATCCCATCTTCAGCCAACATGGGTGACTGCTACTTTTTCTCCAATGGCAATGCTAGCTATGCTCTATTTATTCAACCTTCTAGAAATAAATTATTAAGATATCCAATCACTGTATTGGCCCAGTGTTAAGAGGGCACACATACACCCACAAAATATAGCTGTGTCCTGGAATCTTTCCCCAAATCACCTAAGATAAGCCCAGTTTCTACAATGAGCTCTTCCCATCTCCCTCTTACTAAGACTCCATGCTTCTATGTAGAGTGCAGTCTTCCTTGCTGCAGGGAGTTTATAAAACTAACTTCATTGGTTACATGTATTTTTCTAATGGTCCTGGACTGATGTATTCAACAAGTGATTGACTAAATGGCGCTAAAATGTCATCTAAAGTATCTGACTTAAGATATACTCTAGACATTTTTATTAACCTTTTTATTAATGGTAATAATTAATTATGCTAATAGTAATAATAAATAATACTAATAATTTAGTAAAATTTATTATTGATAATAGCTCTCCAGTAAACAGGTCAAATCAATTTTCATCTCTGATACAGTAACAAGCAAACATTTTTCTACCATCAGATCTACAGAGAGAAGAGTATCTAATACTGTGAGCATATTATATACGAAGGTTTCAATTTATTTTCATTTAATTATGACTAGTTTGGATTAGTCATTTTTGTAGTCCCTTTAAATATGTTGTCATTGATCAATGTATCTACCCTGTTATCACTTTATTGGAGGGAGTAGAGTGTAGTGACTAAAAGCATAGGCTCTGGAGTCAGACAGCCTGGCAGTTCTTCCAGTTACTAAGCAATTTTTGACAAAAACTGTTTTGGACCTCAAGACTCTTCCTATAAAACAGGAATAATAATATTACCCACTGCATTCCTTTCTAAGGGCTGCCATAACAAATTACCACAAACTAGGTGGCTTAAAACAAACAAACAAAAATTATTCTAGCACATTTCTCGATGCTAGAAGTTTGAAATGAAGACATCAGCAAGGCCATGCTCCCTCTGAAGTTTCTAAGGAAGAATGCTTCTTTGCCTCTTCCTTTCTTCTAGTGGTTGCCAGCGATCATTGGCATTCTTCGGCTTGTAGATGCATTACTTCAATTTCTGTCTCTGTCATCACATGTCATTCTTCCCTAAGCCTCTATGTCTCTGTTTTCTCATCTTATAAGAACACCAGTCATTGGATTTGGGCTTACTGAAATCCAATAGTAACTTATCTAATTATATCTGCAAAGATCCTATTTCTAAATATAAGGTCACATTCTGAGGTTTCAGATAGACCTGACTTTGGGGGGACACTAAATGATCCAGTATATTCACCACATAAGATTGTTGTGAAAATTAAAGAAGCCATGTAAAGTACATAGTAAATACCAAACTTAATCTTATTATTTCTGTCAATATAATTTTTATGGATTTATGGCCACAAAGAAAGTATAATTCACAAGCAATTTTTTTGTTGAATGAAAATAGGAGCTGTTTTAGGTCAATTTATTTTGAAAATATTAATATATAAAGAGTAACTTGAAACATTTCTGATGAGAAAAGCAATGTAATATTTAGATTCCATCAATTTAGTAAGGATGTATATAATACATTAAAAATTAAGAAACATGTGAGGGTTCTAGTTCCAAATAAGATGGAGTCCCCCACTGAATACAACTCTAAAGCCTGCCTTCTACAATGAGAACATTAACATTCTATGCCATTTAAACAGGACCCAAGGAGATTGAGGCTGCAGTGAGCTGTGACTGCACTACTGCACTCCATCCTGGAAAACAGAGCAAGACCCTGTCTCAAAAGCAAACAAACAATAACAACAAACAAACAAACAAAACCAGGACCCAGGATCTCATAACCTAACATTCAAAAAGTTCTCAATAACCAAAAGACAGCAAAGCCAAGATGTCATAGATGTTGTACATACTTATATGGTGAAAACTTTAAGGCAGCGATTACAAAAGTTTCCCAGGAAACAATCAAGAACACTCATGAAGCCAGTGCAAAAGTAGAGAGTCTAAGGAAAGAAATAAAGCATACTTAAAATAACTAAATGGAAATTTCAGAAATGAAAAATATATCTGACATTTAAAACTCACTGGAGTGGAAAGATGACTAAGCCTAAGAGACCTGTAGGACACCATCAGCCATACAAACGTATACATAATAGCAGTACAAGAAAGAGAGGAGAGAAAAAAATAAAACACTATTTTTTGAAGAAATAATGGCCAAGAAACTTTCCAAATTAGGTGCAAATCATGACACTACACATCCAAGAAGCTCAGTGAACTCCAAGAAGGACACAGCCAGAGATCCACAGAAAGACACATTACTGTCAAATTGTCAAAACCTGAAGACAAAATCTATGTAACAATAATATCATAAAGGAGTAGGCTGATGGAGTTTTTAAAGGATCAAAATGTTTGAATACTATTAAAACTGGGTTAGTATTAATTCAAACTTGATTGTTACAAAGTTAAGATGCTAATCGTAATCCCCAGGGTAACTCCAGCGCTATGGACTGAATAGTGTCCCCCTAGATTTCACAGGCTGAAACTTGAATTCCCAGTGTGATGGTATCTTGAGATGGGGCCTTTGAGAGGTAACTAGGTTTATATCAGGTCATGAGGGTGGGTTCCTCATGACGGGCTTGGTGTCCTTTTAAAAAGAGACCACAGAGCTTGCTTACTCTCTGTTTCTCCTCTTCCCCACCTCCCCAGTCCCCAACACACTGTGAGAACACAGCAAGACAGCCATCAACAAGCCAGGAAGCTCTCTTCCTGGCTCTTAACAGAAACTGAATTGGCTGGCACCTTGATCTTGGACTTCACAGCTTCCAGAACTGTGCAAAATAAATGGCTGTTGTTTAAACCACCCGGTCTATCATATTTTATTATGGCAGCCCAAAATAAGACACCCAGAAAACAATTTAAATATACAAAATAATCCTGCAGGAATTTTAAACACACAAACTGATTCTAAAACATATATCGAAAGTAAAAGAGAAAGAATAGCTAAAATACTTTTGGGCAAGAAAAATAAAGTCTGAAAATTATACTATATGGTTTTAAGGTTTATGATAAAGCTACAAAAATCAAGACAGTGTGGTATCAATGAAAGAAGAGACAAATAGATCAGTGAAGCCTATTTCTATGTGGAGTTCACAGAAATAAAGCAAAAAAAAAATCAATGAAACAAAGTAGAAAGTCATAGACCCACCAATATATGGCCTTTTATTTATTTATTTTATTTTTTTAAATATATGGTTTTAATGTTGAAATATTTATCATATTATAGTTTTTAGAAACTTGGACAATTATCAATAAAATCAGGGCTGGTCTTATGATTTACTAGAGTATATGGCTGCTCGCTTGCCTTTTATTTTTAACAATGGTGCAAAAGAAATTCAGTGAAGAAAGCACAGATTTTTCAACAGATGTAATTGAAACAATAAGCCATCCTTATTCAAAACAAAACAACTAAATCTCTTCAATTATACAAAAATTTATTCACGATGAGCCATAGGTCTAAACAGAAAATATTAAACTATATAACTTTCAGAAAAAAAACACAGAATTAAATTTTTGTGACCTGGGGTTAGATACTTAAAGCACAATACAAAGAAAATGACAAATAAACATTACCAAAATTAAAATATTTTGTTCTATGAAAGATACAGTTAAGAGAATGAAAAGACAAGCTACAGACTGAGAAAAAATATTTGCAAACTACATATCCAGTAAAAAACACACATCAGGAATTTACCAAGAAATCTAAAAATTCAACACTAAGAAGACAATTCAATTTTAAAAATGAGCAGGAGATTTAAATAGGCACTTCACCAAGAGGATATACAGACGGCAAATAAGCATAAGAAAAGGTGGGCCAGGCGTGGTGACTCATGTTTGTAATCCCAGCAATTTGGGAAGCTGAGATGGGAAGAGGATCATTTGAGCCCAGGAATTCAAGACCAGCCTGAGCAACATAGTAAGACCCCTGTCTCTACAAAAAAATTTTTAAAAACCAGCCATGCATGGTGGCACACACTGATAGTCCCAGCTGCTCAAGTGGGTAAAGCAGGAGGAATCACTTGAGCCCAGGAGGTAGAGGCTACAGTGAGCTAGCTATAATCATGCCACTGTACCCTAGCCTGGGGGATGGAGTGAAACCCTTTCTCTCTAAAAACCAAAAAAAAGGAAAAAAGAAAAATGTGTTCAACATCATCAGCCACATGGGAAATGCAAATTAAAATAACAATGAAATAACACAACAAATGTACTAGAAGGCTAAAATAAAAAATACTAAGTGCTGTCAGGATACAGAACAACTGCAACTCATGTGCATTGCTACTGGGGAGGCAAAATGGTAGTCATTCGGAATGGCCGTTTGGTGGTTTCTTATAAAGCAAAACATACATTTGCCACATTACCCGATAATCTCACTCCTGGGTATTTACTATAGAGAAATGAACATTTAATGTTCATACAAAACCCTGTACATAAGTGTTTAGAGCAGCCCTATTCAAAATCACCAAAAACTGAAAACAAACTAAACATCCTTCAGTTGGAGAATAGAGAAACAAACTACGGTGCAGATATATAACTGATTACTACTCAGCACTAAAAAAAATAATAAACTGTTGACATAAGCAACAATCTGGATGAATTTCAAAGGCATTATGCTGAGTGAAAGAAGCCAATCTCAAAAAAGTTTATATTGTGTAATTCAATTTTTATGATAATTTCAAAAAATAAAACTATGGTGGTTGAAAACAGTGATTTCTATGGATTAAGGGTTAGGGGAGGGTGTGATAGGATAGAGTTCTTTGGCTTATAGCACTTTTCAGTATCCCAATTGTAGTGGTGGTTACAAAAATCTATATATGTGTTAAAATGCATAGAACTAAATAGCAAAAACTCAGTAATAATAAAAATAACAAACACATGCTAATCAACATTTTAGCACACAAAGGTGCACAGTAAGCATTTGTTGTATCAATTTAAAAATGATATTAAAGACCATTACTGCTATGTTCCACATTGCCACAGCCTAGTTTAAATTACTGTGTCTAGCTGAATACTGAACATGTTATATATACGTTATGTGTTAATGTGTACATAAGCAAGAATGACTGTTGGAGGGAGGGCAAGTCAATTATAGACAAACTTTATTGCTGAAATACCTGGAGTTCAGTCAAGATTGTGATGCTCCCTGCACGGAATGCCAATCACTAAGTCAACAAGGATTGCCAGAGAAGAAGGCTTTAATCTAGTCCTGCAGTCAAGGAAAGTGGGAGTTCAGTCTCAAATCTGTCTCCCTGACTGACCAAAATTGATCTGTTTACATAGCAGGGAAGGTGCGAAAAGAAATTAGGGAGGGATAAAGAAGAAATCCTGATGAATCAGGTATTTGGTATCTCAGTATCAGGATGTGGTGATCTAGTGAGTTTCAGTCCCTTGCCTGAGGGTCAGTTTCCTGAGGAAAAAACTCAGTTAAGACATAAGTTTCAAGTTTTAAGACAGAGGGCACATTTCTATGTTTATTCAAAAATCCATAAATATGGGACAATTTGGCCAGTTTCAACTTCAGGACATTTTAACCATTGTGGACTCAGTGACCTGTGAAGTGTACAGGCCAGGGAAACTTCCTCTTTGCCTTCTGAAGTTTCACTGAAAAATCAACTCACAAAAGGCAGATTAATTGGAGAAAAGGTATTCAATTTTATTTAACTATATGTTTACACAGGGAGAACCACAGAGTGATTACCCACCCACAACAGGGTTTAGAAGCTTATTTACTGGTAAATCAGGTTATGGGAGAGGGGAAAAGAGGAATTCTGTTGAGGAGATCACTAGGGAGAATGAATGGATCAGGGAGTAGAGATTAACTTGTACATTACCTTGTGAAAGGGTTTGTTCAGGAAAGGTTACATTCTTAGTCTTACAGGGAGAGGAAGAAAAACGAATTGTTCCTTTTGGTGGGTCTGGATCTTAGGCAGATAAAGGAACTTCACTTTGGGAGAGGTGGTAGGGAGTAGAGGTCAGAGGGACCTTGAGGCTTTTCCAGTTCAGTATGTCAAAGTGCCATATTTTGGGGTATCAGTTTCTGACTCCCAACACATTCTTTGTCTTCTTTTTTTGTAATGGATCATGAGATAACAGGTAGGGGAAAAAGAACAATTGTCCTCCTTGGTGGGTCCATCCTATCTTTATGTAGACAGGGGAAAGTCTCTTCCAGAGCCCGTTGATCTCTAAGGGTCTTTACTTCAAAATCTTCATTATACCAGGGAGCCATATGTTGGGGTGGAATTTCCTGCCTCCTTCAACCCCCAGCTCCAAATTTGGAAATGGCTTCTAATTTTTTTAAGGAAATGTCTTTTATTTCCTTTGGCCACTGTGATTGATTTCACGATGGATCCATGAACCAAGAAAGGCAATCAAGGCTAACAAGTTTCAATTTCAGGACTACTGTTTGAGCTACTGAGAAAGTAAAATCTCTTTTTCGTTGTTTGAGCTGGAAACCTTGTCACTCCAAGGACAGTCAGTAAACACTTTTCAATGTTAAGGGAACTGAGAGAGAGAGTTTCCTGAGAGAACAGGAAGGCAGAGAGACGAATGAGAAGTGAGAAATTGGTCCTGGCCATGTTATTGTTCCTCTAGTCCAGTTTAACTGGTGATAAGCTTAACTTGTGATAAAGATCCTAGATCCCTTTCCAGTCCTGCTGCATCCAAATCTCCCAGGAAGTCCTAGAAAATGTCTAGTCTCCCCTGAAGCTAGCCCTACTGCCAGAATTTGAGGAATATGAACCAATAAATTTCCATTATAGTTTAAGAGAATTTAAGATAGATGTGTGTATTAGTTCATTCTCACACTGCTAATAAAGACAACCAAGACTGGGTAATTAACAAAGAAAAAGAGATTTAATGGGCTCACAGTTCCACATGGCTGGGGAGGCCTCACAATCATGGCAGAAGGTGAAAGAGGAGCAAAGGCATGTCTTACATGGCAGGAGGCAAGAGAGCATGTGCAGGGGAACTGTCCTTCATAAAACCATCAGATCTTGTGAGACTTATTCACTATCACAAGAGCAGCATGGGAAAAAAACACCCCCATGATTCAATTACCTCCCACTGAGTCCCTCCCATGACATTGGGGAT
Source organism: Homo sapiens (assembly GCF_000001405.40). NCBI lineage: Eukaryota > Metazoa > Chordata > Mammalia > Primates > Hominidae > Homo > Homo sapiens. The sequence continues at coordinate 138,076,131 of NC_000007.14, forward strand.
TGTGGGAGCTACAATTCAAGATGAGATTTGGTTGAGGACGCAGCCAAACTATGTCAGTCTCTTATTTGCCAACAAAAGCATCCTAACTGATAGAGGCCAGACAGATTTGTTTCTTTTTGTTTTTTCAATCTTTTGTTGTGAAGAAGTAAGCATAAACTCTCAATAGGTTACGTTTTACAAGCCTCTGATGAAGTTCAAAGGACAACCATGCTTAGGATTTCCAGGACAACCTGGAAAAAAAAACAGGTTGAGAAATAGGTGTGTTAATCTCCCTTCCCTCTGCTCCTCCCTCTGGCCTTCCTTTCTTTGATGGAATAGGCCCTAGGACACCTTTCTAAAAAGACTCCCTGTGGTGTTCAGAATCACTCCTACAGTCAGGTTCTCCACAATGGATCTCAGTGCTGCAAGTCACCGCATACCTCTAAGTGATGGAAACAGCATTCCCATCATCGGACTTGGTACCTACTCAGAACCTAAATCGGTAAGCTTATTTTTTCTCTCTTTGCTTGCTTGTTTGTTTCTTTTAACATTTGCCTATAGCATAATCTGCAATTTATTTTAAGCAGATCTCATTGACTTACTTTTTGTAGTAATGGAAGCAACCTCAATTTGTAATAATGAAAGGACTACTATTTACTGAATAGGTATTGAGCCAAAGGTTAAACTAAATCAATTCATGATTAAAAATTAGTTTGGATTAGAGAAGGAGAATTTTCTGCTTCCTTTACTGAAATTTAGCTAAATGCTGATTACTAGAGTGAACTGAGCCACATGAAATTCGTGTGTTTATGACTTGTGTTTTTTTTATATGAGATAATTTTTAGTTCAGTCTAACAAACACCTAGTGAATACTTGCCATGCACTAAGCACTAGGCGATAGAAGTGTCATATATGAGGAAAACAATGTCTCTGTTATCTAGGGATTAAAAATCAAATAGAGGGGGCAGATTCTTGACAACTAATTGTAGAATGACCAAGATAAGGATCAATGCTATTCTAGAACTCTCTGTAAACAGTCTCTGAAAGCATATGTATTGGTCCATTCTCATGCTGCTATTAAAGACATACCCTAGAGACTGGGTAATTTATAAAGGAAAGAGGTTTAATTGACTCAGAGTTCAGCATGGCTGGTGATGCCTCAAGAAACTTACAATCATGGCAGAAGGGAAAGAAAACACGTCCTTCTTCATAAGATGGCAGCAAGGAGAAGTGCTGAGCCAAAGGGGAAAAGCCCCTTATAAAACCATCAAATGTCATGAGAACTCACTCACTATCCTGAGAACAGCATGGAAGTAACCTTCCCCATGATTCAATTACCTCTCCCTCGGTCCCTCCCACAACATGTGGGGATAATGGGAACTACAATTCAAGATAAGATTTGGGAGGGGACACAGCCAAACCATATCAGCATAGAAATGGAAATAATTAAATTTGACCATGAAGATTGAAATGGGCTTCCTTTAAAACATAGTAAAGTTTCAGCTTATGAGAATATCTGTTCCTTGTTGCAGTTCAACATTAAATGCTGATTACGAGAATAAATAGTGACATGTGTAGAAATGCTACTGAAATTTGAGTGGTCATGTATGAATGAACTATTTGAAGCTGAGCATGAATGTACCAGACAGAGAAGCACAGCTAAAGCAGGACATTTTGGCAATACGAAGTATAGAGACATTTTAGTTAGACAGAGAAGGATATATGATATATCCAGTGAATGCCAAGCCCATAGTGCCTGGCACAGGGAGTTAATGGTGATGGCAGCTGAATCTGAAAATGCAGATTAAGACAGGGATTACCAAGGACCTTGAACACCATGCTAAGGAGTTGGAACTCTGTTTGTTTGTTTAAGGCAGGGTCTTACTCTGTCACCCAGGCTGGAGTGCAATGATGCAATCTTGGCTCACTGCAACCTCTGACTCCCAGACTCAAGCAATCATTCTGACTCAACCTCCTGAGTAGCTGGGACCACAGGCAGGTGCCACCATGCCCAGCTAATTTTTGTATTTTTTGTAGAGAAGGGGTTTCATCATATTGCCCAGGTTGGTCTTGAACTCCTGGGTTCAAGCGATCCGCCCGCCTCAGCCTCCCAAAGTGCTGGAATTATAGGCGTGAGACACTATGCTCAGCCAGGAGTTGGAACTTCGTTCTATAGTAATGAGACATCATCTAAAGTTTAGAAGCAAAGAAAGAGCATCACTAGATCTGTGTTTTTGAAAGATAAAACTCAGGTTGTAGCATGGAGAATGGAAGGCAGATGAGGAGAAATAAACTACCCATAGCAAGAGTAGTTAAAACTTGGATCACAATCCCACATTCCACTTCAATTGCACACCTCCCTTGTTTTTGGTAATGCAATGGAAAATTACTCTTGGAACAATTATATGAGTTTGATCCTTGGCCCCTTTCTCTTCTTTCTTTGCACAATGTCTCTTTATGATCTCATTCATAATCTTGGCTCCAACCACATATATGCAGAGATTCTCAAAGCTATATTCTCTATTGTTTGTTATCTCTCCCCCATGTAAGTCCCTTACAGGAGATAACTATTGTTCAAAGATGAAAGAAATGATGAGGAAGTCTAATTATGGGGTACAAGCTATGGAGAAGGCATGGCCTAGAAAGTTAGGTGGGGGAATATTCCTTCCTGAGTGGCTCTGGTTGAGACTGCTGTAGTTGCAGCAAGTTTTCAGAATCTGAATGAGCCATGGGGCAAAGGAGAAGTGTAGTCCAAGCTCTTGGTGAGTACCTAGGAGAAGCCTAAAACACCCACTACATTTTGCCCCTGAGCAAAGGGAGGTGGGGGTGCAGGGCTCAGAACCCATTTCTCAGGAATGTGCCATCCTTTAAACATTCCTTTTATTTTATTTATTTTATTTTTATTAGAGGCAGGTTTTTGCTATGTTGCCCAGGCTGGTCTCAAACTCCTGGGCTCAAGTGATCCACCTGCCCCAGCCTCCCAAAATGCTCGGATTACAGGCGTGAGCCATGACACCCGGCCCTAAACATTCCTTACTTTCTCTCCAATGCCCATAGAATTCCCCTTTTCTGATCACCCAGGGAACTTTGTTTCACCTGGGGAAAACAAAGCCTTGCTCTTATACCAAGTAATTTTTTCAGATCTGGTTTTAAGCTGAGGACAGGGTGAAGGTCTCATAAGCTCTACCTAAGGGGACCAGGGGCCAGGCAGAAAGCATAAATGAGTAGTTTCAGAGAGTTAAGTCTTTTCTCCATTTTGTCCTACTTCCCCATTCTGATACTAGACATGAGGGCAAGCAATGCCTTATTTTCCTCTTTATTTCTACAAGAAAAAAGAAAAAACACAAGCAACTAACACTCGGGGGACTATTATTGAGAATATAATAGACATCACACTACAAGAGGGTGGCAGCTTGTCCTCCAGTACAGCCAATCATCATGAATAATAATCCAGTTGTTGGCCAGTCTTCTAACACTTTTTGGAGAATGCTGTAAAGTAATTATTAATTTGTAAGCAACAGCAACTCATTCAGATTTTGGATGACATCTGGATGGCATGCTGTCTTGTCCAACTTGTGTCCAATCACAAATGTGCCAATTACATCTTACAATGGATTTCCACTGACCCACCCAAACTTACGTTGTAGTGGATCTTATATAACCCAGCTCATAATGGGCAGCTCTGGCCACACAGTCACATCATGTCCCATGGTCAGATGTACTATCTCTACAGGACTCAGCAGCAATGTCAACAATGTAGATGGCGTGACTTGCTCCAGAACCCTACAGGCTTACCTTGTAATTCTCCAACTGGGGCTTGCCATAAACTCCATGCCACATGTAAACAATAGGGCCTGCTGGGTCATATGGCCCAAGTGGCAGGGATGCTTGTGGTAAAGTCTGGAGTTCTGCTGAGCCCCTCCCCATTCTGGGCCTAATGAAAGCTGGTGTATTCATGTCACACAGTAAATGGGTAGGAATAGTACTGCAAGTATGGAATATGCTGCCTCTGGAGCCTGAGGGCGCCTTTTGGGTACTGTGCTTCCTTCTTAATGCTTTTCCTAGTATACAGCCATACCTATGACTTTATCTTGAAAGAACTTCCATCAGCCTTCCAATAATCCATTTTTTAAAATTCTTAATAGAGACGAGGTATCTCTATGTTGCCCAGGATGGTCTGAAACTCCTGAACTCAAGCAACTCTCCCACCTTGGCCTTCAAAATTGCTGGGATTATAGGCATGAGCCACTATGCCCAGCCCAATGATCCATGCTGACTGCTTTGGTTTCTTTAAATTATGCAATGCACTTGTTGGCTGCCTATGTAACTTGCCTTTAGGGTGGGGGTGCCAGATTTAGCAAGTAAAAATATAAGATGTCCAGGTAAATTTGAACTTCAGATGAACAATGAATAATTTTTAAATATAAGTATGTTCCATCCCATTTAATATTTGGAATATGCATATACAAAAAAGTCTTGCCCATTTGAATTTCAAATGTAACTGAGCATCCTGTATGTTGCCTGAAAACTCTAGGGATTTCCTGTCTAATTAACCATCTCTGCAAAGCATCGCTGTGGGTTATGCTCTTTGGATACCACTCATTTTGATAACAGTGCCCACTTCACTTCTGAAGTTAGTACTACCATGTAGCCTCTATTATTTTAAAATTCCATCATTCCTAGTTTTTAAAATAAGGACAGGATCTCACTATGTTGCCCAGGCTGGTCTTGAACTCCTAGGCTCAAGCAATCCTCCTGTCTTGGTCTCCTGAAGTGCTGATGTTAGAGGTCTGAGCCACCACACCTGGCCCCTAATTTTTTAGTAAACCTAGTTTTTCAACATCTCCCACAGTCTGCCTTGTCTACAGAGGACAGCCGTAATTGAGCTCAACAACTCTGGTGTTTTTGTTGCTAAAGCACTGCTGTCTCTTTGATAAAAGGAGTGTTCTCTGGGCCCTGCTGCAAAACATAGATCATCCGTGGATTTCCAGCCTTACATAGTATATCTACTATAGTGGGCTCCCTTCTCTGAGCTTCCTGAGCCCTCTTTTGACCATCTGCCATGGTATTTCTGGAATGTCTACTTCATGTATGTGGATGTCACTTTTTCCAAGATTTCAAGAGTTATGCTGGCAGTGTGTTAGCACTGTTTCCTGAGGTGTTAAGTCACGTATCAGAAGATGGTGTTTCCATATCAATAAACTCTCCTTTATCCAACTTGAAATTCCACCTTCCTCTTGATGCTGCACCCCAAGATCCACTCTCACACACACTCTCCACCTCCATTGCATGGTGTCTTGGTGTGCAGCTCCCTCAGTGTATCACCCTCTTTCTTCCTTTATCCAGCCAGGAGATCTCATAAGGGATAATATCCAAAATATAAAAGGAACTCCTACCTTTTTTTTTTTTTTTTTTTTTTTTTTTTTTTTTTTTGAGACAGACTTTCGCTCTTGTTGCCCCGGCTGGAGTGCAATGGCACGATCGATCTCGGCTCACCAAAACCTCCACCTCCCGGGTTCACCAATTCTCCTGCCTCAGCCTCCTGAGTAGCTGGGACTACAGGTGTGCACCACAACACCCAGCTAATTTTTGTATTTTTAGTAGAAATAGAGTTTCACCAAGATGGCCATGCCCAGCTAATTCTGTATTTTTAGTAGAGACGGGGTTTCTCCCTGTTGATCAGGCTGGTCTCGAACTGCCGACCTCAGGTGATTCACCTGCCTCGGCCTCCCAAAGTGCTGGGATTACAGGCATGAGACAACAAGCCCAGCCAAGAACTCCTACCTTTTATATTTAGAAGGATATATTCTAACATGACTCCATGGCTGTGAAATTAGTCTCCCTACCAAGTGATATTCACTGGAAGCCTTCTCTTGGAACAACTAATTATTGGTCTGGTGACTAGGAGGCAATATGCAGGTAGATCCTGCCTGGAGCACGTGTTCCAAGGCAGCAGCTTCTGCGTCATTTTCAAAGGACACAGGGAATGCTGGACATTAACCTGGAGGAGCAGTGCTGGATCATTTCTGCTGATTTACCTTCTTCCTTCTACCTAATTCCTTCTTGCTATGTCCGATATGCTACTGATGCGTCCATTTAATTTTAGATATCTTATCAGATTTTTGTTTGCTTGTTTGTTTTGTTTATAGAATTGCTGTGTTTGGTTCTTTCCTAAATCTTCTAGGGCACTTTTCATAGTTTCCTGTCCTCTACAGAGATTTTCAAGTTTATTTCTTTGTTTTTAAATTTAATTTTCTTTTTTTTTTATTTTAATAGAGATGGGGGTCTTCTTCTGTCACCCAGGCTGGACTGCAGTGGTGCAATCGTAGCTCACTGAAGATCTCACCTCCTGGGCTCAAGCAATCCTCCTGCCTCTGCCTCTCGAGTAGCCAGGACTACAGACAGGTGTACATCACCATGCCTGGATAATTTTTTAATTTTTGTTTTTATTTTACTATTTTATTGTAAGACAGGGTCTTACTATATTGCCCAGGCCAGTCTCAAACCCCTAGCATCAAGCAATTCTGCATCAGCCTTCCAAAGTGCTGAGATTATAGGCATGAGCCACCATGCCCAGCCTCAAGCTTATTTCTTTAATCAAAACAATCATAGTTATTTTAACTTTTGACTAATAATTCCAATTTTTCATTGTGGTATTACTCTGTGACTGAATTATTTCACTTAGTATAATGTTCTCCAGGTTCATCCATGTTGTGTACTGCAGAATTTCCTTCTTTTTTGAGGCTGAATAATATTACATTGTCTATGTACCACATTTTCTTTACCTGCTCATCTGTCAGTGAACATTTAGGTTGTTTCCATATCTTAGCTATTGTGAATAATGCTACAGTGAACATGGAAGTGCAAATATTTCCTCAAGATAGTGATTTTATTTCCTTTGGATATATACCCTGAAGTAGGATTGCTGGATCATATGGTAGTTCTATTTTTAATTGTTTTTCTTGACCAACATGTTCTAATATATCTTTAATTTTTTTAGGAACCTCCATACTGTTTTCCACAGTAGCTGCACCATTTTACATTTTCACCAACAGTGTACAAGAGTTCTAATTTCTCTACATCCTCACCAATAATTGTTACCTTTCAGTTTTTTGATAATAGTCATCCTAATGGGTGTGAGGTGTTATTTCATTGTAGTTTTGATTTGCATTTCCCAGATGAATAGTGATATTGATATTTATATACCTATTGGCCATTTGTATGTCTTCTTTGGAGAAATGTCTACTCAAGTCCTTTGTCAACTTTTTAATCAGGTTAGGTTTTTCTTTGGGGTTTTTTGTTTTGTTTTGTTTTGTTTGTTTTTGCTTCTTTGCTATTGAGTTGTAGAAGTTCCTTTTAATTATATCTTGGATATTAACCCCTTGTGAGATATACGGTTTGCAAATATTTTCTTCTATTCCATAAGTTGCCTTTTAACTCTGTTGAGTGTTTCCTTTTCTGTGCAGAGGCTTTTTAGCTTGATGTAGTACCAACAACCTATTTTTGCTTTTGTTTCTTATGCTTTTGGTGTCATATCCAAGAAATCATCACCTATCCCAATGTCATGATGCTTTTTCCCTTATGTTTCCTTCTAGGAGCTTTACAGTTTCTGGTCTTAAAAATCTTTAATCCATTTTGAGTTGACTTTTTGTGTATGGTGTAAGATACAGGTCCAATTTCACTCTGATGACAGTTCCAATATTAGGATCTATGGTTCTGTTTAGGCTCTCAGTTGTTTCTACCAGTCTTCCTTTATGGAACTTTGTTTTCTGGGGTACCTGAATTCTTCAGCTGTGTGCAGGTTAATACTACTTTTAAAAAAGTATTTGTGAGCGAGCATCAAGGGTGAAAAACAAGTATTTTCTTTCAGACAACATTTGTGTGTGTTTGCTCCAGGTTCCCTGGAGGCATTGCTACCCAGTGACGATGTGAAACTGGTCAGCAGACTCCGGCTACATAGGTTATGAATTCTCCCAGGGACTGGAGGTGGCCATAGCCTGTTAGGGAGTTTTTTTACTTTCCTTTTTCATCTCCTACACCTCTCATTTCTGCATTCAGACTTTCCCATAAAATGTAGTTTGAATTAATAAATGCCTACTGTCTTTTCAGTACTTTTATGGTAATCTTTTCAAAAGTTTTAATCTAGCTTTTTTTTTTTTTTTTCTTTTTTTGAGACAGGGTCTTGCTCCAACACCCAGGCTGAAGCGCAGTGGCATGATTACGGCTCCCTGCAAATTCTGCCTCCCAGGCTCAAGCGAGTCACCAGACCCGGCTAATTTCTGTATTTTTTATAGAGATGGGGTTTTGCCATGTTGCCCAGGCTGTTCTCAAACTCCTGGGCTCAAGCGATCCTCCTACCTCAGCCTCCCAAAGCGCTGGGATTACAGGTGTGTGCCACTGCGCCAGCATAATCCAGCATTTTTAATTTTCTTAAGTAGAAGGAGATGCTGTCAGCCATTTTAGGAAACCAGATTTTTTGTTTTACTGTTCAGTGAGATTGTCTTTAATTGTGGAATCAAATTTTTATATTTTAGATTCTCCTATCATATCATTTATGTGGTATCCTATTTGATCTTTCCGATTTTTTTCAAAACTGGTTTTCCTAAAAAATGTGTCACAATTTATGTAGAATTTTTTTGTGCCACATTTAAGAATTACAAAGTGTGGGCCGGGTGCAGTGGCTCACGCCTGTAATCCCAACACTTTGGGAGGCTGAGGCGGGCAGATCACAAGGTCAAGAGATCGAGACCATCCTGGCCAACATGGTGAAACCCCGTCTCTACTGAAAATACAAAAATTAGCTGGGCTTGGTGGCACACACCTGCAGTCCCAGCTGCTCGGAAGGCTGAGGTAGGAGAATCGCTTGAACCCGGGAGGCAGAGGTAGCAGTGAGCTGAGATCATGCCACTGCACTCCAGCCTGGTGACAGAGTGAGACTCCGTCTCAAAAAAAAAAAAAAAAAAAAAAGAATTACAAAGTGTGGTCCTCATGTCCACAGTCCCAACTAGTTCCTCCATACTGATGAGAATTAAGTACAAAATAGTAATACATCTCACTGCTGCTTCTGCCTTCTGAGGGACAATATTTTTCAGCAAGTATATAAATATAAACATATAAATAAATAAGTAAATAGTAGATATCCAGTAAGTAAATATCCAGCTTTTAGAAGAGACTCCCTGGTGATAGCTGAATAATTGAAGATTTTCACTACTATAACTTGCTTCTGTGCCATAATCCTTATTAAATGAGTCATCATCCAAATATACAGCACCATGGTGGACTACACTCCTACCTTAGCCCTTGCCTTTGCCACTTTCTTTCTTTTTCTTTTCTTTCCTTTTTTTTTTTTTTTTGAGACAGAGTCTTGCTCTGTCACTCAGGCTGGAGTGCAGTGGCATGATCTCAGCTCACTGCAACCTCTGCCTCCCAGGTTCAAGAGATTCCCCTGCCTCAGCCTCCCAAGTAGCTGGGATTACAGGTGTCTACCACCACGCCTGGCTACATTTTGTATTTTTTAGTAGAAATGGGGTTTCACCATGTTGGCCAGGCTGGTCTTGAACTCCTGACCTCAGGTGATCTGCCCCGCCTGGGCCTCCGAAAGTGCTGGGATTACAGGTGTGAGCCACCATCCCCAGCTGTACTTTCTTTATCCTAAATGCTCTCCTCTGTACTTCATTTTTTGGGTTAATCTTCAAAAATACAAGCACCTACTTTAATACGCATTTGTCTGGGGCTCCCTTCATTGTGTACTTTAGCTCTTCATTTAAATGATCAGTTCCAGCCCATAAAATCTCAGTGATGTTTCTGAGATTCTATTTACCATCTAGTATTAAGCTTCATATATTAATAATATGTAGAGGGAGGCCAAGGCAGGAGGATCACTTGAGCCCAAGAGTTTGAGACCAGCATGGGCAACATGGCAAAACCCCATCTCTACAAAAATGTATGCCAGGCATGGTGGCACACGCCTGTAGTCCCACTTACTCGGGAGGCTGAGGTGGAAGAATCACTTGAATCTGGGAAGCCGAGGCTGCAGTGAGCCATAATCGTGCCATTGCACTCCAGCCTGGGTGACGGAGACCCTGTCTCTAATAATAATAATGATAATAATGTAGATACTTGAGAATGAAAGTAGATGTTTATTTTCTTCCCTGTAAATTTCTGGACACCACGCCTCACCTCCCCTTCCCACTGTACTTTGGTTGTCACACTTGTCATTCATAACATCTCATTTTACAGGCTTTTTTCTGGCCTTTTGACTCAATTACTGTCCAAGTCCTATTAATCATGTTGTTATTTAATTAACCAAACAAATATTTCTAATGTTGCTGAAATGTGTGTCTCCTTTTCCCAGCTATTTGATATTTGTGACTATGAATCTTATAATATCATCTATGTAGCCAGTTTGTTCATTTTTCGTATCCTCTTATCTTCTCTATAGTGATGACTTCCAACTGTAGCAGGGGGAAAAAATACAATATATGTCCCCAAGGCTTTCTATATCCTGCCCAGGACTATAAAATCACTAGAAATACATTTCAGATTTATTCTCTCGCTCAGCCTACAACAAATCAATAGGTGTGGACCAGAGTTCACATGTCTGATGTGATTTGTCCAGCATTTGGTTAGAACACTAAAGAAAGCACAAGTAGTTAACCAACATTTGTTGAGCAAGATCAGAACAATCACCCTTTGATATGAAGTCAGCACAAATCAGAAAATAGAATCAACCCTCTCACACACACACGCTCTAAAAGATGCTTTGAAAATTATATTTGATGAGACTAGATGTTTGTCTTCAGAGAAATCTCATTGCTGTTTCTCATTAAGAAAAAATGTAACTAAAAGAAACACATTCGTATATTTAAATGCCATCATAACTGAGGCATAGGGAATTATGTGGAATCTGAAAAATGGTGTCTTACTCTATTTTGTGCTGCTGTAACAGAATGCCTGAGACTGGATAACTGATAAAGAACAGAGGTTTATTCTCTTACAGTTCTGGAGGCCGCAAAGTCCAAGATCAAGATGCCGGCAGGTTAGGGCCCAGTCTCTCACTTCCAAGGGTGTACCTTGATTGCTGCATTCTCTGGAGAGGAGAAACACTATTACTCACATGACAGAAGAGGGAGCACCCACTCTCACAAGCCCTTTTTATGGTGACATTAATCCTAAACACCTCCCATTAGGCCCTACCTCCCAACACTGTTTGTCAAATTGGAGATTAGGTTTCAACATGAGTTTTGGAGGGGACAAAAATAATCAAACCATAGCAAATGAAAAATCAGTGTTCAGGGAACAGGATATGCTCATTCTTATGTTTAACGTGAGTTAATAAAATGAACAAACCTGTAGCTACCAAATGTTATTAAAATATATCCTAAAACATAAAATGTTCCTCAACAATATTTTTTCCTCAGTTTCATTGAGATATAACTGACATATAATAAACTGTCCATATTTAAAGTATACAATTTGAAGAGTATGACATATATACATCTGTGAGGCCATCACCACAATCAAAATAATGAACATATCTATCAACTCTATAAGCTTCCTCATGCCACTTTGTAATCCCTCCTTCCACCCATACTTCCCCCAACTCCTGACCCCAGGCAATCACTGATCTATGTCTGTCACCACAGACTATGATTCCATTTATATAAAATGCTAGAAGAGAAAAACTAAAGTATTTATTCTTTTTGGTCCGGCTTCTTTCACTCAGTATAATTATTTTGAGATTCATCCATACTATGTGTTGTCATCAATGCTACATTTCTTTTCTTTTTTTTTTTTTTTGAGACAGGGTCTGTCTATGTTGCCCAGTCTGGAGTACAGTGGCATGATCATGACTCACTGCAGCCTTCAACTCCCAGGCTCAAGCAATCCCCCTACCTTACCCTCCCAAGTAACTGGGACCACAGGCGCATGCCACCACATCCAGCTAATTACTTTACTTTTTGTACAGATGGGGTCTCCCTATGTTGCCCAGGCTGGTCTCAAACTCCTGGCCTCAAGCAATCCTCCTGCCTCAGCCTCCCAAAGTCCTGGGATTACAGGTGTGAGCCACCACACCAGGCCCACTTCATTCCTTTTTATTACTGAGGAGTATTCCATTCTGTGGATACATCTCAATTTGTTTACCCAACCTTTTGATTTATAATTTAGCCTTCTTCAATCAGCTTGTGCCCTCCTGTAAAAAGGCTTCCATGAATTCTCTTGTCACAGGAAATATTGATCAAATCACATTTTTGATGCCACGAAGCTGAGGGCAGACCTGGGACAGATGGTGTCTCCCACTGAGGGAGCGGAGGCCCCTGGGAGGTCAGTTTCTCCTGCTGCTGAACACCATCTTCCAATCACAACAGCAAGGAATTGGGAATGTGTCATTTTAGCTGTAAAGGAATGTACATGCAAAATGTCCTGATTAATGATTATTAAAGGAAAGACCATTTCTCTTTTCCCCAAACCCAACCTCTTTGTCACTTCAGACCCCTAAGGGAGCCTGTGCAACATCGGTGAAGGTTGCTATTGACACAGGGTACCGACATATTGATGGGGCCTACATCTACCAAAATGAACACGAAGTTGGGGAGGCCATCAGGGAGAAGATAGCAGAAGGAAAGGTGCGGAGGGAAGATATCTTCTACTGTGGAAAGGTGAGATCTTGCCTTCAGCCTCCACTGGGGACAGTGAGAAGGTTTCAGTTGTTCATTTTATTATTCATCTTCCGTGTGTGTGTGTGTGTAATTGCACTCATGAGTAGGCAGTACTTAATAACAGTTTGGGTTTGTTTGTTTGTTTGTTTGTTTGAAAGATAAGTGTTCAAATGAGACCAAAATCATGCAAAATAGGATTTTCAACATTCTTGTATCATATTAACGAATTATTTATTAGTTTGGGAGAAGTAAGCAGAGTAGCATTTAGGGGAGAGAAAGAGGGTTTTAAAAATGTATTTGGCTGGGTGCGGTGTCTCACGCCTCTAATCCGCACTTCGGGAGGCCGAGGCAGGTGTTTTGCTTGAGCTCAGGAGTTCAAGACCAACCTGGGTAACATGGCAAAACCTTGTCTCTACAAAAAAAAATACAAAAATTAGCCAGGCATGGTAACTTGCACCTGTAGTCCCAGATACTTGGGAGGCTGAGGCAGGAGGATGGCTTGAGCCAGGGAGGTCAAAGCTGCAATGAGTCATGTTCATATCACTGCACTCCAACCTGAGTGACACAGCGAGACCCTCTCTCAAAAAAAAAAAAGCATTTGAGCAAATGTAATTAACTCAGACATGGTATTCAGATTTTGTTTAATAAAAGCAAACAAACGTAAATTAAAAAAAAAAAAAAACAAGCTCATAAGGTCACCAATCCAAAAGCCAGCTATGTAGGCTTCCTGGGCAGGCACATTATGCAAGCCTTTTGCTTAATGACTCATATTATAGGAGTCATTTCTTACTATGATAGAGGCTAAAGTTAGCATACAAGGAAAAGGTGGTCAAAACATGCTTTAAATTGTCCTTTAACTTTAATCCTTTAAATTGTCCAAAAAGTACAGTTGTGAATAGAAAGCAATATTTATACGTATACAATGTCAATATGGGCTGTATGTAATAAAGCATACTTGGGCGAAATATTGGTGTTTACTTACGTAAACAGAAACAGTGTGTGCAGCTGAGTTCATGTAATGTGCCATTGCTATTGCCTCATCAGGACTGTCTTCACTGCAGCTCAGCAGCACCTGAGAGGCAATGTGGGGGTGATTAAGAGCCTAGACTGGTGCAAGGTTGCCCAGGTCAGAGGCCCAGATCTGTCACTATTGGCTGAGTTGCCTAGCATTTCTGGACCTCAATTTTTTTTCTCTGTAAAATGGGGATAATAATGTCAACTATTTCATAAAGTTGTTATGAGTTCACATTTACAAAGCACTCACACCGAACCTGGCACAAAGCTAATACTATGTATGTTTGTTGAATAAAAGTAAATTAAAATATCATCAGCCTATGCCCAGGAATGAAAAAGAAAGTAAAATAAATATCAAACAGAATTTCCACTTAGATGGGATTGCAATAGGAACACCAAAGAGACCCAGAGTAGCAATCAAAACACACGTAACACATTTTTCCACTACTCTCTTCATGTTAAATTTTCTCTGTGTTTTTAAGGCAAGAAAAAAATCATTGTCCAACAGAGGAAAAAATCAGATATTACCAATTTTGCTTACCCTTTCTTGTGACCAAAAAAAGTATGATTCAGGCCGGGTGCAGTGGCTCAAGCCTGTAATCCCAGCACTTTGGAAGGCAGAGGAGGAAGGATCACTTGAGGTCAGAAGTTCGAGACCAGACTGGCCAACATGGTGAAACCCCATCTCTACTAAAAATACAAAAATTAGCCAGGCGTGGTAGCAGGTGCCTGTAATCCCAGCTACTTGGGAGGCTGAGGCAGCAGAATCGCTTGAACCCGGGAGGCAGAGGTTGCACTAAGCCAAGATCAAGCCACTGCGCTCCAGCCTCAGCAACACAGCAAGACCCCGTCTCAAAAAAAAAAAAAAAAGAAAAAAGAAAAGTATGATTCTAAACTTATATCCCCCCAAAAAAATCTGTGAGCAAAACTGATATTCCAAAAGATGTACTAATTTGTCCTGTGGGTATAAGCAACCTTGGCACCGTATGTCTCAGACACTTAAGGGTACACATGCTCCAGTAGGATCAACCAAACCTTGATCCTTCATTATGTAATGCCTTAGCGAAAGAGTAATTTAATTGCTCTGGGGTCTAAGTAGGACCAAATAAGAACAAAAGATCAGTGAAAGCAAATCTAAATCTATGCACTAATTTAAAATTTCACCAGGCTTTCACACCACCTGTCACAATGTGAAGGACCCAGTGAAGCCACACGCATAACCATATTCCTTGCTCATTTTATCAGAGTGGCATGACAATAAAGTATCACGCTAGGTCAGGACATCTAGAACATTGTGTAACCCTAGTTATACAATGAGGAAAAATGCAAGCACTAAGCATCAGGAAATTCACCCGGAAATGGGGAAGACTGCCATCAAATTAGGTACTCTGTGGTCAAGGAGGATCTGTAAGTCTCTTGTGGTAGATTTGCATAAAATTATGTCTGGAGATGTGAGGGTGATCTGGCTGTAACATATGTCACCCCATTAGTCACCAGGGCTAATTCAGCTGATCTGGCTGTCTAGGCAATTGTACCTCTTGAAGCTGCACTCTCAGTGGAAGAGGACGGCTTTCCCTGATGAAGGAGGAGGGTTTTTAGGTCAAGTGTATGTGAGTAGCTGCACTCCCCTACTAGAACCTCCAAACAAGCTCTCAAGCTAGGCTCTGAGTGTCAAGAGTTTTATCAGCTCATCCTATACTCAGATGACACTGCATCATAAACATATTTTTGTGAAATGAAATGTGTGAATAAAATGTGTACAAGCGGCTAGGCACGGTGGCTGATGCTTATAATCCCAGCACTTTGGGAGGCTGAAGTGGGCAGATCGCTTGAGCCCAGGAGTTAAAGACCAGCCTGGGCAACATAGTGAGACCCCCCATCTCAAAAAAAAAAAATGTGTACGAGTGTTTTACAAAGAAAAAGGGGCTGCCTTATCGTAAAAAGCGTGTAGACATTAGTTAATTCTCCCTCTTTGATTCTTTCAGCTATGGGCTACAAATCATGTCCCAGAGATGGTCCGCCCAACCCTGGAGAGGACACTCAGGGTCCTCCAGCTAGATTATGTGGATCTTTACATCATTGAAGTACCCATGGCCTTTAAGGTGAGTTCAGATGCCCAAAGGTCAGGTCTCTGCACCCTGGCAACCATGAGCCAATAGCTATGTGCATGAAGCTCTGCACCATGAGCCAATAGCTATGTGCATGAAGCTCTGCACCATGAGCCAATAGCTATGTGCATGAAGCTCTGCACCATGAGCCAATAGCTATGTGCATGAAGCTAGCGTATTACTTGGCACCACAGAATATTGTGGTGTTTTGTTACCACAGATCAGAGAGTACTGACCTAGTCTGACAAATACCCGAGAAGATTATGTTAGCAGACTCAGGCTTGGTTTCCAAGTTTCTTGATTTTTTAATTCAATGCAATTTCTATTATACCATGTTTTTACAACTATAGTTTAAGCTCTCTGCATCAAACCAACATGTAGTCCTCTAACTGTAGCCCACCATTGAGACACACACCCTTCTTCCCACTCACACAGTCACAATCTCCGCCCTCATCCTCACTTTGTTAATGCTGACTCTTGTTCAAATGTCAGATTTCTAACCTAAGTCTTAAAAATTTAGAAAGACCCAGTGTACAATTATGTGTTGCTTAGCAATGGGATACATTCTGAGAAATGTGTCATGAGGTGACTTTGTTGTTCTGCAAACATCATATAGAGTGTACTTACACAAACCGAGGTGGTAAGGTTTTATTTACCATGGTAGACTGCATTACTTTTGTAATAACATGAATAAAACGCAAACACGTTGTGCCTAAATGGTATAGCCTATTACAGACTTAGGCTAGATAGCCCAGCCGATTGCTCCTAGGCTATAAACCTGCACAGCATGTTACTATTCTGAATACTGTAGACGATGGTAACACAATGGTAAATATTTGTGTATATAAACATAACATAGAAAAGGTACAGTAAAAATATGGCATAAAAGATAAGATACACCTATACCTGGCACTTACCATGAATGGAGCTTGCAGGATAAAAATTGGATGAGTCACGGAGTAAGTGGTGAGTGAATGTGAAGGCCTAGGTCATTACTGTACATGACTGGAGACTTTATAAACACTGCACACTTAGGGTACACAATGAATCACATAATATTTTTTCTTCAATAATAAATTAACATTAGCTTATTGTAACTGTTTTCAGCTTATAAATGTTTTAATTTTTTAACTTTTTGATTCTTTGTAATAATACTTAGTAGTAACACTAATACTAATTACTTTTTTTTTTTTTTTTGAGACAGAGTCTCGCTCTGTTGCCAGGCTGAAGTGCAGTGGTGCCATCTCGGCTCACTGCAACTTCCGCCTCCCGGGTTCAAGCGATTCTCCTGCCTCAGCCTCCCAAGTAGCCGGGACTACAGGCAAGCACCATCACACCCGGCTAAGTTTTGTATTTTTAGTAGAGACAGGGTTTCACCATGTTGGCCAGGATGGTCTCGATCTCCTGACCTCATGATCCGCCCACCTCGGCCTCCCAAAGTGTTGGGATTAATTACTTTTTTAATAACATGAATAAAACACAAACATGTTGTACAGCTGTATAAAAATATTCTTTCTTTGTATTCTTATTGTATAAGCTCTTGTCTATTAAATTTTTTTTTAAACTCTTTTGTTAAAAACTAAGACACAAGCACACACATTAGTCTAGGCCTACACAGGGTCAGCATCATCAATATCAGTGTCTTCCACGTCCACATCTCGTCCCACTGGAGGTTCTTCCGGAGCAATAACACGCATGGAGCTGCCATCTCCTGTGACAACAGTGTCTTCTTCTGGAATCCCTCCTGAAAGACCTGCCTGGCGTTTTTTTACACTTAACATTTTTTAAAAGTAGAAGGAGAACATTCTAAAATTATGATAAAGTGTAGTAGAACAAATATATAAGTTGTATCCATAGTAAAAACAGAAATTGTTTACTATCATTATCAAGTATTATATACTATACATGATTATGTGTGTTCTACTTTTATATACCTGGCAGCACAGTTGGTTTGTTTACACCAGCAACACCACAAACATGATGTCACTAGGTGATAGGAATTTTAAACTCTATTATAATCTTATGGGCCACCATCATACATGCAGTCCACCATTGACCAAAATGTCATTATGCAGCACATGACTCTACTTAAAAGTGAGAAAATAAAATTTACTTCTCTGTGACTAACTAATGACATTTACATCTTTTTGGACTTGATAGATAATTTCTATTCTTATTTTTGATGGGTTCAAAGGCACAAAAGGTAAAATTTTAACAGTGAGAAATGACACAATATAGTGACATTACCTTCCAACTGAACCTATAATTGGGAAATCAATATTTGAAGCTTAAGTACGACATGTTTTTTGGTGTTTGTTTGTTTGTTTGCTTAAGGTAGGGTCAGCCGGGGACAGTGGCTCACATCTGTAGTCCCAGTACTTTGGGAGGCTAAGGCTGGCAGATCACTTGAGTCCAGGAGTTTGAGACAAGCCTGGGCAACATGGCAAAACCCCATCTCTACAAAAAATACAAAAATTAGCCAGGCTTGGTGGCATGTGCCTGTGGTCTCAGCTACTTGGGAGACTAAGGTGGGAGGATCACTTGAGCTGGGGAGGTGGAGGGTGCAGTGAGCCAAGATTGCGCCACTGCACTCCAGCCTGGGTGACAGAGCAAGACCCTGTCTTGGAAAAAAAAAGAAAAAAGAGTGGGGGGGCAGTCTTGCTCTGTCACCCAGGCTGGACTGCAGTGGTGTGTGGCTCACTGTAGCCTTGAGATCCTAGGCTCAAGCAATCCTCCTGCCTCAGCCTCCCAAGTAGCTGAGACTACAGGTGTGTGCCACCACACTCACCTAATTTTTCAATTTTTCTTTTGTAGAGACAGGGTCTCGCTATGTTGACCATGCTGGTCTGGAACTCCTGGCCTCAAGCCATTCTCCCACTTCAGCCTCCCAAAGTGCTGGGATTACAGGCATGAGCCACCATACCTGACTTCACATGCTTTTTGAATCTTAAGTTTTTTTAAACAAAAAATCTTTTTTGCTAAAATATTTTTAGCACTTTATTATTTTTTAAGTGTCAAGCAGACAGAATTTTAGCCAACAAAATATTAAAAATTATGACATGTTTAAAAGATAAATGAACAAGAATGAGAGTCAATAGCATAGATTTTTAAAGGGTTGGGTTATTCTTCCAATAATACCTGACTGTGAGGAAGAGGAATGAAGGAAAGAGACAAAGAGGCTTATCGGGATGAAAGGATGAGTAAAATAGGCACAATGGAAGGTCAAGGGAAACACCTAGAGGTATCTAATGTGGGTTCAGGCTTGATAACCACCTGATTAGAATCTGGGAAAGTAAAAATCACGTAACAGAATTCATGATGGAGGCATAAGGCCATTCAGAAGGTAAGTAAAATTAGGAAACACAAGGTAAGAAATATGGAGCAGAAATGTGGGTCATAAGTGTTGAGAAATTCAAAGTGCTTAGAAATCAGAGACAGAATGGATAATTAACATGAATAATAATGTGGCATCAAGGAGAAAAGGGACTGTTCCCTGCTCTCAGGGAGATGGGAGGAAGTTGAAAAGACATTGTCTTTCCCTAAAGCAGACAATGGGGAAAATGTTTTCCATAAAGGAAAACTGAGTTTCACAAAGGTGAAATGCTAGAGGAAAAAATTAAAATTTTTGTTTTGTTTTGTTTTGTTTTGTTTTGAGATGGAGTCTTGCTCTTGTTGCCCAGACTGGAGTGCAGTGGCATGATCTCGGCTCACTGCAATCTCCGCCTCCCGGGTTCAAGCGATTCTCTTGCCTCAGCCTGCTGAGTAGCTGGGATTACAGGCGCCCGCCATCATGCCCGGCTAATTTTTGTATTTTTAGTAGAGACAGGGTTTTGCCATGTTGGCCAGGCTGGTCTCGAACTCCTGACCTCAGCTGATCGGCCCACCTTGGCCTCCCAAAATACTGGGATTATAGGTGTGAGCCACTGCGCCTGGCCAAATTAGGAACAAATTTAAGAGCATAATGGATTTTGTCCAATTGCTTGATTCCCTTCTCAGTCTGTTTTGTGCTGCTATAAAAGCATGCCTGAGGCCTGGTGCAGTGGCTCACACCTGTATTCCCAGCAATTTGGGAGGCCAAGGCAGGTGGATCACTTGAGCCTAGGAGTTCGAGACCAGCCTGGACAGCATGGTGAAACCTGGTCTCTACAAAAAAAATACAAAAAAATTAGCTAGGTGTGGTGGTGCACACCTGTAGTCCCAGCTGCTCAGGAGGTTGAGATGGGAGGATCACCTGAGCCTGGGGACATCGAGGCTACAGTGAGCCATAATCATGCCACCGCACTCCAGCCTGGACAGCAGAGTAAGACCTTGTCTCAAAAACAAACAAACAACAACAACGGAAAAAGAATGCTATCATTCAGAAACATTTCCTTTAAAAGAAAAAAAAAAGAATGCCTGACACTGGGTAATAGATAATAAACAGAAATGTATTGGCTCAAAGTTCTAGAAGCTGGAGAGTTCAAGACCAAAGTACCAGCACCTCACTAGAGCCTTCTTGCTATGTCATCACATGCTGGAACGAGGAAGGGCAAAGAGCACAAGAAAGCACCCCTCCTCGTCTGAGCCCTTTTTACAATGGCATTAATCCACGACTGAACAACTCCCATTAGGCCCCACCTCCCAACACAGTTGCACTGGGGATTAAGTTTCCAACACATGAATTAGGGGGGACACATTTAAACCA
Source organism: Homo sapiens (assembly GCF_000001405.40). NCBI lineage: Eukaryota > Metazoa > Chordata > Mammalia > Primates > Hominidae > Homo > Homo sapiens. Next base: position 138,096,575 of record NC_000007.14, read on the forward strand.
CAGCAATTCCCAATAAGAAAATCCCTATTACCAAAGTCAACAAAGACTTTCATCCTGCCAAATTCAATAGACATTTTGTCTTCCTATTATTTGATCTCTTTCAATACAGTTGACTACCACCTTCTTCTGTAAACATTTTCTTCTCATGGTGTTCGTGACATCTCATGACCCTCTCATGGTCTTTGGCAGCTTCTTCTCTGCCAGCTTCCAAATGTTGTTATGCCCAGTCCTCTACCCTCAATATTCTTGTCTTACTAGCTACACTCTCTCTATAGGTGACTTAATCCAATCATGTGGATTTAATACCATTTTACATGCTAATGACTCCAAATTTTATCTGTAGCCATGACCTCTCTCTGAGCTCTTGACTTCTCTGTTCAACTGCCTCCCTCAATATCCACTTGAATGTCTAGTGACCATTTCAAAGTCAAAATATCCAAAATGATATTCTGGATTCCTAGCCCCAACCTCAAGAAATGGTTACCACCAACCACCCAAGGCATCTGGGATCATCTTTGATTTCTCCCTCTCCCTCATTCCCACCACCCCACCTCATTTCCAAGCCAACATTAAGGCATGCTGGCTCTACTACTCATTCATGTGCTAATCTGTTCCCTTCTTTTCCTCTCTACTGCAGTTGCCCCAGTCCCAGACACCATCAGCTCTCCCCTATTGCATACAGCCCGTTAGGTTGATTTCCCCAGAAGCAGACCCTGAGATGAAGAGAATGCATACAAGAGTGATTTATTTCGAAGTACTGTTAAGGGAGTGGGGAAATGTGGCTGAAAAATAAGAGGTTAAGCAGATGTGAGGTAGAAATCAGAGTCCTACAGAGAGCAACTTAGGCTAAATGTCACAGAAAGCTCTGGAGACAAAGTTGTTCACATCTCAGAATTACACAGTCACAAGGCAAAGAAACAAATATTGATACTTGTAACTTTAGTTCAAAGGCTGTCCCAGCAGGGGGAGCAGGGTGTAAATTCCTGGGCACATCTAATTGAGTAGATACACAAGTCCCAGTAGCCTGAGGTCTGTCCTCTAACAGATGCAGGTGTCAGCTGTACAGAGTGAGAGGACAGTGCACACAAGACAGGTACTGGCATCCCAGGAAGCATGGGCAGGTGTCTTAATCCAGCTGGGCCGCTATGACAAAATACTTTAGACTGGGTGATTTAGAAACAATAGACATTGATTGCTCACAATTATGAAGACTGGGAAGTCTAAATTCTATTATTTAATTCCCAGATATAAATAAAATGAATTACATTTATTCTTTTTTTTTTTTTTTCAGCCAGGAGATGAAATATACCCTAGAGATGAGAATGGCAAATGGTTATATCACAAGTCAAATCTGTGTGCCACTTGGGAGGTAAGTTCAAATGTGCTTCTTATTTTAAAAGACGATATTTTTAAAACTGTGATCTGATTATTCCTGTCATATTTATGGAGAGAGATGCACCCTTTACTTTCAATGAAAAGTAACAGTCAGAACAGGCATTCCTAACCATAAGTACAGGTATATGAAATCTCCACTTCTGGGTACTAAATAATTCTTACTTTTGTTTTGCTGGAATGCCAAAGAAAAGAGAGAGGGGTGGAAGGAAAAACAGTGTAAACAAAATATGTTCTAATATAAAAGTAATTAAAATATATGAATAAGATAAATTCACAAATCAAAAAATATATATCAAGTTGTTAATATGATGCCTACAAGAAACAAACTTAAAATGATACATAAAAAAACTGAAAAACAGGCCAGTCGCAGTGGCTCACACTTGTAATCCCAGCACTTTGGAAGGCCAAGGTGGGCGGATCATCTGAGGTCAGGAGTTCGAAACCAGCCTGGCCAATGTGGTGAAACTCTGTCTCTACTAAAAATAAAAAAATTAGCCAGGCGTGGTGGTGGGCGCCTATAATCCCGGCTACTCAGGAGGCTGAGGCAGGAGAATTGCTTGAACCTGGGAGGCAGAGGTTGCAGTGAGCCGAGATCATGCCACTGCACTCCAGCCTGGGCGACAGAGCAAGATGCCGTCTCAAAAACAGGAACAACAACAAAAACCTGAAAAGCAATTCTGTTTTTTATTTCTGGGAAAGCTGCTGGCTCTTTTCCCAAGATCACAAGAGTAGACAACTATAGGAAAATAATAAATAAACCCTTATGGATTCGTGGTGGGGAGGGATATTTTGAACTTGTTTGCTTAGAGGTGGTGTGGCAGCTCCGACCTAGAGTAGAAGTCAACCCAACAAGCAGGAAGAAGATAATACAGGAGAGGATCGGTTGGTCCTTTTGCACTTCCTTCACCCCTGCCATAGCCTGGGAACAAATGTTGCCGCACAGGTGGAAACTCAGGACTCAGTTGTAGAGCAGCCTTGAGATTCTGAACTTGTGAAAAACTGAGGAAAAACATAAGTTACCCACTGACCTCTGGCAGTTTTTTTTTCCCACCGATGTGATTCCAAACTCCAAAAGTTTGGAAATTACACTCTGGTAAGTACCTCTTTCTATATACTTGCCTGTGAGGCAACAGCTGAAGGTCTGAGCTGTGGAGTTGTTTCGAGGGGCGAGGAGGAATGATTTATTTCCCAGTGCCCGGGGCTCTGTCCAAAAGAACACGCAGTCACTCCCGACCTCATTGGAGGGAATCAGGTTTGGACAGTTGGACATTTTGAACATTCTGTTCTAAGGGACTGCCTAACAGGATAGCCAGTATCCCCAGGAAAAAATGATTTCACAGCCCAAAGTAATAAGGCATTTGTTTCACAAGAAGACAATACATCTCAATTACTGATCCAATGTAAACAGAACAGAGAACCAGGAACTTCTAAATTAACCAATTAATATATTAGAGAACATAAGAAAAGATATTAGCAATATAAAACGTGAACAAACAACATTTTAAAAAACAAGCTAAAATAAAAATTAAAAAATAAAAACACAATGCAATTGGTTGGGATAAATAGAAGAAAATGGTCAAATTGAGATATCAGAATGAGGAAATCTCTCAATATGAAGAAGAAAAGGACAAGAATTTTTTAAAATATGAAAGAAAAGCTAAGAAATTCAAAGAATAAAATTAGAAATTCCAATATCCACACAACTGGACTCTAAGAAAAAAGAAAGAAGAAAAAATAAAAGGAAACAAGAAGGTGGGCATAGTGGCTCATGCCTGTAATCCCAATGCTTTGGGAGGCTGAGGCTGGAGGATCACTTGAGCACAGGAGTTCAAGACCATCCTGGGAAACATAGTGAGACACCCATCTCTACAAAAAAGAAAAAAAAAGGGGGGTAATAGTTAAAGAAAAAAAAAAACACGAAGATCTTAAAGGGACCATGGAGCACAAAAGAGGAAAGATGAGGAATATCACGGGTGAGGTGACCTGTAGTCCCAGCTACTTGGAATTCTGAGGTGGGAGGACCACTTGAGGCCAAGAGTTCAAGGCCACAGTGTGCTATAGTCATGCCTTTGAACAGCCACTGAACTCTAACCTGGGCAATATAGCGAGATTTCATCTCAAAAAAAAAAAAAAAAAAAAAAAAAAAAAACATAAAGAGAAAATGTTAAAACTTCCAGAGCATAATAAATAATCCAATAAAGAAGGCAAAATGGAATAACAAAAATAATCAATCCAAGACAAAGCAGAAAAAAAAAGAAAAGGGGCAATAAACAGATGAGAAAAGTAGCAAATAAAGGGCAAGATGGGAGATTTAAACTCACTAATATCAATAATTGCAGTATATATAAATGGTCTAAGCACCCCAATTAAAAGGCATAGATTATCAGAATGGATATAAACCAAGTCCCACTATACATTATACACAAGAAATCCATCTTAAATAAAAAGTCACCAACAGGTTAAAAGCAAAAGTCTTTCAAAAAGCAAAAGGATAGAAAAAGATATATTAGGCTAACACTAGTAAAAATAAAGCTGCAGTCGCTATTTTAATATCAACAAATACTTCAGAGCAATGAGTATTACATGGGATAAAGAAGATTATTATATAATGATAAAGGAGTCAATCCTAAACATCTATGCCCCTAATAACAGAGCTTCAAAATACATGAAGCATCATCTAAGAGAACCGAACAGAGAAAGAGAAAAATCCACATTTATAGTCAGAGATTCTTTTTTTTTTTTTTTTTTTTTTTGAGGCGGAGTCTCGCTCTGCCGCCCAGGCTGGAGTGCAGTGGCGCGATCTCAGCTCACTGCAAGCTCCACCTCCCAGGTTCACGCCATTCTCTTGCCTCAGCCTCCCGAGTAGCTGGGACTATAGGTGCCCGCCACCACGCCTGGCTAATTTTTTGTACTTTTAGTAGAGACGGGGTTTCACTGTGTTAGCCAGGATGGTCTTGATCTCCTGACCTTGTGATCCACCCTCCTCCGCCTCTCAAAGTGCTGAGATTATAGGCATGAGCCAACGCGCCCGGCCTATAGTCAGAGATTCTATTAAAATGATATCATACTAAAATGATAAGTATACAGAAAGAGCTATAGGATATAGGAGATTTAAACATTATCAACCTTCTTAACCTGACATTTATAGAACACTTCACCAAAATATAAGAGTGTTTTCTTTCCCTCCCTCCCTCCCTCCCTCCCTCCCTCCCTCCCTCCCTCCCTTCCTTCCTTCCTTCCTTCCTTCCTTCCACGAGTCTCGCTCTGTAGCCCAGGCTGGAGTGCAGTGGCGCAATCTCAGCTCACTGCAACCTCCGCCTCTCGGGTTCAATCGATTCTCCTGCCTCAGCCTCCTGAGTAGCTGGGATTAGAGGCTCACGCCACCATGCCCAGCTAATTTTTGTATTTTTAGTAGACATGGGGTTTCACCATGTTGGTCAGGCTGGTCTCGAACTCCTGACCTCGTGATCAACATGCCTTGGCCTTTCAAAGTGCTGGGATTACAGATGTGAGCCACCGCGCCCGGCAACATAGGCCATTTTTCGAGCCATAACATAAATCTCAATAATTCTTCAAGTATTTTAATTATGCAAGGTATGTTGTCTGATCAAACAGGAGGCACACATGTAAATAACCCATAAGACCTAAAAAAATTAAAATCTTTATCTAGATGTAATTTATATATTAGCAACACACAATTGGAAATTATTTTTAAAAACAATGCTAAACATTAAATATTTAAAGATAAATCTAAAAGAATCTGTGCAAGAGCTATACAGTAAAAACAACTTATTACTGAAAGAAATAAAAGATGATCCAAAATTCAATGGAGAGATATACCATGTTCCTTGATCAGAATATCAAGATGTTAATTTTCCCCAAATTCATCTGTAGATTCAATGTAATCCCAGTCAAAATCCCAATAGAAATGGAAAACCTACTTCTAAAATTTATATGGGGCCTGGAGCAGTGGATTATGCCTATAAATCCCAGCACTTTGGGAGGCCATGGCAGGTGGATCACATGAGGCCAGGAGTTCGAGACCAGCCTGGGCAACATGGCAAAACCCTGTCTCTACTAAAAACACAAAAATTAGCCAGGCATAGTGGCGCCCATCTATAATCCCAGCTACTTGAAAGGCTGCAGCATGAGAATCACTTGAACCTGAGAGGCGGAGGTTGCAGTGAGCCGAGATCCCACCACTGCACTCCAGCCTGGGTGACAGAGTGAGATTCTGTCTCAAAAAAATAAAATAAAATTTATATGGAAGTACAAATAACCTATAATAGCCACAACAACTTTTTGAAAAAGAGCAATAGCCAAGCACAGTGGCTCATACCTATAACCCAGCACTTTGAGAGGCTGAGTGGGGAGAATTACTTGAGCCTAGGAGTTCAAGACCAGCATGGGGAACACTGAGACCCCGTCTCTACAAAAACATCAAACAATTAGTCGTGCATGGGAGTTGCATGTGCCTGTGGTCCCAGCTACTCAGGAGGCTGAGGTAGGAGGATCACTTGACCTGGTAGGTTGAGGCTGCAGTGAGCTATACCACTGCAACCCAGCCTCAGTGACAGAGCAAGACTCCATCTCAAAAATAAAAAGCAATAAGTTTGGAGGGCTTATACTAATTTCAAGAATTATTATACAACTATTAGAATCATGACAGTGCCATATTAGCATAAAGAGGAACATATAGATCAATAAAACATAATAGAGAATGTTAAAATAGACCCATACACATATATGGTCAGTTGATTTTCAACAGAAATGCCAACGCAATTCAATGGGGAAGGGTAATCTTGTACTACAACTGGCCCATACCAGCTTGCAAGAACCCGTTGTGCAAACCTCTTCCTAACTCCACATTCAGTGATGTCGGGTTGTTAGCTTGAATAGCCCGGTGTGAATAGTTACATCACAGACATTCTCAAATACTACAAACTGGGGAGCTTTTTTCTTCCTGGATAGCTGGTTGTTAAACATTTATCAGTATTCCACTGGAGGTGTTCATGATCTTGATTGTAATGATGATTTTACAGGTGTATGCACACATTAAAATTCCTCAAAATGTACACTTCAAAAATGTGTAGTTTATTGTACATCAGTTATAACTCACCAAACTAGAAGGCAAAAATAATGCATGATAAAAAGTTGCACATCTACACATGCTCAGAAATTTTGCCACATAAAGACTCACACTGGAAATCATTAGGTCCGATTGATGTACTAAGTGAAAGGAACAAAAATCTAACAGATGCTCCAAAAAAAATGCATAAAGCAAAAGTGATCAAATTAAACTTAAAGTGTGTATTATCTATAAAAATATTAAGATCAAATAATAAAAGGAAAATGAACCCATAATACGCTACAATTAAAGTTTATATATATACTATTAGCATCACAGATGTTGAGGGTAGATAAATACCGTGTGAACATGCTAAGTTATTGTCTTTATTAGAAAACTTCTTAAAAGTAATAAAGAGTTAAGAAGAAACAGGATAAGTGGGATAAATTGAAATAAATCAAGATGGTAGAAACAGTTCAAATATATGTATGGTTGCAATAAATGTAGATAAAATAAACTCACCTAGACAGAGATTGACAATTTAAAAGGAGGCACCTAAGCAAAAAGACATGTGAAAGTTAAAACTTTACAGGTAAAAAAAAACACACACTCACCAAATACCGGAAAAAGTTGGTATTACTATATTAATATCATATAACACAGACTTAAAAATTAAAAGCATTATTAGGGATAAAAAGAGTTGTGCGTGAAGATGAAAGATTGAATTTACCAAAAAGATATACTAATTTTAAGCACATATATATCAAATAAAGTATCTTCAAAATATATAAAACAAAAAATTGACAGAATACAGGAGGACATTGGCTCATGCCTATAATCCCAGCACTTTGGGAGGCCAAGGTAGGAGGATCACTTGAGGCCAGGAGTTTGAAATCAACCTGGGCAACATAATGAGACCCCCCTCATCTCCAAAAAATATTTTAAAAACAAAATTTAGCCAGTGTGGTTGCAGATGCTTGTAGTCCAGCTACTCAAGAGGCTAAAGAGGGAGGATCTCTTGAGCCCAGAAGTCAAGGCTGCAGTGAGCAAAGATCCCACCACAGCACTCCAGCCTGGGTGACAGAGCAAGATACTGTTTCAAAAAAAAACACAGAAGAACATTAATAAATCACCAGTATAGTAAGAGATTTTTGACATATTCCTTTCAGTTTTTGACATATTCCTTCTGTTAATTTTGACATATTAATTTCAGTTACTGAGAAGCCAAGAAGAGCTAGACCTAATTTTATATATAACATGTGTGTATGTATATTTACATACATATATGTATGAGAGAGAGAGGAGAGACAGAGTGTTACATCCAAAAATGGGAGAATGTATCTATTTCACATATACCAGAATGTTTATAAAAATTGCCAGCCAGGCGCAGTGGCTCATGCCTATAATACCAGCACTTTGGGACACTGAGGCAGGTGGATCACCTGAGGTCAGGAGTTCGAGACCAGCCTAACCAACATGGTGAAACTCCATCTCTACTAAAAATATAAAACTAGCCGGGCGTGGTGGTGCATGCCTGTAATCCCAGCTACTTGGGAGGCTTGAACCTGCGAGACAGAGTTTGCAGTGAGCCGAGATCGTGCCATCGCACTCTAGCCTGGGCAACAAGAGCAAAACTCCATCTCGGAAAAAAAAAAAAAAAAGTGCCCAGGTACTATGCCATAAAAAAAGTACCCAAAAATTTCAAGAAGTAGGATCATTTTAAAAAATTGTTTTTAATTGAGATAGGGTCTCACTCTGTTGCTCAGGCTGGAGTGCAGTGACACAGTTATAACTCACTGCAGCCTCAATTTCCCCAGCTCAAGTGGATCCTCCTACTTCAGCCTCCTAAGTAACTGGGACTACAGGCATGCACCACCATGCCTAGTTAATTCTTGATTTTTATTAGAGATGAAGTCTCACTCTGTTGCCCAGGCTGGTCTTGAACTCCTGACCTCAAGTGATCCTCCTGCCTTGGCCTGCCAAAGTGCTGGGATTACAGGTGTGAGCCATCGCGCCCTACCTGGGATCACTAAAGTGTGGTAAATACCTTGAGAAAATACAAGGGGAAGATATGGCATACACATGTTTTCCAAATTCAATCATAGAATTACTGCCTTTTCCCACCATCCTTCTTTTACTTTTTTTCGCAAGATGCTTATTAACATACCCAGGAACTTTCCTTTTTAAAGAATTCACAGTCACCCTTATAAACATTCATTCTTGCTTCTTGTGAGGCTTGTTTGTTGACCTGTGGACATTTACTCTACAGGCGATGGAAGCTTGCAAAGACGCTGGCTTGGTGAAATCCCTGGGAGTGTCCAATTTTAACCGCAGGCAGCTGGAGCTCATCCTGAACAAGCCAGGACTCAAACACAAGCCAGTCAGCAACCAGGTACAGCCTAATAGCTTCCACTAGGGTGTGGGGAGTGGGGGCAGGATTTACATGACACAAAGAAGCCTCAGCTGGGAGTCAGGAAGGCTCATGATTGCTCCACCTAAATCTCATCATGGGACCCTGTGCAAGTCTTTAGACTTCTTTCTATTGGTGTCACTTTAAAAAACGGACTTGGGGCCTGGTGCGGTGGCTCACGCCTGTAATCCCAGCACTTTGGGAGGCCGAGGCAGGCGATCACGAGGTCGGGAGTTTGAGACCAGCCTGACCAACATGGTGAAACCCCGTCTGTACTAAAAATACAAAAATTAGCTGGGCTTGGTGGCACATGCCTGTAATCCTAGCTACTCAGGGCTGAGGCAGGGGAATTGCTTAAACCCGGGAGGTGGAGGTTGCAGTGAGCCGAGATTGCGCCACTGCACTCCAGCCTGGGCGACAGAGTGTGACTTCGTCTAACAACAACAACAACAACAAAAAAAAATCTAATGAAAATCAATGAAAAAAAATGAGAAAAAACACTAAGGCTCAACAGAAAAAGGAGTAAAAGGAATGAACAGAAATTCACGAAAGACAAATTGCAAGACTGGTACACATGAAAAAAAACTCACTATTAATTAGAGAAACTTAAATTGAAGTGTGATTTTTCTATTGCACATCAAATTAGCAAAGTTTTTGTCTTATTAATATTTTTAAATATAATGCCCCCGTGTAGGCAAGTGATTAAATGCTAGTGAGTGCAAATTGGTTCAGCCTTACTAAAAAAACAATTTGTCAATATGTATCAAGGGCCTTAAAAAATGTTCACAGTCCTTTATTTCTGCAATCTATGCTAATAAAAAAATATCAGAATGCCTAGATAGACTGATGTGTGTTTACTACAACATTGTTCATAATGGAAAAAAATGGAAACAACATAATACAAAAAATTAAGGGGATGATTAAATAAGTTACAAGACATTCATATTATGTGAAATCTTAACAAAAGATGTTCTTGAATCCATTTTAAGGAAGCAAAATGAACAAGATATGAAGGGACAGACTAGGACACGAAATGTATATAGTATGAAGGAGATTCTATTAATAAAATGGATTTTATTGAAGAATTTTTTTTAACAGTACAATTGCATTCAACAACGTGGCCTTGATTTTGTGCTCTGCTCTCCAATGCAACCACATAGGTTGAGTGCCATCCGTATTTCACCCAGCCAAAACTCTTGAAATTTTGCCAACAACATGACATTGTCATTACTGCATATAGCCCTTTGGGGACCAGTAGGAATCCAATCTGGTAAGTAAAACTTTAGGAAGCATTTCCTTTGGTGTAGAGTGTGAGGCTCATGTGAACTACTGTATTTGATTGGAATGCCTTTTGGTTTGCCTGTGCAACCTCTTCAAGTCATTATCTGTATATATGAATTAGAACTTTTCATACTTTCCTGACTGAGCTGTTGTAAAATTGATTACATTATAGGTATGAAATTGCCTATCAGTGCCTGATATATAGGAATGCTCAGTAAAAGTTAGTTTAATTATTATTTGACAAAGGAGTTTCTATGGCCATGTTTTGCAAATTTTCAATCTTTTGATCTCTGTATTCAATAGTGATACTTCTACTATGATGTGCTCCATAAACTTAAGTAGAAATTTTTCTACTTTAAGATGATTCCAAAAGTTGTGTCTCTATTTCTTCCACTTCAGTCTTCCTACCTTTCCCTGTATGCCAGCTCTCTCTATAAGACTCATCAAAAAATATTATTTACCCTCTGAAGGAGGCAGCTCCATAAACTTGCCTTGCTTGATCTTCCCATACTACGAGTAACTCTCCATTCAGTGCATACTCTGCACTCAGAGAAACTGGTTACAGGTGACCTGCAGTGTCCTGGTAGGTGACTGGGTGAATGGGAAGACAGAGGAGGAGGATGGTTTATTAACCTTTGGTTCTCATTATGCAAACTAATTATGATGCATGTTTTGATATTTTTAAGGGTGAATGTTTCTTCTCCACCTTTGTTAAAGGATGCACTTCTAAACTCATTGGGGAAAAGGTACAATAAGACAGCAGCTCAAATTGTTTTGCGTTTCAACATCCAGCGAGGGGTGGTTGTCATTCCTAAAAGCTTTAATCTTGAAAGGATCAAAGAAAATTTTCAGGTAAGAGAATTGCTTTTGGAGATGTGAAAAGATGGGTATGTTTGCTATTTTTGCTTTTATAGAATGTGTTCAGCTTAATAGGAAACCTGTAACACTCTCATATTTTATTTTATACCAGCCCCTTGACCCATGTAGCCCATATCTAGGTTTAATTTTCATTCAATTTGAGACAATTGCTAGTACTTCAGAGATTGCTTTGCTACTTGTACACTATCCAGATCTCTTATATTTTCTCTTTCCTTATCTACTTTTTATTTTTTGTTTTAAATTTTTTTTTTGTTTGTTTAGAGATAGGGTCTTGCTATATTGCCCAGGCTAGTCTGGAACTCCTGTCTTCAAGCGATCCTTCCACCTTGACCTCCCAAAGTTCTGGGATTACAGGCGTGAGCCACTGTACCCAGCCTCTTCCCTTATCTATTGACCCTTGACACTACCTACTCACTTCTCTACCAGCACAACAGAAATTGAGTGAATAAAATTTGGAATTCATAATAGTCAACTTTCCACCTTCTTAATGGCTCTGGTAAAAGTTGAGGACAAATTTGAAAATTATTGAAGAGGACCATTTAGACTTCATGAATGCTAATTGCCTTTACTTCCCTCTATAAGTAATCTATGACTTACGTTGTAACTTCCAAGTGAAGAAAGAACTAGACAAAGGGGTAATTCATTTATTCCGCTACTACTAAAGACTAAACTGCTAGGTAAACACAACCATAGAAAAGTGCCATACAAAATTAATTAATTACCCATTAGCTAATTTACATTTCAAAAGTAAATTGCCTGTTTAGCCCTACTCATAATTAAAGATAAATAAAAAGTAAGATACTAGTTGTCCCTTCATATCAGAAAATAATCAAAATACTTGGTAATATTTGGGGAAACAGGCGCTTTGACACACTATTGTTAGAAACATTAATTTGTATGAGATATGGAAGAGTAGGTTAAATTATTTCATGTCCATCAAAATTCAAATGTACATGTTACATGATTTATTTATATGTGGAACCTAAAAAAGTTAATCACATAAAAGTAAGGAGTAGAATAGTGGTTACCGGAGGCTGAGATTATTGAAGGGAGGGTGCTATGAGGAGATGTTGGTCAAAAAAGTTGTGATTACAGTTAGAAGGAACAAATGTCAAGAGATCTATTGTACAAAAAGGTGTCTATAGTTGATGATGATATAGTGTATTCTTGAAAAACATAAAGAGAGTGCATCTTATGTGCTCTTACCACAAAAATGATAACTATATGAGGTAATGCATTTGTTAATTAGCTAGATTTAACCACTCCACAATTTATATGTATGTCAAAACATCATGTTGTATATGATAAAAACATACAATGTTATCTGTCAAATTAAATAAATTCAAATACACTTATCCATTGACTCAGCAGTCTTACCCTATAGATGTATTTGCACATATATACATGGGTGCACACACACAGACAGATGTTTATTATAGAATTCTTTGTAATTTTTTAAAAACTCAAAACAATCTTCAACAGGATTTTATAAAACAAGCTATGACATATTTGTACACTGAAATATCATATAGCCATTTAAAAAATACAAGTACTGACATAGGAAGATAGCCACAATATTAGACAATTACATCTTCAGAGCTTTTTTGCTACATGATAGAATGCAACTCAAACTTTAGCAAAAAATAAAAGATAATTTATTGGCTTGCATAACTGGAAAGTCCATGAGTAGATCAGAAATGGCTAGACACAGGTACTCAAATGATTTATAAAGAGATTTAGTCCTCTCTCTCTCTCCCTCCTTTCTCTCCACCCACATGGTGGCACAGACAATTCCTAACAGCTCCAGGATAATCAATTACTCATACTCAGTGAAGAGTGAAGATGATCAGAAACAAAGTCTTCTATCAGGGTCTCTATCAATCCCTGATTAGCTCCTGAAGGTCACCCTCATATTACCCACTGTGGCCACTGAGTAGGATACCCTGACCCCAGGGCTATATCCCTATTCCTGTGCTGAAGAAGTTAACAGACAGCTCCACTAGAAGGGGGAAGGAAAGTTCGTAAAAAGAAAAAAGGCGAAAAGATGCTGAATAGTTACATCAACTCCTGACAATAACATTTGCCAAAATGCCTCATCCTAAAAAGTGGTTGACACTCTTTTCCACAATCTTAGAAAGAGATCAACTGCATTACTAATGTGTAGGCTCATTGAAGATTAAAACACATTTTGATGGACTTTTTGAGGACTGAAAATTTTGCTGTTCAAAAATTATAGGAGTGTTACAAGTGACCTTTGCGATGGAAAGCATTTGGACTTTATAGCATCTAGCAAATCGCAATTTTGTACCAGAGAAAATGCCACTCTCCTTGAAATTTTCATTGTAACTAATTATGTTATATTCCATATGTTTCCATAGCCTTGATAATAAAAGAATGGAACTCAGAGGTCACATATTCCAAGAAAAAAACGGATACAGATTTAGAAGGAAAATGAGAATGAAAATCACAGCCAATTCTCACTCTTTAGGGAATAGACTCACCCAATAACCATGAATTTTGCTGGGTATGAAAGCAAGGAGCAACAAAATAATAAATTATGCTCTCTTAGAATGAAGGTAAAATAAACTGTTAGAAATATTTTAAAAGAATGGCAAAGATCAATAAAGCATAAAGAATAAAGGGAAAAATAAATATTTTGATGAAAAAAGAAAAGCAAAAGAAAATAAAAACTATGTAGTAAAAAGTTAAGACTGGGCACAGTGGTTCACACCTGTAATCCCAGCACTTTGGGAGGCCGAGGCAGGAAGATTGCTTGAGACCAGGAGTTTGAGAGCAGCCTGGGCAACAAAGCGAGATCCCATTGCTTTAAAATTAAAAAAAGTTAAGTTAAATCATCAGTTTAGGCTGGGTGCGGTGGCTCACTCCTCTAATCCCAGCACCTTGGGAGGCTGAGGCAGGTGGATCACCTGAGGTCTGGAGTTTGAGACCATCTTGGCCAACATGGCAAAACCCCATCTCTACTAAAAATACAAAAATTAGCCGGGCATGGTCATGGGCGCCTGTAATCCCAGCTGCTCAGGAGGCTGAGGCAGGAGAATCGCTTGAACTAGGGATGCGGAGTTTGCAGTGAGCTGAGATCATACCATAGCACTCCAGCCTGGATGACAAGAGTGAAACTTTGTCTCAAAACAAATAAACAAAAAACCATGAGTTTAAAAACTAGATAAAATTAAAGGTAAACATGAAGAAAGCTAATACGGAGCCAGGATATTTTAAAAGTTAAAATTTTAAAAAAAAGAAATTATACCAGGTGTGGTCCAGCTTTGTTGCCATCATCCACTGGCCTCCATTCTTTGAAGATGTTATCTCTGGGCTCACTTTCACTTTCTCCAACACTCTTCCTCTCATAATTCTTAGTGAATTCAACATCCACACCAGTCGTTCTCCACCCTTATCCGACAGCTCTTTGACTTCCTCTCCCATAAGAATCTTGTCCTATATATTTCAGCCACTAATTCCCATGCCTAGCCCTTGGAAATTGCAATAACAACTTCCTAATAAATCCTCCATAGCCTCAATTTCAAACATCCCCCTCTCTTTCCTACACTAGCAATTGTTCCTCTCTACTGTGTAACTCCCACCAACATTCACATATGTAGTAACCTCCTATCTTAAAAAATAAAATCCAACCTAGACTCACTTTCCTCTCCAAGTATTATCCACTTCTCTCTTCTGTTTCAAACATCTGGAAAGAGAAGTTGTTCTCGCTGCTTCCCATTCCCTTCCCCCACTATCTCTTGAAGCCATTCAAACCAAACTTTTACCCTGACCATCCCACTGGAACAGCCCTTGTCAAAGTTACCAGTGACCTCCACATTGCTAGATCCAGTAATTCTCAGTCCTTGTCCCACTTGGTCTTTCAACCACATCTGATACAGTTAACAATATCTCCTTCTTCAAACATTTACTGAAAGGGAAAACTGTAGGGGAAGCAGTTTGAGAAGAACTATCAGGAGCTCAGTTTTGTAATATGAGATCCTCATTCACTTAGGATAATTTGTGCCATGGGAGAAAAAAAAGACCACTGAAAATTAATCCACATACGACAAGAAAAAACATGACACAGAAATAATGTAGAGAGGGTGAATTTGAAAGCTTATATTAAGATCGAAACCAAAGTTTATGAAAGTAAGTTCACTTCTATTCTCAACAAAATGTAGGTTACAATTGCAAGTTTATTAACTCAGAAGAAACAGTGAATCAGTGTTGATTTTTTTTAAATATGCTTGACAAAATTACATACCACAACATGACATCCTCTATTTCACAAAAGTTTTGCAGAATGTTCATAAAGAGAATAATTATCACAAAAATTTTGGAGGGCTTTATCTGAAGGAGATTTTTAATTCTTTAATTTTTTTTTCAAGTCACACTCTTTTGACATATCTATCAAAGTAGATTTTTAACTGTGCAGGATTCTTCTTTGAAAAAGATCATACCTATAATTAGAACAAATCTCCAAGATCATTTTCTTTGATTTCATAAAATCCTGCATCTTTGCAAGGTTTGCAACCTCACTTTGCCATTAGATTATTCCATATATTTACTGGATAAGAGGCTGATCCTCCAAGACTTAAAGGAGAGGACTAGTGTTTAGCAAAAAAGAAGTCTGAGTAAGGATTCATTTTATAGGCGATTCATTCATTTTTATATTGTGCACATTTTTGATTCCTTATGTAATCTCATAAATGCCAATAATTGGATAATAAATCATAAAAGAAAATGGTTCCCTGAAAAGAGTACTTGGAAAGAATCCATGGAGGGATAATTAAGTAAATCGTGTTCCATCTACACAATGAATACCATGGCTAAATGAATAAAGTCAGGTTGCATATTGTGATAGAACTATCACTGGGGTCACTAAGATATTATGTGAATAAAGGAAAGTTGTAGAATCATAAAGATATGGTCCAATTACTGCATTTTCCTCTTAATGTGTGTAGTATTTGGGAGGAATATCTGGGAAGGGAAATAAGAATGGGGTGATGAGTGACAAGATTTTCATTATTTATTCCATATGGGTCTATGTACTTCTACAGTGTTTCATTTCTTTGCAAAGAGCGTATATTTATGTACTACTTATATAATTAAAATCTATTAATAATTAAATATATTAAAAGTTAAAGGATAGAAAGATAAAATAATAAAGAGAAGATAGGTTATATACAGATAATCCAAATGTTAAAAATAAAAGGAAGTGAAAAAATATATATAAATGTTAATAAGGGACAATCATAAAACCAGAATATAAATAAAGTATAAAATCTAAGAAAAATAAAACAATGGAAATGTAATTAGAATAAAAAGGTAGAAGAGACATAAAAAATGAGAGAAAGGATTTCAACATAGCAAATTAAAAGTTAAAAACAAAGCAAATTAAAAGTTTTTTTAAAAAGCAAATTTAGGCCAGGCGTGGTGAGGCTCATGCCTGTAATTGCAGCACTTTGGGAGGCTGAGGTGGGAGGATCGCTTGAGTTCAGGAGTTTGAGACCAGCCTGGGCAGCATGGTGAAACCCCATCTCTACAAAAATTGAAAAATTAGCCAGGCATGGCAAAACATGTCTGTAGTCCCAGCTACTTGGGAAACTGAGGCATGAGACTAGCTTGAACCCAGGAGGTGGAGGTTGCAGTGAGCCAAGATGATACCACAGCACTCCAGCCTGGGTGACAGAGTAAGACCCTGTCTCAAAAAAAAAAAAAAATCATATTTAGAGACTCAGAATTTTTTAAGTGTAAGACAGTAGTTCAGAATCAAAAGACCAGCATTTCATACAGAAATAAGAATTCTTCACATTTGAAATTTTAGGGGATTTCATTAACATTTGTGGTTTCAGAGCATTTGGAATTTCTTGTAAGATGTCCCCAGAAAGACCGTCTCAAAAACAAAGGGCAGAACAGAGTATCCAGCTCCACCTCAGTGGGTAGCCCCCCAACACCAGCCTGACTCCTCTTAGACATTTGCAGAGATATTCATACATCTTTGGAAGGCTCCCACCGGTGGCCCCACTTTCTGATCCCAAGCTTGACCTTCAAAAATGTTCTATTATTTCCGTTATTTCAGATCTTTGACTTTTCTCTCACTGAAGAAGAAATGAAGGACATTGAAGCCTTGAATAAAAATGTCCGCTTTGTAGAATTGCTCATGTAAGTTCCGGGGATCATTAATGGGTATTGACCAGTGGTATTGAATGGTCATGTGTCAAGCAACAAGGCTCATAAGAACCCTGACCTATGTCCATAGCACCAGGGCAAAGCATGGTGGGCCGCATATTCTGAATGTTAACATGCCTGAGGGAAATACATCCACTACAGGGCCTTCCACAACCCTACACTCTCACTGAAAAGAAGAGTCCTGGCATCTGTGACATTTTGTGACTTCGGTGAAGGCATGCAGGCTAAGGAACCTGAGGAGAATTAATTCATCATGTACATATGCTAAAACAACAGCAGCACAAATGTTGAAACAACTTATTTATTTATTCCTAAAAATGAAAGTGATGCACAAATTAGAGCAAAGTTATAAAAAAAAATTTCTAAGGGAGAGGCATGATGATGTTGTAGAAAGAGCACTAGATTGAAACCAAGAACTTAGACTTTTAGACAAATACTTAAGATTTTAGTTTCCAGCTCTACCTATTAGCTGACTTCCTACAAGCAAAATTCCATATACTCCTTCAAAATGTCAAGTTCAGCTAACCAACTGAAGTAGCTCTTTATTCTCTAAATATTACAGGCCCTTTAAAAAAGAATATAGTTTTGGCCAGGCGTGGTGGCTCACGCCAATACTTTGGGAGGCTAAGGTGGGCGGATCACCTTAGGTCGGGAGTTAGAGATCAGCCTGGCCAACATGGAGAAACCCCGTCTCTACTAAAAATACAAAAATTAGCTGGGTGTAGTGGCAGTTGCCTGTAATTCCAGCTACTCAGGAGGCTGAGGCAGGAGAATTGCCTGAACCCAGGAGGCAGAGGTTGCAGTGAGCCGAGATCATGCCATTGCACTCCAGCCTGGGCAACAAGAGCAAAACTCCATCTCAAAAAAAAAAAAAAAAAAAGAATATATTTGCTATATATGTGTGTATAGATATACACACACATATACATATATATACTCATATACACACACATGCATTTTTTTCTTCTTAATCATTCTCTATTAATGTTTCCAGTTCTTCAAATCACCTGAATATTCATCTTCATCTTGAATCTTTAAGTGAACATTCAGAAAATGCTAAGATGATTCATATAGTTTGGACACTTACTTTACTGATCCTACTGTTTTTCATGGGTCAGAAAGTACAGTGACTGGATTAATATTGAATTTCTGAATTAATAAAACAACTTCCTAATGGAAATTTTTCAGGGGGAAAATTGTTTGACATCAAAAGGCACCACCACCCAACCTCAAGAACAAAAGAGTAAACATAAACACATAAATAACACTTTCCTAGAACTAACAGTTATAGGTTAATTAATAGCTCTTGAAGATAAATGACTTCTATTGAATCAATAATATATCATTAAGTTAAGAAGAGAAACCAGGTGCAGTGTCTCACATCTGTAATTCCAGCACTCTGGGAGGCTAAGATAGGAGAATCACTTGATGCTAGGAGTTCGACACCAGCCTGGACAACATAGCAAGACCCTATCTCTACAAAAAATTTAAAAATAAGCCATCATGGTGGCATGCACCTGTAGTACTAGCTACTTAGGACGCTGAGGTGGGAGGATCACTTGGACCCCAGACTTTGAGTGAGCTAAGGCTACGCTCCAGCCTGGTAGACAGAGCAAGGCCCTGTCTCAAAACAAAACAAAAAACAAACAAACAAAAACAGTATAATCAATCCACCAATGTACTAATTGTTTTACAGACAGTTGGTGACATTATTCAGTTTGACATCTGACATATTTAAAAGCAATTCTAGCAACTTCGGGGAAAAAAAAATAACTCTTACCAGGAAATAACTAGAAAAATCAGCAAGGTGGAACAAGAATTAGGCCCCATTAATCACAAATACTGTATCATTTAGAGATATTGGACCATGATTTTTTTCAGCTTTTATCAAGTTGATTTTTAACATTTGAAAATCTTAATATTTTCCATTTTAATTTACAGTACATGCAGAAAACTAAATCAGGAACACACACATTCCAGACATTTTACAGACCATTTCATCATTGTTATTTAAGAGCTAAATTCACTGCCATCATCATCGTCATAATCATCCAGCAAACTTATTTTGCTACTCATCACCTTTCTAGATCTCAAACTCTCAACACGCAGGAGGTCTAGTGAGAGGGGCAAGTAAAAATGCTAATGAGACTGGGTGTGGTGGCTCACACCTATAGTCCCAGCACTTTGGGAGGCCGAGACAGGGCGACTGCTTCAGCCCAGGAGTTCAGCTTGGGCAACCGTGGTGGCACATACCTATAATCCCTGCTACTTGGGAGGCTGAGGCAGGAGGCTTGCTTGGGAGCCCAGGAGTTTGAGGCTGCAGTGAGCTATGATCATGCCACTGCACTCCAACCTGAGTGACAGAGTGAGATTCCATCTGTAAAAAAAAGAAGAAAAAAATGCTAATCAGCAGAGGGTGACACTGGTAATAAGAGTTTTGAAGAGAAATGCCCATGTAGTGGATTGGAGAAGGAGGCAGCCAGCGTCAAGGGAACAGAAAGGGGGAAGGAGTAGGGAAGAGGCATGTGCACATGACATGCCTAAGACATGATTCACCACTGGGGATTCTGTTCTGAGTAAAATGTTGATAAGGTGGCCACCAACCTTCCCTCAACACACTCACATTCAGGAGGCTGTCCAGAGCTTCAGGAAAAGGTGCTGGCTTGAGGGAAAACAGAAGAGGAAAGTAGGTAAGAAACAGCAGAGGAATGAATAGGAGAGAGGGGTAGTGGTCAGTGAAATTCTCAAAGGATGCTATTGAAACATACAGCTGTGCAATTTTTGAGTGAACTTTTTTCTGTGGGGGAATTGTTTTGGCAGGTGGCGCGATCATCCTGAATACCCATTTCATGATGAATACTGACTGCAGGGAGTTCCTGAACAGATTTTTCACTCCCACGAGTGCCAAGACGGTGCAATGGGTAGTCCCCTAGATGTGAAAATGAAGAGAGAGGGTTTTACCATCCTGAGAAGAAATAATGATGGAAACATGTTTAATGTTTGTGCAGTGTAAATGACTTTGACTCAGTCACATTGAAGTAAAAATATTAAAATCTGTTGAAATAACTCTTAGGAAATTATCAACTAATTTTTTCAGATCAGTATCTTCTAGATTCCAGACAGAAAAAAATTACACTTCAGAAAAGACATCAAAGGCAACATATGACAACAAGTAATTTATGAATCTGGGTAGTAGCGTTGGTAATCTGAGTTCTTTAAGGGTTAACAGGACAACGAAGTGCATGTGGCAGTGTGCTGGCAGTGGCCTTGAGGCTTTGGACCATTGGTTACAAAACAGACACAGCCAAGATAAGATCCACACACACATTATTAACAAGGAAGTGATTTGCTGCACCTTGAGTTGAGAGGGCTACATGTAGAAAAGTCTTAAAATAGAGCTAAACACCACAGTGGTCAACAAAGCCATCATAATGTTGGTGTTTGTTTCCCTCCAATGTATGTATGTTTAGTTTTTATCCAACCTGAGGAATGAAAACTTAACTGGATCTCTCTTGCATCCTTAAAGGGCCTGAGTCTCAACATGGCTGCTGATCCATACTTACACATCTTACTGTCAATCTTGCCTACATTGATTATAGAACCACTATTACGTGAAAAGGCTTGAAACAACCAACATATACAAATAAAACCCTGCCTTGTAAAATAGTAAAAGAGAAGCCATATATTGGCTTTTCTTCTTAACTTGGGAGATATATTGAAACAAGGTGCTTTATAAGATTATTGTACTTAAGACTTTAATAGTGTTACTTGGATAGCTTATATGAATTTTGAGAATTTTATATGAATTTTGAGAAAGCAAGTTCAAAAGAACTCTGGTAATTTTCCTGTATGTACAATTTAAAGAGTGAATAAGATTATTAGAATTCAGCAATAGAGATATATCTATTTTCAATTCAACTACAGAAATATATTTTATTGGCCGGGTGCGGTGGCTCATGCCTATAATCCCAGCACTTTGGGAGGCCAAGGTGGGCAGATCAGGAGGTCAGGAGATCGAGACCATCTTGGCTAACAAGGTGAAACCCCGTCTCTACTAAAAATACAAAAAATTAGCCAGGCGCGGTGGCGGGGGCCTGTAATCCCAGCTACTCAGGAGGCTGAGGCAGAAGAATGGCATGAACCCGGGAGGAGGAGCTTGCAGTGAGCCGAGATAGCGCCACTGCAGTCCGGCCTGGGTGAAAGAGCGAGACTCCGTCTCAAAAACAAAAAAAAAAGAAAAGAAATATATTTTATTCATTCACATTAGGTCACTGTCATACTGTCATAGGATGAGAGAGTTCTTCAAAAATTATGTTTTCCCAAGATCAGTTGCTTATAGATAATGTTCAATGACCTCAAGACATATATTTTTGAGAAATTATCATTTTAAAAAATTTGGTCTATACTGATTGTTTTCACTGATTCCAATATTATTACTTATAACACTGACCTCTGGAAAATATTTTGTTCACAAGAAATAATAAAGTATAATGATTTGTTGCATCACATGAATCTCCATTCTGTTTCTAAGGTTGGGGCAGGGGAAGAATCATCTGAAGCCAGTTAAAAGGCCTTTGATTTAATCCTGCTGTACATTTAGCACTGGGAAGAGAGGAAAGAAAAGGGGATGTGGTGGCTCATGCCTATAATACCAGCAATTTGAGAGGCCAAGGCAGGTGGATGGCATGAACCCAGGAGTTCAAGACCAGCCTGGAACAACATGGCAAAACCCCATCTCTACCAAAAAAAAAAAAAAAAAAATACAAAAATTAGCCAGGAATGGTGGCACACACCTGTAGTCCCAGCTACTCAGGAGGCTGCTATGGGAGGATCACTTGGGTTGGGGAGGCAGAGGTTGCAGTGAGCCAAGATTGTGCCACTGCACTCGAGCCTGGGTGACAGAGTGAGATTCTGTCTCAAAAAAAAGGAAAGATTGAAGGAAGGAAGGGGAAAAAGGAAGGAAGGAAGGAAAAAAGAAAGGAAGGAAGGGAGGGAGGGGAAAGAAAAAGGAAGGAAGGAAGGGAGGGAGGGAGGGAGGGAGGGGAAAGAAAAAGAAGGAGGGAGCCGGGCGCGGTGGCTCACGCCTGTAATCCCAGCACTTTGAGAGGCCGAGGCGGGCGGATCAAGAGGTCAGGAGATCGAGGCCATCCTGGCTAACATGTTGAAACCCTGTCTCTACTAAAAATACAAAAAATTAGCCGGGCATGGTAGCGGGCGCCTGTAGTCCCAGCCACTCGGGAGGCTGAGGCAGGAGAATGGCGCGAACTCAGGAGGCGGAGATTGCAGTGAGCCGAGATCATGCCACTACACTCCAGCCTGGGCGACAGAGCAAGATTCCGTCTCAAAAAAAGAGAAAAAGAAGGAAGGAAAGAAAGAAGGAAGGAAGGAAGGAAGGAGGGAAGGAAGGAAGGAAGGGAGGGAGGGAGGGAGGCAGGCAGAGAGGGAGGTATGGAAGGAGTGACGGAGGGAGGAAGGAAGAAGAAAAAGGTGGTACCATTATGAAAGAGCAGAAACTTGAGTCCTGGTCCCTGTTGTGAAAGTCCTTAAAAATACTTTGAGGGTATTAGTGTAGAGGTGAGAATGGAAACAACACCTATCGAAGCATTTTTAAAAGACAGACATTGGAAAAGAGTCCCATCATTTGTCAGCGAAAAGGTATTTCTAAAAATTGGGGGAGCGAAATCCTCTCTTAGTCATAACAGAGATGGAGGAAAAAGATCTGGAGACAGAAAGTAGGAAGGTCAGGAAAGAACAACAGTCTGATGGAAGCTTCTGCATGTTCCTTCTCCCTCCACTGTCACCCCTCTCAAGCTTCCCATCTGTTATGGGTTGAACTGTGTCCTCTCAAAATTCATATGTTAAAAAGCCCAGACCCCAGTACCTCAGAATGTGATCTTATATAAAAATAGG
The DNA here is from genome assembly GCF_000001405.40 of Homo sapiens. NCBI lineage: Eukaryota > Metazoa > Chordata > Mammalia > Primates > Hominidae > Homo > Homo sapiens. The sequence goes on from NC_000007.14 coordinate 138,119,710, forward strand.
GCCAGGTGTGGTGGCTCTTGCCTGTTATCTCAGCTATTTGAGAGGCTAAGGTGGAAGGATCACTTGAGGCCAGGAGTTTGAGACCACCCTGGTCAACAGAGTGATACCTTATCTCTACAAAAATTTTAAAATTAGCTGGATATGGTTGTGTACACATGGCTGGTTGTGCACACACATAGCACCCAGCTATTTGGGTGGCTGAGGCAGGAGGACTGTGTGAGCCTAGGAGTTTGAGGCTGAAGTGAGCTATGATCATGCCACTGCACTCTAGCTTGGATGACAAAGCAAGACCTCATCTCTTAAACATAAATAAAATAGGGTCACTGCATATGTAATTAATTAAGATGAGATCATACTGGGGTAGGGTGGAGTAAGGTGAACCCTAAACCAATGAGACTGTGTCCTCATAAAAAAGGGAAATTTGGACACAGACAACACACAGGGTGAATGTCATGTGAAGACGAAAACAGAGATCAGGGTGATGCTTCTACAAGGTAAGAAATGACAAAGATTGCCAACAACTACAAGAAACCAGGCAAAAAGCATGGAACAGTTACACCTCAGCCCTCAGAGGGAATCAACATTGCCAACACCTCTATCTCAGACGTCTAGCCTTCAGGACTGTGAAACACTACAGTTCTGTTCTTTAAGCCACCCAGTTTGTGGTACTTAGTTATAGCAGTTTTACAAAAGAAAACACCATCCCTCAGTAAGGATTTCCTGTCTCTCCAGTTAACATCGGCTGTAAAAATGGCCTTGCCAAATCAATGCTTTACTGAGCCCAAGTATTGACAACCAATAATCTTGATCTTTTGGGGACTTACGCAACCCCAAAAAGATGTTTGTTAACCCAAATCAATTTTTCTTATCAATGGCCTCTGATCAGCTATGTAGAAAGATCCGTCAATAGTGATGCAACCTGCCTGAAAAAGGAGAGGAGACCCACGGCATGCCATGCTCACTGGTCCACAGAAACATACCGGGCTGGAGCGGCAAGGACATCCTGGCCCAGTGCACAGAATGTTTCTGGACCTGCAGTGTTTCTTGATAAGACTGTTTCTTTGCTGGGTACAATGGCTCACGCCTTTAATCCCAGCACTTTGGGAGGCCGAAGCTGGTGGATGATATGAGGTCAGGAGTTCGAGACAAGCCTGACCAACATGGGGAAACCCTGTCTCTGCTAAGTACAAAAAAAAAAAAAAATAATAAGATGGGCATGGTGGCATATCCCTGTAATCCCAGCTACTTGGAAGGCTGAGGCAGGGGAATCACTTGAACCTGGGAAGCGGAGGTTGCAGTGAGCCGAGATTGTGCCACTGCACTCCAGCCTGGGCAACACAGTGAAACTCCACTCAAAAAAAAAAAGGAATGTTTCTTGATCTTTTTGTAGTTCATGAGCGTGATGACTGAGTGTTCATGTGCATGTGTGAGGCGTGCCACCCTTAAACCTTGTTATAACATCAGCACATTACCCACATGACACGAAAAAAAATGTTTCTTATCCCTGACAGTTCTCCAAGAGGGCCTCCTTCAGGCATTGTCATTCCGTCCACAGTAACAACACAGCACCAGGAGAGGCCATTAGAGGGGCATAGGCAATGATCCTGTCTTCAGCCTTCAACACTTTGAGGTGTGTGCATTCTGAAGCCACAGTCATAGGGATTAACAAAGATAAACAAACTCATATTTCTAAGACTTGATATTTCTCAGAACTCTCAAAATTTCAGGCTTCTGCTAACTTCAATGTCTTCTTCTTGAATCAGAATCCTCCCTGAATCCAAATAGTAGCCTTAATGTTTCTGTCTCTACACATGAAATCCCCAAATTCTCACTTTAGCTTCTTCCACCCTAGTCTCTGCCTCCCATTCATGAGAAACAGGATGAGAGGGTGATGCCCAACTAATAGGCTTACTCTCTCATCTAAAGGGCATTTTGGTAAAAGGCTTTTTCTGTTGGGTCATATCTCCTCTGGCAGGAGCTATATCCCCCTGGCTTCCTATTTGGATTCTTCAGAATCTCGGCTTGAGCTCCGGCTGCCCTCCCTAGATGTACTAACTGCCTAGCTTGGGGCAAAATTCTCCTTTTGCACAGCACGTGCTTGCCTGATTCAGCTCAAAGCAGATCAGACTTTCTTAATAAGGCCACATTCTCTTCCCTCGTTGCCTTCTGCACTCCAGGCTTGAACCAAAACTTGGTTCCTTTATGAAGGACTTCACCGAAGGCCACAGGAAGCATCCAGCACAATCTTCTAACCCAGCACCAAAGCCTGAGCCTTGGCAGACACATGGTCCAAGTTCCAAAATATAAGTTACACTTTAAGTGAATCTGGTGAATGGGCTGGAGCCTTGGTCTGGTGGGGAGTGCTGGGGGGTGCTGGGGAGGAGAGGAAGGGACAGGGGTGTAGGGGGAAGCCCTTCTATCCGTCTTTTTTTAACAGTTACTTCTCTTCCTTTTTCTGTCTGGTTTCTCATAACTCCAACCAGCAGAGACAAGCCCAGGATGAAGACTGGGCAGTAGCCTGGGAAGAACCGGGCTTCGGTAACCACAGGGGCCCCAGGCGGCCCGGGAAGCGTGGAGGTCCCAGCGTGCGGGCAGAAAGCCCAAGAGGCCGAGCGCTGTGGCAGCTCCATGGGGCCCTGGCGGAGGCAAGGGCACAGCGTGGCTGGCTGCATATGTGAACAAGGTGAGCGGCGGGGCCGCGGTCGTCGCGGAGTCTGAGCACACCAAGGAGCGCATCAGACTTCAAGGGTCGAAGTGCAAAGGGGCAGTTTTTGATTTCGGGGTCAACCAACTAGGACTCGATGGGTGGAAAAGAAGTGCCTAAACAGCAAGCTGCTTACCTCAATCTCGGTCAGAATTTGTGGGGGCCCCATAGATGTGGGTGCCTGGCGGGGTCCTGGTGCGGACAGCGGTCTCGGGTTTGCGCACTGCGCACAGTATCCTCATCACGACACGATGGAAGCTGCGGAGCTGGGGTCAAAATAAGAAGGCGCAGCTGGGACCTGGTGACACCAAGAGAATGGAAGCCCCCAGACTCATTGCGGGTCTCTGCCGGGAAGTGAGTATGTAGGCAGCCTGTGGGCGGAACCTCACCTTGGCCTTGACGGAAACGGGCTCTGCGTTTGCCTTTGGGGAGAACAAGATGGGGCAGCTGAGCCTCAGCAACCACGCAGGAGCATCCCCAGCACCGCACAGATCATGGACAACGGGCAGCCAATTACTAGAATGGCCAGTGGAAATGAATTCCGTATAATGGGCGACAAAGGAGACCTCTGTTCCTTCGTGTGCCCTCAATGTGGTCAGCTGGGACCCAGGCACAGTGAATAGTTAAGGCTGTGAGCTGGTGCTGGTGCCACGATGAGTGGCCCACCTTCACTGAGAATGAAAGATGGGTAGATTCTGCCTGTACCAAAGGTGGTTGTGAGACCCCCAGAGCAAGGCAGGGACCCCTCCCCATTTCCCTTACATGCTGTGCTGACTGAAGCTACATTCAACCTTGCAGCCACACAACCACAAACGTTTCCTTTCACAAAATAGACCAATCAAATCTGAGACAGAGTATTCTGAGCACAAGCATCTTGGCTAACAGTGGGCACTTTGCAAAAGATGCTCCCCAATGCACTTGCCCAGTAATGTCCTAGCCTGTCCTAACCTGGCCTTTGCTTCATTTCAGTAGTAAAAAGCACACCCCTGGGTGGAGATTTAAGATGCTAATGAGACATGCATCACATGAAGAAGCATGTCCAGAGACTGCATAGGTGCAACTGCCAAACCACCCCAAACATGCAATGATGTCACATGGAGGAGCTCCAAAGCAAATGAAACCCCAAACTAACCTGCAGTCAGGGAGCTAGCTGCAGGTCTCTTCCTGCTGCTACCTCCCCTTCTGCTCAAGCTGAGAGCTCCAATAAACTGCCTTGCTCAAGCCCATCTCAGATTCTTGGTCTATTTCTATTTACTAAGGGTCAAGAACCCACCAGCCAATAACGGTTGTGTAAGACGTGACCTGTAATGCTAACCACACATTGATTCTGGACTCCAAGAAATGAGTCTTCTCCTGGGGCTTTGGTGGCTATGGTTGACTGGGCCACTCAGAGCAGAAGGATGAGATGGTCCCCGCTTGGTGAGGTTGGAGTCTGACTTCCTTGGGTGTGGGGCATCCCAGATCCATGTTGGTTACACCTGGTCCTTTGCTGTCTGTGAAGTTGGTAGTCTCTTTTTCTGGGGGAGCCCAATATCTCCCATGAATCTTCCATGTACCTGAAAGCAGTGCAGGACCTCTGCGGCTGCAGAATCCAGAGCCTGGCTTGTGGGAAGAGCAGCAACATTGTGGCCGCCAATGAGAACACCATCAGCTGAGGGCCATAACCAACCTTTAGGTAATTGGGATACAGGGACCATGAGCCCAAGTCTTCCACTGCAGCCCAAGAGGTGAAGACTCTGAATGGCATCTTTTCAAAGCAGGTCTCCATAGGCTACTCACACTCCTTGGTGATAGTGCGAGATGAAAGTGAGACCAGGAAAGAGAAGATCAAGAAACTGCTAGAGCCGGTTGCGGTGGCTCACTTGTAATCCCAACACTTTGGGAGGCCGAGGCAGGCGGATCATCTGAGGTCAGGGGTTCGAGACCAGCCTGGCTAACATGGTGAAACCCCGTTTCTACTAAAAATACAAACAAATAGCTGGGCATGGTGGCACATGCCTGTAATCCCAGCTAATCGGGAGGCTGAGGCAGGAGAATCGCTTGAACCCAGGAGGTGGAGGTTGCAGTGAGCCGAGATCACGCCATTGCACTCCAGTTTGGGCAACAAGAGTGAAACTCCAACTCAAAAAAAAGAAAAAAGAAAAGAAAGAAACTGCTAGAATACAACCCCTGAACCCTTTGATGCTCCTGGGGACTCCTGCAACTCCACCCGTCTCCCAGAAGCTGTCATTTCCTGTGCAGTGGGAGGTGAAGTCAAACAAGGAATTTTAAAAAGCAAAAGTTAGCCAAAGTTGCATTTTTGTTAGACTCCCTGAGGTTCCATTTTTACAAGGGATCCAATGTTAATTATCCTTTTCTGCATACTTTTAAAAGTCTGTTTTTTTCTCTTCATGTTTAATTAAAATATTTGCTCATATTTGGAAAAAATATGAATTGTTATAAAATAGTGGAAAAGATATCCAGACTCCCAGTGAGGACTGTGTTTCCCATTATGCTTCACCCAAATTAACTCAGTCAATTCTAACTTTCAGGAGTATTCACTTGTTATGCCCCACTTCCACATAGCGATTTTTCCATCAGGATGTTATTAGTTCCTAGTAATAGAAATGCAATTCAGACTAGTTTAAGCAGAAATAGTGAATTCACTTTGTCACAGAACTGGAAACAAAGAAGTGCAGGGGTAAAGTGGCTGTAAGCAGCTAGAACTAGGGCTCAAGCAGTGTGTTTACAACTTGTGACTGTTTTCACCCCGTTGGACTAGCTGTCTCCAGACAGCAGGCATGAAAGCAGGCAAGATAGCTCTCAGCAACACTCTCCTTCACTCAGATTAGGAACCCAGAAGAGAGTGAGAGTCTTTGGTAATAGCTCTGTCAAGGAAGTAATCCTGGGAAGAACTCTGACTGGCCAACATGCATCATGCTGGAACCAATGGTGATGGCCTGGGGCAGACTGAATGGAAGGGCCTGAGACATAAACTCATCCCTGTGCAGAGAAGAAGCAAGAGAGGAATGAGAGAGACAGTGGGAGGGGGATGGAAAGGCAAGAGGGTAGGAGCGAGTGGAACAAGAGCAGCACTAAGGAGAAAGGAATCATAAGGAACTACAATCCTGCCTCAATCACCAGAAATACGTTGCCCCAAGAAGCAGGCAAAATAAGAGATGTCTGCAACAGGGACTTTCAGGGCGTGGAGATAAATAAAATTTAAAAGCTATTGGAACCCCCCCCAGAACACATTAAGCCCTGAGTGAGATGTGACTATGATCTGAGTCACACATGGTTACAACTTCTGTTCTCAGATAGATTAACTCACTTTCTTATTTTTCTTGTTCTGCACAATGACTAGAGTGAATTCAACTACACCACAGATAAATGCCTCCTGCCTTCTTCATTAATGGCCCTGGTCATAGATTCACTTCCCCTTTGCTGCCTCACTTTGCTTAGACCAGATGACAAAAAACGCATGACTATTACACCCTCTGTGAAAAGTGTTAAATGTCCCCTTCCCAAAAGGAAACACTGCCTATAACCAATCAAATTGCTGTAACTATGCACCAACCTTGTGTAAATAGTGTTGTAATCCCACTAAAATCTCTGTCTCTGTCTAAATAAATGAAATCTTAACTTCCCTACTTCAAAATGCTGACTCCATTCCTTTGGAGTTGGTGTTTCTGGGTGGTCCGTCCTCACTGTTTGAGCTTGAATAAACTCTCTTTAAATTAGATTCTGAACCTTTTGATTATTTTAGGTTGACAGGAGTTTTGGAGTACTAGGTTTTAGCTTCCTGCTTCCCTCACTTCAGATTCCCAAAAAAATGATATAGTAGAAATCTCCATCAGCACTGAAAATTAAGAAGGTTGCTGCCTATCAGAGGGTGTAAATGAGAAGAAACTGTCAAAGTATAATTTTTTACAAATCAGGCCGGGCATGGTGGCTCACACCTGTAATCCCAGCACTTTGGGAGGCCAAGGCAGGCAGATCACCTGAGGTTGGGAGTTCGAGACCAGCCTGACCAACATGGAGAAACCCCGTTTCTACTAAAAATACAAAATTATCCAGGCGTGGAGGCGCATGCCTGTAATCCCAGCTACTCGGGAAGGCTGAGGCAGAAGAATTACTTGAACCTTGGAGGCAGAGGTTGTGGTGAGCTGAGATTGCGCCATTGCACTCTAACCTGGGCAACAAGCGCGAAGCTCCATCTCAAAAAAAAAAAAAATCAAAAATATGATTTTTATGTAAATACAAAATGAGTACATACCAGTGATTTAATTATCTCATTAATGATGGAAACAGAAAAACGGTAAGAGAAATACCAAGAGAATTGGAGAAAGTAAAATGTTTCAGCAGCTGAAAGAAAGGATGCTTGGATCAAATTGCTCATTTAGCTCCAAACCAGTTTAGCCTTCTGAAAGGCAATACAACTATATAACTTTTGAGTTTATCTTTTCTACCAGATTTAATAATTTATATCTCTACAATAAAAGATCCATTTGCATTGTTATTGGACAAGAATCATTTTCATCACTACCAGGTTTCTATTAGTTAATAACTACTCTTACAAAATTGTAAATTACCCTATTAAACAGTTCACTCAGCTGACCTGGGAAATCCAAACCCTGCACCTTCCAAAGAAAGGTCTGGCCATTAACCACTTATTGGGAGATAACCTCTAAGCCCTTGGAATGTCATTCCTGAGAAGAATGTCTTTGCTTATCTGGGGCTTTGGGCCACACTAGACAGTTTATGCTAACAATGTGATTTATGAAGGGGGGTGGGGAGGCAGGTGGCTACATGATGTCAGTTTGACTCCAAAGGGCTGGAGACTGAGTAACTAAGGTCAGCTATGTGGGCACTCCAAGCCTATATGACTGACCCCCAATAAAAACCCTGGATCTAGGGCCGGGCGTGGTGGCTCACACCTGTAATCCCAGCACTTTGGGAGGCCGAGGCGGGCGAATCACAAGGTCAGGAGATCGAGACCATCCGGGCTAACATGGTGAAACGCTGTCTCTACTAAAAATACAAAAACTTAGCCGGGCATGGTGGCGGGTGCTGGTGGTCCCAGCTACTCGGGAGGCTGAGGCAGGAGAATGGTATGAACCCGGGAGGCAGAGCTTGCAGTGAGCCGAGATCGTGCCACTGCTTCCAGCCTGGGTGACAGAGCGAGACTCCGTCTCAAAAACAAAAAAAAACAAAAAACGCTGGATCTCAACGTTTAGATAAGTTTCCCTGGTTGACAATACTACTTACGTGTTGTCACACATCACTGCTGGAAAAGTTAAGCACTATCTATACAACTCCACTGAGAGAGAACAAGTAGAAATTTGTGCCTGGTCTCTCTCTTGGACTCTGCCATATTGTCCTTTTACCTTGGATAATAAATCTAAATTCTTTTTCTATAATAAACCATAACTATGAGTAGAACAGCTTTTCTGAGTTCTGTGGTTCCTTCCAGCAAATTATTGAACCCGAGGGTGGTCTTAGGAACCCTATACCACAAATAATTAACAGCAAATCAAAAAAAGTTACAAAGTTTCCCCTGAGGGGAATCAGTCCTTGAGGAAGCCTGCTAGACAATCCCCACAACACTGAAAGTCGACACATTTTTTTTTCATCCACTTTCAAATTTTAGATAATTTTTCTTAATGTATCTTAGAGAAAATACGAAGTGTGAGACTTTAATGAGCTGTGGCAGGAATACAATAATACCTTTAATGTCATGACAGGCCCTTACCTACTCTACAAATTTGTGGTAACAAAGTATATTGAAAACTGTATGAATCACCCTGATGCCCACAGAAAATAGATGACTGTGCACACTGAGCACTACTGAATTCACATCCCTTGATAAAGAATTTTGCCTTCATATTAAACTATTTGTAATTTATGTTGTTATACATATATATGAGTATATATAAATACACACACTCACAGTAAAGTACATAAAGTACACTAATCTGAAATGTACAGCTCAGTGATATTTTTTACATATATACACACCTGTATTATTCCATTCTTGCATTGCTATAAAGAAATACCTGAGATGGGGTAATTTATAAAGAAAAGAGGTTTAACTGGCTCACAGTTCCACAGGCTGTACAGGAAGAATGATGCTGGCCATCTGCTCAGCTTCTGGGGAGGCCTCAGGAAACTTGCAATCATGGCGGGAGGTGAAGGAGAAGCAGGCTCATCTCACATGGCCCAGGCAGGAGCAAGGGAGTGCAGTGGGGGTTGGGGAGGTGCCACACACTTCTCAACAACCAGATTTCATTAGAACTCTTATCAAGAGAATAGCACCAAGGGAATGATGTTAAACCATTCATGAAGGATCCACCCCCATGCCCCAATCACCTCCCACCACGCCCCACCTCCAACACTGGGGATTACAATTTGACATGAGATTTGGGTGGAACACAGATCCAAACCGTATCATTCTGCCCCTGGCCCCTCCCAAATCTCATGTCCTTCTCACATTTCAAAATACAATCATGCCCTCCCAACAGTCCTTCAAAGTCTTAACTCATTCCAGCATTAACTCAAAAGTCCACAGTCTCATCCGAGACAAAGCAAGTCCCTTCCACCTACGAGCCTGTAAAATAAAAAACAAGTTAGTCACTCCTAATATAGGCATTGGGTAAATACTCCTGTTCCATAAGGGAGAAATTGGCCAAAATAAAGGGACCACAGGCCCCATGTAAGTCCAAAACCCAGCAGGGCAGTCATTAAATCTTAAAGCCCCAAAATAATCTCCTTTGACTCCATGTGTCACATCCAAGACACACTGGTGGAAGGGTTCCCCCAAAGCCTTGTGCAGCTCCACCCCTGTGGCTTTGCAGAGTTCATCCCTTTCAGCTGCTCTCAAGGGCTGGCATTGAGTGCCTGAAGCTTTTCCAGGCTCAGGGTGTGAGCTGTCAGTAGCTCTACTATTCAGAGGTCTGGAGAATGGTGGCCTTCTTCTCACAGCTCCACTAGGCAATGCCCCAGTGGGGACTCTGTGGGGGCTCCAACCCCACATTTCTCCTCTGCACTGCCCTAGTAGACGTTCTCCATGAGGGCTATGCCTCTGCAATGGGCTTCTGTCTGGACATCAAGGCTTTTCTATACATCTTCTGAAGTCTAGGCAAAAGCTCCCAAGACTCAACTCTTATATTCTGTGCACCTGAAGGCTTAACACCACATGGAAGTCACCAAGGCTTACAGATTGCACCCTCTGAAGCAGAGGCCCAAGCTGTTCCTGGTCCCCTTTGATCCACGGCTGGAGCTGGAGTGACTGGGATGGAGGGAGCAGGGTCCCAAGGTTGTACAGGGTAGTGGGGCCCAGGGCCTGGCCCACAAAACCATTCAGTCCTGCTATGCCTCTGGGCCTGTGATGGAAGTGGCTGCGAAAGTCTCTGAAATGCCTTCAAGACCTCTTGCCCATTGTCTTGGCTGTTAGTACTTGGCTCCTCTTTACTTATGCAAACTTCTGCAGCCTGCTTGAATTCTTCCCCTGAAAAATGGGTTTTTCTTTTCTGCCACATGGCCAGTCTGCAGGTTTTCCAAACTTTTATGCTGTGCTTGCGTTTTAAATATAAGTTCCAGTTTCAGATCATTTCTTTGCTCATGCATATAAGCATAAGTGGTGAGAAGCAGCCAAACCACATCTTGAATACTTTGCTGCTTAGAAATTTCTTCCACCAGATACCCTAAATCATCACTCTCAAGTTCAAAGTTCCACAGATCCCTAGAGCAGGGGCACAATGCAGCCAGATTTTTTGCTAAAGCATAGCAAAAGTGACCATTACCCCAGTTCCCAATACATTCTTCAGTTCCATATGAGACCTCCTCAGCCTGGACTTCATTGTTCATATCACTGTCAGCCTTTTGGTCACAAGAATTTAACAAGTCTCTAGGAAGTGCCAAATTTTTCCTCATCTTCCTGTCTTCTTCTGAGCCCTCCACACTCTTCCAACCTCTGCCCATTACCCAGTTCCAAAGTCACTTCCACATTTTCAGGTATCTTTATAGCAATGCTCCACTCTTCAGTACCAATTTTTGTATTAGTTCATTCCTGCACTGTTATAAAGAAATACCTGAGACTGGTAATTTATAAAGAAAAGAGGTTTAATTGGCTCATGGTTCCAGAGGCTGTACAGGAAACATGATGCAGGCTATCTGCTCAGCTTCTAGGGAGGCTTCAGGAGACTTACAATCACGGCAAAACACAAAGGAGAAACAGGCTCATCTTATACAGCCAGAGCAGGAACAAGAGAGGGCAGGAGAGAAGTGCTACATACTTTTAAACAGCAAGATTTCATGAGAACTCTATCACTAGAACAGCACCACGGGGGTGGTACCAAGCCATTCATGAAGGATCCACCCCTTCATGATCCAATTACCTCCTACCAGGTCTCCCTTTTAACATTGGGGATTACAATTAGACATGAGATTTGCGGGGGGACACAGATCCAAACCATACCAACACCCATGTCACTGACACCCAGATCAAGAGATAAAATATTTCCAGCACTCCAGGAGGTTCTCACCTGCTTCTCAATTCATGTCCTCCTTCCAGAGAAACCAGGATATTATGACTTCTCTTATTTGTGGCATTTACTAACTTTCTTAGCAAAGAAACTTCAGCTTTGTTTAGTTCCCAGTGATTGCAAAGTGGTATATCCTGAAGATTATTGGAAAACGACATGAGGGCTAGATTCTGTTATTTGTAGACTTTTTTATGCAAAAATAATTTGAGCTTAGTCATGCTTTTATACAAGTAATGTATTTTTGTTTTATTTTTATAATATATATCAGAAGAAAAGGGACAGACATGATGTTCATGCCTGTAATCCCAACACTTTGGGAGGCCGAGGCAGGAGAACCACTTAAGGCCAGGAGTTCAAGACCAGCACAACATTGTGAGATCTCACCTACACAAAAGAAGAAGAAGAATCTGAGACTTTGTTGGGATGTTTTGTTTCTTTGTTGCCTTTTGTCTAAAAACTTATTTACTAAAGATTTAGACCAAAATTCATAATTACTATGTTTATAAATAATAATCTAAGACTAGAAACTATGGACATACAATCCCCTAGGTATAGTTATGTAATCTTTTGGTTAATCTAACCTTGATTTCATCACTAAACTTGGCTATATCTCAAATAATTTTTTAAATATTTTCTTTTTTTTTCTTCAGTTGTTCTTACTGGAGATTTTCTGTTTCAGAAATCTCTGCCTAACATTATTCATGTGTGGCTAAGAATCCATAGGTGGCTTTTTCCCCTATATTTTTAGCTTTCTTCAGGTATAACTGACATATAAAAATTGTATATGTTCAAGGTATATAATGTGATATTTTGATATACCTATACATTGTGAAATGATTTGCAC